>NC_000002.12:220614618-221239618 GCF_000001405.40 Homo sapiens
AAGTTGATAGAAGCCTCTGGGTTCAGGGAAACAGAAAAGAAAAGAAGAGTCCTTCAATATTTCTCTGCTTTATCAGAGAAGTAGTTGGCTCTGCATTGCAAACTGCCAAATGGTTCTAGGAAGCATGTCAAGTATTGTTTTTGGTTTAGTATTATTTCTGCAGCAACGATTAGGAGTCTACATTAAAAAAAAGGCAAAATGAAAAACATTGCTGTGTCTTCTATAAAACCATCACATCAAGGAATTATTCACTGCATGGAGAAGGTCTCTGAAATATATTCCTATTAGATATTGGGGATGAACAAGAAACCACTTCCTTGAATAATAAGGTCGCTTTCTTTGACCAGTTAATTTTACTCAGCACATCTTCTTTTTTTCCTAGGACTAACAGAAAGTACAAACCTAAACATAGTGTTCGACTATAGAAAATATTCGTAGTCTAGATCTATGCTCTCCAGTAGAGTAACCACTAACCACATGTGGCTTTTTAATCACATATTGCTATTTAAATTTAACTAAACTAAAATAATTTAAAATACAGTTCCTCAGTCACACTAGCCACATTGCAAGTGCTCAACAACCACGTGTTTCTATGGGCTACCATAGTGAACAGCACACATACAGAATATTTCTATCATTAAAGAAAGTTCTGTTGGACAGCACTGGTCTAGATTATGAATCAAATTATAAATTTATAGCATTTGATGCATCTTTACATTTTAGCTTTATTTAAATTGTCTGGATGACTACTTACTTAATACTTACTGCCTGCTACTTTCTCTGACTTTTAAAATTAGGTATCTGTGAATTGCAAATATGTGGTTAAAAATAATATCCTAAGTTCTTACAATGTTGATACCTAACTGTTAGATGACTAGAGAGGTTATCAAAGCTTACAAAGGGATTTAAAAATTGATTATCTTGGTTATCTAGATTTGCATTGTCACTTTTTTTTTTTTTTTTTTTTTTGAGATGGAGTCTCACTCTGTCGCCCAGCCTGGAGTGCAGTGGTGCGAACTCGGCTCACTGCAAGCTCCGCCTCCCGGGTTCACGCCATTCTCCTGCCTCAGCCTCCTGAGTAGCTGGGACTACAGGCACCCACCACCGCGCCTGGCTAATTTTTTTTTGTATTTTTAGTACAGATGGGGTTTCACCGTGTTAGCCAGGATGGTCTCGATCTCCTGACCTCGTGATTCACTGGCCTTGGCCTCCCAAAGTGCTGAGATTATAGGCGTGAGCCACCGTGCCCAGCCTGCATTATCACATTTGGTAAGGCTCCTGTCCACCTAAGTTAATATGAATGTCCCAGTCTCATTCCCCTCATACAGTCTCATTTGCTACATTCCTTGTGATAAATGTCACTGAGTACAGGCCTTTTCAGTCCCATTAGGGTGATGCTGTAAATGATGATGGTTCAATGATTCTGTACTTCTATTTCTGCTGTGCAGTGTCCTGTTCATTTCTAGGCACAACTGCAGGCAGGTGAACACTAGGGAGAGTTTCAGGAATAGCGGTGTCAGTTTTGGCTGGATGACATGGAATGTTTTATATGCCATTTGGGACATTTGGCTCAGTTTGAAAATCCTAAAGCAACATTCATATTTTAGAATTAGAAATTCCGCATACCTATCTATAGTGTACACTGATTTGAACTGAATTTGAAATAAACATATCAACAGTAAATCTTCTTAAGGCTGGTGATGGCACATACTTTTGAAATGCTTAGGTATAAACAAAGCAAGCATACATTTTCTAGGTCTCACTATACAGTCATAAAACACTTGGCTATAAATCAGCATGGACCACTTTAATTTCATTTCTTGCCCACATAATCAAAACATGAAGCTCTCTTTTCTTTAACACATAATTCTTCTCAATCATTACATAAATTGCCATATTTCTTAATAACAAAGTAAATGCTTGGGTTCAGCTATGATTTACAGATTGGGTAAATTATTAGCTATATGGTTGTAATATGCTGATCTGCTTACAAAATATGTGTTTTAAGTAAATACGTCTATGACTACAGAAGAGAATGTTATCCATTACTATTTAGATCTTTTAAATATCTTCTCTATAGCAGGGGCAAGTACTTCCAACTGGGTTATATTATTTGTGTTAATTTTTTTCAAGGCTTCATTATCGAAACCTGCAAAAGTTGATAAGGACGTGCCTTCATACAACCACATTTACTATAAGGATGTCACATAATCTTTTGTCACTGATTCACTTTCCAACTTTCAGAAATTATTTGACTAAGTTGAATTTGCTATATTTCCCAGTTCCCTGATGCCATTGATTGTATAAGGCACCATCAATTTATAGATAATCTTTCTGAGGGTTAAGCAGGGATCAATTTTGATAAAAGTAATGTTGATTGGCAATGAGCTGTGAAATACATTCTGCCATTATCATCTAACACCAGAATTTTTCTGAAGGAAAGAGTTGTTTTGGTGGGTAAAATATTTTGTTGAAGATTTGGAGCTGCTGCTCAGCAATTCAGCTCCTATGTGTCTTGGAGGCAAGATTCCATGTCTCCAAGACACATGTGACTGGATTGCTGAGCAGCAATATGTGTGTGTGTGTGTATATGTGTGTGTGTGTGTGAGATGAAGCTCTGCATACAGACCAAAGACTTTGGAGCTTGGGGTGGGGCAATCCTGAGATAGTAAAAAGGCGGGGAGAGTGATGAGAAGGACATGTACAAATTGGAAGTGAAGCCTTCCAGTTTGACTTCTTCATATCTCCCACCAAATCTTCAGCAAATCATGCATGCTTACAGAAACCCTAGTGGGAAGAGGATTTCGTAGAACTTGGTGTAAAGGCCAAAAACGTTTCACACCTGAGTAGTGGCAAAGATGTAGGGGCCAGGCTCAGAAGAACTATGGAGTATAAATCCGAGAGTCAGTCCATGTTGATACCAATAGATCTAGTGTGTTTATTAGAAGAACGTACCAGTTTAGTTATACATGCCCTATGGAGGAAATTTAGTTCTTGTCAGTATTTCTTCAGTATAGTCAAAGCTGCAAAGAGCACCTCTACACGTCTCCTGAAACACACAGAGGAGAACTTCTCTCAAAAATGCACCTAGAAGTATTATTTTTGGTTAATTGTAAATTTACTACATATTTACTACAAATTATCCTCCAAAGTAACTATATAAATTTATGCTTTGATATTCATGAATGAAAGTTTTCCTTTACCCTTATTTTTGTGAACAAAAGACATTATCTTTCTAATTGAGTATGGGATGCTATTTTATTATTTCATTTATTTGTATTTAGTTAATTTATTTTTTGCTGATTAGGAGTGAGACTGGGCAGTTTTTCTTAACTGTATTAACCAGTATGTTTCCCTCTTCTGTGTATTGCCTCTGTTTTCTTTGGCAGGCATTGCTAATTGTCTCTCCCTATCCATCCTTCGCTTCTTTATCAACAGATTCTAATTTTATTTGAGATCCCAATATGCCCAGGTAAACTTATTTTCTCCTTTCACTTGAGTCTGGAGTGGGGGCCGTGTAACCCAGCTCTGGCAAATGGAAAGTGGGAGTCACTGGGGCCTCCAGGTGAATTTTTGAAAGGCAGGTCTTTTACTTGTGTCCCTGGCACGTCACTTCTGTTTATTTCTGGAGCACAGACCTGATACCTGGAGAAAAGGAAGAAGACTGTCCTAGGTGAAGAGAAAGTCTATTGAACAGGAAAGAAGCCAAGCCCTTGATGATTTCCTCAGACGGCTGTGCTGACCCTAGATGGCTTCTTTCCCTACCTCTGATTATGAGAGGAAAATCAGCCTACATTTACTTAAGCCGCTCTAACCACATTTCTTTAATAAGTAGCAACATGTCATACTATTACGGTGTCTTTGTCCCATTTTTAATTAGCTTGTTTTTTTCTTATTGATTTCCAAGAGTTCTTAATATATGATAGATAAAAATCCTTTGTCAGTTATATGTGACATAAATATCTTCTCCCAGTGACAGAGATTTTGTTCTGACTCTTTCTCTAACTTCACTGTGGGTTCTGAAAACATTGCTTTCCCTTTCTAGATCTTGGGTTGGTATTCTGTAAAATGAAGAGTAGAGAGTATCCAAGGATTTTTCCAGCTCTTATATTCTGAGTTCACTGATACGGGCTTAATAAACATGTCTCTGAACAGCTTGCACAGAGTGGCTGGTCAGCCACAGCCAGTCATCTTGATAAAACTCTTTCTGTCCCTACTGATCGATCACACAATCCAGACTGATTACTTAAGAGACTATTTGCAAACCATTCTGGTTAGCTGTAGAGTGATCCATCTTTTTGAGCATGTATAAAAATACCCTTACAGCTATAGAGTTGAAAACTGTCTTACATTACCCAAGGCAAAAAAAAAAAAAATCATAGGAAAACAAAAGAAGAATATTACAACATTTCAGCACATGTAATGTTAAACTAAATGGACATGAGTTGTCAACAGAACTTGAAAACAGCATATTCCCCTAATAAACAATAGAAGAAAATGGTGAGTAATTCTTGATATGTTTCAGAAATGCTCATTAAGTTCTATTATAAAATAACAACTTCTTGAAGTAAAGTAGTTTGCTAGTTGTCAGTTTTGGATTTGATTTAAAAACAAATGGTGGATAAATCCTAAAAGTCAAACAAAACAACAGGTAGATTAGAATGAGTATTTATTCAAGATGGTCTGTTTTCCACTGTTACTGGGAAAAGAAAATGATTTTAAAACTGGGAAAAACCTCCCCTAAATTTCAGATTTTTCTTTGTGCTTGTGTAGAAGCTGATGTAGAAAGGATTATGAGAAACTGTTTGGATGAAATTGAGAGAATACCTTTTCAGGAGTCAAGACCATCTTGGACTTCAGCCTAGCAACACCAGCCCCTACATGAGTACTGGGTTTGCCAAAGGGCTTTGCATGACTCTTTTTCTAATTCCTAGGCTCTGGAAGAGACGAACCTGCCAAGCTGTCTAGAGCTGCAACTCTCAAGTTGGTAACAGTTTACATGAGGTTTACCTGAGAACTGAGTGCATGAACACACTAACCTGATTCAAGTGAATGATATGTGTGAGTAAATAAAGTTTTTAATGCAGGGAGTGGAAAAACAAACAGAAAAACCCTAAGGTGATTAATCACTCCCATTCTTCCCTTACAAGTCTGTTTATGGAAAACGTCAGAGCTGCCTACTTTATCTCATCCTTCATCTCCTGACTCATTAGCTTTTCTTTGTTATAAGTCAAGGGTCCTCTGGACCCTAAAGATTTCTGGAGTCTAATGAAGGAGTTAGCCTAATGTTGTCACTAACTGAACTGGATGGGTAGTCCTGACTTTCCAATGCTAGGTCTTGGGCCTCTCTCTTTCTCTTGCTTCTCTGTGAGATACAGAAGAGAGATGCCTGGGCTTTTTCCTTAGAACCACACAGACTCCTGCTATTGCCTTCTCCCTATTTGTGGCAATGCTGACTCACCTCAGACAAGGTGCCAACATGGCCCCACCCCTCCAGTGCCACCCAAACAACAGCAGCAACACCCAGGAGGCCCATAAACCGAGACACCTCTTGGGGTAGCTTATCTCTGCACAGTGACCACTGGGAGCTGCTCACCTGTCCCACTGGAGTCTGGGTTCCATATCTTTAGATTCTCTCTTGCTGCTAGCAAAACGGCTTCCCTCATCTTACCCTGCTTCACATCTTCATTTTGGTGAGGGTCAGAGGTAGGTTAGGAGCCCTGCAGTCAATTTGTGTCTGTAGTGAGGCAACTGAATCCACAGCCCCTCATCCACAGGTCAGTTTAAGAGTAGTTGAGGCCGGGCACGGTGGTGAATGCCTGTAATCCCAGCACTTTGGGAGGCCGAGGCAGGTGGATCACCTGAGGTCAGGAGTTCGTGACCAGCCTGACTAACATGGTGAAACCCCGTCTCTACTAAATTAAAAAAAAAATAAAAAATTGCCAGGCGTGGTGACGCATGCCTATAATCTGAGCTACTTGGGATGCTGAGACAGGAGAATTGCTTGTACCTGGGAGGTGGAGGTTGCAGTGAGCCGAGATCATACCATTGCACTCCAGCTTGGGCAACAAAAGTGAAACTCCGTCTCAAAAAAAAAAAAAAAAAAAAAAAAAAAAAAGTAGTTGAACCTAGACCTGAGAAATCTTCCTTGCAAGGTGTCAGGTCCAGGCATTACTTCTGCCCCTCATCCCAGGCTCCTTTCTCACTGATGAAGGGGACTCTCTCAGTGAACCCACCATTGGCTGCATCCGTCCAGCAATCTCTTTCATTTTCTCCTCTCCTCTCCCCTTACTTACTATTGTCTGTGAACTTGAATAGATTTATCTGAACTCCAATTTTTGGCCAGAGTTCAATTATTTCTTTTTCTGTGCATGTTTGTGTTTTTGTTTGTCTGATAGACTAGTAATGATTTCCATAAAGGTTCGTAAGAGGTATTTGTGTGAATTTGTTGAGTATATTGATTCTTTTTCTCTTGGAATGGGGCAGTAGAAATCTTTGATGTCCTTTTCTATATTTATTGGACCACCTGAGTTTACCAGGAGTGCTGGTGAAGTGTTTCCAGCCCACTGAATGTTTTTGATATTAATTCGAAATGTACATCTAACTTGATTTAAAAAACCAAAACAATGGCTCTGCAAAATGAAAAGAGTAAAAAACCACCCTTGATCTACTTTGTTGAGTAATCAATCCCTTCATTTCTTCCCCATAAGTTAACATCTGGTGGATGCCAGCCTTGATTTACATGCTTATCTGTTCATTCATTATTAAAGTGAAATAAAGACCTGAAAGTGTCTATGTAAACAAGATACATGATATTTTTGTCCATGTAAAAAGTTCATTCTTCTGTATTTTTTCATCATTCAAATTTTGCACCAAAACAACATGTTTTCCATTACAGTAGTTTTATAGTCAGTTTTTATATCTGGTAAGGTAATCATGATAAATATTCATCTTTTAAAAAATAATCCTTGATATTCTTACCTACTGATTTTTAAATATGGATTTATAATAATTTTGTCCTCAGAACCACCACATCAAGTTATCACTAACAATTAAGTTATACCCATTGTATTGGAAATAGTGATAGCTTTGTAAAATTTCATCTTTCCATTCAGGTATATGTAAGTATATATCTTCATTTATTAAAGTGTCCTAGTACGATTTGCTAGTCAGGGCTCACCAGAGAAACATAATAAACAAGACATATATCTATTACCTAAGTTGACCCATAAAGGTACCCATTGCAATACGATTTTTCAAATTTCTTCAAATCTTGTGCATATTTTCAAAGTTTATTCCATAATAGTTCATGTTTTTGCTTGCTGTTATAAATTATGATGCCTTTCTCACATTATGTTTTTAAAGTATAACATTCTGGCATAAGTAATGCATATAAAACTTGTAGAAAAGTTCTTGGCACATGGGAAGGTCTTAATGAATACTGTTGTTCTGTGTATATTTATTATGCATCTAGGCACCTGTCTTAGTCCATTTTATGCTACTGTAACAGAATACCACAGACTAGGTAATTTATAAAGAGCAAAACCTTATTTCTACACTTCTGGGGGCTGAGAAGTCCAAGAGCATGGTGCCAGCATCTGGTGAGGGTCTTCGTGCTGTGTGATAACATGGCAGAAGTGCAAGTAAGAATGAGAAATAGAGAGGAAATTGGGCCAAACTCATCCTTTTATGAGCCCACTCCCAGGATAACTAACCCACTTCTACAATAATGGCATTAATCCACTGACCTAATTACTTCTGAAAGTCCCCACTTCTTAATAACATTACAATTGGAATTAAGTTTCAACAAAAATTTTGGAGGGAACATTCAAACCGTAGCAACACTTAATACTCTCATACTAGTTTTAAAATTTCCTTTTCTTAACTATTTTTTCTTATAGTTATAAATAATATAATCTAGAAATAAGTTTAATTTTTACCCATTATTTCAATAAATGCCTTGACAAATGGAATTACCTGAAAGTAAAAATCTTCTGCATGGCCAAAAAAAAAAAAAAAGAAATGAAGAGACAACCCACAGATTAGGAGAAAATATTTGCAAATCATACATTGGGTAAGAGGCTAATATAAATAACATATTAGGAACTCAAACTACTCAACAACAAGAACCCAAATAACCCTATTATAAAATGGGAAAAGGACTCAAATAGACATTTCTGGGAAAAAAAAAAAGCATACAAATGACCAGCAGAAATATTAAAAAGGATCAATATCTCTAATCATCATGGAAAGGCAAATTAAAACCACAATAAAAATAACCTCATACCTGTTAAAATAGCTACTATCAAAAAGATGAAAAAGCAAGGGTTGGCGAGGATGTGGAGAAAAAAGAGTGCTTATACTCTTGTACACTGTTGGTGGGGATGTAAATCAATAAATGCATTGCTTATTGTTTTGGCTGTATCCTCAAAAACACATCTTAATAATATTAATAAAAGAAGACATCTTGGTCTTCTTCCTGAGAATAAGGGGAACCCTATTATTGCATGTTAATTTTCTCCACTAAATTCCCTTTGTTTTATTTAGGGACAGTTTTTGCCTTGTTTATCCTGGCCTCTTTCATACTTTGTATTTTTCTCATTTTCAGGTCACCCTTAGTTGTCTATTTTTAGCAATGTGACAATAAAAGCCGTTTGGTAACTCTTCGTACACGGACAGAGCTTTTAGTCTGATGGACTTTACTGAAGAGTGATGGGGATGGGAAATTTTTGTGATGCTGCCTCAAATGTCAGAAATTGGGGACTTTCAACTTCTCCAGCTTTTAAATCTCGTTGACTCCTTTGTTTGAAAGCATTACCCGGGCCTTCAGGAGTGTTGCACACAGGGTGTGTGCAGAATTAACTATACAGACTTTAAACGACTCCCTTTTGCTGTCAGGCTCATGTCTTGTTCCTTCTTTTTCTTCTATACCTTGTACCTAATGTTTCTGAGTCTCAAATCTTTCTGAGATACTGGAGAGGTGGAATGCCTTTTTTTCCTGGATTATCATTTTAAATTCTAATTTTGTTTGTTTGTTTGTGTTTTTTGAAACAGAGTCTTGCTCTGTCACCCAGGCTGGAGTACAGCGACGCAATCTTAGCTCACTGCAACCTTCACCTCCAGAGTTCAAGCAATTCTTGTGCCTCAGCCTCTGGAGTAGCTGGGACTACAGGCACTCATCACCACGCCTGGCTAATTTTTGTATTTTTAGTAGAGACAAGGTTTTACCAAGTTGGCTAGGCTGATCTGGAACTCCTGACCTCTGCCTCAGCCTCCCAAAGTGCTGGGATTACAGGCATTGAGCCACTGCACACAGCCAAATTCTAATAAGTCTTTAAATTAATAATTTTGTTAGCAGCCTGATTTAGAGCCTTGTAAGATGTGAAAACATTATTTAATTTCTAATTTTTCTAAAAGCTTTTAAAATTAGGAATTTCAACGCCTTTAGGAAACTCTTGAATTTTCTGATTGTTTTTATTATTTACTGATGATTCAACTTTTCCTCCTCATTCTCTAATTCTTCAGCACTAATTGAGTATTCGCTGTGCTGTAGATGCTTCTTAGAGAATACAAAACTAAGTAGAAGATACCCTGGGCCATCACAAAGCTTTTAATATAATTGAGAACCTGTTTAAACAATTAAGTATAATTAAATAAGTGTAAAATAGATGTACGGGGAAAATGCTGTGGGGATCAAAGGAAGAAGCAATTAATTAGAAATGAGGATATTAGGGAAAGTTCCACATCGCTGTTGTCATTTGGGTTGGAATTTGAAGCATGAGAATCTATTTTCTATAGTACTAATAGGGAGTTGTGATGGGCTTGCAGCAATATTCTGGGCCAAAGGAACAGTGAGAAAAAACCAAAAGTGTGGGGAAAAAAGTGAGAATACATGGATAATGGCAAATAACTTTCTCTGGTTGTTCTCTAAGCTGTATGGAAGAGGAGATGTATTTCAAAGTTGAAGGGGTCAGATTAATGAAAGCCTTGAAGGACTTTTGTCTTTATGCCATGTGTGTGGACATTCAGACTTGTCAAATAGTTTTTACAATAGCAACATGATCAAAACTCTGCTTTACAAAGATAAATCTGGGGAAAGTGTAAAGGATGGATTGGCAAGGTGAAAGATCAGAAGCAGGGAGCCTGGTAAAAGGCCTGAGTTCAGAAAGAGATTAATAGAGCCCAAACTAAGGCATTGGACATAGTAACTGGAAGAAAGAGATAGATAGGAGAGTCACTGGGAATATATAATTGATAGAAATCACAAACTCATTGGAAATAAGGGCTAATACAAAAAAAAAAGCAGAAATGAAGAATACATCAAGCTTTCCAGCCTGAGTAACTCGAAGAGTTGCAGGATGATTCCCCAAAGTAAACACAAGAAGTGAACAGAAGAGAATAAAGGAAAGGTAATAGGATGCTCCTAAAAGATACCATGTCAGGAAGTACCACTCAAAGCTTCTTTGGTCACAGGAAGGAAAAACTTCCCTCCACTTTGGAGTAGTCAAAATTTCTCCATGTGGAGCAAAGTTCTAGCTTCATTATATTGGTGCTATAACTAAGAAGTTACAGAATTTGATGAAGAATAGCTGGGAGACTTTAACTTAGGCTGTAATGAAAAACCAGATTACAGATACCTGAATAATAAAATGCAATCAGAAATGGTGGCTCTCCAACAAAGACAGTGACACTGAGGGTGAGGTTTACACATACACACAAATACACACACACACAACACATGAACACGTACTCACTTGTAGTAGGCCATTTATGGTGGGAAAATTGCATTAATAAGATCGTGGGTGGTCTTCAACCCAGGACTGAAAGGCAAAATTGAGTCTGCCTTGGAATCACCATTGATCTAAAATTATGCTGGAATGCAACTGTGCATGACTACATAACTTAAGTTTGTGCCAAGGAAAGGTGACCCTAAGCTTTTTTCTTCCATCCGTTCAGAACATGCAGAGACACCCACCTAATTTCTTGGATGCTTTAATCATGGCCATGGATCAGTCTGTTATTCTGACTCCTCCTGGGCCACTGTGGAGTGGTGCTGGCTGTGTCCTTAAAACAGAGGAAACTCTTCTGGGAGGGGGAGTTGAATATCCAGCACTAAAAGTGCTGCCCTAACTCTAATCCACACTGGGCTCTCCCAGAGGCATGGTGTCAAGCAAAACAAGGGGATGGGGATGGGGGTACATGACTTCTTCTCTTGTGGCTGGAATTTCTCTAAGAGTTAAACTTTGCCACTCTGATTCCTAAAAAACCTACTTCCCGAGGGCAATAATGTGGCCTCTAGAGAAAATAAACAAGGGCAGAAATGCATTCTTTCTGAAAAGAAGAATTTCTCTGTGTCTCTTTGAGTATCCGCTTTCACCAAATGATCCATCCACCTTATTTAGATTGAGCTAATATAACTATCAGCCATAATTTGCTAATTTACCTTTTTTGATTTCCTGATCAGGGTGAGTGTCCCCTTCTAAAAATCTTCAAGCCACTTGTTCTTTGGATATATCAAGTTTTCCTTTCTCTCACCTGCCATCTACTACACTTCTTGAAATTTTCCATCCTTAGTTACATTAATTAGTCAAGAATTTCCTTGATATTGATTTTGTAACCACACTATAACTTTGTTAACACATTCTTCCACAGTATAATTTCCTTTGGGTACTACCATGGCCTGGGGAAGATCCTATAATGGAGAGACTCTGAGTGAGGACAACAATAATAAAATTTTGCAGTTAGTCCAAAGACTTATGGATGAGAAACTTCAGAACATTTCTGTGGTTACCTCTGCAGCATTAGGCAAAAATCTAACCTCTGATCTTCAGATGGTAGACTATTAGGGCTGGGCTGATGTTACACAGCCGCTTGGTGTGGGGGCCAGGGTTTTAGGTAAGGCACATGCCCTTGAAGGCCTTAAAACATAGAATGCCTGGTCATGCAAGACACAGCAAGCTGGTAGGACCTGGCCTCTGTCCTGCTTGGTATGGCATCATGAAAAAAATACTATGCCTGTCTGTACAACAGATCAGTGTCTCCTTAATAATAACCAATTTTGTTTTTAACAGAAAGTAGTTTATATACTGAAGGTGTTAGTCATTATAATCTTTTATAATCCCTCACTTTTGTATAGTACTTCTCAGTTTATAAAACTCTGCACACACTTGATCTCATTTAATCTTCCTATGACCTCAGGCAGTATACCTTATTAACCTCCCTTTGTAAGTGTGATGACTTAGAACCGTGGAGATTAAAGCACCTTTTCCAGGTCTTTTGCTCCTCCTCCTCGAGTACTTTGTCCAGTAAACCACAACTGCCGCATGGTCAAGGACCTGGATAGTTGGTGCAAGCCTCAAGGCTGGCTTGGAAACATCCATCAGCAGAGTTTCTCTTGATATTTCTTTAGAACTAGGCTGGATGTCCTTGGTCATCACGTTTCTACTGTCACATGTACACATTCTTTCCCTCCTTGCCTTAGTTAGAAACTGCTTACCCCTCCAATCTCAGCTGAGTTGTTGGTCCCTTTTGGAAGCTCTCTCTGACTTCACTTACTTCCACCTCATCCTATACTCTCTGCACCGTAACAAACTTCTCTCTTGTGTAATTATGTGATTAATGTTTATGTCCCTTGGAAGCCCTTGTATGTCTATTGAGTAAGAAAAATCTGTTTTTGTTCGTTGTTACGTCTCAGTGCCCAACAGTTTCTACCCCATAATAAGCACTCAATATGTATGTTTTTAAATGGTTGAATGAATAATTAAGTCTTACTTGAATAAGTTCACCCATTTGTTGGAAAAGCAATAATTTAATAATCTGGTACTGGAAATGTTTTTAAAGACTTTTTCTCCAACTAAGCAAATTTTCTTATTGTGAAACAGACCATGAATCCAATTCCCCTGGTACTTAAACTCTTTCATGGAAGTAAATGAAGCTACATAAAATTAGTTAAGTCAAGCAGAGGAATATTTAAGAAGTTTCAGTTTGAACACATAAAACTAGTTTCATCCAGAATGAATTATTGAATTTATCAAAGATGTCAAGCTTTTTTTCCCCAAGAAGGCTAGCCACAGAAAGACTTCCATACCAGTGGATTAAATTAATTTCCAAGTATACATTTCAGTTTAAGGTAAAGGTAAATGTATCTCAATTGGCCCAAAACATAAGTGTCAATTTATGAGGTACTTGTCTGGCATGCACAAGCTTTTCTCATGAGGATGCTAAATCATGAACTGACAATCTGATTTGTCCATTTTGTCTTTGATGCTAATGCTGTAGCAGGAATGCATACTCATATTGTTATTTGTAGGAAATCTCTCACAGAGTAGTTTGAGTGGTGACACAGAATTTATTGTCTTTATCCATGCTTTTAATAACACTAACAGACAATTCAGTGAGAGCTGGTGCAATTCCCAATGTACAGACAGAATAAATGAGGCAAATCACAATTCATCATCAAGAATTAGATGAGCCAGAAAAATGCCTTTGGTGAAACAAGTTTCTTGCACTGACCTGTGAGAGGTTTGACTGTGAAATTTTGTCTTCTTAAAAAAGTGAATTTGCAATGAAGGAGTATCTGTAGAATAAAACCAGTGAAGAGCTATAGGAAGCAGCACAGAGATTGCTACATGACACCCCTATTGCTCTAGTGGGAGGCAGCCCAATAGAAAGGGAAGACTGGGAGCTGGGAGACCTGGGTTCCAGTTCTGGTTTGCAGCAACTTTCTGACTAATCATTGGCAAGTCACTTTACTACTCTGGCTCACAGTTTTTATACCTATAAAATGAGGAAAATAAATTATGTATGGCTCCAAATGTGAAATTGCTGCTTGGTTGCATCAGAAGGCCCAGGGACTTTTTAAAATGCAGATTCCTGGCTGCTTTCCAAGACTTAACAAATCAGAACCTTTAGGAGAAGAGTCAGAACTTGGGAATCAATATTTTTAATAGCTGCATAGATGATTCTTGCAAATTAATGAAATACAGCTTGAATACTTTCAGCCACAGATTGTAAGCTCTGGCTCCTTCATTCAACAACCTAATCACAATCCATATCTCCAGGGCAGCAATGGAGACTGTGGTGGTGTCTCTGGTTTTGACTTAGCACAACTGTTCATCAGGATGTATCGCCTGGGATGGTTAATGTGTACAAAAAATAGGTAGAAAGAATAAGTAATAACTACTATTGATAGCATAACAGGTTGACTATAGTCAATAATAACTTAATCTTACATTTTAAATAACTAAAAGAGTATAATTGGAAGGTTTGTAACACAAAGAATAAATGCTTGAGGGAATATATATCCCATTTCCTATGATGTGACTATTTCACATTGCATGTCTGTATCAAAACATCTCATATACCCCACAATTATATGCACCTCATATGTACCCACAAAAATTAAAAATTTGAAAAAATTTGAAAAAGATGTACTGCTTGGATTTTCTAGGCAATGCATAATTTGAGGAATATAGAGCTAAACTATTGTTAGTCTCTTCAGGGTCCATAAATGTCATAAAATAGAAATGGGACATAGCTCTGCCAACAAAGGAGACCCATGGAAAGCTTTTGAGATGACTGTCATTCACAACTTGCATCTTAGGAAGTTATCTCCTGTAGTAGGTTGGTGGACTACCTGTTGCTGCAACCTAGGCAATGGGTCATGAGCACCAGAACCAGGGCAGTGATCTACTGCATACCTAAACCAAGCCAAAGACTGTCAAGCCGACCCTATAGCCTTTTAGAATGAATGGTGGCACTTCAGAAGCACGTGTGTGTGTGTATGTGTGTGTGTGTATTTTTCTGTAGGACTGTGTTTCTTACATATTTAAGGACATTTGTGCTCTTTCAATATACCTAGATGTGGTGTATGTATGTACATGTGTTTAAGCAGTTTTGGTGGTGTTTTGGGATATGGGATCCAGAACTGCTAGAAATTCCAGTGGGAATTTGAATTGGAAAAGTGATAATTTTCAGACTTGTATTTCTTTCATTTAAACAACTGACTCATAGTTAAGACATACTTTCAGCATACTGTGTATAATTAACTTTGTTTCCTGTGAAAACCTTTATATTTTGAATCAAGATAATGCTTTTGAATGAAGACCTTTTGGCACAACATTTTAAGAATCAAAATGATGATTTTTAGTGTTAAAATCTTTACATTTCAAAGTAGTAAGAGTTGTATATTGAAGCTAGAATTTTTTAAAGCCAATTCATGTTTGGGTATTTAGCTCATCTTGGCTTTTTTTTTCTTGTTGTACCTCCTAATTGATAGTTTATCCTGATACAAAAGATAAAAATTTAAACCTGTTTATGCTAATATGCAATAACTAATTTACTATTGCATCTTAATTTCTGCTCTCAAAATCTTGTTTTAGGGATCTTCTGGGTTGTGGAAATCTCTGTAAGATGGTTTTGGTCTAAGCTGCTTGGTTACCAAGATGTCAGTTCAAGAACTAATGACAATTGATATTCATGATTGTACTTGTTTCAGGCAATCCACGCTATGGTTGCTTGAAGGTCTTCCAAATGGTAGCCTTCTCTAGGCAATATTGTCCACTCTGTTATGCTATCAACGAAAGACTGGCTTTTCTCTTTGGGTCCACAGAAATTTATTGAGATAACATCATGAGATCATTGCTATACCCAGTGCTTTTAGACAGGGATCTGTGAGCTGCCTGGAAACACAGAGCCAACAACAGGCTTCATTTGAAATCTCACAGTTGAAATATGTGATATATTAAAGTTCACCTTGCAGGTGTGAGCATTCGGATCACCAACGCTGTGACCTCGCTGTGTGAACGGGAGCTACTACAGGAAGGAAGCTTACAAATGAGCTGCATGGATCCCACATTTTGCTAAAATCAAATAGGACCTTTCTCCTCTTTGTTGAATGCCGTAATACACAAGAAATAAGCCAGCAGGATGCTCATGTCCAAGGTACTCATTCTTTTCACCCAATTCAAAGAGAGCCAGTTTCATCACTTTTATTCTACAAGAAAAATTTCACCATAAGACAACCAGTTTCCCAAAAGAAAGTGAAATCTTTTATCTTAAGAGAGTAAAAAGTAAATTTTTTCTATGTATTTTAATGAAGGGTTTCTATTCAAACAACCCTTGCTTCTCATCAGAAGTTGTCCTTATATAGGAGAAATTACCTGGACTTTGGTGTCAAACAGACCTCAGTTCTAATCCTAAATCCAGAACTTAATAGCTTTTGCCTTTTTATATCACGTATGTGCTGAGCTTCTATTGTGTAATTCATGAAACAGAGATAATAATAATACTTTATGAGACTGTTTTGAGGATTAAATATTAATAAAAAAGCTACTGTACTCAGGTTGTGTAAGCCTATGAGTACCACTTAAACAAATTCCCAAATTGTCTCAGGAATAGGTGTGCATGTGTGTTAATACGTGTGCATGTGAACGTTTGTAGTAGAATAAGTATGGGATGGGCACTGGAGACTTGGGTTTCAGGCTCTCTCTCTCTCTCTGTCCTACTGTCTTCTGTCTCTGTCTTTGTCTTAGCCTCAGTTTCCTCATCTTTAAAAGGAATATACCCCAGGCAGATGTCATGATGACTAGTTGAGATGATCTACGTAAAGTACCTGGAACATGGCCAACACTCTATGGAAATACTAGTTTTCTTCCCCTTTTCCCGGTATACCTTTGCATATGGAGAGAAAGGGGGAGCAGGAGAAAATTAAACGTTGTATATTTCACACTTGCAAAATGATTTCTTAATTATGCTGATGATATTGAACATCCATTGCTTACTTTGAACAGTGAAAATCACTTATACATGTTTTCTCCCGTAATTCTTACTCCAGCCCTTTTTGAGAGATGCTGGTACTACCTCTGTTTTATAGATAGCAAAGTTCAGAGGTTTAGGTCACTCACCTGAGATTGAACATGGGTCTCCCGGATTCCAAAGCCAACCAAAGTGTTCAAGCGTTTGCTTTTCTGCTCCCCTAACCAAGCTTCCTTGTCCTTTATTCATGAGTATTTTGTTTGCTTTTTGTTTTGTTTTTGTTTGTTTGTCTTTTTCTAATCTTTAAATCTTTAAATTTAGACCAGGAAGAGAACTGTCTTAAAAATACAGTCAGGACTAACCTCAGCTGTCTTTAGACCTGTGCTAGTCCAGAAGGTATCATTATTTTTCAGCCTGAATATTTGATTGTTGCTTTTATAAGTACATAATTGAGATGCACTGAGGAAAAAAAGACAGCACTGCACTTTCTCATTTGCTTTGCAACAAAGGTAGATGGTTTGAAGAAGCCTTGCCCTTCAATGATTAGGCAGCTTGTATGACTAATAAGAATATTGTCCCTAAAGGAAAGTGGAACATCTTACAAATACAAGAGCACTCAATTAGAGTTTTAAATTAGAATGTAATTATGTGGTTTTTTTCTCTTTTTTTGAGGAAGAAAAAGAGCTTTTAATCTTTTAGGTGGCTTATTTTGGTGAAAAAACAATTTTAGGAAGTGTTTAAATTTAAAAAGCTACTCTGCGTCTTGTTTAATTTTGGACCTAGTCCAGTCCCTGAAGTACTAGAAGCAGATAAGTTTGCTTATACCTGGCTTTTTAAGCCACTTCATTTTATAATTCAAAACAGGGATGAGCTGTTGATATGGATTACTGCACTCAGTATAATGAAATTGTCAATATGCTTTGAGATGCACGGCATGTAATCAGACATGTAGAGAAATAGCCCATTCAGTCCCTGAAACAAAAGATTTGCCTTTGAGACCATGACTGTACAAAAGCAACCATGCTCTTTATTTAGGAAATAAACTGGAATGGGGTAGTTTTCTCAACGTGAAACCAAATGTACTCTTTGACCCAAAGCACTCTCCTTTATAGTTTCCATGGACATTCTCCAGGTGGATAAATAAAAGGTTATTGTTTGATTATGGTAGGTCAGGCTCTTGTCTTGTCTGATCAATAATATTATACTTCCTATGACTTTAGAGAGAAGAACAACACGGACGATAAAGACCAATGTGGTTATTTGTAAATCTATTCTTTTGAAAGGTTTCCCTTTATCTACCACACGAGTTGGCATGAAACAACTTCTGGGGTTCAAATCTTCTGAACAATGATACAAGTCTTGGCAAATTTCAAGAATAATTTAAAGAGGAAATAAATAGCTTTTTGTTTAACTTGGATCAATTATCTCCTATTGGTAAGTCTCTTTTCCCATCCTGTGTATTTCTTGTCTGCTCTATCATTTGAATGTTTTCTGATAAGAACATTAGTAGAAGCTATCAACTGGACCCTGCAATGTTCTGGGTATGGTTGTAAATGCTTTACACTTATATTTTATGTAATGCTTTAAATTTTGTGAAGGTAGGTTTTGTTTCTCCATTCTATGAATGATTGAAGAGATAAAGTGACTCGTAGTTTCCATAATGATTATATGGTAGAAGTCAGGTTTACCCACCTTTACTCTTAATCATACAGATGTACTCATTAAGGATTGCTCTTAATCATACAGGTAGACTCATTAAGGGTTATGAGGTGGGGTCTAGCTCATTCTGCCCTTGTTCTTTGCAGTCAGCCCCATCACCAATTACTGGCTATGCTTTTCTAAAGCCAGTCATGCCAACACAAATTTGGTTAGGATAAGTTTCCTAGAATCCTAGAAATTCAGAGTTTCAAAAAATGCTAGAGGGCACAGGATCCAATTCCTTATATATACTTGTGAGAAACTGAAGACCAGGAAGGCAAACAAGTAAATAAAACAACAACAAAA
Organism: Homo sapiens; assembly: GCF_000001405.40. Lineage (NCBI taxonomy): Eukaryota > Metazoa > Chordata > Mammalia > Primates > Hominidae > Homo > Homo sapiens. The sequence goes on from NC_000002.12 coordinate 220,633,378, forward strand.
AAACCTTGTCACGATTCACTCAGATGGTAGGTGGCAGGACTGAAATTAATACTCCTTTCTGCTGTGTTCAAATCACTCTGCCTCCATATTACTAGTGATATATTTGCATCTTTACTTGTTCCTAAGGATACATTGCAGAATTTTGCATCATTTTTCAAGTTCTGTTTTTTTTTAAACTATGTAGGAATTTTAAAAACTCTTGTTGAGAAAATAATTATAGATGAAAACACAAATAACTCAAATAACTGGAACGCTATTTTGAGACATCTCAAACCAGAGTAGGAGGCTGAAAGTAACAAAGTAAACAAGCCGTTGAATACAGGAGCTGGGAATAGTGTTAAAAAAATCATACTGTTCAAAGTTTCTGAAAAATGCTCAGGTAGTGGGATGATTAGTGGGTACATGATGGGTTTTTGGTTATATCAACAAAATTATAGCGTTGATTTGATGATATTAGTATATATGTGCACACGTGTTTATATATATATATATATATATATATATATATATGTCTGTATGTATCTATGCATATTTATGTGTACACATTTTTTCAGCTCCCAGCTTCATGCCAGGTACTCTCCACTGTGCCTGGGAAATATGAATCCCTGCCCTCATGAAAAAACATTGGCCATGAGGATTTTCCCTACAACCCAAGAACTATTTGAAGTTTGAAGTCTTTCAGCCCAGACAACACTGGCTATTTTCACCTTTGCCTTCAACTATAAAGGCTGGGCTCTCTCTGCAGGAGTGGGTAAGTACAGCCCGTGGTGGAGAAGAGAGAAAAAGTCTTTCAGTGCAGTACAGGCTCTATCACAATAGATGGGCCTTATTAGCCATTCTCAGCCTCATAGATAATGTAGTCGTGGATGGCATGGTTTGATCTAGTGAAGAATTGCCCAGGAGATTGTGTTGACATCTGAGATTTATTTTAATCCTTTTTTGCAGATTTTGTAACGAGCATTGTAACAAAGTACGCCAAAGAATCATTACATATCTTATAAAATCTTAATAATACAAAAATTAGAAACGTTTTTCATGCATACGTTCAATTTGTTCAAAGTCCTGATTTCGCTTTGCTGATTAGCATACAGTGCCCTGTGAGGGGACCCTGCCTTTAAGACATCATGCTCCCTGGATTGCGATGTATATTTTTAAATGAGTAGTATGCATATTATGTTTACAGGTCGCTACTGTCAAATCATATAGTTTGAACTAAATGATGCAGAATGGACACATACCTATGTACATGGGTTCTTTTTTTTCACTTATTCACTAAATCCTTATTGACTGTCCAGCTTGAGCATTAAAAATAAAGTGAAAAAATAAGCCTTCAGAAATAAAGAGATATTTCCACTGTGGAGCAGAAGATGTATTATGGGGATCTGTCTGGAAAAGTAAATGATTCCTACAAGGGCATGCAGCCGGAGGAGCGGCTGTAGCAAGAATGTAGGACCCAGGGCTGGATGCATGCCTTCTTTCCTTGAGTCCACACTGAATAGTTGTGTGATCCCAAGCAAAGCATTCCATCATTTTGACCTTCTTTCCTCAACTGGAAAATGAGATTAATCTTACCTACTTTATAGTGCTATTGTGAAGATGAAAGGGAATATTGTATGCAAAATTACCTAGCACAGAGGAGATAGCCAGTAAAGTTTTTCGCTTTTTCCCTTTCTGTTATTTAGTGGTAAGATCTCAAGCAATTCAGTATCCTGAAAATGCAGTGTATGGCACATAGGTCATTGCAATACATTTCCTTCATGAAACTCTTCCTGGCCCTGACTTGGCGTCTCATGCAATGTCCTTCATTTCTCCTCCCCTCTCCCAACCCAGAAGTCAGGTTGTTTGTTTGTTCTTTCCCCAGATTTCTGCTTTCTTCATCCTCCAGGCTTCCTTTTCTCTTGAGCATCTATTTGCTTCCCTTTCCTTTCTACAGCATTTTCTTACTCTTTTTTTAAAAAAATTATACTTAAATTATGGGATACATATGCAGAACGTGCAGGTTTGTTACATAGGTATACACATGCCGTGGTGGTTCGCTGCACCCATCAACTCGTCATCTACATTAAGTATTTCTCCTAATGCTATCCATCCTCTAACCCCTCGCCCCCTGACAGGCCCCGATGTGTGATGTTCCCCTCCCTGTGTCCATGTGTTCTCGTTGTTCAACTCCCAGTTATGAGTGAGAACATGTAGTGTTTGGTTTTCTGCTTCTGTGTTAGTTTGCTGAAAATGATGGTTTCCAGCTTCATCCATGTCCCTGAAGAGGATATGAACTCATCCTTTTTTATGGCTGTGTAGTATTCCATGGTGTGTATGTGCCACATTTTCTTTATCCAGTCTATAATTGATGGGCATTTGTGTTGGTTCCAAGTCTTTGCTATTGTTAACAGTGCTACAATAAACATACATGTGCATGTGTCTTTATAGTAGACTGATTTATAATCCTTTGGATATATACCCAGTAATGGGATTGCTGGGTCAAATGGTATTTCTGGTTCTAGATCTTTGAGCAATCGCCACACTGTCTTCCACAATCGTTGAACTAATTTACACTCCCACCAACAGTGTAAAAGCATTTCTTTGGGTTCTATTCTTCTCAAAACCTGTATGTATGTCTGTATGTATGTACCCATGTATATTTATATGCATACATTTTTATAGTTCCTGTTGTATGCTGCTACCATGTGACACTACTTCCAGGCCCCTTATTTTCCTGGCATCAAAATAGTATTACTGAAATGGTTTTAATCTGGAGGCTTTCCTGATAATAAATAGGGATAACAAAAACATGAGTCATTAAAAAATGAAAATATCCTAAAAATCTCCAAAAATTCTTACTTATGGTTGTGTCAAGACTTTGTTACAATATTAACAGATCTTATTTTTACTGCATTTTTACTCCCATCTCTCCCCGTCCAGTCCAAGGGGATAATCGGGCTTTTGACTCAAGAGTTTCCATTTTAAAGCTTGCCTGTAAGTGCTGTCCACCATTCATCATGATCACCCCTGCCCAATCCTCACTCTCCTTCAGACATTAAGGATTTTGTTTCCTAAAGTTAAACTCACGAAAGAGATATATTAAGGGGAAGAGAAAGAGGCAAATACCTTGAGCATTGGGAGAGGTGATAAGAAAACATTAGGGGAAATTGTTAAGGACTAGGAAGAAGATGGTGGCCTGAATTTCTCTGAATAAGGAAAATTGGTGCAGAAATCTAGGGAGGTGGGACAGACCTGCCTCCTAGAGAACCTGGGAACCCAGGAACTGAACTCAGCAATTGTAGACTGTAGACACCAGGGCCCCAACCTGGCAGTGTGTACTTTGCCCAATTTTAGAAAGGCAGCTCTGGAATCAATTTAATACATTATGAGTTACCATCATTCCTAGGACTTTCAGACAACTCTGGAGTGGAAGGAAGGAGCTCCAATAATAATAATAATAATGTAATGAAACTTCCTAATAGTCTAGTTGTATGAGAGCTTAGTGTCAGATTAAATTTGATGTAAGAACCTGCGTGTGTGTGTGTGTGTGTGTGTGTATGTGTGTGTGTGAGATATTTATTACGTAATTTGCTAGAATGTGTTAAATACAATGGAGAAAATAAATCAAGAAATGCTGATAGGAAATGTTATAGTTGGAAGAGGTTGGAATCTGAATGCTGTGGACAGGGAAGATCTTACTGAAAAGAAAACACTTGAACAAAGTTTTGAAAAGGGTGAAGGAAAGAGCGATAAAGAGATTCAAAGGAAAGAGTATTACAGATAGAAGGAAGAGCAAGGTCTGTGAGGCCGAGAGGTAGGAACATGCCTGCTCTAATGAGAGGCACTGAGAAGTTGTTGTAAAACTGCACTGTCCCTGACCATATATAGCTATCAAGCATTTGCAATGTGGCTAGCCTGAACTGAGGTGTATTGTACACATAAATGACACACCAGATTTCAGAGACGTCGTAACGAAAGAAAAACTAAACTATATCATGTGCAATTGGTACTGATTAAATGTTGAAATACAATGTTTTGGATATATTATGTCAAATAGATTGTTAAAGTTAATTGCATCTGTTTTATACATATTTTTAATGTTGCTACTGGAAAATTAAAAATTGCACTTCTTTTATGTAGCTCACATTATATTCTTCTGGCAGTACTATTGTAGAAGATGAGATCTGGAAGGTAATGATGCCAAATTTTTAATGCTCCTTAGGCCATTTGCATTTGTTCTAAGAGGGAGGCTATTAATTTCAAATTATTTACCAAAATTGGGATATCACTAAGAACTCATTGCAGTATAATTTGTTATACTGCAATATATATGTTATACTGAAATATATATATAACTATATATAGCTATATATATAGCTATATGTAACTATATATATACACACACACATATATAACATATACATATATACACATATACATATATATATACACACACACACACACACACACACATATATATATATATATATAACACCTTTGAGCAGAAGATGAGCATAATCTACCATTTTTATAACTGGATCACTCTGGGTACTCTTACAGGTTATAGGAGGACAAGGATGAAATCAGGGACACCTATTAAAGGGCATTCCAATAATCCAGGCTAGAGATGGTGCTGACTTGGGTAGCAGCATAGATTATGATATGTGGTCAGATACCAGAGGAATTTCTAATACATTCAAAGTGTGATGTAAGAAAAAAAGAATGAGGATTACTCCCCAGAACATTTGTCTTGAATATCTATGCAGGTTTGTTTTTCATTCAGTGAGATGGAGAAGATGAGGAGAGTGGATTGGGACAGAAACTCAGGAGTTTAGCTTTGTACATGTTAAGGTTGAAACATTTATTGGGCATCCAGGTAGAGGTTTATGGAGGTAGTCTGATAATCAGGGAGTGGTCTTGGCAGAAGATAAACTCTGGAGGATAATCAATATAAAAATTGGCATTTGGTACCATGAGATTAAATGGTATCACCAATGGAGCGAATTAGAGGTGGGGAAGAGAAGAGGCAGGAGGATCGAGGCAGGGGGAACTCAGAGAGTTCATGAGCAGAACTACTGCTCCATTTACCCTGGAACACACTTTGTAGCACTCACTTCTGGGGTTCTCATTGATGTAGACTTATTCAGAAGGAGAAACACCAGTACTAACTGGAAAGGTCCTGTTTGTTCTGGGCTGGACAGTTACAGCAGAAAGAGTGTTAATCAGTGTGAGAAAAGGGGCAGATGTAAAGTATATTCCTCCATATATAGATATGTCATTGTTTAAATGGACAAATTATGCTGCAAAGAACTCTAGTTATATCCCAATTTTGGTAAATAATTTAAAATTACAGCAATCTCAATATCATAGTGTGACATCAATTATATTAAAGACTCCCTGAAATTTCTTAGTAAAATGTTAATTTTACATCACCTTAATTTTTTAATGCTACCCAATACCAGATTTGATGTCCAAATAAAGATGACAAGGTCTTAGAACTCTACAATAGTGGAATCACTGTGACATGCACTTTCTAAATACACATTATGGAGACATTTTCAGGTGCTCTTGACCTTGTCCTCTGGAAAATATGCTCCTTATATGTCCACTTAGTGCTACATTTTGAACTATTGCCTCTGAGGTTTCTGAGTCTCTTTTTCCCCTTGAAACTGGATCAACATGTTCATTTCTTAAAGGTGAAGATTCCTCAGAGGAATAGAAGGTAGAGGCTGAGTGACCAAAAGCAGAATAATGTTATCCTACTGCAGGATACCTACAATGTAATATGAAAAATTAGCTGTTTCTTCTAGAAGAAGGATTTCCCTCTATTCATCTAGCTTGGATGGGAATATAGTGTGGGTAGCTAAGAATTCAGGCTCTGGGGCTGTACTTCCTGAGTTCAAATATTGGTTCTCCCATTCTGTAGTCATTTGATCTTGGGTAAAAATTTAATCTCTGTGTTTCAGATTTCTCACCTGTACAATGGGGATAATACTGCTATTGACATCATAGAGTTGTTGAAAGGATTAAATGACTTAATACTTGTTAAACCTTATACTAGTGCCTCGCTAAGCACTATATACATGTTCTCTATTTTTGTTTTCTATCTACCCATCACACTTTGTGTTCTGAAATTGCTGTCATCAGGAAGTATTTGTCCTCATTTTGCACAAAAAAACAATTTTAGTTTCTGAGCCCCCATCCTTTTGAAATTGAGGATGTCATGAAAGCCCAAATTTTGTAGTTTTTCCTACTGCCTTGACTCCTCAGACCTTTCGTCATACACTCACATGAGTTAATTAAAAGCCATTCTTTGTTATAGCCGTTTTGATTCCTTTATGTCCCCAAGTTCTGCTGCTTTTGTGCTATGTACCACATTGTCATTTCCTCTAGGGGCTTGCCATGTCCTTTAGGTACAATCAGAACACAATTCAATCATTCAAGATGGAGTGACAAACATCAGATTTACCCATTTGCCTGAAACCACCACAAAATGGATATAATACATGAAACATGCTTTGTGGGACACTGGACACCAGGCAGTGAAATTCAATGATCCCTGAAAGACAGCAAACAATGTGAGTCCTACAATTGCCCCAGTTTATGGGCAGGAGACAGTTTCCAAGCCATAGTGCAGAAAAGGGGACCCAGGCAGAGTCTGGCATACTCCTGGAGTTGAGGAGATGGATCTGAGAGCCTGGTAAAACCAAAACAGCTAGAGTTTGCTGGACAGAGTACTAGTGAAGAGAGAGCTGCACACAGAATTCCAGAGAACCGCAGAGGGTTCTCCTCTAGCATTCAGATGAATATTGATGTACACATGCATGTGAGGAAGTTACCCAACATCAAGGAAAGAACCACCTAAAAGGATTAGGAACAGCATTGTTCAACATTCAAACAAGTCTGAGAATAGTGCCTGTTCCCACCAGCCATGCTGGAAAACCTCAAGATTTATGAAGCATTGGATAGAATATTTAGGAGGATCTTGCATCAGAAGTGGGAAAAATTAAGGATGAGCACAGCTCTGATCTCACATAAGAAATCTTAAGTGCAAGACCCAAAAGGATCATAGTACTTCCAAATAACTACATCCCGGAACAAAGTTTCAAAATATTTATAGAACCACAAAATCACCTAGCTTCAACAAGATCATAGTCACAATATGCAGCATCTAATAAAAAATTACTGATTATGAAAAAAGCAAAACTATCAATCAATTAAAGCCAACTCAGTACTGACAAAGGTGTTAAATCTAGCAAATAAAGGCATGAAATGAGCTAGCAAATAAAGGCATAAAATATGCTATTCTATCTATGTCACATGTATCTAAAAAATTAAGTAGGAACATAGAAAATTTAAGAAAGACCCAAATCAAACTTTTATAGCTGAAAACTTCAATGTCCAAGATAAAAAATATGCTGGGTGCTATTAATGGTAGATTAGACATTGTAAACGAAAGACCAGTGAACTTGAAGGCACAACAATAGAAACTATTAAAAATAAAATACAGATTCAAAAAAATTGAAAGAGAAAAATAAAGCATCAGTGGGGCAAATTGCAACGGCCTGATATATGTGTAACTGGAGTCTCTGAAGGAGTAAGGAGAAAGAACATACATCCAAAGAAATCATGACTGAACATTTTCCATATTTGCTGGAAATTATAAACTCACAGATTTAAAAAGCTCAATCAATGAACATCAAACACATGAAACATGAGGAAAGCTACAGCAAAGCACATAACAATTAAATTTAAAAATGTTATAAGTAGCCAGAGGGAAAAATAAGACACACACTGTACAGAAGAACAAGATAAGGATAACAGGAGATTTCCCATCAGAAACAGCAGAAGCAAGAAGGAAATGGAGCAACATCTTTCAAGTACAGAAAAAAAAAAAAGGTCAATCTACAATTCTAGACAGTGAAAATATCTTTAAAAACGAAACTGAAATAAAGACTACTTTCATACATAAAAGGTTTACAGAATTTTATCACCAGCAGATCAGCAATTTAAGAATGTTAAAGGAAGTCCTTAGGGCAGAAAGAGAATTATATCACATAGAAATATGGATCAGCACAAAGGAAAGGAAACTGCCAATATCAGTAACCGCAAAGGAAAAAACAGAATGGAAGTTTCTTATTCAGATCTTTTTAAGTATAATTAAATCTTTAAACAAAACAAATGTAAAGTCAAGTTTATAATAAATATACAAGTGAAATATATGACAACAATAACACAAGGGTCAGGAGGGGGAAATGGAAGTGTACTATTGTAAAGTTCTTAGGCTGGATCTGAAGTGGTATAATATCACTTGGAGGTAGATTGTGACAAGTTAAAATACATACTACAAACCCTAAAGCAACCACTAAGTTAAAGAGTGATAGCTAGCAAGCCAACAGAGGAGATCAAACAGAATCATCAAATGTGCTGTCTAATGTATGTTTTCCTTTAAATAAATATCATGACATGGCACATGGCTTCTGGAAATCTATTCTTTTGAAAAACAGAAAAGTTAATTTTGAGGAAATAGAAAAGCACCTAGGAAAGTGGAGACTAAATCAAGCCCAGAAAAGCTGGATCTTACACTGATCCCAGGTTATGTCAACCATCTTTGTCCTGCAAATATCCTGAAAACAAGAAGCTTATCTATCCCAAGACTGTTGCAGGGATTAGTTGGAATTTCAAATGGAAGTACAAGACTTGAATCAGGAAGTAATCCACTTCCTTCACTGCATGGGGCAGATTGCAAACCTAAGTGTTGGATTTCATTTCCAACATTCAGCCACTATATGAAGGCTCCATAAGCCTGTCGGAATTGGCTTACAGAAGAAGGTACTATCTAAAGCAAAATCAGTCTCAACAACTAGCCTATGTCTATTAAAATACATTTAAAAAAATAAATAAATTTTATAAAAATGGTACAATCTTACCAAAACAGTGAATATCTTTCTACCTGCAGATGTCAACCAATTCTTGGAAGAAAAAAAACATAGATGGAAGAATATTAACTGAAAAATAGAGTGTAAGGAACATCAACTTAAAGTATCAACAATGAGATTCCTGTAATAGGAAGAGAAATTGACCTGCCTATCAGAGAACCCCAACCAGGGGATGCAAGTGAGAAGTAGAATAGAAATCAGAGGCATTTTAGAGGTATTATTCGTCTATATATATCACAGCTGTCAGCCCTTATTTCCTACTCCTTCTTGAAAAACACCTGACTGCTACATGTTATTCCCCAATCAAAACAACAACAAAGAGTTTTGGGGTTTGGGGTTTTGTTTTTGTTCGTAAAATTGGAAGGTATTGTTACAAGGAGCAGACTAGATAGTGTGAAGGCTAGTCACCTTGAGAAAACCCTCCTCATTCTGGCATTTGAGGAAGGCTACCTCCAGTATAACGGTGAGCCCAAGCCCATTCCTGCTGAATTAAAGCTTCCAGCTAATAAACGACTGCCCTCAGTAAATCTTTCTATTGCTTAATTTTTAAATGCGAAAAAATAACCGAGGATCATCAGACATTTGAGGAAATAATTCACACCTATGGAAAAACTGATCAAAAGGAAAATGAAGTGACTCAGGAACAGAGAATCACTTAAAAATCTGAAATCCATATTCATAAAAACCCAAGGAAATTTTACATCTGTAAAACCAAATCGGCATGCTATTAAAAAGGAGCTATCAGAAAATAAGAAAGAGCTCTTGTACATTTAAAATACCTTTGCCAAAACTAAAAGAAGACAGGAAAAAGTTGAAAGAAAATGTTTAAAGACAATAAAACCACCAAAATATAGAGCAAAAAGACGAGAAGTCAGAAAACATGGAGGAAAAGGGAGGCATAAATTGAAGACAAATTGGTTAGTTTCTGAAGAAGAAAATGAAGAAAAGGAAAGAGGAGGAACTATCAGCGTGCCCAGAAGGTACTCAGCAAATATTTGAAGAATGGGAAAATCAACAGAATCTTGGGTTGGCTGTTTATGAACAATGTGAAGTTGGACAAGTTGCTCATTCTGTCTGGAGATTCTTCCTTCACAGCATGGTGGGTGGTGGGTATGAGGCTTTATGTTTTGCAAATTATTTTGCATTTATTATAACTGCCTTTTTAAATTTAATAATTGTTATAAAATAGGACATAGCCCTACAATATATTATCATTGCTATATAATTAGTATTAATTTTTTAAAACTGTAGGGCATTTATTAAAAAATTCCCTTTTACCTATCACATATGCAAACTGATGCTCCTATGTCCTATTTAAGGGATTACTTTATACTTTAAAAATGTCTTATTGAAAGGATACTTCTCAACGTACATTGGCCAGGCTACTCATGCTACATAAAATTATGATAGAGTTGATTCATGTTGAAATTCTCTTTCCTTGCCAATTATTCTCTTCTGCTACTTCCCTTCTAGGTTCATTTAGAAACAAATGGAATTTACTATATCTCAAACTATTGAATTTTAGGTAGCTTTGGCTAGTATACAGTATACTTTATCTATGAAGATTCAATTCATAAATACATTCATATGAATAGTTTTGTAATTCCAGTCATTGCATTTTGGTATTTTTTCTATTTTAAATAGAAGCTGATTGAAGGCAACATCAAAAAGTGACATCCAAGTACCTTTTCCCAAAATCATATATATTTTGAGCCTAGGAGACACTTAGAGTTCATGCAGTGTAATTCAATATCCTAGTGTTAGAAATCAGGAAACTAATGAAGGACAAGATTGGTGAAATCTATTCTTCACGGCGGAGCCAAGGTTGAACCCAAATCTTCTAACACCTAGAAGAGTGTCCATTCCGGTAATTAAAAAAAAAATTGTTGACCATCTACGTATTCTAAAAGAAAAAAACGTAAATTCATAACAAAAGATAGACATTTCTAAAGTAAATGCAGTCTCAAGGGATGAGCTAATCATGTGTACAGAAGGTGTCAAGTACAGTGTAAAAGCAATTAACAAAATTGAAATGTATTCTTTAGTTATTTAAATCAGATAAGTGAGAACGTATGTTCTTACATGATATCATAAAGCCATTCTATTTTCTAATCTTGTTACAGAATCACCAAAGGGTATTTTATTTTCTGTCTTACTTTCTACTTTTCTTGGTTTAGTAATCCTTTTAAAGGAAAAAAAAACCTCCCTAAAATTGAAGTGAATACATTTAATGCAGTATAATCAGCTTCTAAATCTACTTAACTGGAGCCCCATCATGCATTTAGTGCATTGAATGAATGGCACAAATGGGAAACGTATTATAATGAGGACCGGGTGAATTTTGTGAGACTAAAACTTCACTTTCCTGAAATGTTTTTAAGCATCTGATTTTGTAGTCAAGTATAAGTCAATTTGCATAGCTCCTTATTTGCATTTGACCTAGACACCTGCATTACTTTTTGGAGAATTCTACTTTTATGGTGCTTTTGAACACTTCACTTCCACCCCACTATGACAAAATGCATTTTGCTTGCTGTGGATCTTTGAGGGGTGCACAGTGTGATTATTTTTAACTTTTCATTTGTATTCATTTAGGTTAGAACAAGTTGTTTACTTTTATTACAAGGCTGTTTTGCTTTTCATGGGTTTATTTCCTCATTCATTTTTGAAAAACAAGATTTCGTTTTAGAGATGTGGACTTTTTGTGACAATAGACTACAAATTATACCTATGGATACTGTCACTGTTCATGTCCAGATAAAGGGCTTCCCATTTCTGCTGCACTAATATCTAGATTACATTTTTCTGTCTTGACTGATCTTGAGGAAATAAACATTCAAAACTCACATGTACTAAATTCAACTTGTAAGCTTCCCACTTTACTTTGCTGCAAAACAATGCATTACTCTAAATGCCATCATTGTTCTTCTTTTTGTCCAACTTGAAAACATGGGAGTTACCCTTGATTCTTTTCTCTCCCACCCTCCCGCATGCAATGAATCCCCAAGTTCAACTGAGTCTGCCTCCTTCAGAGGAGAGATTGGGTCTGTTGCTTTGCTTCTCCATTCTCATAGCCCTTGTCTCAGTTCAGGCCCACACCATCCCTCCAGTAGACCAGTTCAATTATCCAATTTTCCTCCTTTTCAATGTAGCTTTTTTTCCAGAATTAAAGTGGAAATAGCACACTGCCTTGCTCAACATGCGAAATGCAAAATATCCCGATTGCTTTTAGGATAAAAAATTAAAGACCTTTCATGCTATACATGATATCTTCAAAATCTGGTCTCCAATTCCTTCTTCAACCTCATACTCCCCACTGATTTTGCCTCATCTGACTCTCAAGCCATATGGAATTTCTTCTTAAATAGCATTGCATTGGTTCTTCACAAACTTCTGAACTTGTGTATATACTATCCCTAGATTTCCCACTTCCTGACTGCATGGCTGGTGGTGTACGTCAAGAAGAATAATGGGTTTTCAGAGTATAGGTGGCAATATAGGGTCTTTATTCCAGTCTTCCCACCATTAACTACCTTGACCAAGTTACTTAGGGGAACCAAGTGTCAGTTTCTCATCTCGAAAATTGTGATAGTAATACTGTCTACCTCGATGGATTTTTGTGAGGAATATGTGTGTAAAGAGTGAAGTGTAGTGTCTGGAACATGGTGATCAATGAATGTCAGCTGTTATCAGTGCTAATCACTAGAAATAATAATGCCATTATCATCGAAGGTGATCAAAGCTACTAAAGATATCCTGTTGTATTTCATAAAAACTGCCTAGAGGTAAACTTGATAGCTATGGCAAAAATGAAAAAAATGCCTTTTCTCTACTATGCCTTAAATAATCTTCTAATTTGTAAGTCAAATCTGTGATTATATATAATGTAATTCATCTTCTATGGATGTCCATGGAAAGAGCTGAAAAATTACAGTCACCAAGAACATATTGACTGCTAGATATTACTTATTTGATTAATAAATTAAAAACTTCTGCGGCTCACTCTCTTGAATTTTCTTGCATAGGAGAAGAGTCATCAGCAATTTCCTGGCCCTAGAAAGCAGTTTTCACAGGGAGCATCTCCAGAGAGGTACAAGGTGCAACTGAGATTTTAGTCCAGAAAGCCCCTGCTGTTTCCACACTCTGCCTTTTTCTTTCTTAATCTTCGTTAGCCCTTCCTATTATTTTTACTTTGCCTCTGGGTTCAGACTCCAGGGCCTGCTGGAGGGGAGTGGGGGTGGTCAGGAGAAGGCCCTGATTTTACAAGTTCTTTAAACACTCCCTCCAGGGCTCACCCAAAGGGCTGAGCTGCTTCCTTCCTCTCCTTTCTTTTTGACATCCTCTGCAGTCAGCTCTTGTTTTCGCTTTCTTTGTGGTCAGAACTACCTCTGCTACTGAAGTGATCCTTTCACCCCAACTCCCAGAACAGCCATCAGCGCCTGCTTCTTGATAGTCCAGAGAGCAGGAGAAAGTCTGCTTCACTGTTGTTTGAAATAAGTAATTACTAGAGTTCCCAAAAGTGGATGACAAAAAGGTAAATTGAGTAGGAGGTTTCACTGGGTGATGCCAAGGTCTCTTTCTGCAGTGCCTCTTATGATTCTAGGTTTAGAGGCATTTTATTTTAAAATCTCCCATTGACCAAAAAAAAAAAAAAAAAAAAAAAAAAAAGCAAAAATATAAGTAAAGGGCACACACGGGCTCTCACTTACATTAGAGAGCAGTCTGTCTGCCATAGTCAGAAGCAGGAGTTTGAGTTTCTAGTCCTCTGGCATGACCCCTGGGATCACCGGCCATGCAGCCTGGTCCCCAGGTTCTCTGCATTCCCCTTGGGCACAGAGCTCATTGCCACTTTGTGGGCTCAAGGAACCATCATGATTTCAAGGGAGGCTGGGATTAAGGAGTTCCAGCTGTATTCCCTAGGACAGTTCCCGGGCATCCTGTTGTCTTACTAAAGTGCTTTAGTGGCCACAGAAGAGTTGAGATGTGGAGGGAGGGAAGAGGACTGAGGCTTAGGCTTGGAGGCTTCTATCAGCGCTCTCCATTTGGCATTCTTTCACTTGACAAAAGTTTACCGAACCCCTCCAGGGGCCAGGTACTGTGCTGGATGCTGGTGGGATACAGGTGACACAATCAACAAGGACTCTACTTCTTGGACAAGAGCCAGGAGGATGGGGTTGTGGAGTGCACGTCAGTGGCGGGGGAGCTGGTAGGGGTAAGAGCAAATAAGACAATTTTAGTGAGTGATAAGTGCTATAAACATTAATTAACCACTTATAAAAAGAGTGATTTGAGGGGCTGCCTTAGATGGGGTGCTGCCTGAGGAGAGGGCTGTGGCTCTGCCAGGAAGTTCAGGGGGAGGGTTTTCTAGGCAGATGGTCTGAAGACTGCAGAGAGCTAAGCCAGGAAGGAAGCCTTGTGTATTCAGGAACCATGAGCACTTAAGAGTGTGTCAGAGAGAAGGCAGGAGGCAGGTCACACGGGCCTTACAGAATTTGGATTTCATGCTAATATACTGGGTTTCAGGTAAAGTTTCAAATGAAAAAAAGGAGTTGTCATACAATGAGTAGAATCTGGAGATAGAAACCATAAACTAGGTTGAAAAGAAGTTTAATAGAAGTACTTATGAATTCTGTTGGATGAGTAACTGCAAAATCACAGAAGGACTGTGTTCTGGGCCTGTGGCTGGACCAGGCTTTACCTGATGGGCCAGGCTTTATGTGGTGCTTGGAGGGGCTCAGGAAACATTTGTCTGTCTATCTACACTGCCAAGCTCTCCCGCCAGCACTGTAAATTTTTCCTGCAATCTTTCTTCAGCACCTTTTACAGAGAAAGGTTAAAGGTTGTGCTCACTTTAAAGGAGAAATATTTAAAAGGATTCTGTTATCAGAGAGCATGTGTTGAAGGGTGTATTTGGAGCTGAGAGGTAATAAATTAGTAACAAAACAGAGATTCAGTGGCTAAAAGTAAATAAGAACCCTACTTGATGTCAGGTTTACTTGGTAATGTTCCTGCCCTGACCTTGGCCTTCATTTCCATTATCTGTGCCTATCAGAAGAGGCATTGCCCTCTGCCCTTGGATCTTGCTGTCATCTCTGGATTTTACTGTAGTTCTCAGGCCCCGGGTATATATTTTTCATATTCTTCCTAATCCCCTAATCTTGGGGCAGAAGATCTGCCCTGCTGTTCTTGCATTCTTCTGCTGAAGCCTACCTGGCATCCAGCTTAACATCTGTCTCACCCTTGCTGATGGACTTCCTGGCACTAGACTACCTGCCTACCAGTCTGAGTTCCTAAGTACTGCTGCCCTGGATTCTCCTCTGCTTTCTACCACTGCAGCAGGGACCACCCTCTCACCATCTATTCCACCTGCCCCAGGACAGCAGAAGCTGCCATGTGCCAGAGGAAAGAGCCCAGGCTCTGGCTTTACCTCTGCTTGCTCCATAGCAGGGTTGTTGTGAGGAATAAAAGGAAGAACAATTTGAAATCCAAAGCATAAACCACCTAAGCAATGACTGGCACATAGCAAGTGCTCGAGTCACTTTAGTTTCCTTTCATCCCAAAGGGCAGCTCCCAATCCTGCTGTGAGCATCTCGTAGCTGGCCCCATCCTCTGGTAAACCCCAGTTCATGGCCAGTGTTTCCAAAAATAAATATAACAACAGCAGCAACAACAATGCTTGCTATTTATTGAGCCCTTATTATTTTCCAAGGGTTGATAAGCATTAACTCATTCTAACATTAAAATAGCCTTTTATGGAGATGGCATCAATGTCTTTCAATAAATGAAGCTCAAAGACTTTAACTCATCCAAAGTCACCCATCTACTGAAGAATGGTGCTGGGGCTCTAGGTCACATATCACAGATTCTGCTTTTGATGCTCTTAACCAAAGGTGCCTCCTAAGATAGAATATCAAGAGCTGATTAGCTCTCCTGGCTCTGAGCAAGTGCTCAGGTCTCATACTGGGCATCTTCTGGGAAAGGCACTAAACCCTAGTGCTTCAAAATGTTATTTGGGGATAATGATACTTATCATTCTCAACACAATATAATAAAGATTAATTAGTGGATGTTGGTAAAGCACTTTGAAGGGGAGTGATTTAGGCATAATCACAAGTCTTACCTCTCATTGATCTTGAGCATCCTTTTTATTTAGTATTGATTCATTGTTATTGACCCAGCTTGATGGCTATTAATCAGGCCGGCTCAGGTTTTACCATTTCCAAATACATTTCTGCAAATTGGTAGTATAAGTTATTTTTGTCATAATGCATCCAGGCTTCCAACTGTCATTTTAACTGAGAATTTGAAAGGTTGAATTAATTCAACCTTCAATGACAGTTTTTTCATACTTTTATTATAGCTATTAATACATGGTATCATAATTTATTGCATATGTGTCATCTGAGGCTTCTCCATTTGAACTCCTTAGAGAGAGGATTATAATTTCTTAGTTATCACCAAATGAAATGGCTCCAGTAAGTGCCAAACATGATATCTAACATCTACTTCAGCTAAATATTAGTTGAATGGACGGGATTGTCTAAAACAGTTTAGTGTACTTGAGGCAGATTATGTTGAGATTGGGTTTAAGGACAAACACTTAAAGATGATTAAAACTTTTAGGTGGTTAAATTACCCAGTTTATTTTCTCTCCCCACCTGTTATATACTACACTTGCTCAGTAGCTACCATGGCCATCTTTGCAATCACCTTGATTTTCAACTTCTGTTTTTTGCTAGAACCTATATAGAAACAGCACAAGACAAGAATTCTGAACAGTTGTTTTTTCCTTCCAGGAAGGAAGCATTGATGCTAGAGATGCAGTGTTTGCTAAATGCATACCAGTGCTAGACATAGAGCTGTACACAATGATTAGGTGAGATACTGTCATTTACCCAGGCATTGTAGGAAAGCAAACTGAGGCTCATGAAGATCAGGTACCTTGTCTCAGTCACACAGCTAGGAAGTAGAAGCTTCTGGACTTGAAACCAGATTTTGACTGGCTTTAACTCTTGTAGCTTTCAGCCACAACATAACTCCTTCCAGGGTTGGTAATCAATCATCCCTCTCCCCTTTCTCATCAGAGAAAACGTTTCAGCAAATATTTAATCAATACTAACAATATGGGATTCTGCAAGTAATTCATTACCACTTATTTTCATTTTATTTTACAGCTTGATCATAACAAAAATAGAACAGACAGAGGGCTGTTGTGCTGGTGCTGAGAGAGGCTCTGAACAGGCAGGAGAGATTGAGCAAAACTGGATAACTCTAGCAGACAGCAGATGCTGAATGGGATTGGCTGTCTAGGCTCAATCCCAGGGAACTGATAAGACAGAACCGTGTGTTCAGGGAGAGTGATAAGAAAGAACTGGGTCAATCTCAGAAACATTTGCAGAGTTCAGGTGTTGAAGAAAGAGACATGAGCTCTCCCTTTTGTATTAGTGGACTGTTGAAGTGAAGCCCCTGAAACCAATTTTGCACTGCACAGTGTGACCTTGGAGCAGGCATAGCCCTATGGTGACTGCAGAGAAGAGGATATGAGAATCTCATTGTAAATATAATCACCCTGTCCTGTACTTGGTAGCTCCTGGTCTTCTAAGGTTGCATCTCTTTCTCCTCTTCCTTCTCATTTCTGCACCGCCTTTCAGTCCTGCTCACTCCACCTTCCCCACCAGCAGTTCCAGCCACCATGGAAGTGAGCCCCACTGCAAGGAATACTCAGTAGAAAGACAGTGTTTGGACCAGAGACGTGGTATTTTTTTCTCTTACTATCCTGAACCCTCTGGCAAGCAGGAAGAAAAGATGAAAAGAGAAGAAGAAGGCAGCAAGGTTGTGGCTGAGGTGGTTTTCAGCATCCATCTGAATTGGAGAGGCTAATCTGTGTAGCCTGTGATCAACCTCTCCACCAATACTGTCAGCACCAGGTAGGGGGAGGTGAAAATACTGGAATTTCAGCACAAGAAGAAGCTCTGTCTCCATGTTAGTAATGCAAAAATGAAGCAGAACATAACCATAGATCATGGAATCTTTAGGACCCTCAGAGACCTGAGGACCACCTTACCATGACTCATCAGGTTGGGAGACTGGGGGACAGTGCATTGTCAGAGAGCCCACATTCAGAGGTGGGATGCTTAATTCATCCTTCGATGCATTCATCACATAGTTTTAAGTATCTACTACATACCAAGCTGTGTGTTATATATAATGTATGAAGTATTGAACAAAACAGATTCAGACTTGCCCTACAGGAGTCTACACTTCAATGGAAAGGAAAAAGCAAGACTCGAACTCTTCTGCTTACTCCCACTGGATGCTCCCTCCTGAAGACCTCAGCATGAATCAGGACTGGAGGCTGTTCTGCTTTCTTCTCTTGGTCGGTGCCTCTAGGCTTACATCTCCCAGAGAAGCTCAAAGAGACGTTTGACTTTTCTAGGTAAGATTCCTATGCTGAGAGGGAAGAAGGAAGCCGGGAAAGAGAAACAGAGAGAAAGAACATATTGTTTCTCCACAGTTGAATGGACTCCAGAGACAGTATTTCTGCAGCAGCACAGAATCCCCTGGTCCTCATTTGCCCTGCAGTATCTCACTGGAGATGGGTTCCACAGGGTCAGACAATCCCTGTCCAGCATAGTCCTGAGCCTCCTGGGACAGCCCTGTCTCTCCGATGACATCTGTTTCTTCTTGTCCCATGGCTGGTAAACTATTTCCCTAGATCTGTAAATGTGGGTGATTCATATAGTTAGCCATTGTTCCAATGAACCTGGGACAATTTCTGCCTCTTTCTATTATTATCTCATATCATGAGTCCAATTTGATTGAAGCTTATAGGACATTGAAAAATGCATATATAGGATGGTTGCGGTGGCTCATGCCTGTAATCTCAGCACTATGAGAAGCCAAGGTGAGCAGATCAATTGAAGCCAGGAGTTCGCAATCAGCCTGGGAAGCATGGTGAAACCCTGTCTCTACTAAAACTTAGCACAGCATGGTGGGGCGTGCCTTTAACCCCAACGACTCGGGAGACTGAGGTGGGAGGATCACTTGAACCTGGGAGGTGAAGGTTGCAGTGAGCTGAGATCTCACCACTGCACTCCAGCCTGGGTGACAGAGCAAGACTGTCTCCAAAAAAAAAAAAAAAAGCATGTATATATATATATATATATATATATACACACACACACACAATTATATACATAATTTATACGTGTATATATATAAAGTATATACTTGTATATATATAAAGTACCTTAGCAAAAGAGACACTGGCCCATGCCAAATTCCTCCCTTATTTTTACAAATATGTCAAAGACATTTGTGAAAAGAATCCCCTTCCTTAGGCTTTAAAAATAAAACCTGACAACATGCATTGACCACTCTCAGAGTTACAAATTCATAAAAGATTCAAAGACTACAGCTCTCCTAAGAGGAATAACTTTATAGGGAAAGAAAGGAATGAAACTGGAGAAATCTGTGATTCCTAGCTCCAAAATGACCCCCAGGACCTTCAGACTACCTTGGCATCTGTTTATGTTGCTGAACAAGAAAATGCAAACACGAGTGGGACTGGATGTTTCATAACTCCTTCAACTTAACCTGAGCTTCAGTTGGCCCAATGATACTATAGCATTTTGGGCTCTAAAAAGACAATCCAAACTGGTGGTAGTGCTAAAATAAAGATTTACTCTCAATCATTGCCAAACAGATTAAATAACATAGATGTTACTTTGTTTCATTCTATTTTTTATGACTTGAACTATTACAAGTGTACCCCATCCAGCTCCATAATTGCCTAGCAGATTGTTGAAGGGTGGTTTTGTATTTCTGCAGATGGTGCCACCTACAGCAGTCCTTCAGTTGTTGTTTACTCTGCCAGTAGCCTTGGTCATGATCTTCTAATAGCTCATTTAGGAGAGAAGAGGGAACCATGTGGCATTTCTGTTCACAGTTCACTCACAATCAGCAGCCAATGTTATATTGTCATGGATACAGTGGTGCAAGGGGTGGACAACTGCTGATTATGCCAAATTCATTTCCAAGTTATTGCTCAGATACCTAGTGAAGAATAGAGATATACAGTATATGTGGCAAAAACGTATTAAAATGATCACAACAAAAGCCTGTTTATCAAATATTCAAGGCTGCCATAATTATTGAGGGATAGTTTCATTTAATATTATAGAAAAACTTGTTAAGATAGAGCCAGAGCTGAATTTAATTGAAGTGTCTAAAAATGGCTGTAATTGTGTTTCTAGGTTACTGTTATCCCTATATGTGCTGTGAATGGGTTATCAGAGCTTTCATTGCTTTAAACTTTTTTTAAAGATAATATGCAAAACTCAAAAAGTTCTTTTCAGGTCCATGAAGTTCTCTGTTTGAAGGCCCTTAAAACATAGTCAATAGTTATTCAAATACTGTTCATGATCTTAATGATCACAATTCTTCTCCTTCTCCTCCTCCTCCTTTTTCTTCTCAGGACAATAGGAGCATATTTTGGAAAAATTATAAAGTAGTTACAAAAAATTACTCTGCAATCAATGTACTTTCCAAAACAAATGATATCATAGGGAGAAAAGAAATGCTTGCCTATTTTGATATTAGGTATAACTAATGTGTTAGCTCTATCAAATTGTAGGTTATACTCTTTGCACGTCTAGACTAGCAGTGTAGTGGAAATTTTATGCAATTGCTAAGATGATTCAGACTCCTGTCTGATTTTTTTCAGGTAACTGGAGCAGATACATAGGCAATATGGGATAATTATTGGATAAAGACAGATGCTTTGGTACATCATTTCATCATGAGGATAAAATTATAACTTATATTTCAACTACAAACTATTACGTGATTTTAAAATTACTGAAAGAAAGTGAGAAAGGGAGATTGAGAAAGGGAGGAAGAGAAAGGAGAGGATGAGAGAAAGGCAGAAGAGAAGAGGGAAAGAGAAAGAGAAACAGAGAGACAGAGTCATCTAGGTACATATTGTGAAGAACAATAAAAAATGTGTTGGCACATTTTGCTGTCCTCTGAGATATCACTAAAGACATGGGAGTAATTTGACTCAGTGTTGATTGATGTTATTATCAGCAGTATACTCTCTATGAGGGTTTTGCTCATGACAAAGTGAACACCTAGGAAACTCATTCACCACCTGGAGTTTAATCTCTCATGGAGCCTAACATGGGGGTGGGTTAACCATAGAAGAGCATTTCGAAAGGAGGAACAAAGAGCTGACTAAGGTTAATGTATTTTTCATGGAGATATCAAGTAATCTATCCAGTATGTAAGAGATTTGAAGTTAAATATGTAAGGATTGCTTAGAACATAAAATCTATTAAGTATCTAAAAATAAGTATTTAATAAATACGTTTAGTAGATAAATCTATAAGAAAAAACATGTTTATTAAAAATGCCGTCACTGATGTATTAAAATTACTGGTATGATGCAGAGAAATTTAGATTCTTTTTTAAACTGCACAGTCCAAATTCTAATGCTGGCATTTGTGATTGAAAAATCTTTAAAAGTTGATCAGGTGAACAAAATTAGACCAAAAATTTTGTTCATCAAACAAAATGTCTGTGACATTTTAACTCATGATGATGAAACTGACCAAGTTCGAATTTCTTTTCATTTTTTTTCTTCTTATCTTGTAGGATGTTTCTAAAATCTTTGCCCAAGTTTCTCTTTTATAGTGGGATTTATTTAGAAAAAAGGAAAATAGAAAATATTTGATGTTTGAAGGGTATAAATGATTAATATCAGATAAGTTTTAAGATTAAAAGAAGAAAGAAGGAACAATGAGCTATATGCTCATCAAATACTTTTAAATGTTATATACTTTATATATATACCATTTCTGCCCAAGGTAAAGTTAGAGAAATGACAATGACAACCGTAGGTCATGATAAGAAGGTCAATTGCTTGTCTAGACGCTGTCTTTGATAACAATAAGCATTTTAAGATAGAAGGAAAGCATATCCCTTTCAAAAAGGTAACTAAATAGGGTGATGTGTTCTTCTATTACCAATAATTGGCCCTGGAATTAAAAGTAGAACATTTTCCTTTCAGTAACTTGCTTGTGCATCAGGCTAGATACCGCCTTCTCTGTTGTAAATGAAATTCAGAGAAAAGAGAATAATTCTGGTTTTAATTAAGGTGATGCATTATTAGAGACCACATATGAACACATTTCATATTCATTATTGTGTTAGATACTATATGAAATTTATAATGACCTCTTTCAATAGATTATATGCATCTATATGAACTAGACAGTATTCACACTCAGTTTTATCTCTTATTCCTTAACATCTTCCTTTCATTCTTGGTTATTATGGTTTCTTAAGGGATTTTGTTGTCATTTGTTTGTTTCTACCTACATTTTTATTATCAAGGAGATATATATATATATATATGATATCTCATAAGACACTAAGCATTTTCTTCATTTCAGTTTTTCCTTTTTGCAAGGGTGAGTTTTGTTGTGATTATGAGTAGAATTGAACCTGTAAAGGATGCTGGAGCTAGCTGAATTTAAACTTCGTCAGGTTACAATGCAAAAATATCATGACAAGAGTGTTTCATCTTGTCTATTGATGAGCACAGCACAAAGTAGAAAATGCTCCCTTTTAGCGCTGACTGCCAAATTTCTAAACTGGTGCTCTAATTACACCCTGCACCATGAAGGCTTGTCCATTTGCACATCAGGGTAGAGCAAATCCCGCAGCACACTGGAGGGTTGGTGCTGTCAAATGAACCAGGACAGTGGTTAAATGACTCTGTCTTATAATCTTTTTTCCTAACATTTTGTAATAAAATTTTTCAGACATATCACAAAGTTTTGAATACCTGTATACTTTCCACCCTGCATTCTACCATTAACATTTTGCTCCACTTGCTTTATCTCCTATCTATCCCTCTATCCATCCTGCTACCTGTGGCAATCCATCTTATTTTTGAGATGCATTTCAAAGTGAATTGCAGTGCTGTTCTTCTAAATACTTCAGCTTGCTCTAATGGTTTTGATGAAGAAAATGGATGCATTTCTCCCAACCAAGTCTGAAAAAGCAATTTTTGAGAGGCAAATAAAGGTGGAGGAAATTATTTTCCGGGAACAAAGATATGGGGAAAAATAAGTTTTGAGAGACCACACGGGGTCATTTTATAACATGCTGTTCTAGTCCTGCTGGAATTTAAATCAATATGCCTTTTTTTCTCCCTGGAGCAAGAAAGAATTGCTCATCATCAGATTTGTGTGACATTCTTAGGACCAGCAACACATTGATATTAACTTAATACCAAGTGATGATAAAAATACGAGAATTGCTAGTGGATTTTGTTGTTATACCACTAAGCAGATATAGGACCATTTTGTTTATATATGCTATTAAAACCCAAATAGTAGAGTCAGGATGGCCTGGCTTAGAATGACATAAAAGTCATTTTATTAGACCATTGTTTTGCTAAAATGATAAGTATTAATACATGTAACAAAGTAATTGAGATACGTGTTCATCTCTGCACATTATTATGTTGTTCTTTGGCTGCGCAGTGACTCAACCTTACTTGGTAAAAGATGGCTAAGTGAGTTACAAAGCAATGTAGTGAGTGGAACTAGGAGTTCTGAACAGGAGTTGTTAGAACAATCCCTTTAGCAGAAATTCTTAAATTGGAACCAAAGATAAATTATATAGGGCAGTCCTCAATCTGCCATACACACAGAATTAGAGATGATTTAACTTTGGGACCCTTCATGTTTCAATGATTCAGGAATTGATAAATGGGGCAGGATGGTGCATAATGTAAAATGATTATACTGTGCAACCTGTGTGGCAAAGAAAAATAGACACACTCCTGTTACCTAGGGGTAGAGGGTGATAGTGAAATGAAAGAGTTCCCCAATTCCCCTTTCAGGACATGTGACAGAGGTGTGGCTCCCCTGTTGGATCACTCAGACCCCTTGAGGGAGGGGGAGCATGCAGAAGGACAAGTGCAGAGGCCGGGTGAGCACTTTGGGCTGGTTCTAGGGGTGGGTGCCTGCAACCTTGGGGTTACAAAGCTCCTACAGCTTTGCCACCTGCGGATGGCTTGAGAGTTAACCAGCTCAGTTAACCCTCTGCCTTTTCACAAGGGCAAAGGGCCAGTACAACAACTTTCTGTAACCCAAGCTCTTGTCCAGTGTCCTGGAAAGATTAGGTCACACATGGACTCAAAGGATGAAGGCAAAGTTTTATTGAGTGGTGGAGGTGGCTTTCAGTGAGATGAATGGGGAGCCGGAAGTGGGGGATGGAGTGTGAAGGCGATCCTCCCCTGGAGCTGGGTTGTCCAGCAGCCGGATTCCTCTCCCACCACCCCCAGACGAACTCCTCTCGGTGTTCAGATGTTCCTCCTCTTCTCCCTTTCTCTGCTGTGTTGTTCTGCCTTCTGTCCGCTGGTCTGCTGGCTTGCTGGTCTGCTCTGGAGCTTGGGTTTCGGGGTTATATGGGTGCAGGATAGGGGGCATGGTGGGCCAAAAGGCAACTTTTGGGTATGAAAACAGGAATGTCTGTTCTCATTTAGGGTGTGGGTCTTCAGGCTTGAGGGTGGGCCTTTGCAGGGGAACCACTGTCTTCCACCCAGTATTTCCCTGTCTCCTGTCCCTATCAATAGGATGGTGGAAAACAACCATGGAAGCTTACAGAGGTTGACTGGGACCCAATCTAATGGTAATTCAAAGGAGGAGGACTTGTAATTCCACCAGGGTTAGACAGAAAAAGAGAATACTTCAGAAGGTTATAAAGAACAGAGAGAAAACTGATTATGGTGGTTGAACTTTGGAAGGGAAAAATGGCCACTGAGTAGGCAAGGAGAAAGAATGGGAGGTATACAGACCTTTTCCATGAAATGACATGACATTTGATCTATGAGGTCCTCCACATGGGAGAGCTTCTGATTCTTTCTTTTGCCCAGAAGTGTCTACACATCCATGTGTAAGGTCTGGATGAGGTCTCATATCTTCCAGTCAACACTCCTCAGTCCTTCTATCCATAGAGATCTTGTGCCTGGTAATATACCCCATCCCACCTGGGAAGCTGACACAGAGGGGCATCTGGAGAGAAGGAAAAGGACAGCAGCTATAGATTATGCACTATTTTGGTCAAACAGAGAAATATCACAAAATGAGAGGCCTGGAAGAAAGTCAGCCTTCTAATTTTATAGAAAGCTTAAGTGATTCACCTAATAAGTTCATACAGCAAGTTAATTAAAAGCATGGACTTTACCTGGACTTCTAGTCCAACATTGTTAAGAGGAAGTGAGAGATGAAGAAAAATAGAATGGGAAGGAAAAAGAGAGAAGGAGGAGAAGGGAGAGAGAGGATGGTAGAAAAAGAGGGAATAAAAGAAAAGAAAAGAAAAATATAGGTAAATATCACCCAGTCCACTAAAATATTTTATTTCTTCATTTTTAAAATATAACACACACACTCACAGACACAAATACTCCTTTTTATAGGCAAACTATATTATTCATTTAAACCTATGCACTCTTACTTTCCCCAGGCTAACCAAATGACTCAATTGGGTAAATTACTGCAGTAATTACTTTAGATGTCATTTGTTCTCCGATATTTTCATTAAAAAGGAAAAAAAAATCCCACTATTTTAAAATGTCCATAAATTCTAAAATTATATCTTTAACTTCCCCACCTTGTTTTAGTTTAAAACATTCTGTTCTGTCACCTTCCTGACATCCAACCATGACCGGATGAGTGTCACAGAGGCTGCAAGTTGTTAACTTGTAGAGAGCCATACCAGACAAACACATTCAATGCCTTCTTCCCTTCCTTGTTCTCCTTTAAATATACTATATGTATATAAACATTTCCATAAGGAAAAAATCAAGAATTAAGTAATTAGCTAATTTAGGTAGTTTTTCTCAAAACTTCTATAAGAGAGAAAAAAGACTATTTCTTGACATTTTCTGGAAAATCCCCAAAAAATTCCAAATAGCCCCACTCTGCCATCCAGGGACCACAGCCAACCACCCCTAACCTTTACCCTCACCCTGAAACAACCTCACCTTCCTTTCCTTTCACCCACACTTGACACACGTTGACTCTTTGCTAGCCAAATGTTTATCACTTTGTTAATAAGAAATGGTTTAAATTGATTATATGAAGACGTATGTCTTCTCCTCCTTTGTTCTTT
Organism: Homo sapiens; assembly: GCF_000001405.40. Classification (NCBI taxonomy): domain Eukaryota; kingdom Metazoa; phylum Chordata; class Mammalia; order Primates; family Hominidae; genus Homo; species Homo sapiens. Next base: position 220,659,483 of record NC_000002.12, read on the forward strand.
TCTACAAAACAAAAGTCAACGGTAATCTACTTTATAGTCACCTTTGTGGAAACCCATTTTTGTCTGCTCGATAATGGAAGAAATTTGAATTTTAGCAAAGGCATAGTTTAGAATAGGTACAATCAATAAACAATAAACATAGCCCACAGAGATTTTGAAAGTGAACATATTTCCTACATTATGCTATTATACATGCTAAAGGAAAAAAGCCTTCTCTGAATATCAGAGAAAAGAATTAATGAGGTAAATTAGATTTAGAAGTTTTCTATTGGACCTTTGCCAAAAGACGCTCATATGAATGCATTCTTATTTTTGTATCATATATAAGCTTTTCATATTTATGTCAACAAGGGTTACAGCATTGTGCAAAAGTTGAAGAGACCGTGAGGTTAATTATAGGGCATACTTTTTAAAATTATATATAATTGGCAAAAACAGATATTTTTCTCTTTGCATAGTGTCATCTATTGCTTCTATCTATCATCTATCATCTATCATTTATCCATCCATTGAGCCAGCCAGGCAGCCAGCTAATATATAATACATCGGAGGATGTGCTAGGGTTAAAAAGAAGAATGAGACACATTCCCTGTCTTGAGTAAGTTCACAGTGTAACAAAATGCCCTGTCTTTCAACTTGGGCTTCACCTCCAGAGGTTCATGTAGGGCAGTCCTTAAGGCCAGAGAATAAATATGACATGTCTGTCTGCAGCTTCACTCTAAGGCTAAGCTATTGAGAGTATTAACAAGTCCCTTCAACATTTTTATAGCTAAAACAAATATGGATATTTCATGGAATACAGGCAAAATTTGCAAGGACGTAGAAACATTTAAGAGTAAACAAAGATCCTGACTGATATTCTGTGATTCCAGAGGAGGAATGGCTGTTTGGCTCAAACCCCCAGAAGGAAGCATAGCAGGTATAGATGCACCAGGAAAGAATGTGGGGACTTACACCACCTGAGCAGGTAGAGCCAGTCTGGGAAGGGCCTCAAATGCTATGCTGATGAACTTGAACTTTATCCCAGAGGCTCCGGGAAGTCACAGTGAGTGAACCAACACAATGAACCTCTCCAAATAGTTTCAGTCTTATTGGTAGGCTGTTACCAGGCATTGTCTAAAACTTGTTGAGGCAGCAAAATAAAATGGATATTGTGCTATAGATGGTGAGCTAAAAAAACCTCCCTTTTGGTTCCACCAACCAACCACTAACCACGTAAATGCACTTGTATAAGTACCTCAGGCTATCTGAGACCCAGCCACCTAATCTACTAAAGAGAGAGAAAATCATTTGCCCTTTTGCCCTGACAGGGTCACTGTGTGTCCCAAGGGAGACTATGTCCATGAAAGCTCTAGGTGAATGGTGAAGCACTGAACAATACATTAATGAGTCATTGCAACTGTGAAATAAAAGCACTCAGTAAATATTCTCATAATTTGTATGTGTTTCCCAATCCTGCTTTCATTATTTTTAATTCATATAGCCTGCCTTTAGTCACAGGATGAAGGGGTCATGTTCTTGCAAGACTATTGTTTTTCTTTGTTTGTTTGTTTTTTATGACATGTAAGCACAGCCTCCAGTGCAATAATTCAGTAGTAGCTCAATAAGTGTTTCTTGTGTGACTGTTCTTACGGCCACATGCTTTACATCTAGCCTTGTTCATGTTCCCCTCAAACAAGTGCAATCTCCTTCTCTTCCTTTCTCTTGCTGTTTCTCAACTACATGTTCAGAATGATGCTTTGACCCTGAGTTACTTGAGGCCATCTGGGTATCTTGGTATTTCTATAGAGCCATTCATCTCAGAGCTTCCTGATCACTGTTCTCTGTATTCTTTTTTTTTTTTATTCTTGAGACAGAGTTTTGCTCTTGTCGCCCAGGCTGGAGTGCAATCATGCAATCTCGGCTCACTGCAACCTCTGCTTCCCAGGTTCAAGTGATTCTCCTGCCTCAGCCTCCCAAGTAGCTGGGATTACATGTGCCCACCACCACGCCCAGCTAATTTTTGTATTTTTAGTAGAGATGGGGTTTCACCATGTTGGCCAGGATGGTCTTGAACTCCTGACCTCAGGTGATCCATCTGCCTTGGCCTCTCAAAGTGCTGGAATTACAGGCATGAACCACTGTGCCCAGCCTGTTCTCTGTATTCTTTTACCCAATTCTCTGCTCTCTTAACAGATAAGTTTAACCCAAGTTTCTTTTACATTATCATTATTTATTTATTTATTCATACAGCAAGAATTAAATGTGTCCCTACCTACAGCATGAGATTCTGGGAAAATAATAGGGAAATTAAATTTTTTTGTTCCTGGCTTGAAGGTGTTCCAGAAGGGTGGGATGAACAAATATGTAAGCAATTACTAATAAAGCAATGCAGAAAGACTAGAATAAATGCATCAACAAAGCATGCGGGCTTTCCAAGCAGACACTGACTGACTCTGCCTTGGAGAATCTGAGGAGGCTTCACAAAAAAGGTGGCATTAAAGAATCTCAAATAATGATGACTTATTTCTTATTTACTCTCCTGGTCATGTGTAGCCCAACTTGTTTCAAAAACTATTTCAGATGGATCTCAAAACTATAGGTAATCCATATAAAAGTAAGTGAGGAAATCAGGATATTGAGAAAATAGGAAGAATCAAATAAAATAAAGGCATGGTGAGATTAGCCCACAAGATAAATAAATAAATAAATAAAAAGAGACCTTTAGGCTCAATAGAGATGGGCCACAGATTCAGCTCTGAGCTAAAGCAAAGAAGAGAAACATCTGAAATGCATCAGTGTGCTTAAACACAAACCAGCTCTGGGAGATCTCAAATATTCTTGGTACTGAGAGACATTTCCTTGGTGGCCCCCATAAAGAAAACCCTGTGAAATCTTACAAACAATACTTTTAAACAACTTCACTACAGTCAAGAGGGTAGCAATTTTCATGGGTTTGTTTTCACATCTTATGGGAACCAATGGCAGAATGTCCATGCCAAGTTTAGTAAAAGCAATTCTGTGTTGTCAGGTATACAACTCAGAACAATGATATAATTTTGCCAGGTGGGGCTGGAATTTGGAGCTGAAGAAACAAGATGAACTGCGCAGAGTTGTGAAAGTGCCTGAAGTGGCTGTGGAACCAGCCAGAGTTTGGCATGGCTGCAGCATAAGGTGTGTCTGGGAGCTCCCGCTGCCTGTGGGACAGAATCCAAACTCTTTAGCATTGCAAACGAGGTCTCTGATGATATGGTTCTCTGCCTACATGTCCTGCCTCAAGCACTGCTACACCTCATCCCCACCCTTGAACTATAAGATTCAATCTTTCTAAATGTTTAACTTTTTATTTCCTAGATATCCCATGCTCTTTCATGCCTATATACTTTTGTTTAGGTAAGGTCCTCGGCCCAGATTGCTGTAATCTACCACATACCTATCTCTATCTGCCAGGTCTGTTTCTCTTTCTCTTTCAAGACTCACTATCCTCCATCGGCTCTGTAAAGAACCTCTTAGGTTGCATCCAGTACCTCTACTCTAGATTCCATAATGCCCTGGTCTATCTCTTTGTGCCCCTCATTAGATTTGTAATTGTATGTATGTGGATATCTTTGCCTTATGTCTAATCTGCAGCAATGTGATAAGATTCTGTCCCATTCATTTTTATTACCTACCATCTGATAGAATGTCTTACCTAAGTAGGTATTGCATAAATATTTGTGGAAGGAAGGAAGGAAGGAAGGAAGGAAGGAAGGAAGGAAGGAAGGAAGGAAGGAAGGAAAGATAATTGGAAGTGACAGGCAGATGATGATACTAGACTAGTTAGGTGGCTGGGAAAAGATTGCAGAAGACTCCATATCTATGCTAAAGATTGTGAACTTCATAGAAAATGGAGCACCATTGAAGATGTTTACACAAAGGAGTTAATGGGAAAATTCAGCACTTAGGAAGGATAACTGGATGCATTGTGTGGGTGGACTGAAGGACAGGCAGACCACTTGGTGCTTACTGCAATTGCCCTGGTGTGAAATAGTACAGGTCTGAGCCGAGACAGCTTAAAGAGCACGAAGAAACAATTGTTAAGTCTAAATGATCAGAGCTTGGAACCAGTTTTTTTTTTTTCTGAAACTGCTTTAAAGACTCTGCTAGACAAATACTTCACCAGCTCACCAAGTTCTTTCCTGCTCATCATTTATTATTTTTAAATTGAGATGCGATATACATAAAGTGCACCAATCTTAAATACACAAGTCAATGAACTTGATATATTTATACAGCTGTAACTACCACCCCGATCAAGAGAAAGTACATTTTTTGCATATCAGAGGGCTTTCCATGTCCCCTCCTAGTCAATATCACTTCTCAAAGGTAGCTGCTATTATTTGTATCATCATTGATTAGTTTTGCTTGTTCTTTTTTTTGAGACGGAGTCTCACTCTGTCGCCCAGGCTGGAGTCCAGTGGTGCGATCTCGGCTCACTGCAAGCTCCACCTCCCGGGTTCACGCCATTCTCCTGCCTCAGCCTCCCGAGTAGCTGGGACTACAGGCACCTGCCACCACGCCTGGCTAATTTTTTTGTATTTTTAGTAGAAACAGGGTTTCACCGTGTTAGCCAGGATGGTCTCCATCTCCCGACCTCATGATCCGCCCGCCTCAGCCTCCCAAAGTGCTGGAATTACAGGCATGAGCCACCACACCCGGCCTGCTTGTTCTTTACATAAATAGACTGCATAGTACACACTCCCTTATATCTTTCTTCTATGTTGCTGCATGTGATTATAATTCATTTATTTTTATTAATGCATATTTCATTTTATGAATATATCAAAATGTATTCATCTATCCTGTTTATAGGTATTTGTTATTTTTTTTCCAGTTTGTGGCTATTTTGAATAAAGTTTCATCATTTTCGTATCTTAAATTGTTCCATGAGTCCTACTTGGACTATAAAAGGCAATTATATTGCAAAAAGTCTTGGACTTGGATTCAACACTGGCTCTGGCAGTTATTAGCTTTATAACATTGGCGATTTATTTCACAAGTTTGTCTCAGTGTTTTCAGCAAAATTGTGATAACTCTCTGAACTCACTTGATCCTAAAAACCACATAGGGCCAGACCTAGTATGTGTGGGATGGATGCCGACATGAGAGTATCAGGAGGGGAGTCTGATTCACTCACTGTTGTAGCTGCCGAGCCTGACATGTATTTAACGCCCCCAAACTGTTGAATAAGTAAATGAATGTTAATAATAGTTGATAATTTTACCATTAATCTTCCCTGTCTAAACAATAAGGCTTCCTAGTAGACTTTTTAGTCATATACCAAGCCATTATGGGATTCATGGATAAGTGATTAAAATACATATAGTACACAAGCGTGTTCTAGTGACTCCTACATTTATCTTAGCTGAAATATGCGATGTGGACATTGCCCAATTTTTGCTGCTTTCTCAATCACTGTTTTCTTAACGTGACATTCTACAAATGGAGGGACTGTTGTTTGAGCAAGCTTTGGGCCCTGTGGAGCACTTCTCAACACTGACTCTTATGATTGAGAGCAGATGTTACTTCTCCTTGTGTTTGGCTTTTAGTGCCATTTTAATCCTATTCTACCAAATGCACTTAGCTCTTCTTATTCACTGTAAATACTTGTAACATTTACCAATTATGTGCAATTGTTTAACATCAGCCAATTTGCCACCCTATCTTTCAGAAGTACACCTATTACTGCTACCTTTGCTTGAAGCTTCTGGGTAAAGATCCTGTTGGTGCTCATTAGCTCTGTGCCAAAACAGCTATTTACTGAGGGAACAATGAAACCAGCCAGCTGTTTTGGCTACATGATACAAAAATAACTGCTTTGACTCCTGTAGAAAGAATGACAGGTTTTGGTTTTTGTTAAGCGAGAGCCTCACTCCGATTAAAACTAATTTTCACACATTATGTTAGCTAACGAGGCAATATTATGATAAACAATGAAAATTTGTTAAATTTGGAAACCCTTTCCTATGTCCCTTAATTCTGGGTCAAGTCTGACTTCTAAGAAATTTTACCTAATGAATTGTGAGGCTTCTATGAATGGTTAAAGGGCCATTCAACTCTTTGTGCCAAACACCAGACTCTTCTCTCAAGTGCCGATTAGACATCTCCTCTTGGGTATTCTATAGGACATAAAAATGCAACCCACCCCAAACAAACTCTTTTTTCTAAATTTGTTCCTTCTTTTCTATACCCTTCTTGGTGGCTGACAATAGTCAGTTGTACAAACTGGAGTTGTCTCTCCTGTACCCCACCTCACCCACACCACTGGGGGCTGTATTGAACCTGTGACTCACTTTTGTGGCCCCAACCTCTTTATCCCTCTCCTCTGCTCCCTCATCTCCCTCTCCCCTTCCACTATCATAACTCCAGCCCTTCACATCATTCTCCTAGATTCTTGTTTTTGCTTCCTCCACTTCCAAAATCAACCCCCTCCCATTTTTTTCCATGCTTTTTTTAATGAAATTGTTTCTAAAATTAATACTAAACAATGCCATTTCCTCTTTAAAATCTATCATTGTCTTCTCAAAGCATTCAGGGGACATTTATAGATGCCTTTTCTTGATATGTAAGGGCTTCTTGAATGAGGTGGCCCTGGCTTGGTGTTCCAGGCTCATCCCCACCCCTCTCTGACAGGTATTCATCACTCCAATAATAATAAACTTTTTCAAAAGTGTCATGCAATGCTTTTTGTGTCCTTATGTTTTATTTTTCATTTTATTATTGATACAACTTGTTTATGAATATATTCTCATTATGCAAAATTTGAGCATCCTAAGCTATGCAAAACATAATATGGAAGTCCCTTTTCTCCCCAATCCCATCTTCCCCAATGCTGTGCTGTTTCAAGCCTCTGCATCTACACATATTCTCCTCTTTGTCTAGGAGGCCATTCTTCCATGTTATCTAGCAAATTCCCTGTCATCCTTCAATGCTCAGGTGGAATTCTGGTTGCTCAGAGAAGCCTTCTCTGACCCCCTTTGTAAAACAGGTGTGGGCTGGGCATGGTGGCTCACACCTGTACTCCCAACACTTTGGGAGGCCAAGGCCAGTGGATCACCTGAGGTCGGGAGTTCGAGACCAGCCTGGCCAACATGGTGAAACCCCATCTCTACTAAAAATACAAAAAATTAGCCAGATAAGGTTGTGCATACCCGTAATCCCAGCTACTCGGGAGGCTGAGGTAGGAGAATCACTTGAACCAGGGAGGCAGAGGTTGCAGTGAACTGAGATCAGGCCACTGCACTCCAGCCAGGGCAACAGAGCAAGACTCCGTCTCAAAAATAAAATAGGCGTGCATCCCTAGGCTTGCGTTTCACCTTGTACGTGCCTGAACGCTAACATTTGTACTTGTCCTGCAATTATTGATTTGGTTGTCTTTCTCCTCAGCTAGAAGATAGGCTTCTTCAAGGAAGGGAAAGCTGTCTTGCTTGGCTTTGTGCCCCAATATCATGCTCAATAACTGTTTGCTAAAAAAAATGAATGAGCAAGTTGTTTAACTTGTTGTAGGGTCCATTTGCAGCAAGAGGCAGGAAATAGCCACAAGGAAGGGACTTTTGAGTAATGGAAAGTGATCTTCTCTACAGTGATAAGCTCAGGACATTTTCTTCCAACCTGAAGTCATAGAGATAGAGAAACATTTCCCATAGCAGCAGCACAAGACAAAAGACATGTATAGGGATTTAAAGAATGTCAGGGAGTGATGACTATTCTATGTGGATTAATGAGCTAGCAGTTAGGAAAGTAATTAGAAATAACAAATTCTTTAACCATATGTATGATGACTTCTATGCAGCATATATATCAAGGTTTGAACTCTGGAGTTTACATATGAAGAGTCTGAGATATCTCCACAGTGAAATGTCAGATGCAGTCAGTCTGGCATGGGTTGGCTTGGGGCACTGAGGGTCAGACGCTTCAGGAGATTGAAAAAAGATCAGAGGCAGGCAGAGATGGCTCATGAGCACTCCTGCCTGAGTTTTAGCAAAGTCCTTAAATTGGTAAGGTAGTTCATGCAATCCGGACATGATCACTTCTGAATATTGTTTGTAAATTGCTGAACCTGTTTAAGTTAGCTGTATGTATAGAATTTATTCCATAATGCAAAGTGATTCTTTTCAAATAATATGTTGGTTGTTTTGATAAGGTCTCAAGTTAATGAAATCCTAAGATGTTATCAGAATGTCACCTGAAACAAATAGGTACAAATAATATCGTCCTGCTCTGCTGGTGTCCTGATTGGTTAAAGCAACAGAGGAATCCCTATATAGGCCCATTTCATATCTAAATATGCCACGCACTGCATGGATAAAAATGAAAAATCGTATTAATACAATACTCTGAATATGTCTACATAATCATACATACACTTTCTTTTATTTTCAAGATACATTATTTTCCCTAAGTTGAACTGATTATATATAATGTGACAGTATATTATAATATAATGTCATTACAAGTAAAACAGAAAAAAAAGGATAAATAAAACAAGAACAACAAGAGTGCAGAAACAACAAGAAGTTGTAGAAGCAGTGATTGGAAACCTGGCATGAATTATTATGTGGATTGTGTTAAAACTGAGGCCAGAAATGAGAGGAAGTCAAGCAAGATTAAACAACACTAACAATGACATTTTATGAACAAGTTAGAACTATAAAATTTTCATAGAGTATTAAAAATTGAATAATAGCTTTTAAGGAAAGATAAATATCAGGAGGTCAAGAGATTGAGAAAGGTGAGAGAATATAAAGAAATTAGGGTACATGCATCCGTATTTAGTTTCTTCAATGCTGCTAATTTTAAAAAGCTAATGTGCTGAAAAATAAATAAAAGTTAATTGATTGTAAGGAAAACATGTTAGCAAGACAAAATTATTGAAATTAAATATAAATCACATAGCTAATTTACCTATGACACATAAGAAATATTTTAAGTGCAAAATCTTGTGAAAATGGAGGTATACAAAACTGCCTCCAGTGTTCTGGGTGAAAGAAATACACCCCATTGACCTGGATTTTCTTCCCTTTCTTTCAGTGCTCACATCGCCACCATCTTCCTCTTACCCTCTCCAATAACCCATTTTCTGCTGACTTATTGGTGGCCTCCTTTTTGCCAAATTCCAATGGAGTCATTCAACTTTTCTTATTAGTTGACCTCTCTGACACAGCTGACCATTTTCAACTTCTTGAAAATTTCTCTTCTCTTGATTTATCTTTGGTCTTTGGTGATTTTCTTTGTACCTCTCAAACTACTCATTTCCAGGTTCCCTTACTAGCTTCTTTTTCTTATATGAGCCCTTGCATTTTATATAAACTATCAACTCTCTTCTATTGCCCCATGGGCTCTCTGAGGTCTTAGCCACTTCCAAGGTTTCATCCCCCAATTACACAGCACTGCCACCCCACAATTTGCCAGTTGACTCTACCATCTGTACTCTATTCTGGTTTGTTCTGCTGACTGCTCAGATTCCCTATATGAGCACCTCATTATTTTCTTAAAATGGACACATTTTTCTCTACCTCAGATTCTCTTTCTCATTTATATCCCATCAGAAATGGCAGTAAGTTGCTGAAGTAAACTTGTGTTCATTTTTTATTCTTCCTTCTTTTTTACCCACCATGCCAAATGGTCATCGAGTTCTGTCAACTCTACATTCTAAGGTTAGGTTTTTAAATACATCTCCTCCCCTTTTTCTTCTTGTGAGCTTCTTAGCCTACACCTATATTCTCTGTCACCTGCACTAGTTTCTGCAGGTGAGTTAGAATCATGGCCTCCTTAATGATCTTTCTGTTGTCTATCTCTACCTCTAGCCATTCATTCTCCACATTTCTTCCAGAGTAATTCTGCAGAAATGCAATTAGGATCTTGTCACTCCCCAGATTTAAATCCTTAAATGGTTCTTAATCACAATGTAGCTAAAATCCAAACCACTCAGCAGGGCAAAAACAACAACAACAAAAAACAAACAACACCACCAACAACATTCACGCTTTATTCTCCCAAGTCCACCAATTATACACATGTTGACCACTTCCCTTCCCCACCCCCATTGCTGATTCTTTGTCTTATATTTTGCCTTTTGTCTTGTTGTCTTTCCGTCCATTTTCTTCCCGGTGAAATCCTCCTCTTCCACTCAGATACAACTCATGAATTTCCTTCTTTAAGAAACCTTTCTTGTGGGTAACTCTTATTTTGGCTGTTTCATGATCTCGTGCACATGCCCCAATCATAGCACCAGACAGACAGTCTTGTGACCATCTGTTTACCCACCCGTTTTTCCCATTAAGCAGAGATCTTAACATTTTTTCAGATGTGACACATTTCACAGATGACATTCAATAGTGCAACACATTTCCACCAGTATTCCCAATGAGGTGGCTATAACTCCACCATTTTTTTTCCAATCAAGAAAACATATTAATAGGAGTGAGAATGACAGATGATAATGACCTTGGATCTGTCCATGCACACATACATGTGAATTTATTTGTATTTGGAAAATCATTTAGCACTCTCATTCCAAAGTCAGACTGCCCAGGTTTCAATTCTGGGTTTATCATTTATTGCCCAAAGCCTCTAATGTATTATTTAACCCCTATAAGCCCAGTTTCTTTCTCTATAAAACAAGTATTATAATAAAATTTAATAAGAATTAAAAGGACTCTTGAGAGGATATGAAAAATGTTTTTTTAAAAAAAACCTAATTCACGTGACTCACTTAGTGGTGGGAATATGAAGTGTTCCCAGTAAATTTTAGCTATTATTATTACTACTGTTTCATATAGATGGGTCAATTTCTTCTTCAGTGGATCACAGTAATTCACTTTTATTTTCCTGCTACAGAATCTGACTTCACGTGAGTACATTTGTGAAGAGACAGAAATGATTATCCTTGAGGCTTCTGTTACTCATGAAATTGGAGAAATAATGCCCATGACATTGGACAAAATATAAAAATAACACTATTTGAGATAATCAAATACATAAGGCTTGTGCAATAGGCATCCTAATGTTCCTTCCTTTCCCCCAGTGAAACCTGCAAGCCAGAGGTAAAAATGAGGGCAAAGCTCTTCAAATCTTTGGAAGCAGAACGGTGTTCTGAGACGACAATGAGATTAGCTTTGCTCAGTTATACAAAGAGAAAAACACTTTACCAGGAGAGCCTCAATCAACCTGAACAATGAAGAGAAAGAAACAAGCCTGGTGATTGGAAAGGAAGTTCTTTAAGTGTGAATTGCTCCGAGTACAATATAAACCTTGTCAGTTATGGGATTCCAGCTGTTGTTTTATTGCCTTTAATTTCCCATTAGTGGTTCAATGTCTGGGAAAGGTATCCGGCCTCCAGGAGGGGAACTAAGGTCTAAGGTCGGAATTGTTGTTCCTGTCTCTGCCAACATTTTGAATAGTGTTTAAACAAAGCCATTCAAATGATTATCTTATGCCTAATTCTTATAAGGAGTGTTTGTGACTAAAATAAGCTCTTCAGGTGCCCTTTCTTCCTCTCCTATGTCTCTTCCTCTACTCTTCTACCCTCACCAAAAAATGAGATGCTGAAATAATGCAAAAAAGTTATTATAATATATAGTCTTATAGTCGTAGCTATTCCTTGCCTGGGGTGGGGTGGGGGGGTGTTGTGGGGAGATGGAGTGTGTGGCATTGGAGGATGGGCTTTTCTTTTCTTTTTTTTTTTTTTGAGACAGAGTCTTGCTCTGTTGCCAGGCTAGAGTGCAGTGGCAGGTTCTCGGCTCGCTGCAACCTCCGCCTGCCTCCCAGTTTCAAGCAATTCTCCTGCCTCAGCCTCCCAAGTAACTGGGACTACAGGCGCGTCACCACATCCAGCTCATTCTTATATTTTTAGTAGAGACAGGGTTTCACCATGTTGGCCAGGAGGAGGGTGGGCTTTCTTATCTCATCTTACCTTTCCTGCTCCATGGAGTAAACATCTTCCAAGTGTGTAATGTCAAAAGGGAGGTGTTTCAGTTGCGTATACTTTGATTCTGCCCCTTACCCAGCAGATTGCTAGGGAGTATCTAGCTGGTGGAATTAAGTTATGTGTACTGCCACAGTAAAGTAAGATTCATTTCTTGATCATTATGAAATCTATTGGTGTCCATGCTTCATTCTAGCTGTAGACTGAGGCTTGAGGGGAACAAGCATTTAAACTAAGATAGGGCTGGGCCCAATAGCTTACTCCTGTAATGCCAACACTTTGGGAGGCTGAGGTGAGAGGACTGAGGCCAAGAGCTTGAGACAAGCCTGGGCAACATACTGAAACCCTGATTCTACCAAATTTTTTTTTTTTTAAGTTAGCTGGACGTGGTGGTGAGTGCCTGTAGTCGCAGCTACTAGGGAGGCTAGAATGGATAGTTTGAGCCCAGGAGTTCAAGGCTGCAGTGAGCCGTGATCACAACAATAGAGCAAGACCCTGTCTCTAAATAAATGAATGAATAAACTAAGAAATAATTGATAGATATTTTTGGACTATAGTTAAATATGTTTAGTTTATATCATCACACTTATTCTCACAGTATTCAAGTGAGGTATATAATAGTATTATTTCCATTTTGAGACCAGGATTTAAAGATTCTGAGAAGTGGAGACCTATAGGCGTTAAGTAGAAGGGATGAAACTCAAACTCATATTTCATTAAATAAAAATTCCTTACTCTTCTATCTGTCCAACTTTCCCAAAAGAGAAAGGTAGAATTTCTTCTCTCTTCTGAACCTGAGAGTTTGCATTGCTGAGAAACTTTAGGTAGTAAGAGGGAGAGCTACTCCCTGTCACTGATTTAAAGGGGGCTGGGTCTTCAGATCTGAATTTGCCACTACTTAGTTTATGCATCCAGATACAGTCATCTATTGAGTCTTGAAGGGCTAAGTACAAACTTATTAATTGTACCTCCCATCAAATACACTGAGATTTCTACAGAAAAGATCGAAAAGACTCTCTTTTTTGTATGTCTGATTTTCACATCTTTCTATCGGGTTCCAGGGGGTCAGGTAATGAAATGCAGGTGTATTCCTCTGACAGCCAGAATGGGAAGGTTACAAATATTCGGTCAGAGTATTGAGCACTTGTAACTGGTAGCCTTGTAATAGCAGCATTCTTATTATTCCAAACCCTGGAGTCAGGATTTCCTGGTCCTGAACTCTAATATGAGCCATATTTTTCCCGTTTAGCCACAGACACAATGGTCACCTTAACATGCCCAAGGGTTAAATCAATTGCAATAGGATGATAAAACATATACAAAAAAACACACACTAGCAGTTAATACCTAAAAGGCCAATTGAATTCAATGAGAATTTTTATTGAAATCTGTGGCTGAAGAGCAATCACTTAGCTTCTGTTCATGGCTTATGTTTGAGAGAAGCAATCACAATTATTAGTTGAGGCATATTGTTTTCTATTAAGCAATACATGAATATTGTTGATCCTGTCTATACTACTAGGCCCTACTTAACTCTACATATTTCAACTCTTTCCAGTTAAGGGATGGGTTATTATGGTGTTTTGTTTTTAATCTTATAATTTATACAAGATTAAACATGACATTTCCATTACAAACCCATTCCCCAGCTGGCTTAAAATGTATATATATACACATATATGCATATATGTGTATATATAATGCATATGTGTATATATATGCACATATATGCATATATGTGTATATATATACACACAAAAAATATTGCATTTTGGCAATACTTTTCCCATACCATTACATAGCAGATATCAAAAGTCAAAATACTGCAGTTTTTCAGAGATGACTGTCACGTATGCTCCCTGAGCAGGGTTGAGGCAGATGGCGGTGCAGAAGGGGTGGGAGACCTTGCCTCCCATGTTCTCAAAATGCAGAGGAAAGCAGGCCTTACTCTGCCAAAACCGTGTGATGTTTGGCCCCAAATAAAGTTGGACCTTGTCCTCTGTTTCTCCGTCTTTTCCCCACCTTCTGTATAGAGACCATTGCCTATCTTAGTTACCATTCTGCTGTGCAAATTCTGCCAATATTGGCATGTGTATGTGGCCCAAAGTGGAGAATCGAGACCCAGAAGGAAGCACGCCAGTCACTCTCTCTCTCTGCAAGCCAGAGCAGAGGTCACTGAGAGCACCTCAGGTATAAAGTTATCCCCAAGATGGAAATTCTGAAATTCCCTTCGTTAAGAACTTTTTGCTGATTCATGATTTGAGAATTTTTCTCTTTATGTCTAACTACTAGTCATGTCCCCATGATATGTAATTATTGATTTTATAAAAATTAACTCAGTCATCCAAGTGGTTGGCTCTTGTGCCAATCATATTGAGAGGCAGAATTTTAGTCATTAGGGACATGAGAAAACTTCCATTATCAACTCTAAACATTGATTTGATTAAAATTAAGCCTTCTGTCTTAATTACAGTCATTGATACTTTCATACCTATAATTATGGAAGAGTATATCATGGAAGCAAATTTCATAGTCATCCTTACAATAGAAATATGAATAGAAACTTTATAAATGTTTTAGTGGCATTCTCCTTGCAGCAGCTAGTAGCCTCTATTTTGACTTTTTGTTGATTTTATGATTTTGCTTCTTTTGAAGTACTCCAAGGATATAAGGAAAAGTGGTAATTTGATATTTTTCTACTTTATTCTGTCATTTTAGAAAGCAAATTTGAGTAAGATATGCAGGTTTCTTATCCCTTTGACCAAAATTACGGAGGAATGGAGAAGTGAAAAATGACCATAGCCCTCTCCTGGCAAGATTTTGAAGTGGTTGGAAAGTACCTGCCTCTGTGCTTTTCCTCACTGAGCCCCTTTTTCTTCTAGTTTCTTTGTCTCTCTCTCCCTCAGTGATGTTATGCTTATTATGTCTTTGTCCCTGCCAACACTTGCTCTTCAGATGTGTCCGCACTGAACCGGAGTGATGCATCTTCATTCAATTTATTTTAAATCAAAGTCAATGGATCACCTCTCTTGAGAGAATTGCCTTTTATTCCTTATCTATAAATACTAAGAGGGAAGCTTTGAAATTGTTTTAGAATGAGGAAATGAAGAGCTGTAATGAACCTTAAAAATGTCTGATACATTCTTATAATTCATCCATTTGTCTACTTTTTAATTTTAGAAAAACATTTCTGAATGTCTCTGTGCTCTGGGTGCCATAGCAGGTGTTAGTAATAAATAAAATATAGTTTCTTTCTGAAAGTGACTTACCCTATCAATCTAGTAAATGAGGAAGTAAATAAAGTCATGTAATTGAATTCAAATTTGTAGATGCAATTATATTGCCCTTACAGAGTGCAGTACAGATGAAAAGGAGAGGGGAATTTAGTATATCTGATGAAAGAAGTCAGACAACATTTCACAGAGAAGGTTATATTTGAGAGAGTCTTAAAGGAAAAGTATATGTTTACCAGGAAACATAGGAGAGAAGGGCATTAAAGGCAAAAAAGTTGGGAGGATAAGCGAGGAAAAGATATTCTAGAGATAGAAAAATCACAGGGACATTAGGTAATATTGCACATTCAGGGGCCTTCAAGGAGTTCAGGTAGCTAGAATATGAGATGCAGAGAAGAAACTTCAAGGGAACTGATAAATCTGGAAAGGAAGTTAGGGGCCATGTGTGCTATGTCAGTGTTGTTTGCTCTGAATTTATTTCTGGCCTTTGTGCAACCCTAGATATATCCATTTAATGGTGACTCTTAAGGTAGATATTTTGTGTAACAATACTCCAGACATAATGATATTCCCGTTTCCCTGGTCTAACATGGCAAGAAGCTTGAGCTTGTTTGATGGGAAAGACCTTGAAGGATTTTAGACAGAAAAGGAACATGACCAGATGTGCTTTGTCCGCAGCAAGGAGAATAGATTGAAATAGGACAAGCCTGGGAACACATCAATGATAAATACTTGAAACATCCCACACAACAGAGTCTGAATACAGTCGGTAACAACAAGAAAGCTGCAGGAGATCTTGAGCAGATAGAATCAACTGGATTTGGTCACCAATTAAATGTGAGAGATGAAGAAGCAGTCTTGGGAAAGTCCCCAGTTTTCTGATGAGAATGCTTGCATGGTATGGCATTTCAAATAAAACCAAGTCTGTGGGAAAAGGTGAGCTAAGCTGAGGGCTTGTGGAACTGGGGATATAGGTGGGACATCCAGGGAAACTGTTTTGTAGACAGTTTACAGGGGTCTTATGTGAGGCCGTTCTTGTATTGCTGTAAAGAAATACCGTAGGCTAGGTAATTTGTAAGAAAAGAGGTTTAATTGTCTCACATTTCTGCAGGCTGTACAGGCAGCATAGCAGTCAGCATCTGCTTCTGGGGAGGACTCAGGAAGCCTCCAATCATGGCGGAAGGCAAAAGGGGAGCAGGCACATCACATGGTGAAAGCAGGAGCAAGAGAGAGACAGGGAGGTGCCAAACATTTTTAAACAACTAGATCTCATGAGAACCCACTCGCTATTGTGAGAACATTACCAAGGGGATGACTAAGCCATTTATGAAAAATCTACCCCCTTGATTTAATCACCTCCCCCACCCCCCACCTCCAACACTGGGAATTACAATTGAACATGCGATTTGGGTGAAGACACAGATCCAAACCATATCAGGTCTGGTGCTCAGAAAATGGGCTGAGTAAGGCTGGAGGTACACGTTTGAGAGTCACTAGCACCAAAGTGGCAAACCGCTCAATGGAAGTAATTATCCAGCAAGCATTTGGAAAGAGAAAAGCATCAGTGTTGAAACCCTGCTGTGTGAAGACATTTAAGAAGGGAGAAGAGTTATCACCAGAAGGGGTCAATAAAGAACAGTCAGAGATATACTAAGAGTTGAGGGTAGGGATAGGAGTTATAGAAAATAATATAAGAACCATAAGCTATAAAACCATTAAATCAGAGTTTTAATGACACAGAGAAATGCTTACTTGAAAATAAAGAAAAGGAAAGGAGGGAAGAAAAAGAGGGGAGGGGAGAGAGAAAGAGAAGAAGCACAGTAAAAAGGCTTTCTTCTTTGTTGACTTTTTTCACTAAAAATACAGATTAGACTCTTAGGCTAATGTGGCAGTGATAGGAAAAGCCTGCATGAACAAGAAGAGAGAGATGACAAGGGACATTTTCACACCTGAGTTTGGAATTTGATGTGCGTGAAAGAGGGTGTCAAAAGATGAAGTCGGCATCTAGGCGGTGCCAAGGAGCTTCAACTTTATCTCAAAGGAAACATCAAAGCATTTTAAGCAGGGCAGAGATAAATCCAGGGTTTTGCTTTAGAAAGAACATTCTGACAGCTATGCAGAGGAAGGCTGGACCAGAGCAGGCCTACAAAAGGAGATTAGTCAAGAGGTTGGTGAAATCCCAGCCAGGGAAGATGAGACCCTTCATGAGGGTATGCCAAGTGGGCACCAACCCCATGACTGCTTGGAGATTTTCTTATCTGTCTTTGATAGAGTGTGGCTTGTTGGTCCATCCTGGGGGTCCTAATAATAGCCAGCAGTAGGAGCAACAAACCAATTGCCCAGCTTGCTCAGAAGGCAGATACTAAGCGTTGCTGCTACTTTGTATGACCATTCTTGGCTTTCAACAGAACAGTGTTTCTACTCTCCCCTTCACCATGCTGCAGCTCTAGTCTGGAAGAAGGATTGTGATTTCAGCACAACACAATTGCTCAGCTCAGCTCTAGAGGTGCATTTGCATCTGAGCTCTATGAATGGTACCCACCAAAGGCTTGCAGTATGCAGCTTTTAGCCTTTGAAGGGATTTTCCACCTTTTCTGCCATCCCTCACATAGAAGAATTACTAACAGTAATCCTGCAATCTTCTTGACCTATATTTTAAAGCTGTGGTTCTCAACCAGAGGCAATTTTGCTGGCCCAGGGGACAATTGACAATGTCTGCAGACATTTTGGTTGTCACAACTGGGAAGAAAGATGCCAGTAGATTGTTACTGGCATCTAGTGGGTACAGGCCAGGGATGTTGCAAAATATTCTACAAGGCACTGGACAGTTGCCTCACCTGCCCCAGCCCCCTACAAGAAAGAATTATCTGGTTCTAAATGCCAACAGTGTCAAGGTTGAGAAACTGTATTCTAAAAAGCTGGAACACTGTTTTCTTCAGAACATTTTATTTCATCGCTTATCACAAAAATGTATTTGTCAGGTTATCTCTTTCCAGCCATCTTGTATCTACTGCAAAGTGAAATGAAGGGTTGAATAAGTTGTCTGGCTAGGTTAAACCAAAAATTTAAAAAGAATTTTACTCATTTATTAAGTATTACTCTAATTATTTTTTTAAAAAACATTAATGGTTCAAAGTGTGCCTAAAGGTGCTAAAATTCTCCACTGTAGTTTCAGCTTTGGACCGTGAATTGATTGAGAAAACAAAAGTTGAAACATGCAGATAGGTTATCTTACAAGATTTTGGTCAAAAATATTAGTATTTTCAAGTACCTGTAAGCTTTTCCTACATATACTTAAACTCTGGTAAATCAGAGAAGATACCATCCTCTCTCACCCACTCCACTGAAATAGGATCCAAAAAAACAAATGCCCCAAACTTCAAGTTTGTACATTGAGATTTAGTCAACAGGTATAGGGCATTGACCCTCTTGAGAAATAGCCATCATCTAGCAGCTTCTCTCTAGAATATTAGCTTCATTTTCTTTTATTTTACTCAGAAAAGAGATTGTATTCATGTTATAATCCTCTCTTCCGGGATATTTCGAGGAAAGAACACATTCTGGCAGAATGCAATAGATCTATGCCTCTATAAGGCAGAAGACAATTCACACATCCCACAATTACTAAAAATGTATTAGGCTTATATTAGAAAGATAATCTGTCTTCTTAGCAAAGTTTCACTTAGTTTTTGCCACATTCTGACTTCCACTTTTTTCTAGCCATTATATATGATGTTAAAAAAAATTCAAACAGAATGCTGTATTTATCATAAACTAAAAATAAAACATATGTCATCAGGGCAGGTATTTAAGCATTCAACAACTCAAGTGAATGGTTAAAAAAAAAGTGTTCTCTGGAAGGATTATTTTATACTGTAATAAGTGAACTCCTTAGGATTAGCATGGGGACCAGTGAATTGCACAGGAACCTCAGAAAGGTAGTCTGGGGTGGAGTCAGAGCCCACTGTGTTCTTCCTCTTGGCAGCATGCTGATCAGGACCTTTGTCTAAATTGAATCTGAAATTGCTTTTCAATGTCATCTTGGAATTTCTAGAAGGGCACTCTGGCACCATATGTTCCCTTCTGACTTTGAGTAGGATTACCATGAGAGGCAAAGTCCTAAAATGTACCGAAAGTCATTTTTTTATGGTTAAAATATTTTCAAATAAAATAAAAATCCAATATGATTGTAGAGAAACCTGTTGCTGTTGTTTGTTTTGGAACACACTTCTAATCTTTGGTTATATGACTTCAAAATAAAAGGAGTCTGGCAGTTTAGACAATAGTTTGTATTATTACATACCCTCTACTCTGAGCTTCTTTAATAATCCATGCATATCTCTGCCACTGCATTTATCATATTAAATTTGAATTATCCCTTTATGTGGCTGTCTCCTTCATTAGAGTGGAAGAATTCAAGATAAGGACTATGTATTTGTCCATGTGTCATACCCAATGCCTAGTCCAATTACAAAAATAAATGCACAGATAGGTGGATGGAATGGAATTGGGCACTGAGAGATAGCATTGAGAATAGGTTGGAGGTGGCATTAATTTGGGCTCAGGGATAGCTGGAGCATATACTATTAATGAATTTTCAGGGAAAAGTCAAAGCATCAGGGTAAAATATATTTAGAAAATGCTGGGTTTGTTTTTTATAAACAGAAAGAGAGTTTATCATTTGTCTATATGCATTGTAAAATTTTGAAAAGAAATAGAGCATATAACGTTTCAGAAATTTATTTGACCACATCACACCCATTAACTATTTCAGAAATGGTATTCAGCGAAACATCATTTGGAGAGTGTTGGCTTATATCCAGAGGCCTTCTTCAGTGAACCATCTTTATTTTATTTTATTAATGTTATTATTATTATTACTGTTTTTAGAGACAGGGTCTCGCTCTGTTGCCCAGGCTGGAGTGTGTTGGTGTGATCATAGCTCACTGCAACCTCGACTTCCTGGCCTCAAGTGAGCCTCCCTCTTTGGTCTCCCAAAGTGCTGGTGTTATAGGCATAAGCCACCATGCCTGGCCCACTGCACCATCTTTAAAAGAAAGTCCAGAGCTATTGGTGAGAAAAAAAAGGAAGAAAATAGGAACTTGAAAGGTTAGGTTCTGGAAACTTAATTCTCTGAGTGAGTAGTGTGGGTTTGTGGAAAAGGTAAATTATTATTAGAAATTATTGGAAATTAGAATATTATTATAGAATTATTAGAAATTATTAGAAAACTATGAGTTGGGTAAGTGCCAAGCTTCAGGGGGGGAAAAAATACAAAAAAACCCTAGAGATTTAAAGAAGTAGGGTTCCTAAGTCAAACTAGTGACAAGATACCCAATTGTACTTGTTTTTAATACATTTTTAACCCTTCATAGTTATATATGAAAGTGGCTTTAACTACTGTTTTTCTTGCCTAATCAATGACCTTCAAACCACTACCTCAATGTTATCATCTCTTAAGACTCTGTCTCTCTCTTCCAACTTTAGCCACAGGAAATCATTGCTGTCCTTCAAACACGCTGATCACACTCTGGCCTCAGAGTCCTTGTGTCATTTTTTTTTTTTTCCCTATGTCTGAAAAACAGTTCCCTAAATACAACTTCTTATTCTGCTCTCCCAAAGGGCACTCCCTCAAAGATTCCTTCTCTATCTAAAATATCCTGCCAATACTGTCTCTTAATCTTCTTTACTTTTCTTCACAGTGCTTACTACGGCTTGAAATATTACATATATATGCATGGTTTGTTTTCCTTTACTGGAGTATAATGTTAATAGGGCACTGGATCAGATATTAAGGGTATAAAGACAAATAAGAGACAGTCCTTGCCTTCATGGAGCTTCCAGGCTTAGGTGAATATAGGTCCTTCTCTGTCCTCCATTCCCTGGACACCCCAGTCCTAATGAAGATGCCTTAGAATCTGTGACAAAGTAAGAAAACCAAGAATGGTTCAGTAATACCGAATTTTGCACAAATTTGCCAAAGATGTGAGAAAATCCTAGTCATAGAACTTCTTCACAATGTGGTTGTGAATTAAACACAACTTTGTAAAAGGTGAAATACTGTAAAACCACATATTTGGCCGGGCGCGGTGGCTCACGCCTGTAATCCCAGCACTTTGGGAGGCCGAGGCGGGCGGATCACGAGGTCAGGAGATCGAGACCATCCCGGCTAAAACGGTGAAACCCCGTCTCTACTAAAAATACAAAAAATTAGCCGGGCGTAGTGGCGGGCGCCTGTAGTCCCAGCTACTCGGGAGGCTGAGGCAGGAGAATGGCGTGAGCCCGGGAGGCGGAGCTTGCAGTGAGCCGAGATCCCGCCACTGCACTCCAGTCTGGGCGACAGAGCGAGACTCCGTCTCAAAAAAAAAAAACCCACATATTTATTATTATTATTAGTGTTTAACCAGCACTTACTTTTTATTTAAGCTTGTATTTCTGAGCTAAACTAATAAATTCGTCTTTCAAATGAACAACTTGTCTCTAGGCATAAATTGGGTACATTCAGAAACACATTAGCAATTTTAGGCTCACCAACTTTTAGAATTCTAATGCTGGAAGGGACCTCAGAGATCACCTAGTACAATCCCCTCATTTTCGTATTTATGCTTATGGCACTAATTATTACAATCTACTGCAATGAACAGTGGTCAATAGGCATTAACAGAGCCAGAGGAGCGCTCTACCAACTTGGCCTCTAATTGGCGGTTGCAACTCAATCTTGGCATAAGAGAAGGATTTTTTTTTCTTTCCTATAAACATATAACCTTGGTCTACATAAAGTGTTTCTTTCCATATTGAAGAGTGAGACAGTGGAGAAATTATACATTAGAAATTAACTGAGCTTTTCTGTCTTTGCCAAAGTGCATTTTTGCAGTAGGGAGAAAATAATCTGGATTGAAAATTGTTCATTTAATGTTCTGAGCCATTCTGAGATAAATATTCTGATGTGAAAATTCAATGGACTGCGTGATCTAAAGGAACATTCAAACAGGAAGTAGTCAAATCAATAGTGCAATGATCACGCTAGAGAAAGAAAAATGTGTTCTTTTATTAAGACACATTTCAAGAACCAGGGTGGCCTTCCTTGATAATTCACTTCAAAAATCAGCTTGTGGAAATGAGTGCAGGCATTTGTCAGTGACTCTGAGGACTTTAAGAAGTCTTTGCACTGTTTGCACTGTTTTTATAATTCCACTATCATTTTTTTAATCCCCTGCTATAAAGTACAAATGTCATTAAAGGGTCATTTTGGGCTTTTTGTTGTTGTTGTTGTTGGAGGGTGGGATAAGAAGTGAACATTATCCAAATTTTAACACTTTTTTTTCTTTTTCTTTTTTCTTTTCTTTTCTTTCCTTTTCTTTTCTTTTCTTTTCTTTTTTGGAGATAGTCCCACTCTGCTGCCTAGGCTGGAGTGCAGTGGCAAGATCTTGGCTCACTGCAACCTCCACCTCCCTGGTTCAAGCAATTCTCATAGCAATTCTCATGCCTCAGTCTCCCAAGTAACTGGGATTACAGGCGCAGGCCACCGCACCTGACTAATTTTATATTTTTTATAGAGACAGGTTTTCACCATGTTTCCCAGGCTGGCCTCAAACTCCTGGCCTCAAGTGATCCATCCACCTCAGCCTCTCAAAGTGCTCGGATTACAGGCATGAGCTACTATGCCCAGCCCCCTTTTTATTCTTCATTATTTTCATCGATTAAATTAAGGATGATTGAAATATTCTTATCACCATAATTATTACTTAATATTTACAGATCTGACTTAAATTTTTATTATAATTGGTTTTAAATATTTTTAAAAGAGTTTGCAAGGAGCAGGATTGATCAATTCAACATATAAAGGATAGCAAAATAATACTCTTGACTTGGATATAAACTATTATATGTTGGAGTTTATATATACTGCACACTAAAAAAAAACTTTTAAAAGTTGTACAACAGTTAAATGGCTTTTTAATTCAACAATACACAGCATCTGGTTTAACTGACTCTTACTGGCATTCACTTGTCACTTTGGGATTGTGGACAGAGGCTAAACTGTTTACCAAATGAATACTCAAGCAAAGCTCCACTGTTACAATTGAAGAGGGATAACAGCAGTCAAGCATTGTACCAGCGTATGACTAATAACTCCAGGCAATAAGCTGCCTTAGATATAGATCTGTGTTTTGTAATGAAAATGTAATCATAAAACTTAGACTGGAGTTTCTATCCTGCTAAGCCAAGTTACCATCAACAAACATGTTAATACCTGACAGCACATTTCAGCACCTTAGTGTCAGAAAATCAGGGCATGCCAATTTTATTCAGAGCTCAATGAATTCCACCTACTTAGGCATCTCCCAGCTTGTGGGTTAAATGTAATTTTAAAATTCTGATTGCTCGATAATTGATAGTCATATTTTAGGAATTGTATTGTGTTTCTTTCTTTCTTTTTTTTTTTTTGAGATGGAGTCTCACTTTTGTTGCTCAGACTGGAGTGTAGTGGCGCGATCTTGGCTCACTGCAACCTCCGCCTCCCAGGTTCAAGAGATTCTCCTGTCTCAGCCTCCAGAGTAGCTGGGATTACAGGCATGCGCCACCACACCCTGCTAATTTTTGTACTTTTTTAGTAGAGACAGGGTTTTGCCAAGTTGGCCAGGCTGGTCTCAAACTCCTGACCTCAGGTGATCCACCCGCCTTGGCCTCCCAAAGTGCTGGGATTACAGGTACGAGCCACCGTGCCTGGCTGGAATTGTGTTTCTTATTCAAGAGGCAAGTAATAATTTATAGTAAAGGGTTTTTTTTTTTTTAAGTAAAATGTGTCTAATGTTTCACAGTTTTAAATACCCTGTGGCTTATTTAACAAGGATATTTTATAACAGAATTATTCTATTCCTCTTTTTCCTTCTCTCATGTCCTGTGTTGTACCTTATCCCATGTGTCAAGACAAATGTTTCCTATTAACAAGACTGCGTTATACGTTTTAGGACTTATTTTTAGTCATTCATTCCCCAAACATTTATTAAGTTTCTTTTCTAGGGCAAACAACACTGTTAGGTGCTAAAGCTACAAAAATGAATAAAACAAGAGTCCCTTCTCACTGGGAGCACACAGGATAGACGTTCATGTAAATAGATACCCACAATATATTTTCATAAATAATGTAATCAAGTTAGGGATGAAGACAGTAGAAGTTTGGGAGAAAGAACAACTCAAGTAGACCAAGCAAAGCCTGTAAAGAGGAGGCATTGGTTTTAAATCTAGAGAAGAAGTAGGAATTTCTTAAGGAAAAAAAAAAAAAAAGAAGAAAGTTTATTCTAGGGACAGAGATGGCATGGCCAGGGCCCAGAATGGCTTGTAAAGGGACATTTACCTTTGAGGAATGGTGAGGAGTCGGGTGGACCTGGATTGAAGAAACCAGTTGGGAAAAATGCCCTGGGGAATATGTGGGCAATATTGTTAAGAGCCTTAAATGGGCTTTGCCAAACTAGTTGGACTTTATCCTGACAAAACGAAACAGTACATGGTATTAAAATACTAATTTAGACTTTTAAGATTATTTCCTGTTTTTTCACCTGTCAGTTAAAAAAATAACGTTTTGGTTGGCTTCACTTACTTTGCATATGTTTCCATGGGTTACTTTAACACCAGAATGGCATCTGTGGAAAACAATCTGAGCCCAAGACTAGAGTCTAAACGCACAGGGTTTCTCTGAATGACAATATTCAAGAGACTCACATAAAGCCCTGATCATCAATCCCCAAAAAGATTAATGTCCAGAACAAGTTCGGAAGATCAATTAGGGAACTTCAGAACAAAGCCATGAAGCATGTCTCTACGGCTATGGCGGGTGGAGTAGGTAGACGGCTGCATGTTGATATTTATGGAACGTTAAAATAAATAACTGTGCCCAAATATCTAACATCCATAATTGAATGTATTGAGGTGGGGAAGGCACTGTCCCCTGAAATTGCTATTAAAGCACTAGCATCTTGCCTAGAAGTTACTGTGTGAGCATATTAGCATCAAGCGCCCCAGCCACCTAAAACACACCAGGTATTCAGTGAACTCTCAATTGGAAAGGAAATTTGAATCTGAGGTATCGCCTTCCCCACACTGGCCAAATAATGGCATGGCAGAAAGTCCAAAGGAGGCAGAGAGATGGGATGGAACTAGGGAGAGGTGTGAAAAAGCTTTAGTTTCTTCTGACCCAACTATCACATCCATCATCATTCTGAAGGTTTAAAAGCCTGAGTCACTAAGTCATAGAAACTAAATTGGGGGAAACAGAAGCAAAACAAAGACACTTGTGGCTAAATACATTCAGGTGTCTGTGAGGTACCAGGTGTTAGATTTGAGTTAACTCCTTTTCCAGATCGGAAAGGACCCTCAGGTCTCCCTAGATCTTTGTCATTTGGTCTGACCACCATCAACCTTTCTTTCTGGCATCATCTTGGCTCCACTTGTCCCCTGGAAGGAAAAGATCTTTCTTACATAAACTCAGTATTTTATCTCTCTGAATTCAGACTGACTTCGCAGTTGCTCCCATCCCCAGTGTCCTAGACAATTCTAGGGTTCCTGGTAGGGCCTGACCAGTCCGTGGCAGCTTTTGTGACATGCTGATCATTGTCTGATACATGTCCCTAGCCAGCTTAAAGCTGAATGTCTCTAGCTCCCAGCCATCGACCTCAGTGGTGGTCCCACCTCATGTTGCACTATTCTCTTCCTTGTCAGCCCTCTGTGACAGCTTAAGGTGGAGTGCTCTTCTCCCGCATCAAATCCCCTTGTATCCTTCTTTCCACCTAGTGAATGACTATCTCCATTCTACTTGAATGTAGAAAACGTCAAGGATTGACAATACAGAACTCACTGACTGGCCAAGCATCCAGTCCAGATTACTTCATCCATAATAATTTCCCTGGGATGTGTATATGTGTGAGGGGAGGATGGGGCTAGGGTTGCGTAGCAGAATCCCAGAGTCTCCATTATCACTGTGTATTCACATAAATGAAATATGTGCTACAGTCATCATTATTATAAATTGAAAATAGTTATTGAACACTTACGGTGTGCCAAGCATGTAAAAATGTTTTTCATAATTTTACAATTTTAGCTCTAAATGTCATAATGTACTGCCCTTAGAAAAAAGATGCCAGTTCTCTACATTTGCAGAGCATTAGGCTTGATATGACATTTTTCCAGAGCTCCTTCTGGTTTCCTCAATAGAAATCACCACTCTGCCTCTCTTGACTTAATGCGGGAATATTGCCTGTCTCTCAGACACGTACACACACAGGCACACAGCCATGTGCACACGCACACACACACACACACTCACACACGATTTTCAATTTCCTCCTGCTTTGTGTTTCATCGGGGTTACGGTCACAGCGGCTCCCCTGCGGGCCCCCCACTTTGTTAGCATTCTGATGTTCACTTATCAGTGAGTGAATCAAGAACAACACATCCCCTGGTAAATTGGGAGTTTAAAAGGTGTAGTCACAATACGACAAAAAGTGCACATACGACATTATGAGCCAAAGTGAAGTTTTTGAGCAATGTAAAAAAAATAAAATAAAATAAGCATTTTTCTGCAACATTTCTCACCTAAGAATAGCAAAGTTGGAACATAAAGACAAATTTCTTAAGGCTCCCAGAAAGCCCAGGATTTAAAGAAAGTGAAAGGAAGCATAGATCCCACCTGTGCCTTGACCCATTTTCTGAGATAATAAACCAAAGATCCCCTGCCTCCTCACTCGCCACCCCCCGCCCAGAAAAAAAACTCATGATGTTACACAGAATTCTTTATTATTTCCACAATTTGTCAATACCCTATTTTCAATTTTCCCATGGAGAAGGAATTTCTGCCTGGTTGAAAGGAACATAAAAAAGCTATCTGGATATAATTCTGCTAAATACCCATGATTTCATAATAAAGCACTCAATTTAAATAGCTGTTCTCCAGGGCACTGATTATGGTATTTCCTCCTTAAACTGAACAAATTTCCCTTCCCTTTTCACAGATAAGTGCCAAATCTTAGACATAACAACCTGCTTTTATAAATTCAGAGTATTTCTAGAGTGGCAGGACATCAAATCTGAAATATGTAATATCACCAAACTAATGTTTTGGTTTGTCCTCAGAGCCCAAATCATGTTTTAAATCAACATCAGCAAGCACTTTACTAAAGATCTCTGAAGAGTTAAAAAGATCATATAGTATGGCACATAAAAGTAGCATATTTTCCTGGTATATACCTATTTAACGGTGTTAATTATATAATCATGGATTTAATGCATTTGAGTTTTACTTCCTTTTTTATTGGGAAGCAACTAAAATATTTTTCTTACCTTAAAGATACTCTATTATATAATAGGACTATTAAAGCACCTCAAATATCATAATATGTTTAGATTTATCCACATTTGAGACTTCCAAAAGTCATTATTCTTGAAATATGTATTATTTTGATAGATGTCCATTTTAATTATTTGAAAGATTCAACTTTAGACTCCACCTTAGGGGAGGCCTTTGATCTAGGCTAGTTGATAATTAATGTCCACAAATTCAGTATTCTCTTTGGACTATTTTCTCCCTTTCCATGCTTGTAACTTTTAATACCTGGTGCTTACACCTTACGAAGTTTATTTTAGTGTACATGTCCTTCAGGATGGATTGTTATTAAATTGTAGTAACCAACAACCCCCAAACTGTAGAGAGGCTTCCGACGAGGAAGGTGGATTTCAGTCATGCTGTACTTCCATCTGGAGTCAGCAGGGGGCTCTGTTCTACACTGTTCTCTCTCCGGGGCCCAGCCCGCCCAAGCAGGACAATCTAAAATATTGCAGATCATGGTCATGAAGGGAGGGAACATGGTGAATCATACACCGGCTTTACCCAGAAAGTAGAAATTTTTTTTTGGTTTTTACCCAAAAGCGAGACACAAATCTTTTGCTCACATCCTCATGACCGAAACAAGTAATAATGTGAAGGGGTGCAGCAATGCCATGGTATCACGTGCCTGGATGAAGGGGACCCGGAAACGCTAGTGAAGAGCATTAAGGAGCCATCCCGTTCTGAAATACATAGTACACTGTCCTTTGCACGTGCAAAATATGCTCAGCCTTTTTTTTTCGGGTGAGACAACCCAAAATTGCCATTCGGTCACAGCATGTAGCTCAAAGTGCAGGATCTCTGGGTGACAGGAAGGATGGGAAGTCTTCACAGCAGGGGGTGAGGTGCAATAGTCTGTAAGTCCAGTGCCAGTTATGCTCCCCACATGCTCAGGACCCCAAAATGGAGCAACCAAAGGACTACTGAAATAAAGACTCGCATTCAGACAGAAGAATGGGGGCACACACAGCAGACATAGGACTGGCTGTAGCAACTCTAAATTCTTATTTCTCAAGTATTTTGAGGACTACCTTTACATTTTTATTTTTTGAGACAGGGTTTCACTCCGCCACCCAGGCTGGAGTGCAGTGACACGATCTCTATTCACTGAAACCTTGACTTCCGGTGGTCAAGCTCCCATCTCAGCCTCCCAAGTAGCCGGGACTACAGGCATGCACCACCACACCCAACTAACTTTTGTATTTTTAGTAGAGACAGGTTTTCACCACATTGCCCAGGCTGGTCCTGAACTCCCGAGCTCAAGTGATCTGCCCACCTTGGCCTCCCAAAGTGCTGGGATTACAGGAGGACTACCTTTAATTAGGCACTGTTTTCACTTCCTGGAAGTAACCCCCTTGTCCTTGGATCTCTGTGGCTCCTGGTTCTGCCCTCTGGGAGAGTCCTCCTCTCCATTACTCTCCTTCAAATCCAAAGTGGGTATCCGAAGAATATGCCCACCTGAAAACTGAGCAGTCTTCTTGCCACACTTGCTGCCTGCAGACAATTGGGGGTCCCTGGGTCATTTGGAATTTCAAACAGTCAATCAATTTTAATGTAAGTTGATGATCCTTTTGGTAGTATAACTCCCTCAAAAATTAAGTTGGCTTCCTATATACTTGACAGTGAGCTCTGTCTCAACCACAGTCCTTTTAGAGACAAAATTCTGACATTCTTTGGCTTTCTCATGCTCATACCTTTCGCTTCCTGCTTCATTAAAGCTCTGCTGAGCCCATCAAGCTTTAGTGGAAGAATTACATACTTAGCCTCCTTTTTGTTCAATTGAGTGGATTTAATGGACACCACATCTTTGGTGAGACCTTTGATCTGAGACCCCTTAATTCTTTCAGTGATTTTAACAGTAGGTGTGAAGGCCGTACTCTAAATTTACCTTTGTGAAAAGGCTACATGTTCTTGCCTTTGTTCCTCTAAGATTTTTCAGTTTTATCTTTTGCTGTTAAGGAATGAAACACAGATGCTACTTCAAATTCTAAATGTTCTCTAATTTATGGACTCCCTCTATTTCCTTTCACCTTATTGCAAATTTCTCATTTGTTCTCTGGGCTTATCCCTTTTTCTGTAATATACCTTCTGAAGCAACCACCAGCAACCGATACATACTAGCAGTTTTCAATCTCTTCCCTTAAAGCTACCAATGCATTAGGTACATAATCTGCTGCCCAGACTACTGTGCGGTTTTTGAGACAATTTCACTAAAGGTTTCACTGTGGTATTGTGTTGGTCATCACCTTGTTTGCCTTCAGTGATAGCTTCCGTGTCACCTGTTGCCTGAACACTAAGCCACTGTCATAGAGTTTGGGATTGTGGTCTCATAGTACTCCCCTTCAAGTTTCCATTTTCTGTGTTAATCCAGAATGACTGGGTTAATGCTGAGGCAAGAAGAAATTTCTCAAATCTCAGTGGCTTAAAACAACACAAGTTTATTTTCACTGGTTCTACATGTCCATCTCGCAACCTGAGGAGGCTGTGCTTACATATGTCTCACCTAGAGATCCAGGCTACGGAGCCTCCACTATCTGCCCTGTCCTCAGGAAGAGGGAAGGGTGTGTAGTGAATCAAGGATAGGCTTTTAAGATCTTCTGCCTTGAAGTGGCCATTTTGAATCATTGGCCAAAGAAAGTCACATTGTGGTGCCTAATTTCAAATGGTTGCCGGGAAGTGCGAAGTCCTTCCTAAGCACGCCGTAAATCCTTTAATACTAATTTCCGCTTCATCTCTGAGCATTTGCACATGTTGTTTGCTCTTCCTGGAACATCCTTTCCTTTCTCTCCTCTGCCTTATAAAGTCCTAATTCAAAACACAGTTCACAGGTCCCCTATGTCAGTGGTCACCAAACTTTTTGGCACCAGGGGCCAATTTCATGGAAGACAAATTTTCCCTGGACAAGGGCTGTTGTGTGTGTGGAGTGGGGGTGGGTTTCAGGATGAAACTGCTCCTCCTCAGATCATCAGGCATTAGATTCTTATAAGGAGCGCACAACCTAGATCCCTTGGATGCGAAGGTCACAATAGGGTTTGCACTCCTGTGAGAATCTACTGCCCCCTGCTAATCTGACAGGAGGAGGAGCTCAGATAGTAATGCTTACCTCTGCTATGTGGCCCAGTTACTAACACGCCACAGACCAGTACCAGTCTGCTGTCCAGGGGTTGGGGGTCCCTGCCCTATGTTACAAAACATTTCTCAATATGACATTGAAGAAAAAAACCCTACTCTCTGGTGTTCTTATGGAATGTTGCTCCAGCATTTGCCAAACTGCATCCTAATTATGCATTCATGTGATTTTTCCCACTGGACTTTGGACTCTTGGAGGATATGATTTGATTATTTTTTCAATTCCAAGTACCTACACAGTGCCAGGCACATGGTAGATGCTAAAGGAATTATTATGGAGTGAATTTGGTTTTGAGATATCAATTATAAAATCGAAGGCTGATTCTTTCCTTTAGATTAAGATGTTAATTATACTTTTTGTTATAATAATTTTGAATGAAGGATTTGGTCTTGCAGTTATTTTTATTTGAGATGATCTTCCATTTCTTTCCTTTCATTCCGTCTTCTATTATCACAGTGAAGGCTTTCAAAACAATGCGCTTGGACTACTCTAACAACTTCTTAGCTAATGTGCTTAGTTTTACTCCTTCTCATTCATTCTATGGCTAAGATAATTTCTTCTCATCATGAAAAAGCCATTGTTTTGACCACACCATGCCCCATAACCTACAAGGATTTTCTATCATTTGTCGGTTCTTGCTCTTAAAATACTATCAAATTTGGAACTCAGTTTTCATCTCACAACCTATTTCTGGTTGTCATTATCCATTCCTTCTCAAATCTTCCACTCTCCTTCAGTCTCAACTAACTTCCCATTGATTTCAAAATAAAGTCAAGGCAACTTTAGGGTTTTCTAAGACCCTTCATGACCTGCCTCCTTTCTTTCAACTCTAGACTCAACTTTCTCCTTATTCAATTCTCTACTTCCATATACAACTAGAGCTACATCTAACTTACCCAATTTCTTCAAATCTGTCTCTTCTCTCTCATTTCTAGAACTTTGACCTCACTGCCTGAAACTCTCTTCCCCTTCCTTTTAAGAGACCAATTCTACTTTCAGTATGACATTCTTCCAGTATGCCTTTAACTGTTACTTCATTGGAATGCAATCATTCTCGACTCTGCTGGACTTGGTCATGGATCTGTTTAGTATGCTATACTCCCACATAACATCACCTGCCACGTTTTGTTATTTTCATCCATTTAATGGTCTAGGGCTGAGTGCTGGATCATATCTGCATGTCTACAATGATAATCATAATGGTTAATATTTATTACACACTTTTGCATCAGACATTTTGATAGGAATTTTGTATAATGTTGCAGATACTAGCTAGTAGTTCACTAAATCCTTTCTATTTCCTGGAAACTCAGCTGGATGGCATTTCCCAGGCTCCTGTGTAGTTAGATGTAAGCAAATGATCACATTCTATCCAATGAGAGGTGAGTGGGATGATAAGCGTCACTGTAAGATCTAGTGTGTAAATCCTCTCGCCCAAGATCATCTTAGTTCTCTCCCATTTCCCTGAAGAGTACAGCCTGAATAATCCTGTAGAATGGTATCATACCAAATCAAATACCGATTGACCTCATAGGAACCAAAAATAAACTTCAACTGTATTAGGCTATTTTTGGTTACATTTTTACAGCACCTACCATTTTCTAATCAATGCAAACACATTTTTATTAAATTATTGGGTATGAATATTATTATAATTACCACTTTTTATATGATTAAACTCAGATAAGGAAAGATGAAGTAACTGCTCGAAGGTTACACAGGTAACTGATGGGGCCTAGATCTAAATCCAGACAGGCTGACCTCAAAGCTCAAATTTTAACAATAGTGCCCTCTATTATTATATTACATATTAAAATGACAACAACATATTAAAGTGATAAAAAATCAAGCAGAAACATGTTTTAAAGCTACAGTGATTGAAAGAGTGAAAGAAAACAGAGAATACTGGAGTAGAATCATGAAGCTCAGAATCAGTCCTATTTTATAACTATTGAGCCAATAATGGTAATGTTTCAAATTAGAAGTGAAAGTTACATATTTTCATACTTGTAGATATATATTATAGATGGATTAAAAATATTAAATATAAAAATAAAATCACAATAAAATTATAATAAAATGGCAGATTGTATTCTGATTTTATTTCTAACTTTTAACAAAACATTCAGTACTTAGTAATATGTTCAACAAATATGTTAACAATGAATCTGATTTTATGACTACCTGTCATCTGACTTCATGCCCCCATCCATTCACTTTGTTTCAGAAAATATGTGTTTTGCATACCTGTAGAGAAAAAAAAACCCTACTAGAGGTATAGTTTTCAGGTTCTGTGAGATTTTACGTTACAGAGGATATTTTAGTTTATTTTAGAAGTGTTAAACAGTCTTATTAAAGAGTATGAATAGAAAAAAATGTACCTGGGTAAAAATCATGAAAACTTAAATCTTATATTTCTAAGGACAGAGATCAGTTCAGAATTGTTTAGTTCATACTCATGTTCATTTTACTTATAGGATGTTTACTGCTAACATGATTAGTTGAGGCATTTGCTCAATATATTGAAAGGCAAATAAAATGTCATATTCTATGTGTTCATTAGCAGAGAGTTCAAAATGATTTTCTGTTTATTAGGTCCCCAGTTCTTCAAAATCAAAACTTGGAAAATCTACTCAGAAAATTTCTAGTGGCCAGGAATCTTTTATGAAGAAGACCTAGGGGCTTAGGTCAGTATTAGTGTTTTTAATAGAAAAATACATATATTTTATCATATGTCAATTTTTATTTCAATTAAAGAACTTATATGAGAATGCCTGAAATATCTGTGATTTTTCCCAGACCTAATATATAATCGTTTTAGCAGGATGTCAAGGATTAAAAATTTGCCACTCTTCCTCTGGAGTGGTGAGGTCTATCTTTCCTTCCCTTGAATATATCTGACCGGACGTCTAGTAGAATGCAGTGGAAGTGATGCTGTGTGGCTTTAGGAGCCAGACCTTAAGATATCTGCAGCTTGTGCTTTTGTCTTCTTAGAGTCCTGCTTCTAGAAAGCAAGCCACCATGTAAGAAGTCTGTGTTAGTTTGCTGAAGATAATAGCTTCCAAATTCATCCATGTCCCTGCAAAGGACATGGTCTCTTTCCTTTTGATGGCTGCATAGTATTCCATAGGTTATATGTACCACATTTTCTTTATCCAGTCTATCACTGATGGACATTTGGGTTGATTCCGTGTTTTTGCTGTTGTGAATGGTGCTGCATTTATTGAACATACATGTGCATGTATCTTTATAATAAAATGTATCTTTATAATCATTTAGGTATATACCCAGTAATGGAATTGCTGCATCAAATGGTATTTCCTGTTCTAAATCTTTGAGGAATCACCACACTGTCTTCCACAGTGGTTGAACTAATTTATATTCCCACCAACAGTATAAAAGCGTTAGGAAAAATAGCTAATGCATGCTGGGCTTAATACCTAGGTGATGGGTTTGTAGGTGCAGCAAACCACTATGGCATACATTTACCTATGTAAAAAACTTGCACATTCTGCACATCTACTCCAGAGCTTAAAATAAAATAAAATAAAAAGTCTGTGATGCCAGTAGCCAAAGACGTTCCTTTATGCTACCAGCCATTCCTATTATGCATGCCTTTAGGAGTTCCCTTTGCTAAAATCTGGGCTGGGCCTGTGACTTGCTCTTGATTAATAGAGAGTGGCCAGGGTGATACTGTGTCACTTGGAATTCAGGTCATAGGAAGCCTAGAAATTTCTTGTCTGAACTTTTCTAGATACACACTCTTGGGATGCTCCCTCTTAACACCCAGCTGCCATGATGTGTGAAGTCAAAGTCACATAGAGGAGGCCAGGTGTAGGTGCTCCCAGTGATGCTTACATTTGTGCTCCCAGAAACAGTCAACATCAACGGCCAGTCCTGGGCCCAAGCTTTTGGGTATCCAGATCAGTCAAGCCTTAGCATAACTATACCCCAGTTAATATCTGACAGCAGCCACATAAGAGACCTCAATACTACGAGAAATTATCATAAATTATTGTACTGTTACAAACAATGGACAGCTGGAGCAAAATCTGACTACTCTGAGACTTTCATAACAGAGCAGCCTTCTCTGCCACTGTGAAGGATGGCAGTATGACTTCCCCAGAGGAGCTACTGGATTGGCTGAGAGTCTTATTATCTCTTAGCCATGCAAGAAGAAAGAGACCACATTCAAGAACACAAAGAGCCAGATATGCAAGTGAAACCTTTTTGGACTGGCCAGCCCAGGCTAGCCACTCATGAACACAGATGAGTGAATAACCCCAGGTGACACCACAGGGAGCAGAGAAATTCTTCTCTGAGCCCTGCCTAAGCTCCTAGCACCCAGAATGGTGAGCAAACGAAAGGTTGTTGCTTTATACCACAATATTGTGCAGTAATTTGTAATGAAGCATAAGATAACTCTGTATTTTGATAATCTCAAAATACAGAGTATCTGAGATTAGATCTATACATTCAAAGCTAGATCTTTTTAGACTTTGATTTTAATGTGTGTATAAATTAACAGGAGCAATGGACTAAAGTGTGAAAGTGCTTTAGGATAACTTGCTGAGTGCATCGAGAAGAAATGAAATTATTTAAATACTTATGGCCAAAGTGTTGGATGGGAACAGTGATGGAAAAGGTCGGAGAAGGAGGCTGAGCTGCTCCTCTATTTGTGGAGGACATGGGATAGGTTATCTTGGAGGATGTAGGACTCTGGTTGCTCAGACCTGTCACTATCTACCCATGGCACACAGAGCATGCATTTGTGGGCTGCTTCTCTCTCCCACCTCCTTCCCTTTGACACCTTTTTCATCACTTCTACATCTCCCCAGAAACATAGGCATATTCTCACTCCTCACTGTAGTGTTACCAGCATGTCAACTGATCACCAACATTTGAGTTGTTGGGAGAAAACCAAAGAACACAACCAATACATAAATCTCCCTATGACGGATAATTCTCTCTTCCAGTTGCTTTTTCCTCCAGCCACTTCTCCAGATAGACAACAAGCTCAGTGGGTGCTGCTAGAATCAAGGCATCTGCTTACCCACAGTCCCCTGCACTAGAGCTATCAGCAGTTTGTATGTAGAGCAGGGAAGCCAGTTGATATTAGCTGCTCCCCAAAACCATGCATCCTGTCATTTCTCTTCACATTGTCACACTAGTTTGAAGCCCACCACTTTCCAGAAAGCTCCACCCCCAGAACTTGGTTGTTTATTTATGGACAACATGCTCTTGGACCCTAAAATTCTGGTTGGAGTTTGATCTGAGCAATTGTTAATTGAACAGTGTAATTGGAACAGAAAACAGAGCAACAATCTCTGCCACTGTGAAGGTCAGAAACATGACTGCCCCAGAGGAGCTGCTGTATTTGCTGAGAGTCCTGACTGTCAGGTCTTTGACACTGTTCCCTTGGATCCAGCCCTCAGAGAAAGAGTGCTTTTCCAGAGTGTCTCCCTGTCCCCATCCATGTGCAGGTCAGCTCTGCAGAGCACGGCCTGAGATTTTTCATTTCTTTCATTAAAAAAAAAAAATCTAAAGTATGCAAATGTTTAGCCTGAAGGAAGAGCTGGCACTTTCATCTTTCAGTAAGTAAAGGAAGCAGTGGTGGGAACGACTAGTCTGGATTTAATTCTAACCTACAAGGAAGGACATGTCGATGGGCTCTGAATAACAGGAAACTTAGAAGAAAGAAGTGATCTCATGTTAGAGTTGCTAATTATAAAACACAAATATAATGAGTATATCAGACACAGACTCAGGCTTTATAAAAGCAAATTTCAAAAGGTTCCAAGAAAATGTACAAAATAAATGTCTCAGTTGGCTAGAAATTCTAAAGTAATGGAAGATGGACATTCTAAAAATAAGTAAGCCAGGAGCAAGGAAACAGAAAAGGACATGACAGTCCCATAAATGTTTTCAATGAGGAAAACATCTGGAAGAGCCTGGAGTGGAAGGTGATACAAAAAGAAATCAGTGGCTGGCTGTGGTGGCTCACGCCTGTAATCCCAGCGCTTTGGGAGGCTGAGGCAGGTGGATCACGAGGTCAGGAGATCAAGACCATCTTGGCCAACATGTTGAAACCCCATCTGTACTAAAAATACAAAAATTAGCCAGGCGTGGTGGCATGCACCTGTAGTCCCAGCTATTCGGGAGTCTGAGGCAGGAGAATTGCTTGAGCCAGGGAGGCAGAGGTTGCAGTGAGCCGAGACTGCACCATTGCATGCCAGCCTGGAGACGGAGCGAGACTCTGTCTCAAAAAAAAAAAACCAAAAAACAAACAAAAAAGAAATTAGTGTGGCTGCACAAGAAACCTCTGACTCATTCATATTTTAAAATACCATACATGGAAGACAGAGGGAAGAATGATGGCCCAAGCCAAATAAAAATGAGTGACAAACTCGGCAGGTATAATGACAAGAAAGTTAATGATTCACAGTAAATTAAGGCTTGTAGAAAATGCATGTAACACTTAAAACATCTTTGGGTGAATTTAGGTTATAAAGAATAGGGAGGACATAGACTTGTTACTGAGGCAGGATTATTTACAAATGAAAGAGAATGAAATAACAAAACCAATAAACAAATACTCTACTTCAATAATTCCTATAAGGAGAAAGGAAATCTAGATATTAAAAAGGTAAAAGACTGTATTTAAATAAAATTGGTGTCTAAAATGGGTTAACAAGGCACTGACCCAACAGCCTGAAATGGTTCCCTTCTCTGTGCCCAGGCAAACTGTTCCCCAGAGTACTGCAGAAGGAGAGAAGCATAGCCAATCTGAGGGACAGTGGCCGATAAGAAGCCTCACTACTTGAAGTTTGCTCCACATCCTGGCAGTGCCATATCACCTCGAAACTTGATGAAAATACAGTCACAGGCTTCACCTCAAGCCTTCTGAAGCTGCATTTTAACTGTATGTCTTGTGATACACACACACAGTAAAGTCTGGAAAGCTCTGTTAAAAAAAAAAAAAGAGAGACAAATAACATGACTTTCAATACAGGTCAACTCTGTACACTAAAGCTTGCTGAGTTTTGACACTAATCTCAGCAGAATTGGAGGAAGAAGGATTCCAGAGATGGCTTATGTGCATATTGAAGGGCTGTAGTCATCTCTAGGCCTGGGAGAAGTTCCCTAGGAACTAAGCACACGCACTCAAGCCATCTCAAAGTAAAATGAGGGTGGTATATCAGAATGTCAGGTACTTTTGTGTGTTTGTGAGAGAACACAGCATAAGGGTTAAAAAAAAAAAAGGCTCAGCTGGGCGCGGTGGCTCACGCCTGTAATCCCATCACTTTGGGAGGCCAAGGCGGGTGGATCAGCTGAGGTCAGGAGTTTGAGACCAGCTTGGCCAACGTGGTGAAACCCCACCTCTACTAAAAATACAAAAATTAGCCAGGCGTGATGGTGGGTGCCTGTAATCCCAGCTACTCGGGAGGCTGAGGCAGGAGGATCACTTGAACCTGGGAGGTGGAGGTTGCAGTGAGCCGAGATCGCACCATTGCACTCCAGCATGGGCGACAAGAGTGAAACTCCATCTCAAAAAAAAAAAAAAAAAAAAAAAAGGCTGGGGAGCCAGGGTTCTGAATTCAGATCCTAGTTTTGCCACTTGCTGTGTGACTTTCACCAATGGCTTATGTTCTCTGTGTCAGTTTCCTCATCTGTAAAACAGAAAAAAACAAAACAACAACAACAAACAACAATGTTGCCTGTAGCATAGGTTTCTGTGAGGAGGAAATAAGCTGATAAAAGTAAAGCACTTCTAAACACATATGGAACCTGGATTGGATCTTGGAACAGAAAGAGAACAGTGATGAAAACTGGTAAATTCCAAATAAAACCTGTAGTTGTAGTTAATAGCAGTACATCACTGTTATTTTCTTAGTTTTGACAAATGTGCATAGTTATGTAGGATGCCAACATTGGAGGGAAGTGGGTGAAGGGCATAAGAACTTCCTGTACTATCTTTGCAATTTTGCTACAAATCCAAAATTTTCTCAAAGTTTACTTTTCCAAAAAATAAATACTTCCTTACGTAATAAACACTCTATAAATGCAAGGCTAATTGTGCCTAACACATAACAGCACCTAACATATAACAGCACCTAACATGTAATAAACACTCAGTAATGTGAGCTATTATAATTGTTTTAAAAGTTTGTTTATTGATAGTCAGTACATAAAAATTGAGAGAGTCTAATATAGGAATACTAATCCTGATTCAGCAATGCCTCTTGGATAAAGATTTAGAAGATACAATTATCATGTTTTGAGTTAGGATAAAACTCAAAGACAGCTAGTATATTTAAAGCTTCAATCCACTAGATTTCCTTTAAGCAAAAGACATCCACTTTAGCTTTAGTGTGGCTTATAAAATCAGAGGAGGTGCAGGATAACAGGCCCTGGAAAGGGAGGATTAGGGAAACTCTGGCGATCTAAGAAGCAGGAATGAATGGATAGTCTATTCAGCAGGCAGCTCAGGGAGGTAAAAACCACGGTAGTTTTCGTCTTTGGGTCCCTGCAAGACTCATATTCCAAGGAGCAAGAGCAACTAATTAGCCCAACCTGAGTTATACATTCCCTCTGGAATCCAGCACATGAACAGAGAAGGGAGGAGGAAGCTGTAACAAGAAGGAAGGGAAATAGACCCTAGGCAGGCAAAAGGAACAGAAATCCAGAGGAGACCAGAGTTTTGAAAAGATCTTAACAAAATGGAAAAGGATTCAAATACTATAAAATCTGGCAACACAGTGGGACTCAATCTGCCACCTACCTGCCCAGACAATTCACTAGGAGGAGGTTAGAGAGCATCCTCAGTGGGTGAAGGTCCTCCTGACACAGCACTGATGAGAAGGCCTTCCTGCTCTTGTTTGGGTTCCATATTTTAGTGGAAATTTTTAATCTGAAATAAATAAGGTAATGTTCCTGGAGTTTCCATTGCTGGGTACCATGATCTCTAAAGTGAGATATATGTAACCCAGAGAGGAGCAAAATAGTTCTTTGTGGGAAGGTAAAATTATTAGAACTGCTATTAATATTTACATTTTATAGAGAGAAAGAAATTCATTGAACCTAAGTGATCTTTGTTCTACAGATTGTCACTGGCATGCTCTCTGGGACCAGAAGTTAGATGATGGTGTGTCACGTACCCTGTACCATATATGGGGTTGGAGCAAAGGTTTCATCCTGGTGCCCACACTCCCATGTGCTCTGGGGATCACGACATACTTCAACTTAAACAGACCCAGTTAAGTGGGTTTGAGAAGGGACTTGAGAAGTTTCTCTCAATGAGGCACCAGATCAAAAGTAAAACTAATGGTAGAACAAGGAAACCAAACAAGATAGGAGAACTTGTACTTCTGTTCCCAGCACAAACTGCTTATTAGCCACATGAAGAGCTAAAAGCAATAGCAATCTAAATAAGCCTAAAGAAGCTGGCTAACACATTTGAAATAGTCAAGAAGAACATCTGAACTATGGATCTGTAACATTGAATGATAAACCTTGCCCTAAATCAATGGTTCTAAATCAGGGGTGACCATGCCCCTGAAGAGACATTTGGAATACTAGCAATGCCTAGATATTTTTAGTTATTAAAACTGAAACGTGCTATTGGCCTCTAATTGGGAGAGACCAGGGATGTAGTTAAACCTCCTATAATGTACATTGTATAGCTCCCACCACCAACAAAGAATTATCTGGCCCCAAATCAATAGTGTTGATGTTGAGAAACCTTGAACTAAATTAAATATGTATTGTGCCTTGAGATAGCAAATGTATATTATCTAGGCATATACAATTTATAAAGTAACATATAAAGTTAAACTTATAACAATATATATTCAAAATACATTTATGGGAGACAACTGTAAATCAGTAAAAGAGTTCGGACACCATCAGAATAGCACATATCAGATGCTTGTAAAAGTTATTGTTCGCCTTTATTTAAAGGCTGGTTAAAGTTTTTGAAACCATGTCACTGGACTTATTGAAGAATCTGTGATTATAGAATATAAAATAGAAGATGAAGAAGCGCATTAGCTGCCTTCAGAAAGCTGAAAGAGTATTCTGTAGAAGAAAGATTTGTCTTAGTGGTGTATCTCCAGAGAGTCAGAGCTAAGATCACTTAAAAACCAAAAGGACTATTTTGATGGAATAGAAGGAAGATTTTTCTAACAATTTTCTTGTCCAGGTGATGAAATGAGCCGATGCACTATAGGCTGTTCTCACTTGGGATGGAATGTTGGCCAAGATGAGCTATATGGGCCTCAGCTTGACAATTCTGCAAATTTCTTCTTAAAAGTGTAAACAGCTTCTCATGCAGTTTGTGCTGTACTCCAATGTGCCACACTATGTCTTTAAAGTAGAGGTTGCTAAGTTGTGGTTCTTAGAAATGTGGTTTGTTTTCAGAATGGTGTTTAAAAGCAATTATAAAATAATACTCAATATTTAGCAATTTTTTTTTCTTATTCAACTTTTATTTTAGAATAAAGAGGATACATGTGCAGGTTTGTTACAAAGGTATATTGTGTGATGCTAAGGTTTAGAGTATGACTGAATCCGTCACCCAGGTAGTGATCAGGGTACCCAATAGGAAGTTTTTCAGCCCTTTCCTTCCTCCTGCTCTTCCTGCTTTAGTTGACCCCATTGTTTATTATTCCCATCTTTATGTTTAGCTCCCACTTATGAGTGAGAACAAATGGTATTTGGATTTCTGTTTCCATATTAGTTCTCTTAGGATCATGCCCTCCAGCTGCATCCATGTTGCTATAAAGAACATGATTCCATTCTTTTTGATAGCTGTATAGTATTCCATAGTGTATATGTACCACATTTTCTTTATCCAATCCACCACTGATGAGTACTTGGGTTGATTCCAAGTTTTTGCTATTGTGAATATTGCTGCAATAAACATAGGGTTGCATGTGTCCTTTCAGTAGAATGGCTTATTTCCCTTTGGGTACAACTTATGGTAGTTCAACTCTTCATTTTTGAGAAATCTTCAGATTGCTCTCCACAGTGGCTGGGCTAATTTACATTCCCACCAAGAGTTTGTAAGTGTCTCCTTTTCTCCACAGCCTTGCCAATATCTGTTGTTTTTTGACTTTCTAACAAAAGTCATTCTGACTGGCGTGAGATGGTATCTCATTGTGGTTTTGGTTTGTGTTTCTCTGATGATTCACGATGATGAGCATTTTTTCATATGTTTATGGGCCACTTACATGTTTTCTGTTGAGAAGTGTCTGTTCATGTCTTTTGCCTATTTTTTGTTGAACTTGTGTGGATCAGCTGGTTGTAAATGTGTGGCTTCATTTCTGGGTTCTGTAATCTGGTCTATTGGTCTATGTGTCTGTTTTTGTGCCATTACTATGCTGTTTTGGTTACTATAGCCTTATAGTATAGTTTGAAGTCAGGTAATGCGATGCCTCTGGCTTTGTTCTTTTTGCTTAGGGTTGCTTTGGCTATTTGTGCTCTTTTTTGGTTCCATATGAATTTTATAGTTTTTTATAGTTATGTGAAAAGTGACATTGGCAGTTTGATAGAAATAGAATTGAATCTGTAAATGGCTTTGGGAAGTATGGCCATTTTAACACTATTGATTCTTCTGATTCACGAGCATGAAATATTTGTCCATTTATTTGTGTCATCTCTGATTTTTTTCAGCAGTGTTTTGTAGTTCTTGTAGAGATCTTTCACCTCCTTGGTTAGCTGTATTCCTAGGTATTTAATTTTCTTCATGGCTATTATAAATGGAATTGTGGTCTTAATTTGGCTCTTGGGTAGAACATTATTGGTGTATAGAAATGCTGCTGACTTTTGTATATTGATTTTGTATCCTAAGACTTTACTGAAGTCATTTGTCAGTTCTAAGAGCTTTTGGGTGAAGTTTTTAGGGTTTTCTAAGTATGGAACCATATCGTTAACAAAGAGACATAGTTTGACTTCTTTCCCTATTTGGATGCCTTTTATTTCTTTCTCTTGCCCGATTGCTCTGGCTAGGACTTCCTGTGCTATGTGGAATAGGAGTGGTGAGAGTAGGCATTCTTGTCTTGTTCCAGTTCTCAACATTTGGAAAGCAAATGGACTTAACATAAGCAATCCAGGTTTCAGGTTTCAGATTTCTTCTGTAATATGAATAGATATGTCAATATCAAGTCCATATTACTACCTAGCAACCAGAAGCTGGGATTGTCTGCTTTGCTCATTTCTATAACCTGCTTTAACCCTACAGTACTTGAGTTTTGGAGGTAAGTAGTCGTTTAGGAAGCTGACTATAGCCACAAGACTTGGCTGCTTATCCTTCTGCCTTCATTTACTAGTGGTGTAACCTTTGGCAAGGTACTTACCTTCTCTTTAATTTTTTCATCTGGGATATGAAGATAACAATAATACCTACCTCATAGGGGTATATAAAGATTAATTGAACTCACTACATACAAAGTCCCTGGAATAGTTCCTGACACATAGCAGGTGTTCAGTAAACGTGACAATTATTTCAGTTTGTGGCCCCTGATAGAAAGGCTGCCTGCTATCACACATTCTTGGAAGAGTGTTTGAGTCAGCATGGGTCCATTGATCTGACATTACCATTTTAATGGATGTTGCACTAGGAACACAAGTCATGTTTCCATGCAGAAATTGAAGCAATAGTCTAGACCATTTTTATATGTCAGCCCTATGACTACATAGAGTAATGAAAATGAAATAAAAAGTGGTTGGGGAGATGAGAAAGGACAGTTTGCTCTGTTTTATGTATCTTTGATAATTTCATGTCAGAAGTTCACCGTGGAAACATGAATCTACACAACTATGACTTTGGGGGAACAATGGACACTATCACTATAGTTCAGCACAATGACACTGGAGACTAGAGGAGAGAACTTGAAAGAGAAATTTAGACGAGATGGAAAGAATAATGTTCAAAGATGTCTATTCAAGCACCAAAGGATAACTTCAGTTCCCAAAGACAACTAACCTAGCATTTCATCATCTAGGATATTCCAATCAGTTAATTTCAAACGAAGCTTGAGTTAAAATTGCATTGTCATCTTGCCTTGCTCGAATTAAAGGTTTATTTTTATTAGTTGGATAGGTTTTCTTTCAGTTTTACGGAAAAAATTGAAAAATGGACAGAGTCCATTAGGAGATATATGGGATTTAGTGAATTTTTACCCAATGAACAAAACCTGGCTTTGAAATTGGTTGTATAACCTTCTTATTTCAGGATCAGGCTGATCAGAGATGCCACACATACCTTCTGCCATTGGTTGCTATGCAGAGCAAAACCACAAGGCCTAGAAATTGCAGGTTCGTTCATTCTTCAGTGCTTAACAATCTCCCAAGGAAGGTAGATGCATTTTCCAAGATAGCAGTTTCATCAAAGAACAGCCGATAATGACAGATAAAGAGCAGCCTGGCGGCTTGAGCTTATGTCCGTTTCAAGGATTTACTGAATACTAATAGAACACAGCTTTTGTTGAGAAAATGCCTTTGCAGTCAGTGATTGCCTTGTGTCGTTAAACCTAGCCACCAATTGTTTTGCCCCACAGGATCTGTAATACTTTACCAAATCAGGGAAAAATATTAATTAGATTTTTTTTAATTTAGGAAGAAGTTCGACTTTAAGTATGTATTTATTTATTCAATAGTGAAAAGATTTGTGTGTATGGTGAGTGATTTCCGTTTCGTTACTATAGAGTGACACATGGTACATGTGGGAGGCAGAATGAAATGATCTGTAATCCCATTCTAATAAAGGCAGTTTGAAGCATATGTTATTGGGCCATCCCGTACATACACACCCTGAACTACACAATTATGCTTTTCATTACATGTTATGTTACACTTTCTCTATTTGTATACATTGGTTTTTACCTCTCAAGCTGTAATATACATTTCACAAGGTCATGGTCCTAGTACTTCTTTTACTCGTCCATGTTGTTATTAAGAGAAATTGGGCACATGTCATAGGTTGAAAATACATGTTAATTGAGTAGCACAGATTGTGAGTTCAGAAAGTGACAGGAAAAAAGAAGGCGGCTTTG
This sequence comes from Homo sapiens, assembly GCF_000001405.40. NCBI lineage: Eukaryota > Metazoa > Chordata > Mammalia > Primates > Hominidae > Homo > Homo sapiens. The sequence goes on from NC_000002.12 coordinate 220,704,223, forward strand.
GCAGATTCCAACAGAAGCTGAGTTTTTAAAGGAGTAAATGGAAACATATGAAAAATTTGACCTAAGTGATGGAAAAAATAAAACTCTGGGAAGGCGGCTTGTTCCAACTTTCTGCTAAGCCAAGACCTTCAAAACAGGAATTGACAATTTTGAATGATGAAGAGAAATCTTTGGCTATACCAAAATAGATGTAATCTTCAAATTACTTAGATTACGGAGATGTAAAACCAGATTAAAAATCTCAGTTCTTTGAATATTTGATATACAAGTTTCCCTCTCACTTCTCTCTGTTTTTCATCTTCATGACTTTTGGCCTAATAAAGACTTCATTAAAAATAAACAAAGGGGTGTCTGGTTGCCTTATTTACTGGTGATAATCATAGGAAATATGTTTACTTTCCTTCTGAAACCAATGGTCTTATCTCCATTCACTTGCATTTGTATCAATGAAAGTTACTTGAAATCAGCATCACATAAGAATTTCAACCCGGTATCTTAATATGGTATCAGTCAAATATTTGGGCTGAGGTCACAAACACAGCCGTGAGGTGGGATTAGTGCCTTCAGCACTTTCTCTGAAGTTGTTAGAGGGGGTGAATGCCATGCCCACTGTCATGGCTTTTGAACAAAAGTTCTGATGATTTTTTATGTAAATACCAGCATTTTTGAAATGTACAATTAATCTGTGTGTGAATCAAAATGCTGCCTCCTCTCCTACAATGGATGAGTGATGGATTTTGATTGTATCAGGGCATACTCAGGCCCTCCTGTGTTTGGGTAGCTTTCAGAAAATCAATACATCACTGAAGTCCTTCCTACAGAATTTAAAGTAACGGAAGCAACCACCTTGAGTCACCACATCTATAAATTTTTACAGTGCAGTTCACCAGACATATGTCCTTTATTCTTTTCTTTTTTTTTTTTTTTTTTGAGACGGAGTCTCTCGCTCTGTCACCCAGGCTAGAGTGCAGTGGCGCGATCTCAGCTCACTGCAAACTCCACCTCCCGGGTTCATGCCATTCTCCTGCTTCAGCCTCCCGAGTAGCTGGAACTACAGGCACCCGCCACCACACCCGGTTAATTTTTTGTATTTTTAGTAGAGACGGGGTTTCACCGTGTTAGCCAGGATGCTCTCAATCTCCTGACCTCGTGATCTGCCTGCCTCGGCCTCCCAAAGTGCTGGGATTACAGGCGTGAGGCACCACGCCCAGCCCTATTCTTCTATTTATTGCATAAGAGAAAAGACGGTAACTTAACATTTGTTGAACAAGTCCTATGGGTCAAGTTTTGTTTAGGGCCTTAACATGATTGACTCTTCCGTAACACTCTGAGTGAGGTGTGGTTATTGTCATTTGTACAAAAGGAAATTGAAGCAGAGGAGTTAAGTGACTTGCTCAAGGCACACACAGCTAATGGATATTAGAGTGGGGATTTGAATCTAGATCTATCTTAAAACATAGTCCATGATGATTATTATTTTTCTTTGTCTCCCATTAAAAATAACAATTTTCAATTTTCTGCAATTCTAGCACCCTAATTATATCATATTTATAGAACTGGCATTTACTAGGTATGACCACATTCCACAGCTTCACTTTACTGCTTTAAACGTATGCTTTTAATCCTCATCATAATTCTGCAAAGTCGGTAAAATTATTACCTCTTCTACATTATAAATGTGGAAACTAAGGCATAGGAATGCTATTTAAATTTCCCAAGGTCATGTGACGATTTAGTGGCAAAGCAGGATTTGAGCCCAGGCATGTGGCTCTAGAGTCTGTCCTTGCAATCACTATCCTCAACTGATATACTCTGTATGCTGCACCGTGTTAAACAGAGCACAGACATAGCTCTGATCTTGAAGTATGCCATTTAGTATATTGATATCTAATTACCTAATAGGGACTCAAAATAGAGTTTCTCTGGGTGTCTCCTTTCAAAATAGTTTATGCACTAGCTGAATTGGGGTGAATAAATAACATTTCTCTGTGCTATGAGTTTTATGTGTTTAGGAGTTAATTTCTCCTACTTAATAACACTGTATCTGTAAAAGACCAATTCTCTCTATTCTGTTAAAAACACAGGAGATTCTTTAATAAAAGTATAATTTATGTGATGTTTGCCCACCAAATTATCTTTTCTGTTCACTTTAAATTAATTACAGATGGTATATGGGCCAAAGTGGGTTACAATATATTCAGGCATTCACATTATTTCCAATAGAGGACTCAAAGTAACATCTTACAATTGCTTTGACTTTTTTTTTAATAAAATAAAATAAATGGGCATCTTGCTTGCCTTTGAAGATCCCTTTGCTAATCTCAGATTGCCATCTGAAATTTTAATTAGTGAATTGAAATGTGCTTACACAAAGAACCTTGTCCAAGTTGTCTGTTTCTGCCAAATTAAACTATTAAACTAAGTAACCTAATTAAAATCCTTTTAGCTTTTAATCAATATTTTATTTACATCCATATTTCCCAGGAAGCTTAATGAGTTTTTTGGAAGTGATAGTTATTTCTGTCCCATTTATCAGAGTTCAATTTTAAGAAGTAAGTTATCTCCTCTAAGGCCATGGAGGCAGCAAGAAACAGATGAGGACATCTTTGGTGCAGACCCCTCTGTCCTCTACCAGCCCTGGGTGCACAGGAAGCTGGGCAATGCTCCTGCAGCTTCCGGGTGAGGTAGACAGCTGTGGGAAAAGATAGGAGCAGCTCCACTGCCCTACACACAGCCAGCCCCTCTGCCCTTTCCTCCCAGAGACGCTGGCAACATACCTGGCAGTGATTACAGAGGGTGAAAACCACAATGTGCTCTCCAAGGAAAAAAGTAGGTTTCCCTATTGCTTATTCTTGAGAGTCAAATAGTTTCATGAGGGGCCTGGGCATGGTGGCTCACGCCTGTAATCTCAGCATTTTGGGAGGCCAAGGCAGGTGGATCGCTTGAGGACAGGAGTTCAAGACCAGCTTGGCCAACATGGTGAAACTCCATCTCTACAAAAAACGCAAAAATTAGCCAGGCATGGTAGCAGGCACCTGTAATCCCAACTACTCAGGTGGCTGAGGCACAAGAATTGCCTGAACCTGGGAGGCTCAGGCTGCAGTGAGCAGAGATTACACCACTACACTCCAGCCTGGGCAACAGAGTGAGAGTCCATTTCCAAAAAAAATAGTTTAATGAGGTTTATGAAAATAGCATTCTTTTTATTCATTCCCTGGTCATCCTTCCTCGCTCATCCCGTTTACCAGAGGCAAGCACTTTCAGATCACTTTATAAATTTATCAGTGTCTCTAAAAAGCATACTTACGTGACAACTTCCTGATTTCTAAATTTTAGACCTCAACTATTAATTTCCTACTGTACAAAATAATGACTTAGCTTTCTTTAATCTCCCCTACTCCCATCCACATCCACATTTCAACCACACATCCCATTCTCTCAATACAAATACAGCAGAATTTTGGTTCTATAGGTATTTAATGTTGATAAACACTATTCTTACTTAAATCAGTAGGATAGAATAATTTCTTCTCTTGCCTTGAAAACTCTTTTTTCTTGGGTTTTATGTCCTTGTCTCCTTAGTTTTCTGTGTCCATCTCTAACCTCAATTTCTTCCCTAATGGATTAAATCTTCCTGAATACAATCAAACATCCTACATTGTAAAAATGTGATACTCTTGGAGACATCACTCCCAGAGCCTCTGTCCAGGCTGGTTGGTCTTTACAGGTGGTAGACAACTGCCACTCTGAGATCACCCTTCACCATCCTGGGGAGTCCTTCATCTCTCTATGGAGTCAGGCCTCTGCATTCCTGGATTTCAGTCGTCATATTTGTTGGTTTATTCTCATGTCTTGGTAAGGCACATTCTCCTACATATTCCTGAGAATAAGTACCTGGAAGGTAAATTTTCTAACATCTGACATGTTTGAAAAATATCTTCATCCAACCTTTGCACTTAATTAATAAATAGTTTATCTGGGTACGGAATTCTGGGTTGATGTGGGATATTATATTTTCCAAAAGTAGCTACAACAGCTCCCATCCCACATGCTATTAGAATGTGACTTTGATGCTCCTCTCATAGAGATGGGAAGGGGTCTCTGTTCCCTGATCTGAATTGAACAGACATGTGACTCTGGTGGTAGTGACGCTATGTGACATCCAAGGGTAAGACACAAAATGTTGTCTAGGGTTAGGGTTTTCTTCTTTTTCTTTTTTTTTCTTGAGACAGTTGCTCTTGGAACCTGACCAATGGGTTGTGTTCCTCATGCTGTGAGGAAGCAGAAACCACTCAGTGGAGACACCCACATGAAGTGGAAATGATAGCAGCAGCAACTCACCAGCTGCGTGAGTAAGCTCACTTGGAAGGGAATTCTCCTGATCAGCCACGCCATCCTGGTTCATGCTACATGGAGCAGGCAAGCATTCTCTTGTGAACCTTATCCAAAGTGCAGATTTGGGAGAAAAATATATGATTTAGAGGTTTGGAATTGTTTGCTACATAGCAAGAAATAACTGGGACTGTTAAGGAAAAAATCCCTAAGAGTTTTGAAGGTAGCACTCCTGTCTCTTAGACTTCCATACTGTTGTGATAAGCATGAAGGAATTCTAATTTCTGATTGGCTTCACATAACATTTTAAAATTTTTATGGAAATTTGTATGGTTTCATTTCTGGCTCTATGCTGAAATTTCACAATGCTGAGCCCTGGTGTGAGTCTTCTTTCATCCATTGTGCTGAATACCCACTTGATGGACCCCTTAATCGTGGTAAATGATCTTGCATTTGATCTTTGATGTCTTTTTCTCTTGCCTCTATTCTTTCGTTTTGAATATCTATATAAATATTGAATCTCCTGGACTGATTCCCCAAATTACCTATGCTCTATTTCATTGTTTTGTTCTTCCCCCTTTTCTATCTTTTTTATGATTTGTTTTACTTTCTGGCATATTTCCAATTCTTTGTCATTCAACCATTCTTTGAGACTTTAAATTTCTTTGAGCATATTTTGAATTCTCCAGCATTTGCTCTTTGCTCTTTGAGTTTTGATAGTTTCCTGTTTTTTCTTCTCATGAATATACCATCTTTACTTACCTCTAAGATAATACTAATGATAAACATAGTTTTTAAAAAAACTCCCTTTTTTCCTTTATGTTCTTATATGTCGTTTCTTGTGTCTCCTAAGAAATCAGCCCTAGAAAAAACAAACACATTTAGTTACAAATATGGCATTTTTCTTTTTTTTTTTTTTCTGTTGGCTCTTTAGACTAAAACAAAACAAAACAACTTTCTGCATTGTCTGCCTCCTTCAGGTTACCTTTTTCTTTGTATTTGTCTTGACCTCTGTCTTTTGTGTTAGAGAATTTCCATGGAAATTGAATGCTCATCAGCAATCCAGTTGCACTAAGTGTGGTGCACCAAAAAGCAGAATAAGCTCTGTGCTACACTCTTGTCAATCGTGAGCTCCACTTCAGGGTTAATTTGGGTGACTGGCCATTCCACTGGAGGAGCACAGATGTCAGTATATGGGTCTCTTCTGTTGATCAAATTTATGTGGAAATAATCTTTTTCTTTCTTTCTTTCTTTCTTTCTTTCTTTCTTTCTTTTTTTCTTTTTTCAATAAGATTGGCTTTCTGAGTTCTGAGAGGTGAGTGGAAAAAGAGAGCTGGAGCTCACAAAATGCAGAATATGAGATTTCACTTAACTCTCTGTTTCTCAGCCTTCATTAGGACCCTCAACTGTGCCTGATGTTCTCTACTCCAGAGGCCCTCTTTTTATCTCATTCATACCAAAGGAGTGAAGTACAATAAAACCTCACTCCTTTTCTCTGGGTGGCCTATGGAGAGAGTCGAGATTGGATCTCAAACTATGTTTCTCAAAGGGACTTTAAAAAAATCATTTGTTTTATGTCTCTCTCACATAAACATATCCCTGCAAGGGCCCTGGTGTCGTAAATTTCTGATCATCTTGGAGTTTCTGCACGAAGAATTGCGTTTCTTCTCATTGTTTTCCTATTGCTAAGCCAGCTTGTGTGTGTGTGTGTGTGTATGTGTGTGTGCACGCATGTGTGTGTGTCTGCTAAATCCATCATTAAGTGGTCCTTTTGTTTTTGAGCTTCCAAAATGTTGTTTCTCTATTCTGTCCATTTTTTCTTTATCCTTGTGGGATAAAAACAAAACAACAGTAATGGATACAACCCTTTATTGTCATTAGACTGAGTTTTTGAGAGAAGTGGAGATAAACACCAATATCATTATGCTATTTTTGTGTGACGAACTATCAAACGACTTTACAACTGAGTGTCTTAAAGCAGTAAATATTGAATATTGCTGAGAGTCCTTGGATCAGCTGCATAGTTCAGGTAATCTCACCCAGGTCTAGCCGACCTCTCCTGGACTCACTTAGATATTATGGTGAGCTGACAAGTTGGCTGGACTCTGACTGTCCTAGGATGGTCTGATTCATATATCAGAACATCAGCTGGTTGACCAGCTGTTTGCTGAGGTGATGAGTTTGCCCAAGCCATGGGTCTCTCATCATCCAGGCTGTTCTAGGCTTGTTCTCTGATGGTTCTTAGGATGAGCTTTCCAAAGGCAAAAGCGAAGCATGTAACCCTTATGATTGCGCATGGCACATCATCACTTCCACCACAGTCTATTCACCAAAACAGGTCACAAGGGCAATCCAGATTCAAGTAGTGAGGAAATCTTGGTGGACAGAACTACAAAGAGACATTTCAAAGGCTTCGATATGGGGAGTGGTGAAGATGTGAGGATATTCCTGCAATCAATCTACTACTTAAGTTCAATCCAGTGATTTTAATCAGAATTCCCCTTGTGATAAATAGAATAATGGTCCCCCAAAGATGTTCACGGAATAATCCCTGGAACCTGTGAATATGTTATCTTTCGTGGGAAATGGGGCTTTGCAGGTATGATTAAATTAGGGATGTTGAGATGGGGAGGTGATCTGAGATTATCCTGGTGGGTCCAATGTAATCATAAGGGTCCTTCTAAGGGGTGGTAGAAGAGGAGGAGTCAGAGGAGATGTGAAGACAAATCAGAAGTCTGAAAGATGCCATCACAGGTAGGGCCCACAAACCAAGGAAGGCAGAGAGTTTCTATGATATGATTTGGCTGTGTCCCTACCCAAATCTCGTCTTGATTATAACTACCACAATTCCCACATGTCCTGGGGGGAACCTGGTAGGAAGTGATTGAATCATGGGGGCGGGTCTTTCCCATGCTGTTCTCATGATAGTGAATAAGTCTCATGAGATATGATGGTTTTAAAAATGGGAGTTTCCCTGCACAAGAACTTTTCTCTTGTCTGCCACCATGTGAGACGTGCCTTTCACCTTTCACAATGATGGTGAGGCCTTCCCAGCCACGTGGAACTATAAGTCTATTAAACTTTTTTCTTTTGTAAATTGCCCAGTCTTGGGGATGGCTTCAGCAGCAGCATGAAAATGGACCAATACATCCTATAAGGTAGAAAAAGCAAGCAACAGATTCTCCTCTGGAGCCTCCAGAAGTCACGCAGCTATTTCAACAAATGGATTTTAAGACTTTTGATTTCTGAAAGTTTTAGATAATAAACTTATGTTGTCTTTTAAGCCATTAAGTTTTTGATAGTTTATTGTATATTATTAGAGAAAACTAACACATCTCACTGTTCTTTCAGTTCAGCCATGATATATTTGGATTTTTGCCATAACTACATGCCACTTCTATTATTATTTTCTTCAAAAAAGAAAATCTATTTTGAAAAAAATATATTCCTATGTAAACATTAATATATCTGAAATAAAGAGGTATTCCAGTTTTTTTAACACACATAAAATAAATGAAGTTATTAAGAAAACGATTTGTTCATATTCCACAAGAGGGGTATATAGTATGCAGCATTGCTCAATTTTATTTGACTATGTTGCTCTTTCTTCGTGAAACTCTAATTCACTAATTAGCTGATTGAATATTTTATTGAGCACTTACTATGCACGAGACATGTGTGAACAAGAAAGATGAAATCTTGTCTTCATAGAGCTAACACTGTAGTGCAAAACACAGACCACACATACATTTTTAAAAGTGCATAATAAAATACAGGCTCTGATAAAGGAAAGAAAGTGCTGTGCTAGAGGACAACTGGGCAGTGTGGGGTGAAGGTCTGGGGTATGGGCTAGGCTAGTATCTGGCAAGATTAGTTCCCTGGAAAGAGGTCATTTACAGGCTCATATTCTACTTATTTCTACATTGAAATCATCCAGCTCCCTGGGGTCAAAATTAAGGAAAGGATTTTCTCATTCTGGCCCTTCTAATTTTTGGCCCCACTAATCCATCAGCAAATTCTGTTGATCATTGTTTGTAAATCCTCTTGCGTCACTTACTTATTTCCATTCTCAATTTCTCACCCAGGCTAAAATTCTTATAGCAATTCTTACAAAGCCTCTTATAAAGTGACTTTTCATCTTTTTCTGCACTGGTAGCCTGGATGGATGCAACATGCTCCCCAAGGATTGAAATAAGTTCTGAAGATGAGGGTCAGGGCTAGAAGTCCCACAGGTGATTGACAGTGTTTCCACAGGCAGGGACAGTTATACTTTAGTGACTCCATCACTTTGAGGAGGGGGTGCCTCATTCCTACTTTAGGACAACATAAGTGTGGCTTCAAGGCTGGGCATGGTGGCCCATGCCTGTAATCCCAGTACTTTGAGAGGCTGAAGTGGGTGAATCACGAGGTCAGGAGTTCAAGACCAGCCTGGCCAACATGGTGAAACCCCATCTCTACTAAAAATACAAATTAGCTGGGAGTAGTGGCAGGTACTTGTAATCTCAGCTACTCAGGAGACTGAGGCAGGAGAATCGCTTGAACCCAGGAGGAGGAGGTTGCAGTGAGCTGAGATCATGCCACTGTACTCTAGCCTGGGTGACAGAGTGAGACTCTGCCTCAAAAAAAAAAAAAAAAAATGTGCCTTCTCCAGAGAAGCAACTGAGAGCTACAGGTGCTTAAACGGAAACTGTGGGTCTACTTCCCTGGCTGCTTGTGCCCTTCCTGACCCAACGCTCTCTTTTTTACACTGCCAACCAGGAGCAAGCCTGAGAGCTTTCAAGGTGCACCAAGATAAAGAGTAATCAGTTTCCCAATATTCTTTAAACTGCCAATCCACAAAGGCAAATAGGAGCATGTTTACATCAGTTTTAGGCTTGTCTTCAAGTTCAGTCTTTCCCACCAAGTGCAATCTCTGACCACTTGTTTTGATGTGCAGGTGGGTGTGCTTTCTGCTTTATGCAACATCATCATGCCTTTTAGAGTAAAAATGTATTTTAGAGATTATTTAGTTCAAACAGAACAGTTTAAGAGATAAAGTCTAGAGACATCATGCAACTGGCTAGAAATCACATAGCTAGTCAGTAACAAATCTAGGATTCAAATTTGGGATTCCTGACTTGTATTCCAAGTCAAAGCTACCATATTGACTTTCATGCTGATAAAACGTAGAATTGAGACAAATGGTTGCTTTAAAGTGTATTTACAACTCTTGTTTGAAATTATATAATACACTCTTAGATTTATTTTACTTTATTAGAGTATAAATATTTGTTGGTTGTAATTGCCTACAATACAGTCTATGACATATATATTTTTGGCTGAATTCTTTCTTCCTTAACTTGTGTGTCCTTGATAGTAAAGGATTCATTATCTTCTCACTGTCCCTATGTCTAGGGAATTTTACAATAAATGTTTCGTCATTCTTTTTGTTTCCCCGCAACAATTTTCAGTGTCCTTACTATGTTAATTAGAAGAAAATATAGCAATGCTTCAGAGATGTCCTGGAGGGCCACTTCTTGAAACTTTCTCTGCTATAAATCACAATGTGTTTTCTTTCTTTTTTTTGTGGGGGTGGTTGGAGCAAGGAATACAGCTTTAAATATAGACCTTCCAAGAACAAATTGCAAGGGGGTTTTCTCCGGTTAACTACTCTCAGAAACATGTTTAGAATTGTTTCTACACAGTATCCTTCTTTAGCAGTCCCCAAATATTATAGGAAATCATTAGATAACAGCTATTTCAATTCCCTGTTCTTCATCCAACCAGTGCAAGGTGACCACGAAAGCATTTGATTTCTCATGTTCTGATTTTCAAAAAAAACTTCAAAACTCTTTTTAAACAAACTATCCACTCTATTGACAGGAAAATGGAATACACAAAGCTAATCAAAGGTTTTTATACTCTTTACCTAGTGTCATGGGCAAACTTAAACTATGGTGTTCCTAACCAGTACATGTTTACTTGTACTTTGGGTACTTCAGGCACAACAAAGTGCAGCACACATGCCGTTTCTCTCATTCCCTGAGCCAGGCAGACATAACCAACCAATCACAGAACCTTGATGCCAAGGCTTTATGTGTCCTCAAAATCTTTCTTAATACAGCCTCTAGGGAGCCACTACACAATAGTCACCTTACGTATGTGGATTTCAAGCCTAGTAAGCAAAGCTGTACTACTATAGTTATTATATCTATCTTTAGAAAGCACAGATAAGAAATCCTAAACATGAACAAATAAGTGATTCATATAATATTGTTACCCCCCCTCCCCTTTTTTTTTTTTTTTTGAGACAGAGTCTGGCTCTGTTGCCCAGGCTGGAGTGCAGTGGCACAATCTCGGCTCACTGCAGCCTCTGTCTCCCAGGTTCAAGTGATTCTCCTGCCTCAGCCTCCCAAGTAGCTGGGATTACAGGTGCCCACCACCACGCCTGGCTAATTTTTTTATTTTTAGTAGAGACAGGGCTTAACCACATTGGCCAGGCTGGTCTCGAACTCCTGACCTCAAATGATCTGCCTGACTTGGCCTCCCAAAGTGCTTGGATTACAGGCGTGATCCACTGTACCTGGCCGATATATTGTTACTCTTATCACTTTCCCTTGATGTTGTCCATTGTAAACATTTTTTTTTTAGTTGACAAAGGCTTCCCAGAAATTCTTCTTTCCTTAGTGTAAAAAACTTTTCAGAACTTTAATACTCCCTGTATCATTAGTTAATTCTCACACTGCCATAAAGAACTACCTGAGACTTGGCAATTTATACACAAAAGAGGTTTAATTGACTCACAGTTACTCATAGCTAGGGAGATCTCAGGAAACTTACAATCATGGCGGAAGGTGAAGGAGAAGCAAGGCACCTTCTTCACAAGGCAGCAGGAGAGAGAGAACAAGAAGGGAAGTGCCATACTTTTAAAGTATCAGATCTCATGAGAACTCACTCACTATCACAAGAACAGTGAGGGAAAAATCTCCCCCATGATCCAATCACCTCCCACCAGGCTCTTCCCTTGACACATGAAGATTACAATTTAACACAAGACTTGGGTGGGGACACAGAGCCAAACCATATTATTCTGCTGCTGGCCCCTCCCAAATCTCATATCCTTTTCACATTTCAAAACCAATCATGCCTTCCCAACAGTCCATCAAAGTCTTAACTCATTCCAGCATTAATTCAAAATTCCAAGTCCAAAGTCTCATCTGAGAGAAGGAAAGGCCCCTCCACTTATGAGCCTGTAAAATCAAAAAAAGTTAGTTACTTCCAAGATACAATGTGGATATACGCATTGGGTAAATGCTCCCTTTCCAAATGGAAGAAATTGGCCAAAACAAAGGGGCTACAGGCCCCATGCAATTCCAAAACCCAACAGGGCAGCCATTAAATCTTAAAGCTCCAAAATCTCCTTTGACTCCATGTCTTATATCCAGGTCACACTGACACAATAGATGGGCTCCCAAGGTCCTGGGTGGGTCTGTCTCTGTGGCTCTGCAGGGTACAGCCCCTTCGGCTGCTTTCACAGGCTGGGGTTGAGTCCTGCAGCTTTTCCAGGCACACAGTGCAAGCTGTTGGTGGATCTACCATTCTGGGGTCTGGAAGATGGTGGCCCTCTTCTCATAGCTCCACTAGGCAGTGCCCCAGTGGAACTCTGTATGGGGGATCGAACTCCACATTTCCCCAATGCATGCCCTAGTAGAGGTTCTCCATGAGGGCTCCCTGCAGCAGACTTCTGCCTGGACATCCAGGCAATTCCACACATCCTCTGAAATCTAGGTAGAGGCTGCTAAGCCTCAACTCTTGACCTTTGTGCACCCACAGGCTCAACATCACGTGGAAGCCACCAAAGCTTGGGGCTTGCACCCTCTGAAGCAATGGCCCATGCTGTACCTTTGCTTCTTTTAGCCATGGCTATCTTGAGCCACTGGGACACAGGGCACCAAGTCCCAAGGCTGCACACAAAACCATTTATTCCTCCAGGTCTGTAATGGGAAGGGCTGCCATGAAGATCTCTGAAATTTCCTGGAGACATTTTCCCCATTGCCTTGGCTATTAACATTCAGCTACTCCTTACTCATGCAAATTTCTATAGCCAGCTTGAATTTCTCCCCAGAAAATGAGTTTTTATTTTCTATTACATGGTCAGGCTGCAAATTTTTGAAACTTTTATTCTCTGCTTCCCTTTTAAACATAAGTTCCAATTTCAGATCCTCTCTTTATGAGCACATATTAGCATACATTTTTGGAAAAAGCCAGGTCATATCTTGAATGCTTTGCTGCTTAGAAATTTCCTGTACCAGATACCCTAAATTATCTCTCTCAAGTTCAAAGTTCCACAGATCTCTAGGGCAGGGGCAAAATGCTTCCAGTCTCTTTGCTAAAGCATAGCAAGAGTGACCTTTACTCCAGTTCCCAATAAGTTCCTCATCTCCATCTGAGAACACATTAGCCTGGACTTCATTGTCTGTATTACTATCAGTATTTTGGTCACAACCATTCAACAAGTCTCTAGGAAGTTCCAAACTTTCCTTCAAGTTTCTCTCTTCTTCTGAGCCCTCCAAACTGTTCCAACCTTCCTTTGTTACCCAGTTCCAAAGTCACTTCCACATTTCTAGGTGTCTTTATAGCAGTACCCTACTCTCAGTACCAGTCTTCTGTATTAGTTCATTCTCACACTGCTATAAAAACTACTGGAGACAGGGTAATTTATGAAGGAAAGAGTTTAATTAAATCACAGTTCTGCATGGCTGAGGAGGCCTCAGAAAACTTACAATCATGGCAGAAAGTGAAGAAGAAGCAAGCACCTTCTTCACAAGGTGGCAGGAAAGAGAAAGCGAGAAGGGAAGTGCCACACTTTTAAACCATCAGATCTTGTGAGAACTCACTCACTGTCATGAGGACAGCGAGGGGGAAATTTGCCTTCATTATGCAATCACATCTCACCAGGCCCCTCCCTGACATGTGGGGATTACAATTTGACATGAGATTTGGGTGGGGACCCAGAGCCAAACCACAGCATTCTCATTGGTAAAATGTAGATGTGACTTGAATTAAGTTTCTCAGTTCTGAAAATATGTAGGTCTATTATTTGTATCCAAGAACATTTGCGAAGAAAACCCATTTACACTGCTGTAGAAATTAGTATTTAACTAGAGACATTGTCGATTTAAAAATTTCCCAAAAAGAAATGTTTCTGAAACTCTAGTGTGTATAAAAAGTACTAAAAGAATGTTTTCAAGTTACATGATTATATATACCAATAACATGTAAGTAGAACTGGTACATAATACATTTTTCTATCATTAGTAAAATGTGTTATTTCAAAATGGAATTAGTGCCATCATGTAACATGCCTGTGAATGTGTCTTTGTCACTCAACCAGCATCTAGCTTAAAAAGAAAAAGCAAACAAACAAAAATGGGAAAAAGATTGTGGCTTAATATGGCCAAGGACAGTCAAACCTTTGGGTCTTGGAGTCATGAAGTATGGATATCCTTCTTAGGATTATACTCCTATTTTTTCCCACCCCACATAGGTCTTCTACTTTATCAGCAGTGTAGGGAATGCATTTTAGTTGAGGGGAATGGAGGATATGATTCATTAATGTTTACAAGTCTCGAGTTGTAGAGAGCCTGTCATGTTCAGGAGAGATGGAGATTAGGCTGACCTTCTATACTAGTTTCTTACACAGGGAGAAATAAAATGAAAATAACTAAGGATAGGTCAACTCAGAGTCACTACCATATAATAGGTCAGGAAGTCCAATAACAGCAATAACTAAAAACAAAAGAAAGTGAGATGATTAAACCACAAAGCCCTCAGGCAGAAATTGGCTTTAGAAACCTAGCCATCTCTGTTGTGATGGGCTGGGTATCACTCTATATTCATAACAATAAAGTGAATTTGAAAGAGAAATTGAACTTTGTAAATGAATATTTACATATGTAAATGAATATAAGCTCTCTCCTAAAGATACAGTTTGGGCACAGCTCACTTAGAAATAATCATGTTCCTCCTTTTAAAAAAATATATTTTTGTACTGATTTTATAGTAGATATTGATACTATCTCAATCAGAGAGAAATACAGAAGACACAAGACAAATATGTTTATTTATGTAGATAGTTTTTTATCATGCATATTTAGCCAAAAGTTTTACTCTATTTATTAATGGTAGATCCCTAACCTGTGGTAATCATTAGGGTTGTTACCAGTGTTTCAATTCTGGTGGAATTTTACATCCCTTAGACCATGTGACTTCCATTGGCCAATATAGCATGATGAGGAACATGAGCAGCAATGAGGTGTTTAATTCTGGGTGGAAGCCTTGGTGAGCCCGCATGAGATCAACTATGTTCCTTTTTTCCTGCTCTCGTGACATTATAGATGTAGAGGTTCTGTCATCCTGAGTCCCTGAGTGGGAGTGACATGGAATAGAGCTGCTGTCAACCTAAGAGGGCAATGTAACATACATGGGAAATATATTTTGGTTAAGACACTCAGATTTGGAGGTTGTTACTGCAGCCTAGTGTAGCTCATTCTAACTGATAAGCAGGATTTCTCCAGCATTTAGTGTTGTAGCAGAATTGCATGATGAAAAAGCAGTAACACCAACTTAGCTGGAGAGAATATTGGATTCAAATCACTTAGCTGTAATACAATCCCTTCTCAATACTCTATAGTCAGTTAAGTGCAAATCTCTCTGGTGGCTGAAACTCTCCTTACTAGTACTTTGTGGATACTCCCAAATCGTAGAAATAAACAGATTGATCCAGGGTCTGGTGGGGGAAGAGAATCAGAGTAATGATTAAATGCGGGAGACTCAATGGGTAGAGGGATCAGTTTTACTGGAACACATGTCAGAAAGAACCTAATAGTTCTACAAAGTGAGTAGTAAGGATTTCTAAATTCATTATAAGATTTGAAAATTCAATAACCTTGTACTTCTGTATATCAGGGATCTATGATAGGCTAAAACTGTAAGACCAACAAATAATTAAATTGTTTGAACAGTTAGATTATAAAAACCTGAAAATCAGGATGTCATTTACTTATAGTGTGACTTACTGAAGTCATTTAACCCCTTGGCCTCAGCCGCCTCACGTGCAAAACAAAAATGTTTTAAATAGAAATGAAATTAACATTTGAGCTAGATTTTGATAAGTTCCCTTACATACGATGGTAGGCTGGTAAATTTATCAACTGTGTCTGTGTGTGTGTGTGTTTTTCTTAGTATTTGCCCCTTTTTTTGGTATAAATATTTCCAACCGAGACAGTTTCATGCTGTTAACCTAATGTGACTGAATGCAGAGCTGGCAAAACTTGCTGATGATCATCCTTCATTGGAGCAAGAACAGGCTAGCTTCAGCACCTCATGATTATAGTTGGTTGGTGCAAAAGTAATTGCGGTTTCTTGTAATTACTTTCAATGGCTAAAACAGCAATTACTTTCATATTAACCAATATCTTTACTGGTATGATCCTTGCAACTAAGATGACTAGTGAGAGCTTCATGATTTGTTCTGATTTCCAGGATCTTGACTCTTCTCTGAATTTTTAGGATTTACTGTATGCGCCATTCACTTGGCATTTAACTGCATGCTTTCTTAGACATGTCTCACATTTACATCTTGTTATTTTGTTTAATTTAAAAATATTTTGTAACTGTTTGATAGAGATATGTCTTATTTTTCAAGCTGGAAAATACATTACATGGGGGAAAATTTTTGTTTTGTGCCTCTCAGTGTCTCTTCCATATCTTGGCCCATTTAATGGTTTTTTAGGTAAAAGTAACATTTAAATGTTTCCCCTGCTTATTTCTGTGCTGAATAAAGTCAGCTTAATATTTTCATGTATATACATGTTTAGCAAACAATAAGCCTAAGTGGT
This sequence comes from Homo sapiens, assembly GCF_000001405.40. Lineage (NCBI taxonomy): Eukaryota > Metazoa > Chordata > Mammalia > Primates > Hominidae > Homo > Homo sapiens. Next base: position 220,720,434 of record NC_000002.12, read on the forward strand.
TATTTTGCATGTAAGGTGCTGTGCCAAATGACATTTGTCAGTTTTATGTGCAGTTATTCTAAATTACAGATTTCAAATATAATAATAATTATGAGGAAGAGGTTGAGAAAAATGAATATTTGGTAGAGTTTTACGTTAAAATAAATTCCTCAGAAAATCTATATAATAATCTATACAATAATATAGCCTACTTCCAATATAAGTGATCAGATTGTAAAATACTGACAGAGCTGCAGACTTAAAGAATAATACACCATTTTATTGTTTACAGGCACAAATGCCCAATCTGATGACAAAATATGCTTCAAACATCTGCTAAAAGGTTCTTTGGTTCATTTTTGTTTCTAAGAAAGGGAATATTAATATTGTTGGATGTTCAAATTATGCAAGTGGCATTCATTGTAGAGCATAGTATTAATTACCAACTGAATCAATGAAAGAAACAAAAAGCAATTGTTTGATTCAAAATAAAAGGTTGGAGACATTTATATGTCTGTGTACGTGTTTATTTTCTGTTTCTCTAATATCCTGCTTCAAGAGACAAACTGGTATTCATCAAAACGAGCTAGTTTTATGGAAAATCAGTGCAATTCAGCATCCTTTCCCAAATTGGAGTAATTTAGATAGAAATAAATCATAATGGTGCTTATTTCAGGCTTCTTAGCATGTGCAAAAAAGTGTTCATTAGCTGTCCCTATAGAGGTTCAGGACACTAAGAACCACTGTATCTGGATAGTGGCACACAGCCATAGCACCACCACAAGCAGCATTGGTCGATAAGATCACTCATATTTTCAAGACCAAGAAAACTAAATAACATAAATCATTTCAGTTATGTATGAATGTGCTAAAAAATGAGAAGATAACTTTTTTCCTAATGGCTTCATTTACACTGAATTTGGATTTGTGTGTTGTTATTTTAAAAAAGGAAGAAAAGGTGAAACACTGGAAATCATGGTCTGTGTCTAGGAAGTAGATGAAAAACCAACAGCTGAGTGAATAAATTCAAATTCTAGAGGATATTTCTGTAATTCATAGGCTATCACAAGTGATAAATGAAAGCAATGTTCTAATTCCTCCAGTTAGCCAATTTTTTTGAAATGTAAATCTTTGGTGGCTTTTCTTGGTTTATTTCTTGGTTTATGTTTTTACTGTAAGCACTTTATATCACTAAACTTGAGGAAAGATCAATTGAATTTAAAAAGTCTGAAAAACAGAGAAAAATAAACTAAAATACATGAGGACCTGTGGAATAATAGCAGAAGATCCAGCATTTGTATTATTGTAGCCAATAATACAAATTGACTATTTCTGTAGACTACTATTATTGTAGTCAAAGAAGGGCAGGAAGAAGAGTGAGGAGCTAAAACAGCGTTTGAAGAAATAGTGGGTGAGAACTTTCCAAATTTAGTGAAAGATGCAAACCTACAGATTCAAGAAACTGAATAAAATTCGCATATTTACATATTTTTTATTTCCATAGATTTTGGGGAACAGGTGGTGTTTGGTTACATGAATAAGTTCTTTAGTGGTGATTGCTAAAATTTTGGGACACCTGTCACCTGAGCAGTACACACTGTACCCAACTTGTAGTCTTTTATCCCTCATACCTCTCCCACCATTTCCCGAGTCCGCAAAGTCCACTGTATCATTCTTAAGGCTTTGCAGCCTCATAGTTTAGTTCCATTTCTAAGTGAGAACATATGATGTTTGGTTTTCCATTTCTGAGTTACTTCACTTACCATCCAGGTTGCTGCAAATGCCATTATATTGTTCCTTTTTATGGTGAGTAGTATTCCATGGTGTATATATATATATATATATTTATATATACACATACATATATACACACACACATACCATGAATTCTTTATCCACTCACTGATGATGGGCATTTGGGTTGGTTCCATATTTTTGCAATTGCAAATTGTGTTGCTATAAACATGAATGTGCAGGTATCTATTTGGTATAATGACTTATTTTCCTCTGGGTAAATACCCAGTAGTCAGATTGCTGGATCAAATGGTAATTCTACTTTTAGTTCTTCAAGGAATACCCACAATGTTTTCCATAGTGGTTGTAATAGTTTACATTCCCATCAGCAGTGTGAAAGTGTTCCCTTTTCACCAAATTCCCTCCAAAATCTATTATTTTTAAATTTTTTTTAATTTTGGCCATTCATGCAGGAGTAAGGTGGTATCACATTGTGCTTCTCATTTACATTTCTCTGATTATTAGTAATGTTGATCTTTTTGCATATTTTTGTTGGCCCTTTGTATATCGTTTTTTGAGAATTGTCTATTCATGTCCTTAGCCCACTTTTTGATGGGATTGTGTGTTTTTTTCTTGCTGATTTGTTTGAGTTCCTTGTAGATTCTGCATATTAGTCCTTTGTCAGATATATAGATTGGGAAGATTTTCTCCCACTCTGGGGGTTGTCTGTTTACTCTGCTGATTGTTTCTTTTGCTGTGAGGAAGCTTTTTCATTTAATTAAGTCCGATCTATTTATCTTTGTTTTTGTTGCATTTGCTTTTGGGCTCTTGGTCATGAAGTCTTTGCCTAAGCCAATGTCCAGAAGGGTTTTCCTGATGTTGTCTTCCAGAATTTTTATGGTTTCAGATCTTAGATTGAAGACCTTGATCCATCTTGAGTTGATTTTTGTGCAAGGTAAGAGATGAGGATCCAGTTTCATTCTTTTACAGGTGGCTTGCCAATTATCCCAGCATCATTTGTTGAATAGGGTGTTCTTTCCCCACTTTATGTTTTTGTTTGCTTTGTTAAAGATCAGTTGCCTGTAAGTATTTGGCTTTATTTCTGGTTTATTTATTCTGTTTCATTGGTGTACGTGCCTATTTTTATACCAGTACCATGCTGTTTTGGTGAATGTTTGAAGTCAGGTAATGTGATGCCTCCAGATTTGTTCTTTTCGCTTTGGCTATGTGGGCTCTTTTTGGTTTCATATGAATTTTAGGATTGTTTTTTCTAGTTCTGTAAAGAATGGTGGTGGTATTTTGATGGGAATTGCATTGAATTTGTGGATTGCTTTTGGCAGTATAGTCATTTTCACAATATTGACTCTATTCATCCATGAGCATGGGATATGTTTCCATTTGTTTGTGTCATCTATTTCTTTCAGCAGTGTTTTGTAGTTTACCTTGTAGAGGTCTTTAACCTCCTTAGTTAGGTATATTCCTAAGTATTTTACTTTTCTTGCAGCTATTATAAAAAGGGTTGAGTTCTTGATTTGATTCTCAGCTTGGTCTCTGTTGGTGTATAGCAGGGCTACTGATTTGTGTACATTAATTATGTATCCTGAAACTTTGCTGAATTCATTTATTAGTTCTAGGAGCTTTTTGGAGGAGTCTTTAAGGTTTTGTAAGTATACAATCATATTATCAGCAAACAGCAACAGGCTGACTTCCTCTTTATTGATTTGAATGGTCTTTCTTTCTCTTGTCTGATTGCTCTGGCTAGGACTTCCAGTACCAACTGAATGGAAGTGGTGAGAGTGGGCACCCTTGTCTTGTTCCAGTTCTCAGAGGAAATGCCTTCATCTTTTCCCTGTTCAGTATTATATTGGCTGTGAGTTTGTCATAGATGGCTTTTATTACATTAAGGAGTGTCCCTTCTATGCTGATTTTGCTGAGGATTTTAATCAAAAAGGGATGCTAGATTTTGTCAAATGCTTTTTCTGTGTCTATTGAGATGATCATGTGATTTTTGTTTTTAATTCTGTTTATGTGGTATATCACATTTATTGACTTCATATGTTAAACCATCCCTGCATCTCTCGTATGAAAACCACTTGATCATGGTGGATTGTCTTTTTGATATGCTGTTGGATTTGGTTAGCTAGTTTTGTGTTAGGGATTTATGCATCTATATTCATCAGGGATATTGGTCTGTAGTTTTTTGTTTTGTCCTTTCTTAGTTTTGGTATTAGGGTGATACTGGCTTCATAAAATGATTTAGGGAGGATTCCCTCTTTATCTTGGAAATTGTGTAAATAGAATTGGTATCAATTCATCTTTGAATGTCTGATAGGATTCAACTGTGAATCCATCTGGTCCTGGACTTTTTTTGGCAATTTTTTTAAATTAACATTTCAATCTCACTGTTATTGGTCTGTTCAGAGTTTCTAATCCTTCCTGGTTTAATCTAGAAGGGTGTATATTTCCAGGAATTTATTAATCTCTGCTAGGTTTTCTAGTTTATATGCATAAATGTGTTCATAGTAGTCTTGAATGATCGTTTGTATTTCTGTGGTATTGGTTGTAATATCTCCCGTTTTGTTACTAATTAAGCTTATTTGGATCTTCTCTCTTCTTTTCTTGGTTAATCTTGCTAATGGTCTATCAATTTTATTTATCCTTTCAAAGAACCAGCTTTTTGTTCCATTTATCTTTTGTATTAAAACTCATATATTTAAAAGTGAGAAAGGTTAAGGGACCTAAATGGAATGGAAACTACAGACCAGTATCCCTGTACACTTACTTGAGTAGTACGACATTGAGATATCTTCATTTATATCTAAATCCATATTAGCAGAGATCCAGAGCAACAACTACAAAGATTATACAAAAGATACACTGTTATATACTGCAAGGAAACACTAAAAATAAATCAAGATGGAATCTCCAAAATGTTCAAGATCCCACTAAAAGACAAGGAAAGACAGACATAGGAATGAGGAAACAGACAAGACAATCAGAAAACAAATAATAAAATGGTAAATTTAAGCTTTAAAATGGTAATAAGTACCTTCAATATAAACGGTCTAAACACACTACTCAAAAGATGGAAATTGGCAGAGTGGATAAAAAGCATAATCATGTTCATGTATATGCCATTTGCAAGAAATTCACTTAAAATTCAATAACATAGGAGGGTGGAAAAGAAAATGGAAACACACACACATACACACACACACACAATACCTTTTAAACAATCAGAAAACCCAAGCAGAATTGGCACTATTAATATCAGATGAAAAGATTTCAGAGCAAAGAAAATTACCACAGACAAATAAAACGTTACGTAACGATAAAAGAATCAATCCACCAAGAAGAGATTACAATTTGATTTGTGTACACACAGAACAACAGAGCCTCAAAACATGTGAAGCAAAAATTCAAAGATGAAAGACGAAATAGACAATTCCACAATTATAACTGGGGACTTCAACACTGTTTTCAGCAATTGATAGAATTAGTACATGCAAATCAGCAGGAATACAGAAATTCTGAAAAATACAATCAACCAACAGGATCTAAATGACACACCTGGGACACTTCACTCAACAATAGCAAAAAACATAATTTTTTCAAATGCCGTGGAACATTCACCAATACATACCATATCTGACCATAAAACAAATGTCAACAATTTAAATGCATTGGTATCACATTGAGTGTATCCTCTAACCATAATGTAATAGGTAGTCAATAATGGAAAGACCACAGTAAAATACCTAAGTATGTGGAAATTAAACATCACCCTTCTAAATAATTAAAGGATCAAAGAGAAAGTCTCAAAGGAAAGGAAAAAAATGCATTGGACTAAAAGGAAAGGAAAATAAAACATAAAAATATTTGGTGCATAGCAAAGCAGTGTGGAGAGGGAAACTTGTCACACTCAGTGCTTACATTAGAAATGAAGAAAGGTCTTAAATCAATACTATAAGTTACTACATAGAGAGACTAGAAAAAGGACAAAAACTGAAAGCAAGCAGGAGAAGGAAATAAAGAGCAGAAATCAATGAAATTGAACATAAGAAAACAATAGAAAACATCAATGAAACAAAAAGCTGGTTATTTTTTAAAAATCAATAACATTGATCAACCTCTAGGAAGGCTGAAGAAAATAAAAGTGAGAAGACATAAATCACCAATATCAGAAATAAAATGTAATACATCATTACAGATCATGCAGTCATTAAAAGAATCTGAAGGGAATCCTATGAACAACTTTGCACTATTGAACTTGACAACTTAGTAGAAATAGACCAATTCCTTGAAAACCACAAGCAACTAAAACTCAATCTAGATGAAATAAATGATCTAAATTGTTAATATACCATTAAAGAAATGTAATTTATAATTTAAAAGCCCTCTAAAAAATTTTCCAGACTCAAATTTCTTCACTGGTGATTTCTACCAAAATTTAAAAATTAACAGAAATTTTACACAATCTTTTCCAGAAAATAGAGAGAACACTTCCCACAGCAATTTATAAGGCCAGTTTCAGACTCATACCCCAAACAGACAAAGATGGTATAAAAAAAGAAAACAAAATGAACTTAAATCCTCAAGAAAACAGTAGCACATATAACACATAATATATATATGAAAGTATACATTATGACCAAGTGGAATTTATTTCAGGTACATAAGTCTCTATGTATTCTTTAAATTTCCTTTGAACATTTGAATATCCATAGGAAATCTATCATATCAATAAGCTAAAGAAGAAAAATTATATAATATGATAATATCAGTTGATACAGAAAAAGCATTTAACAAAATCTGACATTTATTCCTGATAAAACCTCTCAGAAAATTAGAAATAAAGAAAAATTATTTCAACTTGATAAAGAACTAATAAGTTAGTTTGGCAAAATCACAGGGTCCAAGAGCAACACACGAAAGTCAATTACAGTTTTATATAATAACATGGAACATGAGGAAATTAAAATAAAAAAATACAATTTACAATAAATCCAAAGAATGCTTAACAAACATGTACGGGTTCTGTGTGCTAGAAATTACAAATTTCTGATAGAAGAAATAAAAGAAGACCTAAATAAATTGAGAGACCTAATATATTTGTGGATTGGAAGGTTCAACTGTGCCCAAACTGATCTATAGATTTAATATAATTCCTATTAAAATCACAGCAAGAATTTCTTAAATGTAGGTAAGTTTATTTTTAAAATTATATAAAACCAATGCCCTAGAGTGGCTGAAGCAATCCTGGCTAGGGCTAGTAAAGCACAAGTCACTCTACCCAATAGTAAGTCTAATAATATAGCTACCTTAATAATGCAATGGAAACATGAAAAAGACATGAAAAGATAGTTAATAGAAAGGCAAGTGGCAAATAAACTATAAAAAGATTGTCAATGTTACAAGTAATTTAGTAAATATAATAGAAAAAGATGTTATATTTTACTTAAATTGTCAAACATTCAAAAGTTTGTCAATAACTGCATGAGAAAATACATACTCTTATAAACTTTCTATAGAACCCTAATTTTCTATTACTTCTTTGGAGAGCGCCTTATCAATATCTTTGAACTTTAAAATATGCATGTGCTTTTTAGAGTTTTTGTTTGTTTTCTTCTAGTCCTTCTGTTATTTCCTTTTCCTATAGGGCTGGTGGTTGTAATTCTGTTTATCTATGATAAGAATTGTATTGTTGTTGTTGTTGTTTTTTTTTTTTTGTAGGAGGGCTTCCTCAAATATTTCAGAGTGAGACAATAAAAAGTTGTTTATAGGCCAGGCGCGGTGGCTCCCGCCTGTAATCCCAGCACTTTAGGAGGCTGAGGAGGGCAGATCGCAAGATCAAGAGATCAAAACCATCCTGGCCAAATGGTGAAACCCTATCTCTACTAAAAATACGAAAATTAGCCGGGCGTGGTGGCGGGTGCCTGTAGTCCCAGCTGCTTGGGAGGCTGAGGCAGGAGAATCACTTGAACCCAAGAGACAGAGGTTGTAGTGACCCAAGATTGCACCACTGCACTCTAACCTGCGTGACAGAGCGAGACTTCGTCTCAAAAAAAAAAAAAATTTGTTTATCGTCTGTCTATATGGGTAATATTATTCTTTAATAATGATAGTCTGTCAAAGTGTGAAGTCTTTCCTCTAGAATATTTTCAATTTTTAGAGAAGGAAATTTTAAAATATTTTTCTATAGCTGAAGACGTTCTCTGAAAAAAAAAAAAAAAAAATAGGGTGTAGTGGGAGGGAGAGCCCTCCATACACAGACTTTCAATTCATCCCCCTAGTTTCAGCCCAATGCCGCTCTCACATCTTTATTTTTCTGCTTTCTATTTTCCTCCTCAGCTTTGTGTCTCTTTTCTGTTTTCTGCAAGGTAAATTGGCTCATTCTTTGGATTTATCTGTCTCTGTGGTTTTCCATGTACTGCTTTAGCAATTTCTACTGTTCCATCAGCTCTGTAGAAATATGTTCTGATCACTCCTATCATACAGACCATCTCTTTGTAAAAAAAATTATTCATTATGTTTTTAAATGATTTTAGGACTCTTTATTATTGCTCTACAGAGGCCTCTGAGGCGGCAGGATATGAGGCTTATCTGTTTTTTAAAAATATACATTTAGAGGTTCCATTAACATACGAATAATCTTTCCTCATATTTTTTTCCATATGCACTCGTTTTTTCTTTTATTAGAAACATAAAACTAAGTCCACAGTAAATTTAGTTTTTGTAAGCAATTTTGTGGAGATGGAAAGTATCTTCCAGGAAAATTCAGTCCCTAAAGCAAGAAACCAGAGTCTTCTCCTGGCAGTCTATCTCTGCTGGCAAAATTAGAGAAAATACGAAATAAAAAAGGAAAAATACATAAGAATGACTCTAATATTGATTCTATATACATTGTCCTTTACATTGAATTTCGTATTATTTTATTATATAATAAATGAGAAGAATGACAGCACAATACAAAGGCAAATTAGGAAAAAATGAATAGAAAGGCAATTAGAGACTCCAGGGAAAACTGAAAGCTACACAAGAAGGAATAAAATCAAATGAAAATAAAGGAAACAAAAATGGAAGACTAGCTCTGTTATGAAATATTTATATTGTCAAAATAATGAAACATTTTTATTGATTTATTTATAAAATATATTTGTTTATTTTAAACTTTTAAAGATAATTTTATAAAAAGTATAAAAAATAGGACTACATTTATACGAAAAAAATACAATATAATTAACCTTGATAGTGCAAAAGAAAAAAATTCTGATACTAGAAGTTGAAAAGATATTGAGGGAGAGTAGTTAGAGAGCTAAAGATAATTAGGCTTTACTACAAACCTCATTTTGTAAAGTGAGGTGTAGTAAAAAAGAAAATAAAGATATTAATTGCCATAGTAAAATACCTAATATTTCAAATCTTATCAACAAAATAACTTAGAGATAGATCTACACTGGAATCTTTTAAGTAAACAGAAGATAGCAATATAAATATGTTAAAATCAATAAACAAGACCAACGGGTTGAAGCATATTATCTAGACAAGTGAAAATAAGTATCAGAAAAAAAAAGTTAACAGAGTTATAAGCGTTTACTCCTAGAGAATGGGATTTGATGGCAAGAAGTAGCATGGGAGGGAGGCGGCCGGGCGCAGTGGCTCACGCCTGTAACCCCAGCGCTTTGGGAGGCCAAGGCGGGCGGATCACGAGGTCAAGAGATCGAGACCATTCTGGCTAACATGGTGAAACCCCATCTCTACTAAAAATACAAAAAACATTAGCCAGGCGTGGAGGCGGCGCCTGTAGTCCCAGCTTCTTAGGAGGCTGAGGCAGGAGAATGGCGTGAACCCAGGAGGAGGAGCTTGCAGTGAGCCGAGATCGCACCACTGCCCTCCAGCCTGGGCCACAGAGTGAGACTCCATCTCAACAACAACAACAACAAGAAGTATGGGAGGGAGGCAGATAATAATATTTTTGAACCTGTGTACTTAATTACTTTAACTAAATATAAAAGTGATCTAAAACCTATGTTCATTTATTTACAAGAATAATTGTGTGGTTTCACTGTGATTTGAAGGTTTTTTGTTCCCATAATGACAGAGAAATATATAAATCTTTTAAGAGAATTTGAAAAATAGAGAAAATTTCAAAATATATGAATACTTAGCATATTATTAACGTCCTGTTATTTGTCTACCTTATTCTTAGCACAAATATGTATTTTATAAAACTTGTATTAAAAGCTCTTTTTAAAAAATCCTGTCTTGAATATTTTTATATTAATAGTTTATAAAAACAGGTTTTAATTAAACTTATTGTATTACTTTATATAATAATTTAACTAATCATTGATTGTTAGGCTTTTTTCTTTTAAAAATACCTTTCTTAACAAATATTTTTATGGTTAACCATGATTATTCCTCAGGACAAATTTCTACATGTTATTGTCATCTAGCCAGCCGCTCTTCATAAAGATTGTATGAATACATATTCTCAACTAAAGTGCACGCTATAACTATATCTATGTAACCTCATTCACACAAGTTAATGAGATTATTTTAATCTTTGCAAAATTTAATAGGGAACAGGCATCTTCTTACAGTTCTTTGAAAACTAGTAATAGGCTGATTTTGTGTGTGCATTGGCCATTTTTAATTTTTTGAAATTATCTTTTTTATATTGACTTGCACAATTTTTATATTGATTTATAAGTATTATTTTCATACTAGTTTGTAAGACTTCTTTACATATTAAGGGTATTAGCAGATCTTAAAAATGATTAATAAAATGTAAGCATGGTAATATAATGGACCACATTTATAAAACAGACTCTTAGGAAGGAGGAGATGTTTATGGGTCCTGTTAGAATTGGGAACTCATATTCTGATGCTGGACAGGGAACTGGGGAGTCTGAAAGAGGTTAACAGAAGGAGGTTTTTAGCTTTATTAAACATCCCTTTGCAGAGGATGACTTAATTTGAATTTCCTAGTTGGCTGGAAGCTATATGTTGATATTTAGTTGGTTCTAGGGAAATAAGTACAATATTTCCTGCATATGTTAATTTATGGACTGTGACCTAAACCCACTATGTTGATTATATAAGCATATGTTCCATAATTTCATGGAAAGATTTTGTGAAGACAGGCCTTGACAACTCTTGATAATTGCTACTTCTGAGAAGTGGCATGGAATCTAGGGACGTAAGATAGAATGGAACTCACTATTTATCGAAAACATGTTTGTAATGTTCAGTTTTGTTAAACCAAACTGAACATTTAATTTTTCATTAGCTGTATAATAGAAAATTAAAAATGGAGACCTCCATATACCACATATTTACAAATTATACAATATGCATGTTTATTCATCGTATTATATGAACAGTATATATGAATATCCATATTTTAATATTTGAAATAGCTATTTTTATAGCTTTAAAAAATTATGTTTAAGGTTTGCAATACATTTTCATACTATGAATCTGCATTTTGTACTAATTGTTGGTTTTTTAATGTTTGCCATAGGAAGGATATTTTATTAAATGAAGGGCATGTAATGTTCTTAATAACAGACAAACGGCCTGCTATTTAAATATATCTGGAGAGAGGGTATGAAGAAATACACTGATTTTAACTGCTCTTAATTTTCTCTCTCTCTGTATCTCTCTATCGTTCCTTTATCTCTATCTCTGTCTCTATCCATCTCTGCTTACCAAGCGTAATACTCTTGTTGAGATGAAGAAAAAATGCCCCCTTTTTGGCTTCCTGATCCCACCTTTCATCTGTCTTTAGAATTCAACAGGCATAGAAAAAGTTATATTTTCATGGATGCTACTGACACTTTTCAGCCAAAATGGGCTAATCCTTATTCTTCTCTTGAACAGAGGCGAACAACTGTCCATGCTTTCTGAAGCTGGAGCTAGAATATATATATAAATTTAAAGACACTTTTCATTCACATGAGCTGCTTCTCTGTTAGATCCTTTTGTGCCACGAGATGACTACCAGGCAACAACATCCAAATGCTTGTTTCAGGATAGCTTAACAAAAGGATTTCTCAAAGTCGCTTTACAAAAGATTTCATATACCACATATAACAAAAGCCATATTTATTTTATTTATTTATTAATTCAGAGATGGAGTCTTGCTCTGTCATCCAGGCTGGAGTGCAGTGCGTGATCTCGGCTCACTGTAACCTCCGTCTCCCGGGCTCAAGCGATTCTTCTGCCTCAGCCTCCCAAGTAGCTGGGATTACAGGTGGGTGCCACCACGCCCAGCTAATTTTTTGTAGTTTTAGTAGAGACAGGGTTTCACCATGTTGGCCAGGCTGGTCTTGAACTCCTGACCTGAAGTGAACTCCTGACCTGAAGTGATCTTCCTGCCTCGGCCTCCCAAAGGGCTGGGATTATAGGCATGGGCCACTGTGCCTGGCCAAAAACCATATTTAAAGAGAAAAAAAGATAACCCATATTTTAAATGAATTTGTAAAACCTTTCTTTAAAATGAAACTCACAATAATCAGATTTTTATGTGGGTTGATATTATTCTACTAAATGTACTTTTTACCACCTAAATTTGATGAAAAAGAGGAAGAGGTTATCCATCAAATACAACTTTACCCATGAACATAAATCTGAGAGAGAGAGAGGGAGAGAGAGAGAAACAGACTGACTCAAAGAAAGGTGGCCAAATATTCATTCTTTGGCCAAGGCATGAAATTATATTTTGGCCTCATTATAGATACAAAACCAAATCTCAAGGCAATGACAAGTATGATATTCTATGATACTTACTGGCTGGCCCTGTGTACACATAAATCAATAAAAAATTGATCATCTTTGTGCATTTGATCCAACTTTCTCCATCAATATAAATGCCTGGTAAAAGGCCATCATTTTCAATAGTAAATCAGCTGTGATTGATCAGATTTATCAGCTGGTATGGCAAGAGATTATTTGACTTAATCTTTTTTTTTAATCCAAGCATTATAGACAGAGGTTTTGATTTTTACCTTCTTGCTCAGCAAGAGAAACATGATCAGAAATGCATATTTAAAAACAGTCAGTACAGTGCTGAAGATGTTTGTTTCTTGATCTGAGTGAATGGTAACTTGGAGGTATTCACCTTCTGAAAATTCATCCAAATTTAGGCCTATGATGTGTGTAGTTTTATGAATGTGTGTTACATGGAGATTTTTGAAAAGCGATAAAGAGTCACTATTCTCTAAGATATGGTGATGTGTGTGATTTTTATCTAGAGGCAATGAAATTGACCACAAGTGACATTTGAATGCTTTTTAAAATCATTTTCTGACTCATGCCCAAAGCATAATTTTTCCAACCAAAGGAGTTGCATGAATACAATTGTTCTCTCATCTGTATAGTTTCATATTCCATAGCCCTTTAAAATGATTTTCTTTGGCTTTGTCAGATTAATATATGAGTTGGTCATTTTGAGCACTTTGATTATGATTGTATAATTTCCAGTTCAAGAGACAGAAGCATTATTGAAAATAATTGTTTTCTGGGTGAGCACAAAGGAGAGGTAAATGCAATGAAATCTCAACCACAAGTGTGCTAATATTATCCACAGATTTAAAACATCACCTTAGGTTGAAAGCGTGGCTCACAAATTTTGAAATGTTTGAAACAAATTTGTGATGAATAAAAAATTTCTGCAGAATCCAGTTGATTTTTCTATAAACTCACAAGAGATCTTGGTTTCCCAAAGTTCCTGGATCCCAAGATTTCCTCCCTCAATATGTATGTATTCTTATAGGAGTCTTTCATTGGTGTAGCAGAAGTTATCTACCTTAAAAAAATAGGTAAGTCTTGTGTTTTCAGGATGCCTTAAAGGAAACTGACAAGTAGTCTGATGTTTTGTTGAACATAAAGATGAACAAAAGCAACAGTAAACATGACAGTATTAAGCTTATCCATCATTACTATCACTGTTGTCACAATGGCCATTTTCATTGATTTATCTGCTAAGTCAAATGCCAGGTGTTTTACCTGTAACACCTAGAATAAAAACTAATCTATTACTATCCAAAACCCTATTAAATACTATATTTAGTATTTAACCATATATTTGATGGGGTTATTGAATTCTCTATTATATTCATTTTATAGGTTAAGAACAAAAAAATAGAGAGCCTGTGATATTAAGTTTCTAAAATTCAAGATAAAGTAACTTCTTGAGAGAGGGAGAAAGATGGGATTCAGGCAGGGCACGTAAGGAGCTTCACAGACCAAGTTTTTTACTTTCTTGAACTAGATAAGTGAATAGTACATTGAAGAATGAATGCTGTATCACTCTCATACCTTGTGATTACTTATAAATGTTATTTTGTATTTAATCAAAATTTTAACAAGCAAAACCTGAGACACAGAGCGGTGTGGAGGGACTGGTTACAGTGTCCACTGTGCAATACTGCCTCTCACATTCATTTTATAACCATTTTAAGATTTCACTGTATTTCTGCTTTTCAATGTAGCAACCAGTTATGTCTCTCTTGTATCTACTTTTTGATTACTCAATAAAATCAGTGTGCCTATAGTTGAAAATTGTGCAATTTAGTTACTTCAGTGTAGGAGGAGTAAGCTGTTACAAACATGGTGTTTTAACAATGGGCCCCAATCTCAAAGCACTACACTAATTTTAGTTTAGTGGAAGCTAGGAATCAGAAAAGGACACGTGTATTTCTTATTAAACTGAAGTACTGAAGTGAAGAAATCTAGGTGATCTAGACCAACCTAAAGAACGCAGCAGGACCAAGGAATACGGAAAAAAAAAAAAAAAAAAAAAAAAAAAAAAGAAGAAAGAAAGAAAAGAAAGAAAGAAAGAAAGAAAGAAAAGAAAGAAAAGAAACAAAGAAAGAAAGAAAGAAAGAAAGAAAGAAAGAAAGAAAGAAAGAAAGAAAGAAAGAAAGAGAAAATTTCCAGATTCTAAAAGGAAATAAGATAAGATTGGGATGGGGATAGGGAAGTTGAAGGGAAATATCTAAGATGAAATATTTTAACTGAACTTGTGAGTCAAGACATTTAAAACATCTAATAGACCAGAAGGAGACTGAAACAGGGAACCTTCAAATAATATTTTGATTAGCCTCTACTTCCATTCACCTTGGAAAAAAATTAGTTGTTGAATAAATAAGACATGGCAATCTCTTCTAGCTAATTGAAATGTCCAATATTGGTTTGAATGTGTATGGATAACACTGCAAATAATTCAAAAGCATATTAATTAATGAGAGTAAAATTAGATTCCTAGTGGGTGACCTATCTGGTGCATCACTCAAAAGAATTATATTTATCAAAATGTTACCTAAGTTTACTTAGTGTTAACCATGCAAGAAAATGAGGACATATTCATTTTTAACTTCAGCAAGTGTTCCATTTGGGAATAGTTGAATTAAAAGCAAACCCTTACCCTCTATGCTGGCAATAAGCAGAGAGAGAGCCTAGAGATAAATAAAATGATCTAGTCAGATTTAGCATGATACTAAAAAACAGAAAATGCTTTTGATGAAGCAAGTTCTGAGGCTATATTAAAAAAAAGTATCCTATAATTACAGCTGTGATAAATATCCTCACTACAACATGAATTTGGGTCCAATAAACTCGTTCCAAATCCCCTGATTACCTCTTTCTTACCTCTAGTCTCAGTTCAAGATATTTCAGAAATTAACAGACATTTTTCAACTGGTTGCATTGGAGAAATTGTTTTTATTGACTGGACTGGTTTCCAGTAAGTCAGAAGAGTGAGGAAGAATCTGTCAAGGTAGGCTAAACCAATTCAACTGATTCTTACCCAACCTAACAGTAAATAAACCAACAATAATGATGTGCTTTTCACGTAGCATATATAAATGCTGTCTGTGAAAGTTGAAATTGAATCTCTCGTAAGTTTTAGTCAATTAGATTTATGAGAACAGTAATACAGATTGAACATCCCTAATGTGAAAACCTGAAACTTGAAGTGCTCCAAAATCCGAAACTTTTGGGGTGCCACCATAATGCCAGAAATAGATTTCACACGTAAGTACTTAACACAAACTTTTGTTTCATGCCTAAAATTATTTTAAAATATTGTATAAAATAATCTTTAGGCTACATGTATAAGATGTACATAAAATATAAGTGAATTTAGTGTTTACACTTGAGTCCCATCTCCAAGCTATCTCATGATGTATTTGCAAATATTCCAAAATCCGAAAAAAATCAAAATCCAAAACACTTCTGGTTCTAAGTGTTTAGAATAAGGAATACTCAATTTATAGTATATCAACTGTAGTCTATGGACCTGAGATCAAAACTTCCTAATTAAGCTATATCAATACCGATTGAAAATATCCATCTTGTTCATTCATATAAAAAGGAATGAATATATTTTGATAAATTAGTGAACAGGGTAAATATTTAAGTGTAATAAATATCCAAGGGTGACAACACTAAAATCAGACTTAGGAGGTATTAATTTCAGGATTGTTTTGGCTGCCTTAACAAAAACTAAATGAAAGTGGCTTGAGCAAGGTAGAAGATTTATTTCTCTCTCATGTAAACTGTGAGTTGATGGGTGGTCTAGGCATGTGGAGCATCTTTGCTTTGTAAGGCCATCCACTGCCTCAGGTTCCTCCAATTTTACTTGTCTATTCTCATGAGAATGGCCAAAGCTGGCTCGCTCCTACCATACTTCATGACCAGCACACATCTACATTCCAGCAGATGAAGGAGGCAGAGAGTAAGCATCTTGCTTTCAAGAACGTGACCCAAAAGGGTCACACATCAGTTTTACTCATTCACCGTCCAGAACTAAGTCACATGACAGCATATGCTGCAAGGAAGGCTGGGAAATGTAGTCTCTGGAAGAGCAGCCACATACCTCTGTGAAGACTAGGTTGGCTCTTTTCACAAAAGAAAAAGGGGGAAAATGGTTATTAGGGGAAATTATAAGTCTCATCAAATAAGACAGCCGAATATTGGAAAGGACCTTAGTTTTCTCATTTAGGAATTAATTCTATTATCCAATGATATCATTTTTCTATGACCAAACATTAGCCTTCAGCTTATTTGGAAGTTATTCCTGCTACCCAACATACTTTCGACAATGCGATTATTATCTTGTGGATTTGGAGAAACTTCACCTGCCCCCAAATATTTCTCCACAACTTGGCTTTCATGGCTCCTGAAATTTCCATTTATTCTTTAAAGAAAAGTATAGATTTTAGGTTAGAGCGACCCAGCTAGTAGGTTTCAAATCTGGGTCGATCTAACCTAAAATCTATGTTTTCTTCTTTATGAAATGGAGTGGTACTAACTTCTTGTATGAGATTTGGAGATAATATATGTAAAGCCCCTTTTAGTATAGGAATTATAATATCTTCAGATAATCCTTATTTAAATGTGGAACTATATATTATTAAATGAAGGTAACATCTATAAAATAGACTTAGTGCTTATTTCATCAAAAGCACATTTTAGACATTGAGTTTTATGGGAACAGCAATTTCTCTTAGCTCTCTGTCTTTACTATCACCTCCAAAGGGTTTAAATTTATTTCAAGACTCTTTTGAGAATGCAGGCTCCTTCCAAATTTTCAAGCTCCCTTTTAACACCCTATGTGTTTACCTTATTTTTTCTAGTAAGTCACCATGACAGCAGCATGTTTTTTCCTGTCTCTGTAATTATTTTTTATATTTTAGAGAAGTTTCAGTTTGCAGATAAAATTAACTGAAACTACAGAGCTCCTACTTATTCTCTCACTGCTCCCTCAATAGTTTCCCCTATAATTAATATCTTGCATTAGTGTATTACATGTGTTACAATTGATGTCAATATTGATACATTTTTATTAACTAAAGTCTATATTTCACATTAGGGTTCACTCTTTACATTATACATTCCACGGGTTTTGGCAAATGTATAGTGGCATGTATCTACCACTACAGGATCATACAGAATAGTTTCACTATCCCCCAAATCCCCTGCACTCCACTTATGCATCCCTCCTTCCCTCCCCTGGAGTCCCTTTCAAACGCTGATCTTTTTATTGTCTCCATAGTTTTGCCTTTTCCAGAATGTCATAAAGCTTGAATACATACTACGTAGCCTTTTTAGAATGGTGTCTTTCACTTGGCAATATACATTTAAAGTTTCTCCATGTCTTTTTGTAGCTTGATTGCTCATTTCTTATCATTGCTGAAGAGTATCTTATTGTACATATGTAGCACAATTAGTTTATGCACTTACCTGTTGAAGGCCATCTTGGTTCTTTCAAGTTTGGGCAATTATGAATAAAGCTGCTATAAACATCTATGTGCAGGTTTTTGTGTGAACAGAAGTTTTCAACTTATTTGGTTAGATACCAAGGAGTGTAATTGCTGGATAATATGATTAAGTGTTCATTTAATTTGGTAAGAAACTGCCAAACGGAATTACAAAGTGGTGGTACTATTTAACATTCCTATCACCATTGATGAGAATTCTTTTTTGTTCCAGAAGAACATTTCTTGTTAATGTTTTGGATTTTAGCCATTCTAATAGATGCATAGTGGTATCTCACTGTTGTTTTAATTTGCAATCCACTAATGACATATGATGCTGAACATCTTTTCATGTGCTTATCTGCATCCATACATCTTCTTTGGTGAAATTTCTGTTTAAATCTTTTGCCCATTTTTTTTTTAAAGTAGGTTGGTTGTTTTCTTATTGTAGAGTTTTAAGAGTTCTTTGTATATGTTGAATACTAGTCCTTTATAAAATGTGCTCTGCAAAAATTTTCTCCAAATCTGTGGCTTGTCTTTTAATTGTCGTAATGTCTTTTGTAGAGCAGAAGTTTTTAATTTTAACGAAGTGCAACTTATTGATTTTTTTCTTTCATGGATTGTACTTTTGGTGTTGCATCTAAAAAGTCATCACCAAACCCAAAGTCACCTAGATTTCCTCCCGTGCTATCTTCTAGGGATTGTGTGGCTTTGCATTTATTAGCATGCTATTTTTTACCAGCCTTTATATATACACACACATAATTGATGGCATGTTTTATTGGTGGAAATTTATAGCAGAAATATCTCTGACTAACCTGTAGAAACTACAATTTATTTATGGCATGAATTAATCCAAATTTGTTTTTCTTTTTCAAAATTATTTTTACTAGTCTAGTCGTTTGCATTTTAATATAAATTAGAATCAGTTTGCCAAGTATGACCCAAAAAGCCTGCGGAATTTTGATTAAAACTGCACTGAACCTGTACATCAATTAGTGAGAACTGACACCTGTGATTCGTGAGCTACCAGGGTAATCCCTCTGTTTGATTAAGTGTTCTTTGATTTCACTCAGCAAATCTTTGTAGTTTTTACTGTACAGAATTTTGCATTTTTATGCTGTTGTAAGTGGTATTTTTAAAACTTACTTCTGATTATGCAGTGCTAACATACAGTATACAGTAATACAACTGATTTTTGTCTGTTGACCTTGTATCCTACCACCTTACTAAGCTCTCTTATTAGTTCAATAGCCTTTTCATAGTCTTTGGAATTATAGACAATTATGTCATCTGCATTTAGAGACGATTTTATTTTTTCCTTTCCAATCTGTGGCCTTTTATTTCTTTTCCTTGTCTTATTGCTACTTCCTATGACCTCCTGTTCAATGTTGAAAATGATTGGTGAGAATCATCATTCTTGCCTTATTCCCAATCTTAGTAGGAAAGCATTCAGTCTTGACCTCTTGGGCTCAAGCTATCCTCCCACCTCAGCCTCTAGAGTATCTGAGACTATAGGGACATGCCACCATATCCCCCTAGTTTTTAAATTTTTTGTAGAGTAGGTTTTTGCTCTGTTCTCTAGGCTGGTCTTGAGCACCTAGGCTCAAGCAATCTTCCCACCTCAGTCTCCCAAAGTGCTGAGATTACAGGCATGAGCTACCACAGCTAGCCTGAAATGTAGTTTAATATGGTAAATTGCATATACTTATTCTCAAATGTTAAACCAGCCTTGAATTCAAGGGATAAACCCCACTAATCATGTTGAATTTAATTTGCCAAATTTTTGTGAATAATTTTTGCATCTTTTTTTAGGATATTTAGTCCATACTGTACTATTCTTATAATGTCATTGTCTGGTTTTTCTATCAGGTTACTGCTGGCAGAACAGAGAAAGAGAGAGAGCAGGAGAGAGAGAGACAGACAGAATCCACTAGTAGAATAAGCCATGATCACCACTCAAAACTTGTAAGTTTACTTCTTTGCTAATAGATATTGGAATCATTAAGTTTGCTCTTAAAAAAGTATTTTTGTTTTGTTTTGTTTTTTCAGTTGCTACTACTTGATCAGTACCTGGAATTCTGAGGAAAACCCTATTAGAGATTGCAAATCCAGTAAATAAAGGCAGCAGTGGTACCTTGTTAAAAACATCAAATCCAAAGTGCTCTGAGGAGGAATATGTACGGTGTGTTCTAGGGACAGAAAATAAGACAAACGTGGCTGGAGTATTGGAAGGGGAAGTGAGTGTTACTAGAGAAGGTCATGAGGTGAGGCGGGCCAGATCATATGGGTCTGTGTAAGCTATGGCAAGGAGTGTGGATTTTATTCCAAGTAAGATGGAAAGCCTTTATGAAGTTTTAAAAACGGCAGTGTTATGATTTGTAACATCTGAGTTTATGTTTACATCGTGGCCAAATTATTTTATAAAATAATGTAATAATGGTTCAACAGTTTGATTGTGTTGCCCTTAAAATTTCACAAGACTTAAAATTTTCTACACTATTCATTTCAGTATTGACTGTAATTTAATAACTCAATTAGTAATGTTAAATAAATTATTTGTTACTACCTATTGAAATTATATATATATATACACACACACATATCTGTTTAATATAATATACATGTGTCTGATATATATATATATATTTATGAATTATATATGAAAACACTGGCTTTCTTGATTTCGTCGTCGGATGTTTTCCTTGAACATTTACCAAGCCATTGGTATTCTAATGCTATAGAAACTGGTGTTAATAACTCTATTATAAAATGTCTATTGATAACCTTTAAATATTCTTATAGAAATAGTCTTTTCAGGGGGCTGGGCATGGTGGTTCATGCCTGTAATCTCAGCACTTTGAGAGGCCAAGGCAGGTGGATAACCTGAGGTCAGGAGTTCCAGACCTGCCTGGTTAATGTGGCGAAACCCCATCTTTACTAAAAATACAAAATGTAGCCGGGCATGTTGGCGAGCACCTCTAATCCCAGCTACTTGGGAGCCTGAGGCAGAAGAATCACTTGAACACTGGAGGCAGAGGTTGCAGTGAGCCGAGATCGTGCCATTACACTTCAACCTGGGTGACAGAGGGAGACTCCATCTCAAAAAAAAAAAAAAAAAAAAAATAGTCCTCCCAGTTTTGCCTAAAATATCAAAACAGCCAATCAATATTTAATTGGTGTTTCCAACTTAGATATATAATTTGGAAAAACATTTTAGTAGGCCTGTGCTTATTCATATGAAATAAGTAACTGCATATATGTTACAAATAATAAGGCCTCAGGATATCTGGCTCCCCAAAACACCCTTAATTTGAAGGAGTCAGGGAAGTAGCATCCACATTAAATGTATTTATGAGAACAGTCTAAGTTACTTCAGTTGTTAAGATAGTTGTCTGGTAGCAGAATATAAAAACCTATGAGAACAGGAAAATTATATTTTAAAGAGAAAGGTTTTCGAAATCTAAAATTCCAGGTGTGTAGGTATCATGAAAGGAAGGGCAGGTAGGGCACCCTTTGCCCATCTCATAGGTCTGCCAAATTTGACCTTAGTTTTTACAATATTTTAAATCACCTAATTTTTAGTTACAAGTTACCTTCATAGATTCAATTGCCTTGATGAGGTTCAATTTCTTCTTAAAAAGGGTATTACCATTACACCACATTTTAATATACATTTTATGGCTATCCATCAGCAATACATGACTTGTTCAAAATTAAAACTATATTTTTATGTGAGTTACATTTGGTGACACTTCAAACTAATTTTGAAGATTCACTGAGTATAATCAAGATCATAACAAATTTCCCCACATGTTTTGTAAATAAAAAATGTATTTATAGATATTAGTAAGACTATTTGGTGTTCCGTTTTTTAAGCCCGTTAGAAAAGCGCAGTATTACCGTGGGAGTGACCTGATTTTCCAGGTGCCATCTGTCACCCCTTTCTTTGACTAGGAAAGGGAATTCCCTGACCCCTCGCGCTTCCCAGGTGAGGCAATACCTTGCCCTGCTTTGGCTCGTGCACGGTGCGCTGCACCCACTGTCCTGCACCTACTGTCTGGCACACACACACAAAAAGACTATTTGGGAACACGAAGCTATAAGATTAAACAAAATGTTATAATCTTTTCTTGTTGGGGATCATCTGTTCTTTAATTTCAAACTAGAGTCTAAGATGATGTAGAAAATATGTTAGCTATTTCTTAAAGTGAACTTATTAAAAATGAGGAATTGTAGTATAATTCCAAGATTGAAGGGTGATGAAGTATCTGTTGTTTGTGATCTTTTCCCCTCACTCAAAATCATATGATTAAGAATGGGTGTGAAATTACAAGCAATTAATATTTATATTATTTTTGAGACTGTTACAGAGTTAGATTTGTGATTAACAAGACAAAATTCTATCAAAGACTGTGGTTTTGCCTTTAATTTCACATAATGTTAAGTATTCTTACTTAAAAGGAGTATGTTGACACTTTCTATGCAATATGGTACAAAAGAAAATTTATTTATTAATTTTCTCTCTTCTTGGAGTATCAAA
This sequence comes from Homo sapiens, assembly GCF_000001405.40. NCBI lineage: Eukaryota > Metazoa > Chordata > Mammalia > Primates > Hominidae > Homo > Homo sapiens. Next base: position 220,742,955 of record NC_000002.12, read on the forward strand.
ATATATTAGCCGTTGGTAATGAACAAACATGCTAAATTTTATGAAGTGAGTTCCCTTCTCTTTTTCCTTTTTTTAAACACTAGAACATCACAAGGTCAAATGGCAGATGGTTTGAGAGCCCCATCACAGACATTTTACATAGCAACTTTAAATGAAAATTGTATTATTTTTTCTATTGTTTCATAAAGAAATTACTTCAAAGCTTAAGGTTAAAATAAGAAATATTTATTATAACACACAGTTTCTAAGGGTCAGGGAAATGAGAGCTGCTGGTGCTTCTGGCTGGATGGTTCTCTTAGAGTTGCAGTGAAGATGTCAGCCAGGGCTACAGTCATTTCAAGGGTTGACTGGGGCTGGTTAACTCACGTGACAGTTGTCTAGAGGTCTCAACTCCTTGCCACATGGGCCTTTCTGGAAGGCTACCTAAGTGTCTTCAAGACACTGCCTCTGGCTTCCCCCCATAACTCTCAGAAAAAGCAAGGCAGAAACCACAGTGTCTTTCATAACCCTGACTCAGAGGCATCAAACCATCACTTCTGCCATGTTCTGTTTGTTACCTAAACCCACCACTGATACAACATGGGAAGGAACTACACAATGGCATAAACACCAGGAGGCAGAGATCACTGGGTATCGTCTTGGAGACTGGACACCACAAAATAAGAGTAAATTGAGTGTGAGGAGGTTAGTTTGATTTCTTTTCCTCCTTCCTCTCCTCTGCCTCTTCCCTCTCCTTCTCTTCTTCCTCCTCTAATTTCTAAGAGACACATTGTAATCACCATTAGTCCTGCATTAGCTACAAATCTAAGGACACTCATGCTCATGTATATACATGAGCCAATAAACAAATAGACCTATTTACTTGCAATTTAGCATATGAAATTTTTCCACATGCAAAACAATTTAAAATGTTGATTCAGAGCCAAAAAAGAATCCATATTCAAGCAACTATTGCTCACTATTTTACCGGAAAAATGCCATGTTGGCAATCTTTATTAAGTTAATAGTGACAATTTTCATAGTTTTATTCATTTTTATTTTCTTGGTTCACCTAATAGTTTCTGAACATTGTAAACTATCTTGAAATGTATTTTAAGAAAATAAAGATTTCTCATCATTTGAGTAAATCTTTTCTACTAATTTGCACATAAGTAGATTAATCATAGGTAATAAATAAATAAATAATTGAAAGAAATTTTACATGCCATGTTGGCAATCTTTATTAAGTTGATAGTGACAATTTTCATAGTTTTACTCATTTTTATTTTCTTGGTTCACCTAATAGTTTCTGAACATTGTAAACTATCTTGAAATGTATTTTAAGAAAATAAAGATTTCTCATCATTTGAGTAAATCTTTTCTACTAATTTGCACATAAGTAGATTAATCATAGGTAATAAATAAATAAATAATTGAAAGAAATTTTACATAGAAACTTCCATATGTGTGTTTTTGAATGATGCATATCAAAATGGTCTTTTCAAGTATTTTTCAGTGTGATTCATTAACCAGCAGCATTACTAGCAATGCTTACAAAAAACTGTGGATTCTTAGACCCTACCCAAAGCCTACTGAAGTTTGAAGCTACTGAGTTTGAAGTCCACATTTTAGCAAGCTGTTAGGTGATCCTTATGCATACTGAAGAGGTCAAGCTCCTTCTCTTTGCAATATACTTTTCAGATTTAGCAAAACCCTATTTCCCATATTTGCACTAGCCATGCTCTTTTGGGTGCTAGTTTTCCTTGTTGTGCTTGAGCTTTAATTTACTACACACCCATAACATGCAATCACAGTATAAAGAAGGATGTGTTCCCCACTTGGGTAGAACCTTGCCAGATGCCCCACTTTATGTGGGTGGAGAAGAATCTGAAAGTTGAGACTTCAATTCAGGGCTAGCAAGTCCATACACACATCAGCACCACTTAATCCTTTAAAATGCTCTATATTTTAAATGTTTTCCATTTTTCTTTAGTGGAAATAATAAAGTGGCTTTAAATAAACAGTTTCTTCTGTTTCAGAAAGTTGTGTGTTTATCTCAGTGTGGCCAATCAATGGATTCCAAAAGGTTTATGGTTTTTTTACTCCTATGGGGCAACCAAAGGCTAAATTCTAAAGGATTTGGAAATGTCAGCTTGTAATACAAACTGTGTTGGCCTTGGGGCCTGAGATCACAACCGTTACTCACCATGTTTACAAATTATATCATTTAGTCTAGTATACTAACTGTAAACTCACCGACAATTATAGTAGAGAAAGAATTACAGTCAGCCTTTTTCCTTTTTTTTTTTTTGTTGTCTGAACTGTCATGACATATGGATTCCTCATCAGTCCTCAAATCACATAGAGGGCCTCCCTAGAAGCTACTCTTGAAATCAATAGGCAGCTAGGCTTTCAGATGAAATACGGAATTGCTATAGACTTTTTCAGAAGGAGAACAAATGGTTTCACTAAACGAGTCCCGTATGTTATTCCAGGCAGATGTATACACATCTGTGATTTTTAATAGAAAGGATGAAAGTATTACATTTCATTAGGTAAGTTACACATTTGAAAAGTCGGTTTTTTCTTCAGGCTATTATTTTTCTGTTTGTTGTTCCTTCTTACCCAATTCTCTCCAATTGTGCTCAGAAAGGCATGATTGTGCACCCTTCTGAGGACAGAATGGTGATTCTTTACTTCTCTCTCAATATCCTCTTTTCCTTTTTCTTTCTCTACCCCACCTCCTCTTTTCTGTCTGTCCTCTTCTCTTCCCATTAATGTAGCTTTCAAAGTTGTATTAACTTTTTATTTGGCCTAAACAAGATCTGCTCACTTTTAAGACTTTGCGCAAGAGAAAGGTAAGTAGTTTGTGGCTCTTCGCAACTGGCTGCTTCCATTGCCAAGTTGTGCAGTCTAGGGAATGCATAAATCCTAAACTGTCAAATATTGCCACTGAGCTTGTGCTCAAAGGATTTGGCAACTTCAACAGAGTGAAGAAACATTGGCCAACTACGGTGGCTCATGCCTGCAATCCTACACTTTGGGAGGCCGAGGCGGGTGGATCACCTGAGGTCAGAAGTTCGAGAGCAGCCTGGCCAACATGATGAAACCCCGTCTCTACTAAAAATACAAAAATTAGTCAGGCGTGGTGGCATGCCCCTGTAACCCCAGCTACTCGGGAGGCTAAGGTGGGAGAATTGCTTGAACTCAAACCCAGGAGGCAGAGGCTGCTGTGAGCTGAGATCGTGCCACTGCAGTACAGCCTGGGTGACAGAGTGAAACCCCGTCTCAAAAAAAAAAAAAAAAAAAGAAAAAAAAAAGAAAGAAACACTACTTATCCGCTAAAAGCCTGATAGGTGGTACATTTGCTTTTAGAACATTGTACAATATTGACTCTGGATTATATTAATATTGATATAAATATAGATATATAGATACCAATACAGATATATCTGAGAAAATGTAACTCCTTTACATTTCACATACTATATATATAATTATTTCATATTTCATGTGAAGTTATGTATTTCACATATAATGAATATACTAATATATATGGTATTATGTATTTCATATATATTATTATTTGCATTATATCCATAATATGTATTTCATATATATTAGTATATCCATATTTGGAGGGGCTAATAAAAGTGGCAGAAATTAAGGGACAAAGAGGAATAGTGATAAGACAGATGATATATTTATATTTTTATTCTAATAAATACATTAGCTGACATATTAAGAAGTACTAGTGCCTGTGGAGAGGGGGATGTATGTGTGTGTGGTACCATCTGTGAAAATTTTCTTTCCAGCCAAAAGGTCTTGTGAACCATCAGCCATCGTATTTCTTGGGTAGCTGTCATTGATCTATACCTGACATTCTAGGCAAGATCCCATTAGAGATTGCAAATCCAGTAAAGATAGAAGCCAGGAGGATGGGTCACAAGAAAAGATGGGTCACAAGAAAAGATATAGGAAAATGCTATACATTTTAAGGTAGAAATAATGACATTTTGTTAAAAGTGCTTAGAAAATAATATGTTTTAGAAATTATTTGTAGAATGATATTAAGAAAGTGGAGAAACAAGTTATTACAAAAAAATGAGAGTTTTCTCTCTCCAACTTCAAAACTGGACTAGTGCATCGATTGGCAAGACTGGTCAGAACCATCCAGGAAAAGTCAATAGTGAGGGCAGCCCTCCACAGAATCTAGCCCGTCAGATTTCCTAGAGTTCCTTCAACCTCCACCCAGCAGCTACGGGAGCTAAGGGCTTTGCAGTGACCCAGGAAAACAGTCTGATGGAAACAGAACAGCTCCTTTCAGGTGATTCCTTGGGTCTGAAACTCAAAGTCAGTCCCCAAACCCCCAACATTTGCCAAGGCCAAGCATTGAGCTCTGTTCCCTCCTATCTATGCATACTTCTTATAATCTCTGTTCTTCTTTAGGGACCAATTTAGTGTTCATTATAATTTGATATAATGTCTAAAAACTGTACATTTTCCTTGGGCTCAACCACTTTCCAGAAGTATAGTAATCATCTTGTCCTATGTGATCAGTGTAATGGTGGGAGCTTCATCGTATTTTATTGTGGCATATTTTTATGTGAAGAGTAATGCTTATATGCATTTTTAAAATAATCTACTTTAAGGTTACCCACTAGTGAATTTTTCTTCTCAGGTCAACACTATTTCTTATTTAATCATCAGCTTGGTTTTTTAAAATACCACAAATCTCTCTAAATTCAATATTGGTCTATTACTTTGGCTTCCTTTTTTTGTCTATAACAATAAAAAATGAGATAGAGATGTTCTATCAGCACCTTTATGAATATTGATATTTCTCAAAAGTGTGCTCTTATACTTCAGGCCTACTGTAAAGAAAATATGGAAAGAGCTTCTGGTTTCTTTGAAAAAAAAATCAATGAAAATCTCAAGACAAGGCATAATGTCAAGTAAGTCCAATAATCAGACCATAGCTAATGACTAAAAAATCATGACGTGGCAAAAATGAAGTTTCATGCCTGTTCAGGTTACTAAACAAAAAATTGACTGATCTTCAACTAAAGCAAAAACAATGGAGAATGTATTGTACATCCCATCAAGCCTTCTGAAAGGTCATCTAATTAACATTTTGCATTAACTCTTACTCTTCAATTTGACCTCAAAATACCAGAAATATACTGTGGCATATTAGAGTTTCATAGTGATTATAAACACAAAGAAACAGAAAGCTAGAAAGCACTGCAAGTAGGGAGGACTTCTCCCTTTGCATCAGAGATGTCAGAAGAGATAAGGATACTGAGAAGACAGCTGGACATGGAGGTGAGCATAAGATGGACTCAGGACGGTGATCCAAATACCCTGATACAGAAAAAGGCAGCTTAGTTCAAGAGTTCTTAAATAGGAGTCATCGGAGACCCACAGCTATGTTGCTCTCAGGATAAAGGCAGTCCTGAATCTTGATTATATTAAATCACGTTAGGCGTGTTTGCAGAGTTGGCTGCACAAATAGACTGGAGAGGATGCTTATAATATAAAATGTAGATACTCAAATAAAATGTTTCCTATTCTGCTTATCATGGTGGTTCAAATTCCATCACTATTGATTACTCTCTGAAATGCTGAGTTGCTGCAAACAGTAAGAGACTGGGAGTACAGAAGAAACAAGACATATAAGAGGTTCATTAAAAAGTCAATGAAATATTTAATAAGCAACTATTACATCAATATATTTGTATGAAGAAGGAGGAAGGGATATAAGATGGAATTTATTTTTTCAATGAGTAAACATTTGCAGAATACCCAGGATGATCATGCATTGTATTTGCAGATAGACAGATTGAATGACAAATAACAACCTCAGCCCTAGAGAAGCTTTAACTTTTATAATTTTTTCCCAATTTTCATATTAAAGAGACAAAATTGATAAAGTTTAAATTTTCTCAAAAAAGTACCATAATAAGCATGTGAATCCCTCCCTGGCAAGCAAGGTATCCAGGTTCTCTCATCAGAACTGACTAGAAGGCTGGTGCGATCCATAGAGAGGAAGAACAGTGTGGTGCGGAAGCCTGTCTGAGAGCCACACGGGCAGGGGAGCCCCCTCTCCCGAGCCAAGGAAGGCAGCGAGTGAGCATGCTACCCAGCCAAGGAAACCGTGCTGTTACCACGGAATTGTGCAACTCATGGATCAGATTCCACTTGCGAACCCACGCCACCAGGGCCTAGCATCCCAACCCTGGAGCTGTGCAGATTCTCAACAGCCTCTCAGCTGGAGCCTACTGAACTCCCAGCGGAAGGGGAAACCGGCACCAATGCTGCGGCTGTATGCTGTCTAAGCCCTTTGAACTCCTTGGGGGAGGAGCAGCAGCCAGCACTGGGTCTGGCAACTAACATGCTAAGCCCCCTGGGCAGGGGAAGGACAGCATCCATCTCTACAGCTCCTGGCTGCACTTTCCCCTGCTAAAGCCAGGGAGGCTGGAGGGCTTAGTCTCAAGATGTGTCCCCTAAAGTGCAACACACTGGCTGTGGCAGGCTGCAGCCAGGGCACCTCTTCAGGCCTGACCCTGACCCATCCTTCCTCATTGGTTGGGGCTTCCCTGCAGGAACTCCAATAGCTCCAACCAGAGGCTCAAGGACAGAACAGAACAGGGCAGGGGAGCAATCCTACAGGCATCAGATTGGTGCCCGTCGAGGTCCGAGATCCCAGAAGAAGGAGCAGGCATCCACCTTTGCTGTTCTCCAGCTTCCTTGAGTGACATCTCCAAGTGAGGGGGCGAACCAGATGAATAGGACCTGAAGTGAACCCCTGGAAAACTGCAGGAGCCCTACAGAAGAGGGACCTGACCATTGAAAGAAAAACAAACAAACAGAAAGCAACAACAGCATCAACAACAACAAAAAGTACCCACAGAATAGCCCTCCAAGGATCAGCAGCCTCAAAGATCAAAACTAGTTAAACTCACAAAGATGAGAAAGAATCAGCAAAAACAAAAAACAAAAAACTGAAAATCCAAAAAGCCAGTGTGACTCTTCTCCTCCAAATGATTGCAGCGTCTCTCCAGTAAGGATGCAGAACTGGATGGAGGATCAGATGGACGAATTGACAAAAGTCCGGCCCTCTAGGTGGTAAATTCTGAGTCATTCTTCAATCTCCAGGACAAAAACACTTTGCAATTGTGTCTGGGTTAGTTCCGAGTCTTACGCTAAAGGGCTTTAAATTCAACTATAATTAAGACTTACCTGAGAAAATGTAACTCCTTTACCTGTTAGCAGAAAGTTACTCTGCGTGTGAATGGAGGATCTGTGGCTGAGGTGGATGGGGTTTTCTAAATATAAAAATCATGTCGTCTGCGAACAGAGACAATTTGACTTTCCCTCTTCCTATTTGAGTATGCTTTATTTCTTTCTCTCGCCTGATTGCCCTGGCCAGAACTTCCAATACTATGTTGAATAACAGTGGTGAGAGAGAGCATCCTTGACTTGTACCAGTTTTCAAAGGGAATGGTTCCAGTTTTTGCCCATTCAATATGATATTGGCTGTGGGTTTGTCACAAATAGCTCTTATTATTTTGAGATATGTTCCATCAATATCTAGTTTATTGAGAGTTTTCACATGAAGGGACATTGAATTTTATCAAAGGCCTTTTCTGCTTCTATTGAGATAATCATGTGGTTTTTGTCTTTGGTTCTGTTTATGTGATGTATTACATTTATTGATTTGCATATGTTGGACCAGCCTTGCATCCCAAGGATGAAGTCAACTTGATCGTGGTGGATAAGTTTTTTGATGTGCTGCTGGATTCAGTTTGCCAGGATTTTATTGAGGATTTTTACACCTATGTTCATCAGGGATATTGGCCTAAAATTTTCTTTTTTTGTTTTGTCTCTGCCAGGTTTTGGTATCAGGATGATGCTGGCTTCATGAAATTAGTTATGGAGGAGTCCCTCCTTTTCAATTGTTTGGAACAGTTTCAGAAGGAATGGTTTCAGCTCCTCTTTGTATTTCTGGTAGAATTTAACTGTGAATCTGTCTGGTCCTCGGTTTTTTGTTGGTTGGTAGGCTATTAATTACTGCCTCAATTTTGGAACTTGTTTTTGGTCTATTAGGAATTCAACCTCTTCCTGGTTTAGTCTTGGGAGGGTGTATGTGTCCAGGAATTTATCCATTTCTTCTAGATTTTCTAGTTTATTTGGGTAGATGTATTATAGTATTCTCTGATACTAGTTTGTGTTTCTGTGGGGTCAGTGTCATTTTTGTCATTTTTGTTGTGTCTATTTGATTCTTCTCTCTCATATTCTTTATTAGTCTAGGTAGTGGTGTATCTATTTTGTTAATTTTTTCAAAAAAATCAGCTCCTGGATTCATTGATTTTTTTGGAGGGTTTTTCATGTCTCTATCTCCCTCAATTCTGCTCTGATATTAGTTATTTCTTGTCTTCTGCTAGCTTTTGGATTAGTTTGCTCTTGCCTCTTTAGCTCTTTTAATTGTGATGTTAGGGTGTCGATTTGAGACCTTTCTAGCTTTCTGATGTGAGCATTTAGTGCTATAAATTTCCCTCTTAGCACTGCTTTAGCCATGTCCCAGAGATTCTGGTATGTTGTCTCTTTGTTCTCATTGGTTTCAAAGAACTTCTTGATTTCTGTCTTAATTTCATTATTTACCCAGGAATCATTCAGGAGCAGGTTGTTCAATTTCCACGTAATTGTGTGGTTTTGTGTGGTTTTGAGTGAGTTTCTTTCTTTCTTTTTTTTTTTTTTTTTTTGAGACGTAGTCTTGTTCTTTCGCCCAGGCGGGACTGCAGTGGCGCCATCTTGGCTCACTGCAAGCTCCGCCTACTGGGTTCACACCATTCTCCTGCCTCAGCCTCCCAAGTAGCTGGGACTACTACAGGTGCCCACCACCACACCTGGCTAATATTTTTTGTATTTTTAGTAGAGATGGGGTTTCACTGTGTTAGCCAGGACGGTCTCGATCTCCTGACCTCGTGATCCGCCCGCCAGGGCAATCAGGCAAGAGAAAGAAAGAAGCATACTCAAATAGGAAGGGAGAAAGTCAAATTGTCTCTGTTTGCAGACGACATGATTTTTATATTTAGAAAACCTCATCCACCTCAGCCACAGCAGGGCAAACTCAGGTATCTGGTCAGTGAGTGTTAGCATGTAGTGTTAGGTATGTAGTTGTTCTCTTCCAAATAATAGAATGCAGGATTATAAATACAACATAATCAACTTAATATCAAATTTAAAATTAAAATAACAAGCTCCATGCACTGTCATCATCAAGGTCAAGGTGACCAAAGTCCAGCCCTCTAGGTGGTAAATTCTGAGTCATTCTTCAATCTCCAGCACAAAAACACTTTGCAGTTGTGTCTGGGTTAGTTCCGAGTCTTACGCTAAAGGGCTTTAAATTCAATTATAATTAAGATTTACCTGAAAAAATGTAACTCCTTTACCTGTTAGCAGAAACTTACTCTGAGTGTGAATGGAGGATCTGACTGAGAATGTTAAGAGGAGTGAGGACATGGAAGGACCACACAGGATCAATGCACCTTTGCATGATTGAGGGCCTAGAATAGGGAGAGGTGTAGCCCCTGCCTTTGGACATAGGACATAGGGCACCTATGTGTAGGGATATATGTGCAGGGTTAGCCGGATGCTCCTCACCTTAAGATGAAGTAATGGCCCAGCACTGTGGCTCACACCTGTAATCCCAGTACTTTGGGAGGCCAAGGTGGGCAGATCACCTGAGGTCAGGAGTTCAAGACTAGCCTGGCCAATATGGTAAAACCCCATCTCTACTAAAAATAAAAAAATTAGCCTGGCGTGGTGGCAGGCACCTGTAGTCCCAGCTACTTGGGAGGCTGAGGCAAAAGAATCACTTGAACCTGGGAGGTGGAGGTTGCAGTGAGCCAAGATCGTGCCACTGCACTCCAGCCTGGGTGACAGAGTGAGACTCTGTCTCAAAAAAAAAAAAAAAAAAAAAGGTGAAGTAACACCCCAACAAACCCATCCTAAGTTAAAAATATCGTAAGTCAAAATGCATGTAATATACCTAACCCACAGAACATCACATCTTAGCTTAGCCTACCTTAAATGTGCTCAGAACACTTACTGTGTAAAGTTGTCTAACACAAAGCCTGTTTTATAATAAAGTGTTGAATAGTGCATGTAATTTATTGAACACTATACTAAAAGTGAAAAACAGAATGGTTTTATGGGCACTCAAAGTACAGTTTTTACTGAATGTGTATCACTTTGCACCATCCTCAAGTTGAAAATGATAAGTGGAACCATCGTGAGTCAGGGATCTTCCGCACGGGGATAAGTACAGAGGTTTCTGGAGCCTTACCAATTCAGGAAAATTTTGGGACTTAATAAGCACAAGGAGACATGGAGGACTGGACAATTGGGCATAAAAGGAATATACACTTAAGGGATATGAGCCTAGAAAAATTGGACGGATGGTATTTTATATTTTCACTGAATTTTCTTGTAAATGTGAGCAGTCAATAAATGCTTGAGGGAATTAGAAAATCTGGTCAATGAGTGTTACCATTTATATAATATTTTGGACCCTTAAGTTGTTTTTCTCGAACTTGTTTTTATATTAGTCAATAAGTATGCACAATTTCATGTTTCAAATGTTTTGGCAAATTTCTTCATTGGTTTTTTCCCAGCTTTAATTTTTGCATCTGGCAAGAGTTTCTGCAAATTCCCTGTGGTAAAGATGGCAGGCTGCCCTGGAGATCTTCTCTTCCTTGTGGGTTGGCTGTGGCTCGGAAGTGGCGGCTTCCTGGAGCCTGTGTGTCCATTCCCAACTTCCTTGCATCTAGGTAAGGCCTCATGACTAAATTCTGGTCAATAAAATATGGGCAGAATTGATGTTTACCACTTGTATGCCTCAGTCATGTTAAAAAACAACAACAACAAAAAACAAAAAACCACCTGTGCAATCCTGTGGTCTCTTACTTAGTGTCAGCTGGATGTTGTCTCCCAGGATCCCAGGATAACCCCCAGAGCCACGTGTTGAAGATGATGGTTTGGTCAGTCTGGATCCCTCTGTCTCCCACTCCAGCTGTAGATTGAACTTTCTGTGAGCAAGAAATGAATCTCTGTTTAAAGTCATTTAGGTCTTGCATGTGATGTGACTTTGTGTCTTTTCTTATATAATCGGGTATCCTCTTGGTGCACAATGAAACCCACTTAATAATTCCTTTTAATGTTGGTGTTTTGGCCCTAAAGAGCTGGCACATTGCATACATGTCTGCTAAGAAACCTATAAATAGCTTGTAGTCAACTGTGTGTATCTGGTCTCAGATTCTTTCATAGAGACAGGTCTCCTTTGAAAGACGAGCCTCACAAACTTGGCCACCATGTGATAAGGCCTTGTCAGCAACAGATAATTGGGGGTTCAACTTCAAGAAAATCCTAACTATAGTCATTGTCTCCAAAGGTCATTCACAGAAGGTGGTGGTGGCCATTATACAACTATAATGGGATTCCAAATCAAACACACAAATGAGGCAAGAAGACTTTTATTTTTTGTATTCTGCCTTTTTTCCTTCTGAAGCTTTAGAGAAGTGAAAGAACAAGGGCAAAAGTGGCTTGTACTTGTTATCCAAATACTCTATTCTGAATGCTATGGGACACCGGCACAGCAGTGCCAGCCACAGCTGAAAAGAAAAGGTTGTACTTAAGTATCCGTAGCAAAAAGAAACACAAGCAACAAATAGTTCTGCCATCCATGGCCAGTATTTTGATTATGAATCCTGAGATGTACTTAACCAAAGATATCTAAATGATTAACTTTATAGAAAGTCAATGACAATGTTCAGTCAAATACAATAAAGTTAAACTAAGGGATGGAGAAAATGCCCCATTAAGAAGAAATTGCATAAGCCACTGCTGTGGTTCTATTTTTGCAGGATAATTAAACCGATTTAAGGGAAAGATGGGATTAAGAGACAGAAAGTGAGAGGTCATCTAATCTACCAGTTTTTCAAAAGCCAATTCTCTGATCTATGCTAGTCCGAGATAATGTCTTCCCCGTTAATGGACAAATGAAATAAATTAGGAAAATGAATGAGCTTTTAATAAAGTATGCAACATAAATTATATTCTTTATCCTATGAACATGTGCTTCTTAATTTTTATACTAAATGTTCTTTCTTCAAAGAAATTTTAGTCATAATAGTGTTTATTGATGGTTTTATTTTCTTTTTAATATCTTTTACTGAAAAATAAAGTAGCCCTTAGTTCTTTTATTTATTTATTTATTTTTGGAAATTGTACTGGTTTCTGAAATTCTAGAAGCTATTCTAATTTATTCCTTGAATTCAAACAGGACTATAATTCACACTCTGAAACAGAATCCTACATCACGTTTTTTAGAAAGAGGGAGCATTTTATAAAATCTCTGAATAATACTTGTCTATGCTAAAGATATTTCACCATTAGAAATGCTCTATTTTCTCTGATACTAAGGGTTAGATGGGTTAAATTACTTTACAAATTTTTTTTCATGCCCAGTATCATAGAAATGTAGAGCTAGACTGGGCACTGAAAAACATCTGGTTAAATTACTTTCTTTTATATAGAGATGCAGGTGGAGACACACAACAGTAAGGTCATTGGATCAGTATCCTATGATTGGGTAATTGCACAAATAGGTCCTTTGAACTCTCAGCCATACTGTTTTCTATGTACCATATCGGCACCTTAATTAAATAGCACAGCCCACTTCTCAGGTGAAGCTCTTTCAAGTTTTGACAAGCTTTGGTTTAATTTGATTCTTACCTGAACCACATCTATATTATAAAAATAATAATTCTTAATATAAATTGCATGTCATTTGAATGTTAGAGTAATTGTATACTCCTTTATATATATCCCGTGTAGGGAAAGCCTTCATATGGGGAAGCACTTGCCAACAGGGTGATCATGATGCCAATGGAAGGCTCTATAATTGGGAGAGTTGGGCTTACTTCAAGGATAGAGAAGGGAGGAGAGCCAAACTAAAACAATTTTTTTTCTTAAAATAGCTTACATTTTGTCAAACAACAATTTTTATTTACAACTGATACACAAATGAAAACAAGATATGGAGAAAACTTGTGTACAGTTTTTAAACAAACTGAACTCTTTTACATCCCATATTATGAGAGAATTCCAAACTTTTACAGGAAATGGAGTTCCCTTAAAACATGATCCAACTTGAATCTGTGTCGCTGGCAGTTTTGAGTCTTCAAAAGATAGCTATTTTAAGCTAAGCTTTCTAAAATCTATTTCCTTACAACTGTATATATAAAAAGTGTACTATTATAGGAATATTAATACAATCCCCATTTACAAATTGTAGAGGGGATATAAGTGGAAAATATGAAGTAGAACATTCAGAATGGTGCAGAAAATGAAATGGGAAATTGCTGCTGCTGTGTTAGCCCTCCTTCTCCCAGAAACCAGAGAAAATAACTCCTCTCCTCCCCTTAGCTGTGAAAGCAGGGAGGGTGCTTGGGGAGAGGGTCAGAGCACACCCCATGCGGGTGTCAAAATTGTGCTTTGCCTGGTTGGAAAATGAGTGTCTGACTTATGGAAGAATCACCCTTTGGCACATCTGACATGTATAAAATTCTCCTCAGTGGAGTATCCCACTAGGATGAAGCAAGTATTGCATAAATGAAAACCTTTATGATGCTATCATTTACTTGTTAATGTGTATACAGATGTATAACAAGCATATATGTGTGTGTGTGTGTTTCTGTACAACCATATGTATAACTGAATCAGCCTTTGTCTTCTTTCACTATCTTATTCTACTTGCACATTTAGGAGTGGTAGGAATCACTTATAACCCTGGCCTATCCACTCCTACCCCCGCTCATTTCCGCTTCCTTGGTACAAAGGCTCTAACTGTGCTCACCTGGGCTCCGTGGGCGTGTCTCTTCCTCTGGGTACTCACTGCCATAAACAGCGCTTCCTGCTGTATGAAATTTCACTCATTCCTTCCTGCCTACCTTCCAAGTTCAAAACTTCTGGTCCTATCTGTAACTGCCCGCCTTTCCAACTCAATCCCTTATCAGAGTTCACATTTTTCCCCTTTTCCCTGATAATTGCCCCCATTCTTCTGCTCACACCAACTGTTACATTCTTAAGTTGAGATCTGTCCTTTTTTTTGTTGTTTGGTTTACCCTATCAAGAGTTTATATTAAACAAAAGGGTGCAGTTTAGATAAATAAGTATGTGTGCATTATTATTCTAGAGAGAATTTTGTTCACAATGGGATATATAATTGATACACATTTCTCTATAAAATTTTTAAGATTTAAATGGGAACGGTAGGCAAGTAAACTTACATGGGAACTAGAATAATGACCCTAGGATTTGGTACTGTGGCTTTTGTTTTTGAACTGAAAATTTCTACTGTCAGTTGATTCACTTGATAACCTAGGTAAAAATACTGAATGGTTTTGTTTTAGCGCGCGCGCGCGCGTGTGTGTGTGTGTGTGTGTGTGTGTGTAAAAATACATTTTGACATGATGGAGATAGGGTTAGCACTGTTCTAACTCCTACTTCAATCTCTACATTTCCACTTCATGCCCCACCAGTCATGCTTAGTAAATAGTGAATTCTAGGAAGTTTGAAATATATGTTTTCCATAGTAAAATTTATTATAACTACGGTCAAAAATATACCAGTTGCCTAAATTAACTTGAAGTAAATATTATTCAGACACATAGACTGACTCCTAATGTGTAGACTTCAGCATCTGTTGTAATATTTTCATGTTTCTGTTTACAACTGACTACTTGGAAGCCATTATTTCATAGAGTTGGCATCACTGGGCTATTCAGTGAATGTAGAGTAGGGGTGATGGGCATGGTATGTACATCCTCTGGCTTTTGTAACTGTGTTTTAAGAAGTGGATTGGCATGCCTCTTATCAGTCAATGGGCTAAAGGGATTCTGTTGCTATTCTGTAGTATTTCAAATATAGAGAAGAGCTCATGAATGTGTGGGTCATTATACTCTTGCTGGCTTTACGTGTGGATAAAGATGGATGACTCCCAGGTGTGATGTGACAGGCTCTACAAAAACCTTTCCCCAACATTTTCTCTCTTCTCTTTGCTTCTTACACTACTGAAAACAGAAACAACAGGGTACTAGCCTGTGGGGTTAAGGTAGTGCAGCCTAGCATGGACTCTGGAGCTGGATTACTGAGTCCAAAGTTCAGTTCCAATAACTATCAGCTGTGTGGCTTTGATCATCTACCTAACCTCTCTGAGCTTCAATTTCCTCATCTCTATTGATGAAGAAAATAATAGCACCTGATCATTGTTGTGGGGTTAAATATGTAGATATGTACAAAGTACTTAGAACAGTGGTTGCCAGCTACATAGGATGTGCCACTGTGGCTATTATGATTGAGGATTTTTCTGGAGATAAAAAACACTGAACTAAAACCGGAAATCAGTAACTTTACTGTGTCCATAGGAAGTCTACTGGGTAGAGGAACTCTGAAAGAAAGAGAGGATATCAAAGATAAACTAATTTGTTTGGAGGTTCACCAAATCTTCATAGTTCTAAATATCATATCCTCTGAAAAGCAGATATGTTTGCATTTTTATTTATTTATTTATTTATTTATTTATTTATTTATTTTTCAATGTTGGATTTTTTTTAAATTATACTTCAAGTTTTAGGGTACATGTGCACAACGTGCAGGTTAGTTACATGTGTATACATGTGCCATGTTGGTGTGCTGCACCCATTAACTCGTCTGGAAACCATCATTCTCAGCAAACTATCGCAAGGACAAAAAACCAAACACCGCATGTTCTCACTCATAGGTGGGAATTGAACAATGAGAACACAGGGACACAGGAAGGGGAACATCACACACTGGGGCCTGTTGCGGGGTGGGGGGAGAGGGGAGGGATAGCATTAGGAGATATACCTAATATTTTTGCATTTTTACAACCAAACAAAAGTATTCTGAGAAATGCTAGAATGGCAGCCTCTGGCAAATGACTTGGGATCCAAAGCAACTTGCCATCTTAAGGGAGCAATTTGGGCCTCCAAGTACACTTATCCATGCCTACTGCATTGAGTTAGTCCTGCCCCCAGTGTAAAACCAGAGGAGCCAAGCTTTACAGGCCATTCTAGTTTCTTCTGGGCTGGCCCCAGAACAAGTTCCAGGATGGTCATGTCTTCACTGCGGCAATCCCAGAATACTAAGTTTCTCTGATGATGAGTTCTTTGGTATGTAAATGACAAAAATTCTCCCTAAGGACAATCCTTAAAAGCAAAGAGCATATGAAGTTGCCTGTGTGATGTCACTTAAGATAAAAAGGGGATGTATAGCCACCCCAAAACATAGTTTAAAAATGAAATAATATAAACATTGAAAGGGATGTTAAGTATAAATTATTCTAGTGGGCATTATTCACATTGTCTGGCATGTAGCAGTTGCTCAATAAATGTTGAATAAATGAATGGATTAATTAAAATATGGCCCAGCTTCTGATGTAGCTATAAATTTCATTGTGTAAAGCTGGAACATTGGTAGTTATAAAAAATTTACCACCCAATCCAAGATTAATCAACCTCTTTTTTGTGCCATGGATTTCTTTAGCAGTCTGATGAAGGCCATGAACTTCTACTTAGGATAAGGTTTTTTTTTTTTTTTAGACAGAGTTTCGCTCTTGTTTCCCAGGCTGGAGTGCAATGGGCTCACCATAACCTCTGCCTCCTGGGTTCAAGTGATTCTCCTGCCTCAGCCTCCCGAGTAGCTGGGATTACAGGCATGCACCACCAGGACCGGCTAATTTTTTGTAGTTTTTTTTTTTTTAGTAGAGATGGGGTTTCTCCATGTTGGTCAGGCTGGTTGCAAACTCCCAACCTCAATTGATCCACCCACCTCGGCCTCCCAAAGTGCTGGGATCACAGGCGTGAGCCACCGCATCTGGCCGGATAAGGTTTTTTTTTGATGACTTTATTGAGATGTAATTGAAGCACAATCAACTTTACATATTTATGTTGAACAATGTGATGAGTTTTTACATGCACAAATATCCATGAATACATCACCACAATCAAGATAAAAACATTTAATCACTTTCCAAGGATCCTTCATGCTCATTTGCAACCTATTATTCCCCAGGCAACCACTGATCTTTTTTTTTTGGTTTGAGACAGAGTCTCGCTCTGTTGCCCAGGCTGGAGTGCAGTGGCGCGATCTCAGCTCACTGCAAGCTCCACCTCCTGGGTTCACGCCATTCTCCTGCCTCAGCCTCCTGAGTAGTTGGGACTAAAGGCATCCGGCACCACGCCTGGCTAATTTTTGTATTTTTAGTAGAGATGAGGTTTCACCATGTTAGTCAGGGTGGTCTCGAACTCCTGACCTCAGGTGATCCACCTGCCTTGGCCTCCCAAAGTGCTGGTATTACAGGCGTGAGCCACTGCACCTGGCCGATCTTCTTTTTATACTTATTTTATATTTTCTAGAATTTTTTATAAGTGGGAGCACACAGTATATGCTCTTTTTGTCATTTATAAATGTCAGTTCAATGAAGATGGTTAATAATGTTATTCTGGTCTGTGTCTTTGCTAAATTTTTTGTTTAGTGTGTTATCAATTACTGAGAGGTAGTTATAAAAATTTCTGCTATAATTGTGGACTTGTCTATTTCTATTTAATTCAGTCGATTGTTGCTTCATGTATCTTGAGTATCTGCTATTAGGCACTTACACATTTATAATTGTTATTTCTCTTTTATCATTATGAAAAAAATCCTTTGTATAAGCAGTACTACTTTCTATATTGAAGTATACTTATCAGATATCAAAACAGTCAGTCCAGCCTTTTATTGCTTACTGTTTGTGTGGTATTATTTTTTTCCTTTCATTCACTTTCAACTTATCTGTGTTTTTATATTGTCTCTAATAGGAAACATAAAATAGAGTCTTGCTTGAGTATCCACTCTGTTAATTTATGCTTCTTAATTGTAGTTTTTGGACATTTGACATTTAATGTAATTATTAATATTGTTTGATTTAGTTCTACTATTTTATTGTTTGTTTTCTGTTTTTCTCCTGTGTATTCTGTTTCCTTTTTTCTTCCTTTCTTTGGCATGCCAGAGTATTTTTTAACGTTCTAATTTAAGTTTTCACTACTTGGCTATATTCCTTTGGATTTTCTTTTTTCTTAATGGTTGTTCTAGTGATTAAAATATACATATCTAACCTATTAAGTCTATCTATATTGTACTACCTCATTCAAATGTAGACATTTATATTGCATTTATCGTATATGTACTTACACTATACATATGTACATAGTTTATACATTACTTATATATACATACATATATTACCCCATTCAATAATTTTATTTTTTGCTTTCTATAATTACACATATTTTAAGGAACTTAAGAGGATAATACACTCTATTATATTTACCCATATTTTTACCATTTATGTTGCTGTGCCTTTATTTCTGAAGAAACAACTTACCCTTGGATATAATTTCCCTTCAGCCTGTAGACCCTCCCTTGAATATTTGTAGAACAAGGCTGATGGTGGGAAATTATTTTAGTTTCTCTACATCTGAAATGTCTTCATTTCACCTTCATTTCTGAAGAATATTTTCACTATATATTGTACTCCGATTTCACTTTTTTTTCTTTCAGTGCTTTAAAGATGTCATTTTACTGTTTTCTCACCTCCACATTAGCTGATAAGAGGTCCATGGCCAATTAGGTCATTGCTACACTGTCCATAATATGTCTTTCTCTCTAGCCACTTTCAAGGTACATATGTATCTTAGGTTTACAACAATTTGACGAAGATATTTACAAGCATGATTTTCAATGAGCTTATCCTGCTTGAGATTAACTGAACTCTTTGAATCTCTAAATTGATGTCTTTCCCCAAAATTGGGGAGTTTAGAGCCATGATTTCTTCATACTTTTTTCTGTTCCAAACTTTTTCTTTTACTTCCAGCACTCCAGTGATGTGTATATTTGAATTTTTTAATATCGTCTCGCAAATTCCTGCAGTTGTTTTCTCCCCCATCCCTCATTTCATTTCTCTCTCTGTTCTTCACATTGGACAATTTCCATTGTCTATCTTCAAATTGACTGAGTTTTTCCTTTGTATCTCGATTTTGTTGATGATCCCATTCAATGACTTTTTTCATGTTAGAGATTCCATTTTGGGGTTGAAATTTATCACTTGGTTCTTTTTTATATATAGTTTATGTTTCTCTGATGAGAATTCCTCTTTCCATTCATGTCAAGTGTATTCTCTTCAACTTAGAAAGCATGTTATAATAGCTGCTTTAAAGCCTTTATCTAACAATTCTAACACCTTGGTCATGTCAGAGTTGGTATCTGCTAGTTGCCTGGTCCCTTGAAAACTGATCACATTTTCCTGGTTTTCTCATGTTGGGAATTTGGGAGCATATCCCAGACCTTGTGTACGTTCTGTTGCTTAGACTCTGATTCCTCTAGAGGATGTTGAGGTGTTACGTTTTAGTAGAAAATCAGCTCAATGAGGGTCAGACTGCAAACTCTGCTCATCATCTTAGGGCTGTGTTCAAATTTCAGTTCAGTTTTAAAATATTTGCTGTGGTTTGGGTCTGCTGTATGTGTATATAGAACCTGAGATTTCTATGGGTTCAGACACAGAAATAAGGGAACTCTTCTGGATTTCTCCCCTCCAAGATTTGCTCTCAGACTCTCCAGCCCACAGCTACCTATTTTCCTGGTTCCTCTGGCAAGAAAATGATCTCTTTTGGAGCTTAACTGCCTGCACCGCAAAGACTGCTTTGCTGCAAATGGGGCTTTCCCTCAGGCGAAAAAAAAAAGGTGAAACTCGCCTACATATGGTTTATTTCTACAAGATGTGAGTCCCCTTAAGAAGCAACCTGTATAGTTGTTTTTTGTTTCTTATCCATGAGTTTCTAGTTGTAATCAATGGGATATAAGGGCCATTTTGTGCTTAGGCTCCACCATGCTGAAACTGAAACTCCCAGAAAAGGATTTTGTTAGTTTTTCAAACCTAAACAGGTGTATTTTATTATCCATTTTGCATTCAGGAATTTTACCAGTTCTCTAGTGAGAAGAAATTTACGTATAATCAGAATGCCATTATACGTAATTTGTGGTTTTGTTGTATATTATTAGGCTTCAATTAACTATATGATAATATGTTTATAATTCTCCTTTTGAATGTCATTGCCATTCCTTTTGCTGTCTTTGCAAAACGAAGTCCCAAACTGGAGAAACAAGTCATTCAAAATCTGGGTACAACTTTAGAATAAGATTTTGAATGCTGAAAATAAATACATAAGACAAGGAAAGTTGATTGTGTAATATCCTCATTAGATTGTGCATCGTATCTTAATTCTCCCATTAAGCCATGTCATTACAAAATGTTAAACTGGGGAAGTCCTTCCAAGTCACTCAGTTTGCTCTCATTATTATGCAAGTGAGCTGTTGAAGACAATAAAAACAGAGTGACATTTCAAAAGTCTAGAGTCTATTAATATCAGAACTCTACTTTAACCCAGATCAATTCTATTCTGATCAATTCTATTGGTCTAGTCCAATTCCATTTCCCCACATTAGAATTAGGTATTGAATCCTTTAAACTGAGGCATTGTATTTTCAAGATTTGTCACGGAAAGATCATTATACTTATATGTCCATAAGCCTTATTAACTGCAAAACATTTTAAGTGAGTTTTTTCCAGGAATATTATGAGTCATTTTATTTAATCAACAAATAATGCTCTGAACTATGTATCATTTTTAGCTCCATTTTCCAGATGAGGAAACTGTTAAGAGGTTAGTGATATTAAGTATCTTGTCCAAGGTTGCAAAGCAAGTATATTGGCCAAAGCTAACTCCAAAATTTATAAATTGACCATTTTGGCCCCGAAGTTCATAGTCCTAAATCTATTAAATGGTGTCTCATGATCTGGCAAAAACAAATGGACAAAAGCTTTTGTAAATTTATTCATATGAAATTATGTAACATTACATGTAATAAGATTTATCCTGGAAAATCTGGGCTGTGATTTACACATAGGCAACCAATATATAGTTCTTGAATAAATGAATGATACCATCATCTTCATCATCATCATCACTACTAATAAATGTTATGTATCATTTGTTGTGTGTCATGCACTGTTATAAACATGTCATATGCATTGTCTTTCTAAGATCTCAGAACAAGTCTTTTTAATATAATAGAAGTGGGAATTGAGACACACAGAAGTTGAGTAACTTTCCTAAGTTTGTAAAGTTAGTTAGTGGTAAAGCTTGGGGCAAAAGCCCAGGCAGCTCTGCAAACAGTGTTTTTACCCAATGTAAAAAGAAGAGCACATGTCCAGTACTTTTTCAGTGAGGAAATTACCTTTAAATATTGGTTTTATTTAGTAACACATCATTAGGCACCGTTTGACATTGGTTATCACGTCATTATTTACTTTTGCAATTTCAACACCCCCGCTCCTGCCGTCTTGGCTACCGTGCTTCAAATGGAAGCAGTATGTAAGAGTTCAATCTTGCTTTCTGGCCCTCTTTCCTTAATCATGAACATTTTACTCTTTTAAAAAGTTTAAGTAGAAACAGACCTATTTAGGAAAATAGATTAAATAACCATACAACAGTATTTTTAAAGACAACTTTTAAAAAATGTATTAAAGACAAAATAAATACGGTATGATTTTGTGCCTTTACCAGTAGACTCTCCCATTTCCTTTACCTGCTTACCCCTAGTTCCTCCCTGAAGGCCATTATGAAGCCTAACTCAGTCAAAGCTTTTGCTTCAATGGGTGCGTTCCCTGCATTTTGATATGTCACCTGTATCTTTAGAATTGGTCCTTCCAGTTGTGTCATTCTAATAAAGTATATTCTCTTTTTTAGAGAGATCAAAGAAAGATTCTTTGAGGCTAGTGGGACCATATGTTATTCCTCTTCATACTCACCATATGTCTAATACTCAAAAGTGTTTGGTAAAGTCTCACTTAATGATTGAATGGGGAGAGTCCTGAGCCAGGTTATCACAAGTGCTGATAAATGTTAAACTGAAACAGAATGAGTGAGAAAAAAATGCCCTTCCTCCATTTCCTCACTCTTCCGCAATGATTTTTTTTTTCTGAAGAGAACTCCAACTGTTTTCTTTCTGGTCCTCAACTTCTCCCCTCTCCACTTTATATTTTTCTGACCTGGCTGGGTGGCAAAATGCTTGCATTTAACCTTTGTTTTCTTCTCTAATTGTCTCTTCCATCTGGCTTTCCATTGCCAAGTATTTCTTCAAAATAATTTTCTCAAAAATACACTTTCATTCCCCAAAGTATTTTAAACAAAACTTAAACGTGGCTGTTGAACAAATGTTTAGTTCAATGTCATGATATCTAGAGCTAATTTTCAGGAAGCAATGCCTTGGTGAGAAAACTTAAGCCTGAAATATCCTTCAGTAATTGCAATTGTATAAAGAGGAATTTTTGGAAAGTGCAAACATAGACTTGTTTATTGTGATGTCTGTGGATGTAAAAATAAAATTAATAGGCAAAATAACATGAATTAATTATCTTGCCTCAAATAAAAGATTATTTCCTCAGCATCAAGTGAAAAAACAAAAACAAAAACAAAGATGGGTTCTGAAGGCATCCATGCTCATTATAGCAGAAAAATAAAATATTTTACAAGTTAATATTTGCTAATGTACAAGATGCGTCCAAGGTTTGGATTCTATGCTACTCTCCTGGGAACTTGTTCAGTAATGTATGTGTGAGCTAGAGATTGGAAGTGCTTTAAATGAGCCCCTCCAGGTTCTCTGAAACAATTTTGATTCAGCTCTACATCTCCTTATTAAACTCATGTGGGACTTGCGGGTGCTTGGACATGAAAGCTGCAGATTCCTGACACGGTTGTGACCCTTGGTGGTGGGCTTTGCAAGACAATAAAAAGGGTGAGTCCCCAGCTGTGTACATGTCAACTAGTGAACCTCAAAAATAGGGTCATTGACGAGAGAGAAAGACTTAATTTTATATAGGTTAAAAAAAAAAAAAAGGAGCACCAGGCAGAGAGTAGAGAGATGGCAAAACATGGAATAAGAAATAGGCTTAAGATGTGGGGGAGGATGGAAACCTGTACCTTGCTGGCCTCTTAAATAGAAAAAGGAGAAAGCAATAAGCAACAGAAGATTCTTAATGATCTGAATATGGCCACAGATGCCTGAGGCTGGGCCTATTTCAGGCCAATAATGAGCTTTTGGGCTTATGGAGTCATTTATTTGGCTCTACAGTGTGGAGCCCAAAGGCGCTGTTCATTAGGAAGCAGGAACTTTACCTAAGGGTTGTTTGTGTTGGTCTTTCTTGCCAGAATGAATTGTTCATTAGTGTCGGAGAGAGATCCACCCTCTCTCTCTACAGATAAATGGTTTAAAATAAAACCTGTTGATTGGGGTTTGGGTGAGGGAAGGGAAAGAAGTGTTCAATAGAAGCTGCTAAGCCCCTTTGATGATGGTTGAGGGACAAACAAGCCTGCGCAGCGTAAATAAATCCCAAATCACTGCCTGACTAACCTGGTTTTATCATTAAAATGGTAAATTAACTTGGCCCTGTGTATGGTCCAGTTATTTGGGTTAACTTAATGATGTAATTGGATCAACTAAGTGATAATCCACTTGCTAATTCAAGCTATCAGCTGTAAGTCCCATTATATAGTTACTGCACCTTACCATCACCATCAACCAGCCCAAGGATTTTCCCGCAGTGTGGAAACACGTAGAGGTGAGTAGGAGATGGAGAGTTCTAGAATTTGGAATGCCAAAGGCTTGTTGAATGTAGCAGCCATGCAGCAACTCCTTGCTTGTCTTACCTCGTGTGATAGTATAGACATCTCTTACTTTTTACTGGAAAATCTGGGTTTAATAGTATTTTACAAGTGATTATTCCCTTTCATTGTAGACCTTTTGTCAGTAATGGCATGATCATGTTAACATGTTTCTTTGTTTCTCTTTTTACTGAAATTCTCCAGAAAGTATTTTGGAGAGTTGAAAATACATGTAGCCTAGAGACTATAGTAGAAAAACTGTAAAAATAAAAATACAAATGAATTAGCCAAAAATAAACTTTCTTTCCAGATGGAGATTTTGGTAGTCTGGAATGAAATGCACAAGAAGGTTTATGTAACTGATTAGTGACAGAAAGCCTGGAAAACAAATGCTAAGCTACATGAAGGGTGCTGCTGGTGACACTGGCGATGCAGATTTGATGAACACTTTCCCAAAGGGTAGAAGCAACTGACTGCTGCAAATCAGAAAATCAGCTTTGTCCTGGAGGTTCCTCTTAATTGAGGTGAATTACTATGTTGCCTTAATTACTGTGCTTTTCCCTAGTACTTCTGGCAAATATTCCATTGGCCTTGATTCCAGCACTATCCATTGAAATGTTGTAAAATTACCGATGACTGAAAGAGGGAGCAACACATTAGAGAGACCCTTAAAGATTGGATTCATTTTTGTGAAGGTCCACTGCTAATGCTTTCTCAGCAAATTGAGCTGTGTAATTTAAACAGAACACATCTTTTTTCACAATAGACTCGTAGGATATGGAAGTATACAAATGCTTTCACAGCCCAAAGTGACAAATTAATAACCTATAAATTAATTATAGGTGTTTTTTTGTATCTTTCCCCCTGATTAGTTTAATGTTCCTTTCCTTTTTTATTCAAAAAGTTCTCTTTCCATCAATTCTGCCAGGACTGGGAATCGCAAACCTTTCAGCTATTTCTAATCTTCAGTACTTGGAATCACTAAGCAGTGAGGACTGTCAACATAAAAATTCATTGTACCCACCAGCTGCATTAACATATTTTTTTTTCCAGGAGCATCTCCTGCTGCTGGTTTTCATGTTAATGCATTTCCAGTGTCTTGCTTCAAGTGAAAAGTATCCTGTTTCTCTCTGCCCTAGGTCCATATGAATCTTTTCCAGTGAACAACTATTATCACTCTTGGAAAGTGTGAAATTTTGTGAATGTAACAGAGTAAATTATTATTTTTAAAAGTCAATTTAGCTACCCTCTGTCTGTTTCACTTGGCTTAAAACGAATCAAATTACCAGTGCCAAGCTCAGCAGTTGGAACTGTCTACCTACAGAATCAGACTGAAGAAACGAGAAAATGATATGCATTTTCTCCAAAGCAAATGTTTGCCATTTGCTCTATAACTTCTAATGCCTTATAATTTCATAACATAATGAGCTATGAATCAGCAAAAGTTGCTTTATTATTTAACCTTGTTACTATTTCCAATCACATATTGCCTAGACTATGTCATGCCTTCCTGATATTGGCAGTACATAACTTTCATTATAAAAGACAATATTTAAATCATTTGAAGGTGTTGCAGACTGGAGATTCAGATGGATTTCTTTTTACCAGGGGCATTTTCTTGGAACAGTAATTTCTTGACTACTTCTTGTAGTCTCTGGATACTTGCCATTTATCGATTTCATAGTGTGTTTCAAAAACTGACAGCTTAGTTGTGAATTACCAAGGAAACTTTATAAGAAATACACAACTGAGCAAACCATGGCTCTTCATCCATATGCATCATTTTAATACTTACCAACATAAAGATGGAAGGAGATATATTAATACTTTAAAAAAATTGGTAAACATAAATACAAAAAATTATGTGAATAGTATTAAAATTCTCATATACCCAGTAACCAGTGTTTAAAATGATAAAACTGGGCAGGGCGTGGTGTCTCACGCCTGTAATCCCAGCACCTTGGAAGGCTGAGGTAGGTGCATCACCTGAGGTCAGGAGTTCGAGACCAACCTGGCCAACATGGTGAAACCCTGTCTCTACTAAAAAAATACCAAAAAAATAAAATAATAAAATTAAATAAAAATTAGCCGGGCATGGTGGCAGGCACTTGTCGAACCAGCTACTCAGGAGGCTGAGGCAGAGAATTGCTTGAACCCAGGAGGCAGAGGTTGCACTGAGCCAAGATTTCGCCACTGCACTCCAGCCTGGGTAACAAAGACTCTGTCTCAAACAAAACAAACAAAATTATAAAACTGTCTTCATCTTGCTTCTTTGCACTAAACATGCTTCTGAGATTTATATATGGAAACCAGTAGCTCCATCTTGTTCTTGATCACTGTGGTGTGTTCTTTTATTTTCCATAATGTATGTATAGATTTTCTTACTGTTTGATATTTAAGTTGTTTTTATTCTTATAGCCATGGTAAGCAAGGCTTCAAGAGATATTGTTGACAAGTCTCCTGATGCATATGTGCAAGGATTTTCCTGTAATGTATATTTGAAATTGCAGCCGTGGTTCCTAGAGCAAACAGGTTTTTAACTTACTAGGTATTGCCAAGTTGTTCTCCAAAGTTTCTCTCATTTTGGAGGACAATTTTCTTTTGCAGCGTCAGTGACTATTCCTTCACAATTCATCAGTTTATGGTATTTTGATACTTTAAACAAATCTTGCCAAATGAATAGTTACACAATAACTTTTCTTTAAGAAAAGGAATAGATTCTGTTTTCCTGATGCCTTGTTAGATTGTGTACACTTTCATGAATGATTTGCCTTTGGTCTGACTTTTCTGTAAATTGCTTTTCTAGATCTTGTGTCCATTTTTCTACAAGGTAGCTTGATTATTTCTTATACGTACATAGGACAATTTTCAAATTTGGGTACTAATCCTTTATTTTACTCATTGTGAATATTATCTTCAGTTTTTGCTTATTCAACTTTGTTCATTATTCCTTTTATGGGAAGCATGTTTACATTTTAATGCAGCTAGTCTTAATTATCTATATATTTTTTGAGTTATGCTTTCAGCTAGGAAATACATTCCCATCAGAGTTTAAAAAGAAATTTTATTAAACATTTATTTAATAATTGTAAAGTTGTTTATTTCCTATTTTGTTTTTTAATCTCTTAAAATTAATTTGGAGATATAATATGAAGTAGAAATTTAATTTAATTTTTTCTGTGAAGAAAACGAGTTGGGAGGCTGAGGCAAGCGAATCATGCGGTCAGAAGTTCGAGACCAGCCTGGCAGACATGGTGAAACCCCATCTCTACTAAAAATACAAAATTTAGCTGGGCGGGGTGGTGCGTGCCTGTAGTCCCAGCTACTGCAGAGTCTGAGGTAGCAGAATCACTTGAACGCGGCAGGTGGAGGTTGCAGCGAGCCAAGATCTCACCACTGCACCCCAGCCTGGGCGACAGAGTGAGACTCAGTCTCAAAAAAAAAAAAAAGAAAGAAAGAAAAAAAAAAGAAAACGAGTTGAACTAATTGGCCTAACACCATCCCTCACGGATGTGTGATGCTGTTTGTCACATCCCAAATTCCGAGACATGCTTGGTCTTTCTACAGGCTCTGAATTCCACTGCATCTAGTCTTTCATCTGTTCCTCCATTAATATACACTGCTTTAAATCTGTAGCTCTTTTAACAGTTTTTACTCTCTGGTAGAGTAAGTCTCCAAACCTTCTTTATTCTTTTAAACTGTCATGGCTGCTATTGGAACCATATTCTTTAATATGAATTTCAATAATAGTGTTTTTAGTTCCATCAAAAATGTGTTTGAGATTTTTATAAAATATGTAAATATATAGACTAATATGGAGGGGAGGATAGATATGATATTAAATATCTCTATTCATAAATAAGAAATATATCCCTATTGAATCAAGGGTTTTTTAGGAGCTTTTAATTGTATTTTGTACATTCTTCTGTTTTTGTTCATCTTTTGTTTGAGTTATTACTAGGCTGCTTAAAATTTTTTGATATTATTTAACTGTATGTTTAAAAAAATATTTTAAATGACTTTTTTATGCTTATATCAATTCCAGCAATCCTAATGAAAATTCTTATACATTTTAATTCTTTGTTTTAGTTTCTTTTGGATTTTCTTTATAGAGAATTGTCTCTTTATCATCATGCTCATTTCTTTTTCTTTATTATTAGGTAGGAAAGAACTGCTAGTAAAATGTTGAGTAGAGGTGATACTAAGCATCCTTATCTTATTCCTGACTTAATTAGAACTGCTTTTGAACTCCATCATTAAGTACTGTTTGATATAGATAAACTTACTAGGAAAAGAAAGCATATTCAATTAAATATTGAAAGCATATCAATTTTATATTAAATAGAGCAATTGCTTTTGCTATGACAGTTGAGATGATTATATGATTTCTATTTCCTGATCTGTTAATGTGGTGAATTACATTACTATATTGACATGTAATACCATTGTTGTATGTTTTGAATAGTTGAATGTATGCATTATATATACTCAGATATTTTACCACAACACATTGTTGAACTTGGTTTTCTAATATTTATATTTTTCCATCTACATTCATAATAAGATTGGGCAATAATTTTATTTTTGAACTGTCTGTTAACAGATTTAAGCATCAAAGATATACAGATACATACTCTGAAAAGCATGGGTCTCTCTCTTTTTCTCTTCTCTCAAATAGTTCAAATAAGACAGAATTCATGCATTCCTTAAAAGTTCACTGAGATGCCAATAACACAGTTTGAAACTGGTGTTTTGTGCATTGTGTGTGTAGAAAAAGTATTACTATATGGAAAGTAACCATTTACTATTAATTCAATTCTTCTAATGGTATTATTTGTCTAACCATTTCATGTTTATCTATTCTATAATAAATTATAGTTAATTATGATTTTGTGTAAAATTTTACAGTTACCTCAGTTTGCAGATTTATTGGCATACATTTTTTCATAGAATTCTCTTCTGAATCTTTAAATTTCTACTATATTTGAAATCATGGCACCTATGATAATCATTGATATTGCTTCTCTGTGCCTTCTCTCTTACTTTCTATAACTGAAGCCCAACATTAGCATTCTTGGCTGTCATTTTCATTATTATGTCCTTCTTCAGTGGAAATGTCCTTTCCCCTCCAGGTGTTAATGTGTCTCCTCTCTTGTCCATCTCAAAATATGAGAAGACCTGGTAGGCACTTACAGTTTATGAGATTTAAAACAATTTTTTTTTCGTAGGGATATTTATAGCTCAGATGAAACAAAGAAGGATGGTTTAGAAGAAGGGATCTATAATAGAAGTTCCAGCCCAGGAAAGTCGTGGGCATTTGTGGGTTCAGAAATACCTTCAGAACTTCCCTAAAATCATGTTATATAAATAATTTCCTCTGACCAAAGGCCACCTCTACCATTAATAAAAATCAAACTTAGTAATATGTGTGTCTGAGAATATTTTGCTCGTATGGTTTGAGAATATTGTTCAGAAGTATAACAAATACATTAAAATAATTATTTGGGAATTTCTTACATTTAGAATCATTCTATGTGCTTCAATTTTTGAGCTTTATAAGCTTAAAATACAGTAAAAAAGTGATAAGGACTTATTTTAACTTCATTGTATATCTTTTAAGCAATAAAGTATGGAATAAGAATACATAAATATGAAATTATTTGATGAGATCATATGCCAGAGAGTCTTACCAGAGAGTTTTCAATTTTGTTGAGCTTCTCACTGCCATGAGAAAATGACAAGAGATTTCAACAATTCTCCCAGAAAAATATTTGCATAAAATTTGGAGGTACAATGATCCTAAAGCCCAAATCTGAATTCAGGTGATAACCTCTGATTCTGGACCATCCAATACGTTTTAGCATATGGGTAAAACTAATCCTGAACAATCCCAGAAATAGAACTGTTAACATGTTTTACTGTGGTAGTATCTTGTTATTAACAAGTTTTCTGAAATCAGATGTGTGAGGTCAGTGATATCAGTTTTAATTCAGGACCGTTAAGCAAAACAAACAAAAATAGCAGATGCCTTTTTAATGCAAAACATAAAATTCATGATTTATATTGGAAAGATACTCTTTCTTCCCAGGTTTCCTTACCCTCCTGTCCTCACATATGTTCTTTTGCTACTTACTTGAATTAGATGACATTCACCCCCAAGGATCAGATCTAATATTCTGTAAGATTTTTTTTCTAAATCTCTTTTGCACTATTAGATTTTTGCAATTTTAGAGTAAAATAAACCTCAAGGACATAAGGCCCCCTGAGAAATAAAATTTAAATCTATTTCTGGTTACTATTTTGTGACTCCCAACTTAAACATATTCTCTTTCTTCATTTTTTGTCTCTCTCTAGCACACAAAAGCCCAAATTGGCATATACTTATTTTTTGAAGTTAATGGGGTGAGGTATATATTAGATTTTTTTAAGCATTTGGGAAGAGTTTCTGGAAAACTTTTAAGATATTTAAGATAGTTCATGAGTGTTGAAAATCACTATTTTTATATGTTATGTATTTGTATTAAACCAACTCTTCTGGAACATTGCTTGGGTAAATTAATGTCATTCTGCACTCTTTTAATGCTTTCAGAATTTTATGGCCTTTTACAAAATGGGATAACTCATTTCTATGTAGCAGATAATTTATTTTACCCATTAAAAGGGGTCTACAGGGTCAAAAGTGATGTTCACTATAATCTAAATAAATCATTTGGCTTTTTACAAATAATATTTATTAAAACCTCTATCAGAAATGGAAAAACAAAATGTAAAGTTTCCAAACAGATCTTCATCTTACTTAGCAAATAATGGAACATTAACATGATTATTCATGAGACTTATTCTTGAAGGGTATTCTAATTAAAGGATATACTAGAGTTCATGAGTTTCAATTTGGAAGGAAAGAAGCTCTACTTTTCATATAAATATCTTGATACTCATTAGGAATAATCATTGAAATGATTTTCTAAAATGAGGGATTATGTTATAGTTAATGAAGCTTGTATTCAACAGGGCCTATTAAGAAAAGGCAAATATCCTCACTTATAAAATTTCCCAGGATGTTAAAAGATGTAGCGTTGCTCTCACTGCTGTGCTTGTGTGCTGACAAGCAGAGCCTGGCTTCATCTGTACCCACTGCATAATGTGGAGGATTTATGTAAATGATATTAGTGCAGGTGCTAGGAGACTGTGGACAATTCCTTTCAGGGGATCTCAATAAAATGACACTGAGCTAAATCCTTGAATTCGATAAAGCAATCAGCTGGGCAAAGCTGCAGTTCATTCTCTTAGATACATATAATATACTTTACTTTTATAATGCCATAAATCAATTTAGTTTTTATGTTTTTATGAAATGTGCATGTGTGTGTGTGTGTGCATGTGTGTGTTCTCTCAGTTTTTGCACTCATGGCTGATCTTCTCAAATAAAGAATGAAAGCTTGTTGTCTGTTGCAGTGATGCTCACAGGCTGCGTAATCAAACTTGTAAGTCCTGCAAACAGTCCTGTGTGATATTGGACATGTTTCTCTAAATTCCCAATTTCTTCATATGTACAAAGTTGGTCTACTCTATTTGAGCTACTGTAACAAAATGGCAGGAAACATGGCAAACTGGGTAGCTTTATTTCTTACAGTTCTGGAGGCTGGGAAGTCCAAGATCTAGGCATCAATAGGTTTGGTGTCTGGTGAGGACCCCCTTTCTGATTCATAGATGCAGCTTCTAGCTGCATCCTTACATGGTGGAAAGGGCAAGGCAGCCCTCTGAAGCCTCTTTTATAAGGGCAATAATCATATTCATGAGCGCAAAAGGGTAGGGTGACCAACAATCTCAGTTCCTCCAGAATTGAGGGGTTTTCCTAAACACATACTAACACCAAGAAAATCCCAGGCAAACTGGGAGGACCTGGTCACGCTAACAAATGGGAAAGTAAAGATATCTACTACGAGTGGTGTGCTGGAACCAGCTTCTACTAGCTAGGAGACCCAATTGTTAAATAGTCAGGAATTTTGTGGGCCAACTTTAATATACTCAGAAATTTTGTGAGCTATTGGTAGCTTTAAATTATCTATGCTAGGAATGTTTACACCATAGTAATAAGCAGATGCTACAAATTAGGGTATTTTTTTTTCTCCTCATAGAGCCTGTTTACTAGCATGTCACTGCCTATCACACAATAAGGCTGGTGAAATTCTATTGAAATAATCCATGTAAAATGCTCAGTGGAGTGCACGATACAAGGTAAGTGCTAATTCAGCGTTGTTGATTAGTAATTTATTATTATCCCTATTAATTATGCATTAGCAGTCAGTAAATATCTGTTAAATTGAACTGAACTGTGCCTGAAGTCACTCTATGTAACTTATTTCAATGAATTAAAAAAAAGTTCAGAAGATAGACTAAGTTTATCTTCTAGGTCTCCAAACTGGTGGTTTTGTCCTCCCTCTTCACTTTCTCTACATTTCCTCTCTATGAACCTAAAAAGGCCCTTGTCCCCCAGTCTGGCTAGGCCAGTGTCTCTAGCTCCAGGAGTGTGTAAGAATTATACATTGCTGCTGTGCATGCATGGGGTGAAGCAAATAGGGTTATGTTAATTAGGTCTCTTCCAAGAGGACACAATGAAGATGGCCCCTCTGTTGTGACTGACACCACCACCACTTGACTTGCCCTTGCCCACTGACCAAATCTTCCCATTTCTCTGACATCCAAAGCTGCTAAAAGTTCTTATATTTAGTCTTTGAATTATAGAGTTTCAGACACCTCTGTCCGTGCATGTCTGTTACGTACTTGGAAAGGTAACACACATATTAGATCATCAACAAAGTGCAAATTAGGTTATCAAGTTAACTCTAGCAAAGATCCTTGCTTTAAGGAAATTGGCCCAGGAAAGTGGCCAGATGAAGTTCGGAAACTGGAATGTTACAGGAGAGGGCAGGCCTAAGGGGAAAGGTTATAGACATCCAGTAGGCAGCATTGGAAAATTCAAGTTCTTGGGATGAAGGAGTGAATTAAAGGTGTGGAGGGCAGAGCTGGTACATGAATAAAGCCAAGATAAATAAAGACACTTATGCATCTACAATTCTTGATTTTAGGGAAGCAACCCTCTGAATGTCCAGATTGTAGAAAGAAGTTGTAGTGAAGAGAGGTAAAATGGTTTTAAGCCTCATCATAGCTTTGTCAGGCCAAGCCTAGATCTTCAAGCATAAAAATGTGTGACTAAGAGTAAATATGTCTAAGTAATTTAACCTCTGGTTTATTAGGAATCCTAAGTTATGAAAATGAAGACACTGCCCGGACTGATACAAGACAAATGTATCCTAATCCCAATGTATTAATCATCATTTAAAGGCTTTGTCCCCTCTCTGGCTTTGTCCAGCCACAGTCAGCAGGCATTCCCTCCTAGGGAGGAACAGATCAATCCCTTAGGATGTTGATTTGTGCTGAAGAGCCCTACTGGTCTCCCAGCAAGCTATTTCAAGGAGAAGCAGTGTGTGAGCCAGTCAGTTCCTTCTCAGTGTTGAGGGATTTCCAGCTGATCGCTCTGATTGCTCTCACAGAGATAATGTAGCATCATAAAAGGGGAGTTTCTGTAGCAGCTTACTTGCAATCAATGGCTGCCTGTGGTGTTCCAGCTTTCCTTGATGTGAATGCTAGTTTCAGTCTTCTATACAGTTTAAGAGAGAAAGGGAAGGGATGGCTAAGGGCTACAGGTGAATTTCTGTCCAGACCTAGGTTTTCAAAAGTGCTGGCATAGTAAGAGGGACCAACTGGAAATAGCAGCCACCAAGGTATTCCCAATACATGGACATGCATTAGACACCCCAGCCCTTGTTTTTTTTTTTTAAAGATTCAATCTCTCTATTGAACGATATGCTCTTTCCTGTATCTGTTTTTATTCTTGCTCTCTCTTCAATGGTCCCTTGGCATTTAAAACTATTGACTGAAAGCTTTTTTCCTTTCCTCAAGTCAATTCACTTCAGAAAGTATCTACCCCCGTGTCCCCAGCAGCACATTTCATCCACACCACGAAGCGAACAGAAAGAGACCTAAAGCTTGGTCTATGTGCTTCTGCCACTCACGTCTGAGGTGAGTATCCACTGCACATTTTTTAAAGAAGTGAAACATTAAATAGTTACAACATCATACATGATGTTAGGAAACGAAGAATTTATTGTGGATAAAGAATTGAAGCAAATGTTCTAGACCTTTTTGGGAATGCTGCTAATTATAAAATAAAAGATAATGCAAAGAAAAGAACAAAATTTTAGGCAAAGAAAACTAGAGCATTGAAAGCACAGGGTTTGGAATAAACAGCATGTGGTGTTGGGGTGTTTGTGTGTGTGTTGTTTGTTCTTTCATGCAACAAATATATCCCGAGCTGCTACATGTGCTGGCATTGTTCTAGGGAGCTAGGATGCAGCCTTGAAAGGAACAGTCATTGGTCCCCTGCAGTTCATTTTCTAGTAGAGCCAGTAAGTAAATGAATGATTTTTCAAATATTAGAGATTAGTACAAGTAAGACAATAATACAGGATAAAGTGACAGAAAGTGTCTGGCGGGGGGAGGATGCTTAGAGTTAAGATGGCCAGGGAAGGCTTTTCTTAGTTGATGGCAATGAAGAGAAAACAAGACCTGTGGAGCGGAGGCAGAGCTTTACAGACAGAGGGATCAAGTCAAGGCTGCAAAAAGGAAACATTTTGGCAGGCGAGAAGCAACCCTGATTCTACATTAGAATTACCTGCAGAGCTTCTACAACTATATCCCTAATTGGGCCCACCCCCAGAGAAATTGAGTTAATTGTTTTTGGGTGGTGCCCAGACATGAGTATTTTAAAAACCTTCTCAGGAGATTCAGATGTCAAGGAAAGCTGAGAACTGCTGGGGTGGAGCGCAGTGATTCTCAAACTCAGGAATCAAAATCGTTGGGGAGGCTTATCATATTGAGATGGCTTAGCCCCATCCCTAGAGTTTCCGATTCAGTAAGTCTGGGGTGGGGCTCAAGGATTTGTAGTTTTAACAAGTTTCCAGCTGGTGCTAATGCTGGTCTGGGAACCTCACTTGAAAACCAGTGGGTTAGAGAACAGAAACAGGAGCCAGTATTGAAAGAGGGTGTGAGCGATATGGAGGAAAATAGAAGGAAGTTGGAACTTCTGTCCTGTAAGGGAGAAAATACAGAGCACAGCTACAATCACAGAAATGACGAGGGCAGAGGCAAAACTAGATCATTCTGGACAACGAAGGAGAAGATATACAAAGCAAAGTCCAGACACAGATGGCAGGACAGAGCAGAAACCAGAGGAACTGTTCTGGATGAGCTGGGTAAGACACGAATGTGGAAAGGTAGACACACACACAGAAAAGACAAGCACAGAAATGGCTGGGGAAAGAGGGACAACTGGAAGGACTATTCTGGAGTTTGAGAGAATGGCCAAATGTAGAGTCATCGGCACTTATAGATGGAGTTTCAGCGATCTTGTAGAGCGCCTTTAGGTAGGTAAGTGAAACTAGAAGTGAAGGCAGGCTGCGAATGAGAGAAAAGTTGAGGAGGTAGAGGGAAATCAGATGCATATCCTTGAAACCGCTGTGGATCTGCTAACTCATTCAGGGAGCAGGCAGGTAATGGAAGTCAGTGAAGGGGGTCAGTTGTGAGCACCTGGAACAAGCATGCTTGGTCTAAATAGATAGCAGAGACAGCTCCGGGTGATTGTGGTCATTCAGGATCACAAGTCTTACTGCCCTGCTAAGGGTGCCAATGTATGCAGCTCTTGAAAATGGGCTTCAATTTGTCTTTAAGACATCACGCTTGCCAAATCTGTGTATACCAAATCAACTGGGTTTGTGGGCTAGTTTGCTACCTTTGGACTACTTAGTATCTATGATCCTTTATATCTCTCAATTTTCATCATGTGAGTAAAGGATTAGAGATGTCACCCAGGAGTGTTGTCCAGTACTTCAAAAAAAGAGAAAGACAGTTGCCTTACACATGTGAGTTGCCTTATGTAAGCATAATGGGAGTCAAGAATAGTCACTAACAGGCTGCCTTGATCAAAGCATAGAACTAAGCACAAAGAAGATGTACTTTATATCACACTAATGGGTCTGTTCTCCGTTTGGAGCATGAACTATAAAAAATAGCAAGCTTGATCACTTGTATGTCTTTTCCTTGAAGAAGTGTCTGTTCATGTCTTTTGTCCACTTTTTCATGGGGCTATTTGTTTATTCTTGTCAAGTTCCTTATAGATTCTGGATGTTAGACCTTTGTCAGATGCATTGTTTGCAAATATTTTCTCCCATCCTGTAGACTGTTTATTCTGTTGATAGCTCCTTTTGCTGTGCAGAAGCTCTTTAGTTTAATTAGGTCCCACTTGTCAATTTTTGTTTTTGTTGCAATTGCTTTTGAGGACTTAGTTATAAATTCTTTCCCAGGGCTGATAATCCAGAATGATGTTTCCTATGTTAGTAATAATGAGAAAAATGCAAACTGAAACCACAATGAGATACCATCTCACACCAGTCAGAATGGCTATTATTAAAAAGTCAAATAACAACAGATGCTGGTGAGGCTATGGAGAAAAAGGAATGCTTAGACACTGTTGGTGGGAATGTAAATTAGTTCAGCTACTGTGGAAAGTAGTTTGGAGATTTCTCAGAGAACTTTAAAAAGAACTACCATTCAACCCAGCAATCTCATTACTGGGTACATATTTAAAAGAAAATGAAACATTTTACCAAAAGACACATGCACTCATATGTTCATTGCAGCACTATTCACAATAGCAGAGACATGGAATCAACCTCGGTGCTCATCAGTAGTAGACTGGATTAAAAAAAAGTCATATACACTGTGGAATATATGCAGCCATAAAAAAGAACAAAATCATGTTTTTTTGCAGCAAACCAGATGCATCTGGAGGCCATTATCTTAAACAAATTGACCCAGGAATAGAAAACCAAATATCACATGTTTTCACTTATAAGTGTGAGCTAAATATTGGGTACTCATGGACATAATGATGGCAACAATGACACTGGGGACTACTGGAGTGGGAAGGGAGGGAGGGAGCAAGGGTGTAAAAACTATTGGGTACTATGCTCACTACCTGGCTGACAGGTTCAGTTATATCCCAAACCTCAGCATCATACAATATACCTTTGTAACAAACTTGCACATGTACCCCCCTTATTCTAAAGTAAAAGTTAAAATTATATTAAACAAATGATAAGGATACACTAGTCGGCATTCAGAGAAAACTGGCCAGGAATGTGAGGCTCTTCTTTTTCCAAGTCTAAAGAGAAATTGTTGAATTACTTGGCTATCATTCAACAATGAGTCAGTGGAACTGTTTTCACATTTCGAAAGAATGTCTTTAGAAAGAGGAATTTAATTTATTCCAACCAGCACAAGTGGACTTTGTGATAGAATTTCCTCCCATTTAATGAGTGTC
Organism: Homo sapiens; assembly: GCF_000001405.40. NCBI lineage: Eukaryota > Metazoa > Chordata > Mammalia > Primates > Hominidae > Homo > Homo sapiens. The sequence continues at coordinate 220,780,221 of NC_000002.12, forward strand.
TTTCCATTGTCAGAACCATCTGTGTGGGAGTGAACTGCCCAGGGAGCAGGAGCTTCCCATCTCTGGAAGGGACCATACACAAAATGCACAACCACCAGAATTAGTGTTGAAGGAACTCAAACATGCAGTGGATTTTTGTAAGACGACCGTTTATGAGCCTGTAATCTGTGTTTTTATTATTCTATGTTTCCTCGCAAATGAACAAAGTTTTGAAGAACTTGCGTGAAGTCAACCCGAATATGTGCCCCAACGATCCTGTAGCTCTGGTTTGTCACCATCACTTCCCTGGCTAACTCAGTAAGCCACAAGGCATGAGTGACTGCAATTTTGGGCCATGTTCAATCTGAACACATTCCCGGATTCTTTAACACGTTTGCAACATCAAAGGATAGGAAGCAGGAGAGGCAATTAGACGCAGTGCTTGGTAATCAAGTTGAAATCCTTTTACTACTTGTAAGGAGCATTTATTAAGCCCCTGCTAGGTACCATTTCTATGCTAAGCCTTTCCTTAATTTATCTCATTTTGTCTTTTTAACACCCCTATGTGGTTGCTACACTCTCAGTACCTATTTAACACTTGAGGGAAGTTAGGGCCCCAAATCAGAGCCAACAAATGAACCCAGGTCTCTCTGAGATCCATACAACCTTGGACAAGTCATTTAGTCCCTGGAAAAATTAGTTTTGACATTTTTTAAATGAAGATACTCTTTTTAGCTTGGAAGTTTGTAGTTTCAAGTGAGCACCTCCATGTGAACTTTCTGTAAATTTTAACGTGCAGATATTACTGTAAAAATATGTGAATCCATGAAAAAGAACCTCAGTGTGTTTTTCTATTGCTACATAGGTAGAAGAGGTAGAAGAAGATGTCTTGTGATTATGGACTTTTTGAGTTAGCAGTGATTTAAAACCTTTTATAATTCTATGCTATGCCCTGGAAGTAATGAAGAAAAGAATTAAAAAGACAAACTGCCACGTAGACAGATCTCAGTATTTAAAAATCAAGCTTATAATGGGATAAGCAATTGTCTCTATGTGAGACCTGGCAATTTAAATGCTAAAAGTAGAAAAGCTGGAAAATAATATTTACATTTTAATGCAATATTCAACTAAGTGGCTCCTCATCTTTAAAATATTTGAGAAGCCTGATTTTCTAGAATATAAAAATACAAATTATATTGTATTTCTTTGAACAGGAGTGGCTGTGTACTAGTAGTGAGAGTGCACTAGGTACAATTTATCTCAATTAAAATCAGCCACATCTTCCTTGATCTTTATTGAGTGTGTGTGTTTCATTTAAATAAAGTCATAATCCCTTCTCCAGATACACACACCCTTTCACCAAACTCCTTAGAAAATGAGCTCCCATTTTATTGTGTTTATGTATAAACAGAACAGTTATTTGGAAAAAGTATTTGAGAGTCCACCTATCTAGCTGACAATGATAAGTTCAATTTGTGGGTTTTTCTTAATCTTCTTGTTCTCATGCTTTGAAAAATATCTTCACGATTAGAAACCATTTCTGTATACATTATTAACATATTTGACACTACACGAGGTAGCCTATGTTTGTATCACATTTCCTTCTGAGAAGAGCAGCTGGTTCCTTTTGCTGCTTAGTAAAGACGAAGGTTATTTTTCTCCGTCTTAAATGTTTGCCTTCTATCAGGCCTACCCTTGGGTTAGTTCTGGCCCTATTCCCTCCTTAAAGCCTGAATCAAATACTGACTGGAGTTTGGTTTCTTTCCTATCTCTACAGCAATTACCGTTGACACTACCTACTAAAACACTTACAAGACAGCAGGACTCAATTGTTTTTCCCCTCAGCAGAATACAGTAGTGAAAGAGAATCCTTAAATGGATGCCTAATATGTAAAATAGGAAGAGCCTAGCAGGGCCTTTCTGTTACAATCCATTAGACCTGAGTTAGGAACCTCTAGTGAATTCTTATAATTTTATGTTGCCTTGACATCTATTTTCTTTCTTTCTTTCTCTTTCTTTCTTTCTTTCTTTCTTTCTTTCTTTCTTTCTTTCTTTCTTTCTTTCTTTCTTTCTTTCTTCCTTTCTTTCTTTCTTTCTTTCTTTCTTTCTCTTTCTTTCTTTTTTTTTTTTTTTTGATGGAGTCTTGCTCTGTCACCCAGACTGGATGCAGTGGCACGATCTCCGCTCACTGCAACATCTGCCTCCCAGGTTCAAGCGATTCTCCTACCTAAGCCTCCTGAGTAGCTGGGATTATAGACGCCCAGCTAATTTTTCTATTTTTTGTAGAGACAGGGTTTCACCATCTTGGCCAGGCTGGTCTTGAACTCCTGACCTCATGATCCACACACCTCAGCCTCCCAAAGTGCTGGGACATCTATTTTCAATACAAGTTTAGCTTTTTCATGCCATAAGGGCTCAGTCACCCTTCACAGTTTCCAGTTCTACACTACACCCAGATGGCTCAAGCCTATAGCCAGAGATAAAAACTTAGAGGCATCTCTTTCATCTTGTTTCCCAGAAACTTCCTTTAAAGGGACCATTCAGGTGTTTATTTTTCAATTGGTGCAAAAAAAAAAAAAAAAAAAACGCAATTACTTTTGCACCAACCTAATCTTTGCCCATGAACTTAAAGTGACATGCATCCTATTCCCTTATATATACTGCTAGTTGCCACAATCTGTGCACTCACTCACTCTCTCTCTCTGACTCTTCATTCCTGCATCACGTGACTGGGACAGTCCTTATTGCCAGAGCAATGGTCAGGCAGTTGCACACGGGTCATACAAGAGCTACAAGGGCATCTTCCAGTATAAACAAGTTTCCCGTGTGAGGGACCTCCTTTCATGGGTTGAAAAATGAGGCATTAGGCTCTCCACCAGGTCCAAAAGTATTCCGTGAAAGGCATACTTCCACACTCATGTCCAGGTCCCTTCGTTTTCTGTTAGGGGAGGGTTGTTGGTCACCTCCATTTAGCTGGGGGCTCTCAAAACAGAACCCCTTCTGTATCTGACCAGCTGAGGCCCTCATTGGAACTCCTGATTCCACAGAGAAGGATTTGAAAACCACTAGAAAAAAAGTGACAAATTCTAGTTTCTACAGGGGCAAGGCAGATAATATAAAGGAAGGAAATGTACTGGTGGGATCTGGGCTACACGAGGGGAGCATGCTCAGTCTAAAGGGACTGCTACATCTCACACTAATGTCAAGTAGAAACTAAAGGCCCGGTCTTTCCAGATCATTATCATTCTTCAAGAGAAGACAGATTTCCAGATTGCCTTTAATATGATATTCTCAACTTACGAATATTGGCAATAAATTTATTTTTATTTTTTATAAAATGATGGATAGGCAAAATAAAGCACATCTGCTAGCCAAATCTAGCCTGCAAACTCCCAGATAGTGACCTCTGCATCTTTAAATGTAGACCTGAGTAAAGAAAAGATCATGCTTGTTATATTTGTTACTTTGTCTTCAGTGCCAAATATAATAACCCCTGGTGCAGAGCAGGTGTTCAAATTTGTTGAATGAAAGAATAAGTGATGAATGGCTAGATTGTCTAGACCACTGTCATAATGTTTCCAGTAATTTCATTGTTTTCTGCCTTAAGTGAAGGCAATGTGGTATGATAGAAAGACACCTGGTAAGAAGAGAAGGTGTGGTTCACAGTATAAATCTGTCTACTCTTATTTTACTTGCGTCTTAGTTTGCTTATCTACAAAATGAAGCTGAGATTAGATGACTATATTATTTTTTTCAACCAATACTTCAAGGAGCTTTTAAAACTTTGGTAAGAGATGACTCAAGTGGCTTCTGAAGGGATGAGATGAATGCCTGATAAGGAGAGTCTTTGGGATTTAGGGATTCAGAAGGTTACATTTGCTTTTTGGTAAATGATAGCAGTATAAACATAATTATTTTTCTACTTCTTTCCAGAACCTTGCAGAAATGACAAGAAAGGTTTGATTGTTCGATTTTGTAATATAAGGCATAAGAGAACAGACTAAGAGACAGGCCAAGAGAGCGAAGAACAATACAAGAGCAAAAAGAAATGAGAAACTGGGGACTTAGCCAACTCAAGAATGTTTAATTCTAAGTCAGACTGCTACTTTTTACACCAAGTCAAGTCTTGTAGAACTCTTTGATTCTTTGGACTATGTCCATGTATAACCTTTAAAATGTATTTTAAAAGGATACATTTTAGCAGAAAGTTCTAATGTTAAAAATATTGTAAACCCCTTGAATAGAAAGTCCTCCAGGATTTACTATTCTATGATTATATCCAGCACAGTAGGCTGCATTGTATGGAGTTGTGGGTTTTGTACATTCCTCTAAGTCCTGATACAACACATGTTAGATGGGCATACAGCTTCAGATTCATAAATGCTTCTTGTCAAGACCACATTGTTCTGGCATCTTTACACACAAAAATCAGAAGGAGAGGCTGGGCACGGTGGCTCACACCTGTAATCCCAGCACTTTGGGAGGCTGAGGCGGGTAGATCACGAGGTCTAGAGATCGAGACCATCCTGGCCAACATGGTGAAACCCTGTCTCTACTAAAAATACAAAAATCAGCTGGGTGTGATGGCGCACTCCTGCATTCCCAGCTACTTGGGAGGCTGAGTCAGGAGAATCACTTGAACCCAGGAGGTGGAGGCTGCAGTGAGCCAAGATCGCACCACTTCACTCCGGTCCAACAGAGCAAGACTCTGTCTCAAAAAAAAAAGAAAAATCAGAAGGAGAGTCTGAGGAAAGACACATAGCACCTTCCCTGGTAATGAGTTCTGTGAAATTCTGTGCTTTTAAAGCTCACTGTCACATCTTTCATTTATGAAATCTCTGTAAGAATCCAGGATCCAAGTCATTTGTTTTAGAAATTCATTAATTGGCCTTTCAGAGCCAAGACAACAAGTATGGCCAAAGAATCATTTCTGATGAGATCAGTAATAGCAAATCTGAAGCAATCTCATTTTAGAAAATATCTAAATGGGTCTCACTCATCAATGTGTTTCAGATTCTTTCACGGCTTCAAATATAATGGACAGAGCTGGGTTTCTTTGAGATAGCATTTCAGTGAAACACTTTTTAATTCATTTTACACAGCTCTTATTAGATTTGTAAGAGGATACACACTGAATAAGCACTCCATGGTCACTTGAGAGGAGAGTAGTTACGTGACTCATTTAACAGGCAATTACCTGTTTAAAAAGAGACAAATATCCTGTGTCTGACAGAGGCTATGACTGCATGACATGAACCAAATGTTTGAGACTATTGAAAAATCCTACAATGAAGGGGATTCTGGGCTCCTATACAGAATTCACTGACCTTCAACTAGTAAAAAATAGATGCTTGATGGAACTGTTACGAATCTCGCCATCTTAATCATGGTAATGGTTACACAGAGCTACACGTGTGATAAAAACGCATAAAAATACACACACACATACGAGAATGCACATAAAACTAGTAAAATCTGAATAAGGTTGGTGAATTGTGTCAATGTCAGTGTTCTGGTTGTGATATTATACTGCAATGTTAAAAGAGTTTACCATTAGGGGAAAGTGGGTGAGGAGTATACAGTCTCTCTATATATTATATCTTACACTGCATGTGAATCTACAATTATCTCAAGATAAAAATTCACAAAACCTAGCAGTTTTTGACTGCATCTATTGATGCGGTATCACCCACTCTACCAGATGGCTTACTGTCATCATCCCACTTATATGTACTGTGAGATAAGGGTGTGGCTCTTACTTCTGGGCAGGTGGGCTTCACATGGAAGAGCAGCTTCTAAAAGACTCGTGTGTTTCAGAATAGTATTGCTGATGCTGGAATTTAGGTTAAGATGTAATTCTTTTTTCTCCCTATTCTCATGCATGCTTTGGAATTTGACATCAAGAGAGTTGGCATGGCACCCTGCCTTTGTTTCCTATACTATATATGCTGATGGTTTTGTTTAGCTCTGGATCAGTTTGATAGAGATATTAGAGATGGTCACCTGACAGACAGGTTATTGGATTCTTCTGAGAGTATATTTGTGAATTGCATTAATGGTTTCTTTCTGTGCCCTTTGCCATGTAACTTTGTAGACATCCATCTACAAATAGGGCTTTGTTTCTACCCCTTGACTCTGGGCTTGGCCTCGTGCTTGTTTGGGGTAATGTTAGCAGACATGAGCAAGCAGAGACTTGAAAATCATTTGTGCGGTTGAGCTTTCCCTTTTGGACTTAGAACATCGCCAGGACAAGAATGTGCCTGGAGTAGCCTATCCTTTAGCAGGAGGACGATGAAAGAAAGGTGGAGCAGAGCTGCCCAATTAAACTGCACCAGCAAAAGTTCAGCCTGAAGCAGAGTCCCTGGTTGACCCACAGACTTATAATAAGCCCAGTCCAAAGTAGCTGCCCCACGGACACATGAATTCTAATTGTTGATTGTTGTTTGAAACCATAGGGTTTTGAGGTGATTTTATATGCAGGAGTAGTTGGTAATCATTATAATTGTGAAGGATGGCCTTTTGGATTTCAGATAGGCGACGGGGATCTGAAAGATCGAAATAGAAGGGCAGTGTGTGTGGTGGGGGACATCTGTTAATTCTCCACACTTGTAGGAACTAGAATACCAAACGGCAACCGAGTTACAGAAAATGGACAGCTACCCATTATTACAGTGTAGGAGATAAGGTCTCCTTAGGTCATGAAGTTAAACTGATGCTCAGATACCTGAGCTTTTTAATTAAGTTCATTTGAACAAAGACCAAGTGGGGTTGAACCAGCAACAACGAATTAAGTGGCCTAAACTATTAGGTCTATGGAGAAAGAAATCAAGCAGTATGTTGAGGTTAGATCTAGATCAGGAGGTAGAATTTTTTTTGTGAAGGTCCAGATAGCAAATATTTTACACTTTGTGGGCTCTACACTCTCTATCACAACTTTTCAACATTCAACATTGCTAACATGCAAATAAATGTGATTGACTACATTCAATAAAATTTTATTTACAAAAACATAGAGTGTCTGGAATTGGCCCACAGGTTATAGTTTGCTCACTTCTCATCTAGATTCTTGTAATAATATTGTATTATTGAATAAAACATTTAAAACTAAATATTTGTGAGAAATTTAAGGTAAAAATGGTAAATATGTGGCATGTATACTCAAAGTTCTCCCTTTGAGCCAACAATAGACATCACAGTCTTTCCTGGAATTATTTCTCCCAGATTGGAAATGTCCTCTGAATTCTTCATGTCTCAGCAATCCAGACAGTCTTTACCAATTTGTCATAGCTTGTAAGCTACATAAAGGAAAATAATAATAACCACAACTCAAAGGCTTCTCTTTTATCAGCCATAGAAAAATGTTACAACTTTACAAAGTGACTGTGAATTTAAGTTAAACCCTCTGACAACAAATTGGAGGTAAGTGTAATAGAATAATAATAAAAACATTGAAATTATAAGAATTTCTTAATGTTATTTTATGTCAAAGCATTTGCTTTTGATGTATACATATTTGCTTTTGATATATACATATTTGCTTTTGAAGCTGTGAAACTTGGATTGAAGATACAGTAGGGAACATGAAGACCCATACTAGGGATCATCTGGTTAAGGTGGAGAGTAGAGTTGTAAAAAAGTAGGGACATTGGAGGTGGAGTGAGGAAAGAGTTGTTTGTAAAATTAGATAGGTTCCTTGGTGTGATGCTCCATGAATGTAGCTACACCATGTGTCTGTGGACAGTGAGATATGATGATGAGACAGATTGGATAAGAATTTTGGTAACTAATTCCCTAAACTCAGTGGAGGTGAATGTAGTCTTTGCCACAGAGCTGTGATGGCTGCAGATGGAAGAAGGTTTGAAGAAAAACAGTGAACACTGCAAGCTATTTTGAGGAAATCTGTCAAAATTGAAAAGTATTTTCTCCTCAGTGGTCCAACATAAGTCCAATATGGATTATTGATCATGGTTTTGGTAATTTCACTTGAACTGAGCCTAAATAATCAGGCACGTGCTGTGCTGAGTACTGCCAAGGTTGTTTAATTGCAAAATCAATTCCAAGGCACTGTACCTCCTAGCCAAAGCCTCTTTGCTAATCAGGCCTGAATGCATTGGATGGGGGTAGCCAATAAGATGCAACACTGGCCTTCTGTTATAACAATGGGATTTCCTTTTTACAGTTCTTTATGGGGCCCTCATCCCTTGGTAATGGCTTGTGAACAGTTTGAACTCCTCAGGCAATTCTTGAATAATCTTTTCCCCCACACAGCCATAAAGAAGGCCAGCCTGGAAACTTGTATCACATGATTTGATCAGTCTGCTGAGAGGGCTGGAGAGTTCTCTTGATATGACACTTGTGAAGTGGTAATAAAGCTGGGTCGGATCCACAGTGGCAGGTGGCTCAGGCATCAGCAATGCAGTCATTTAATGAGATAAACTTGAAAACACCAAGCAAAAGTTTGGAGGACTGAATGTTTAGTGAGAGAGTTCAATGAGTAGAGTTATTCTTTGGAGAGGGTCCCCCCAAAGCCTTGGAAGAAGTAAAAATTGTAGGGCTATGACTTTGGAGTGAGCCCATAAAACTTTCTAATTCTTGCCAAAACAGAAAGGATTTTAAAATGTCAAGTTGGATGTGATTCCTCTTGAAGCAGGACTTACAGTTGCCCTGGAGTCACAGGGGGTTGGGCTGAGGACAACTTTGACTTAATTTGCATTTTCCCAGCCTTAGTCCGTTTTCACACTGCTGTAAAGATACCACCTGAGATTGGGTAATTTACAAAAACAGAAGACATTTAATTTACTCACAGTTCTGCATGGCTAGAGAGGCCTCAGGAAACCTACAATCATGGCAGAAGGTGAAGGGGAAGAAAGGCATGTCTTACCTGGTGGCACAAGAGAGAGAGATGTGGGCAAAACTGCCATTTTTAAACCATCAGATCTCATGAGAACTCCCTCAGTATCACGAGAACAGCATGGTGGAAACCACCCTAATCGCCTCTCTCCCACCAGGTTCCTCCCTCGACACATGGGGATTACAATTTGAGATGAGACTTGAGTGGGAACACAGACTCAAACCATGTCACCAACCTATGCCCTACTGAAAGACGGGTATTCTGAGATCAAGTGACACTAATCATCCTGAGCTGAGATTTCCCAGTATTCCTCTCTACCTCCACTCTTCCTTTGACACCTCTCTGACCACTCCTCAACCGCCAACCCCCATGCACATCTTCGATCATGAGAAAAAAAAAGAAGACGGGACCTCTCCTCTTTATCTTGTTTTTGTGTTCCAGACTCAGAGTCTCTTGTCCAAAATGGTTGGTCAGACAACTTATGAGTGAAGCTGAATCTAACAGTGTCAAGTGTCTATAAATTGTTACGCTCTCAGCAGATCACAAGGTCAAGAGATCGAGACCAACCTCACCAACATGGTGAAACTCTGTCTCTACTAAAAATACAAAAATTAGCTGAGCATGTTGATGTGTACCTGTAGTCCCAGCTACTCAGGAGGCTGAAGCAGGAGAATCTCTTGAACCCAGGAGGCAGATGTTGCAGTGAGCTGAGATCACACCACTGTGCTCCAGCCTGGGCGACAGAGTGAGACTCCGTCTCAAAAAAAAAAAATTGTTACGCTCTCTTGTCCACTAAATCTCAGGTAGAAAATATCTGTCAAAAGTATAGATACCCTCAGTATGTCAAAACATGAAGTTTCTAGACACAAACTCCATTGACCCAATTCCTAAAATTCTTCCAAAATTCTTCTCTTCACTCTGAATCCCCTGAGGGGGATAAAGATGAGAGGGGTGTTCAAGACTATGGGGCCAAGAGGTAGGGAAGGGATAAAAAATGTTGTAAGACCTTGAATGTGTGAGGCTTCTGAAGGAGTCTTTGCAAGACAAGAGTTGGTTTTTATTTGCCATAAAGGATTTCAGTAATGCTGCTCCTCATGTGACTCATGCACTTGTAGACTGGCCAGCTAACAACACATTTGTTTACAGAAAAGTGATGAAATATGGAAAGTATCACTGCTAATTGTATTTCTATTGTACCCCTTTCATTTTCTTTCCGGACTAGAAGCTCTGGAGCTTTCTTCATTCTTTTATTAAGAACAAAATGACCAGCAGGAGAACAATGTGAAATTCACTGAGACCTGAATGAAATGCAAGAAAATATTATTATGAAATGGTCTACCTAATTAATAATGTTGGTAAATTGAACTTCAGTGTCTGGTTGACAGCTGACTTAATATAACCTAAATAGGAAGACAATAAAACTCATCTAGGGAAACTCATTTTAAAGTTTATTAATGTTGTTTTCCTCAGTCTGTACGCCTGCTGGCAAATCATTTTATTTTCAGTGATAGAGTCCTGCAGAACCCCATTATAGGCTGTATGACCTACATTATGGTCCTTCTGTGTTAGAGTGGGAGTGACAGACAGTCCATCCCCATCTGGAAATATCATTTAATGCATGCTATGACTGATTAGATGGAACAACCTCTTTCTACATAATGAAGTTTACTACAGAGAAATTTACAGGAAAAATATTCAGTAAACACTAAAATACCAAATATTTGCATCTCTATCAATGATCATCTGGTCTCTCTCCCTAAAATCCTATAACTGTACATTTTAACATAGCTGTAAACACAGTGTGTGCACGCGGTTTTGTGTTTTTACTTTCTTCACCTAACATATCGCATGCATATTTCCATAATGGAATACACAATACAGTTTTAAAGCCCACAGACGGTTTAACATATTGATGTATTTAGTGAATATTTTAATACCACTTTTCTGTGCTGAAGCTAATATCCTAACATCTGCCAATTGGAAGTAATTTTTAACTGAATTAAACATGTATGTACTTGTTTCCCAGGACACACAAGCCTAAAAGATGAACGATACGGTGTTTATACTTCTCCCTAGGAAGAGCCATAGGCCTTGGGCCCCATCAAGGTAATTCTGGACCCTAGCCCCAGGTCCCTTTCTTGTGATGATAGAATTCTTTTGAGGCTTTGCATATGTTCTTGGAGAGCCATTATCATTTTCCTCTTTGCCCCCATATGGCTCTCCAGCTGCTACATATTGAGCATGCTTAGTGTCTTTCTATCACCCCTTGACTGCCTTTCTGAATGTTGGTATTTCCTTTCTTGGTGTGGTTCTAGTTGCATAACCCTCAGGAAGTTGCTGTCCTGATTTGGGGAAGGAATCTCTTTCCATCATGGATAAAATCATGCTATTGCTTCTCAGCTTTTATCCATGCACTCATTCATTCATCAGATAGCAATGAGCACTTTCTAAGGCTTTGGTCCAATGCATGACACTGGGGATATAGTGGTAGACATGCAGATACAGTCTCTCCCTATGAAGATTACAGTCTTGCAGTTGTCTTCCATGACTCCACGTTAGTGTTGTTGTTATTTTTACTTACTTTTTAAATGTAGTATTACCTCACTACCACCAACCTCCATGAACATAGTGAATTTAGACTATACTGTCACCACTGATATCCAATCAATATCCCCAGGGCATTATAATATATTGTCTCCCCTAAGGAGCAAAATTTTTCCTCCTCTAACTTATTCATTGAAAGGTTAAGTTTGTCCCCTGAACTTCCTCTCAGCCTCATTTTTATAAGTATGAATGCATCTCATCCATCTGTTGCTTCACTCCCAGACTCTAACAATGAGTGCCTTTGGAGATACACAGAATAAGACCATTTGGAACTTCATTACATATATATGTGTGTGTATATATATATATATATATATATATTTTTTTTTTTTTTTTTTTTTTTTTTTTGAGACAGAGTCTCGCTTTGTTGCCCAGGCTGGAGTGCAGTGGCGTCATCTCGGCTCACTGCAACCTCTGCCTCCCAGGTTCAAGTGATTCTCCTGCCTCAGCCTCCCTAGTAGCTGGGGCTACAGGTGCACGCCACCACGCCCAGCTAATTTTTTGTATTTTTAGTAGAGATGGGCTTTCACCATGTTAGCCAGGATGGTCTCGATCTCCTGACCTTGTGATCCACCTGCCTCAGCCTCCCAAAGTGCTGGGATTACAATCGTGAGTCACTGTGCCCGGCCACCTATATATAACCTATATATAAATTTTTATACCTAACAATGTATGTAAGGTGCCTCACTTTGAATTAAGTAATGTAGACTCATGTGTTTCATATATTGATATAACACAACATGCTAAAATGGCTAAAAATGAGAGCTATAGAAATAAATTTGCTGTTCATATTCAGGATTTCTGAGGCTGGTGACAGTATCCTAGCAACCACTACCTGTTACTTGAAGCCACCTAAGTTAAAAGTTGATTGCAGAATGAGGAGATGAAGGGGGTTAGAAAGGAAGGTGAAATGGAAAATCAACCATTGAAAACCCCCAGGGATGAAAGCCTTCTATTTTATTATCTTAAAATGTCTGAAGTGTAATATGGGAGAGGACTTGGTGAAGTTCCTTCAACATTTTATATAATATCCTGGGGGTAAAGAGGAAAGCTTGACTTCCTCCTTTCCTTCAAAGAGCTCTTAATTCCCTTGTGTTTTTACTTACTGTCCCCAGTGTGCTAGCTACTGCAGGGACACGAAGACAAATAGGACATCTGGGATGAGCCAGATGGAGCTTAATTTAGGCTTTGACATGGGCAGATGACCTTTCTTAATTTTAGATTCTTCAAGTCACAAGAGATAAAATTATGACCTTTCAGATTGTTGAGAACATATTTAAAAGTCTCCTGCACCTTGTATTGGCATATGGTTAACCAGTCGCTTCCTTCCTTCCTGTTTCTTTTCTTCATTTTCCCTATTTCCTCCCTTCTTTCCCTACAAGCCTTTATTTCTCCCTTTCAATATTAAAAAGATGATAAGCTCCTTTCTAAGGTCAAACTAATTTTAATGATAAACATTTATATCTCAACATCAAATTTTATATATATATATATATATATATATATATACACACACACATATAAATGTATACTTGTTAGATTAGAATAGGAATGCCACAGAACTTCATAAAGGGTTATAAAAAATACATGTACTAAAATATGTAACAACATGTAACCGTAACAAAAGACATAAAGGCTCTGATATGGTTTGGCTGTGTCCCCACCCAAATCTCATCTTGAATTGTAGTTCCCATAATTCCCACATGTTGTGGAAGGGACCTGGTGGGAGATAAATGGAATCATGGGGGCAGTTTCCCTCATACTGTTCTCATGGTAGTGAATAAGTCTCACAAGATCTGATGGTTTTATAAGGGGTTTCCCCTTTCACTTGGCTCTCACACTCTCTTGCCTGATGCCATATAAGACATGCCTTTTGCCTTCCACCATTATTGTGAGGCAGCCCCAGCCACGTGGAACTGTGAGTTCCTGAAACCTCTTTTTTCTTTATAAATTACCCAGTCTTGGGTTTATCAGCAGCATGAAAATGGACTAATACATGCTCCATTTGGCTACAGTTGTTATGCAAATATATGTGCATCTCATGTCAGATGTGATGTCAGTAAGGGAAGGTGGTGAGAAAAAGTATACATGTATTTTGGAGGGGACACATTGAAACCACAGCAGAAGACATGGAGGTAGAGTTGGGGAGTGGGTTGGTATGATTTGGCTGTGTCCCCACCCAAAATATCATCTTGAATTATAATCCCCACTTGTCAAGGGTGGAACCAGGTGGAGGTAATTGGCTCATGGGGGCGGTTCCCCTATGCTGTTCTGGTGATAGTGCATGAGTCTCACGAGAGCTGATGGTTTTATAAGCATCTGGCATTTCCCCTGCATGTACTCACTCTGTCCTGCCGCCCTTGAAGAAGGTGCCTGCTTCTCCTTTGCCTTCCGCCATGATTGTACTTTTCCTAAGGCCTCCCCAGCAACGCGGAACTGTGAGTTAATTAAACCTCTTCCCTGTATAAATTACCCAGTCTTGGGCAGTTCTTCATAGAAAGATGTATTCATAATTTCATAAAACATTACAACCCATCAGAATCTGATTGAGAAAATCAAAGTGATATTCATGATAAAAACAACCAATATTTATGATAGTAACAATAAAAGCACAAGAACATTTATTAGGGATTTATGCATAGATCATCTCTTCTGATCCTTACTATAATCCTGTGACACAGTTTTTATTGTCACTTTCAAAAAGACTAAAGTTTAAGGTATGAGATCCCTATGAAATGGTAGAGGTAGGTAGAATTTGAAACCAACTCTTATGATTCTAAATCCTATGTTCTTTCTCCTATAGTATGCTGTTCATATTTTCAAATAATTATATATATAAGAAGCCCTCCCTTATAGAAGTATAGAAGTTTATATCAAAGATTAGGGGAGAAAACTGTAGTTTTTCTCACCACCTTCCCTTACCCATATCACATCTGACACAGAGACACACACACATTTGCATACACAGTTGTAACCAAATGGAGCCTTCATGTCTTTTGCTAGATACATGTTGTTACATATTTTAGTACATTTTTAAATAACACTTTATGAAGCTCTGTGACATTCCCGTTCTAGTCTAGCAGGTTTTTCTCAAATAATGACTTCTTAAAGAATAGATTTTTAAATGAATTTAATCTTTCATTTTGAACAAATGATTTGATCTTGAACAATATTTATTTAGACCTTATTGAATAGATATGCTTGGAATTTTATGTCATTAGCCAATATACATTAATCCCTTTGGCTCTTATTTCACAAACCTTTAAGAATGGCACCAATTCTTTTGTTGCATCTCAACTTGCCTTCTATCAGCAAGGAACTCTGCTACTGACTGTGGTAACATATCCATACTTGAGTGTGCGATGAGTGTTGTGATAATGGCAGAGAGAAAGGAAATGCATTTCCCAAAGCAAACGGGCAAGAGAAAAAAGAATTTTTGTGGCCATTGGAAATTTAAATTAAATAGTTTGAATTCTGGCTCAAGAGTTTTGTGCTCTTTTGACTCATTCCCCATCTCTACCACCATACCTTCTGCTATGGTTTGAATATGTCCCTTCCAAAATACATGTGTTAAAACTTAGTGGTCAGTATAATGGTATTAAGAAGTGGGACCTTTAAGAGGTGATTAGGTCATGAGGGCTCCTCCTCTTATTAATGGAATTAAGGCCTTTATGAAAGAGGCTTTGGACAGAACTGGGCTGGCTTACCCTTCTGCCTTTCACTTTGTGAGGACACAGCATTCCTCCCCTCTGAAGGATGCAAGAACAAGGTGCCATCTTGAAAGCAGAGAGCAGTTCTCACCAGATAACCTACTAGTACCTTGATCTTGAACTTCCCAGTCTCTACAACTGTGAGAAAATAGATTTCTGTTCTTCCTAAATCACCCAGTCTTAGATATTTTGTTATAGCAGCACAAACGGACTAAAACATCTGCCTCTGCATGTTCGATAGGTTTGAACAAGCAGCGGGAATTAAAAATGGCAAAATAATAGGACCTCAGCTATTGGCAGATGCATAAGTGACCATGGTACTAGTTGGAGGAGAGAGATGACCCTGTGAAAGAATGAGCAATACTCAGTTCAACAGGAAATTCAGCCAAGTCATGAGCAAGAGATGGGCTGCTGCAATCTTGTGGGAACCCCTGTATCAGCAGCTTTAGAAATACCTCTTCTTGGCTAGAACTCGGCTATGGATTGAAATAGATCTCAGAGTAGATCCAGGGTTCTAGAGATTATAGCACAGCCGTCTTCAAGGACAAGACTGACGTCATTCTTAGCCACACATATCACATTACTGAAAAGATTAAACCTTAATTAGTTAGATTGTAGTGAATAAAACTTACTCAAATTGTGTATCCCTCCAGCTACCCAATCACCTACAAACACACAGTGATAATAAGAATGAACACAAGGCTGTATTTTAGACTTACTCTGTAGGTCCAAAGGCATCTCTTTTGAACTGTGATACAAGTAAAAGTATAACACACACATTAAAAGAATATTCTTCAGAGATGGTGAAAATGAGTTCAATTTGTATGAAATGATAGAAAATGAAACCATCCAAATATCAGTACTCTCATTCTTCTCTGAGGCACAAAATGCCACAGCTTAATAGGAAAGTTACAAATTAGCTACAAGGGAGAAAAAATCTTCAGACATACAGAGAGCCTTTTCTTTATTGTTGCCTTGATAAAACTATAGTCTTTCAAGAAAAATTACCATCTTCACAAACTCTGATCATTCATATTACAACCAGTGATGAGAAAGTAATGGTTAAGGACAAAGTTAAAAGATTTGCCTCAAATTATTACCATCACCACTGCATTTTGATATACAAATATGAAATAACAATTACTTGGCAATCATTTATAAATTCTAAATTATACCAAATAGTACATGTTCTTAGATACAATGAAGAAACATGAAGGAATCCTATTAGCTAATAAGTGCCTCTATCCATATGCCAGCCTAAATCTCTGCTTGCCCATTATGTTGTAATGAATTCAGAAAATCTCCATGGTAACTTCTAGACACATATCTATCCAAATAACTGAGTATTTTCCATTTGTCTCACATATTTTACTTTACACATGGACTTGCCTTGTCACCTGACTGCATTTATGTGAAAATTATATACACACATACAAACACATGTGTATATACATATACCCACCCAAATTTCTAAAAATAATTTCAAACAACTCAGGAAAAACTGATACAGTTAGCACAGAGCAGTTAGAGACATTCTATTGAGGTTGTTAGAAGGAGAAAGATAGTGGTACTAGGAAAATGAGATAAGATAATTTAAATGTTCTGCTAGTCCAGTAGTCTGGGTAGAAAGAAAAATGTATTTCTTCCTTATATAGTTGTCATTTGACAAAAAAGAAGTAGAAGACAAACTCATCTTCATCCTTAATTGAAATAGGAATTAATTGAGTTGTAGCTTACATAAAAGACATTCATATTGTGATTAAAAAAACACTCCTACCAAACTGAGGAAACATCTAAACACAAGCTGTATAGAAACACATGTCAATTTCATTTACAGTTGACAAAGCCCAAGGGACAGAGTTGACACTATACAAGTCTTGAATACCTTTATGGAGGTAACATGCCTGAATATGCTCTGAGAGGTCAACCAAAGGTTACCTAGGTACATAGTGAACTAGGTGAGGTTGTTCTGCTTCCATACTCTTTCATCTAATTTTCCCCCGCTGCCATCCAGTCACATTCTGCTCACTCCTACATATTGAAGCCTATTCCTAGGGAGGATCTGATGGTTCCTTAATTAAGTCTTTTTATTTTAGGACTCTTCAGTGTTTGAATTTTAAGATTTGCCTCCAGTATGAAACGAGAGGACTTTGCCTTCACTACTCAGCTTGAAGAAAGAGGAAGAGATTTATTTGGGGTGGAGAATGTGAAGCCATCCCAGTGACTGCCTCTTCCACAAATTGTCTTTCTGTTCCAAGGCAATGACCTCAGTGTTGTCAACTAGGAGGCACCTGAGCTAGTAAGGAGAAGCCAAGCAAGAGAGAGATTTGCCTCATCCCCACTGGTTAAATAGTTTGCTCATAAAAAATTTCGGAAATATATTTATTAAGGATAACTATGTGCAACAGTTTCTAAAATGTCATTTGGGATGTTGCATGAGTGATCAATGTTAGGGTGGCATGAAAATCCTGAACTGTAGCTAGCAGGCTTTAGCAGCTGAAGGCATTTTGTTTAATACTGTAAATACAGTACCAGAGTTTAACTGCATTGACGATTATTTTACTGCTGACCCATGGACCACAGAGTGGTTAAAAGCAAGGGCATTTGAGGCAGGTGGCCTGAGGGTTCATGTCCCTGCTGCATCATTTACAATCTCCATGACCATGGGCAAGTTACTTAACTTCTGTAAGCCTTAGTTTTCTCCCCATAAGTTAAAATAAAGCTGTACCTTCCTTATGAGTTTGGTAAGACAAATACCTTAGACAGTGCATATAAAGTAATTAACACCATGCCTTGAATGCAGTAGTTGCTCCAAAAATATTAATTATTGCCACTACCATTCTACTATCATTACAATTGTTATTTTTTCATATATTTGCTCAAAAATACAGTGGAAATGTAAGCATGTAAACGTTATTGTGTTCAGTATAATATACAAACATTAGCATAAGTATTTCCTTTCTCATGAGCTTTTGCAGAGATCACCTGCTAATGAATGTGGAAAAATAGAAATAAATTTAGAACATTTCTGTAGAATCAAAGTTATTTTCAGGTTCTCTAACACTTGAAAACAATAAAAGCATTAAAAAAATTTTATCGCAGAGAACTCCCTTAAATCAAATGCTTTGAAATATTTTAAAGAAATGCTAATTTGGAGATCTTAAAAAAGAATGAGATCTAAAAGATATCAGATGGCAGACCAAAAGAAAACTGGGCATAATTTTCCAAAAAAAATATTTTATACTCTGTCCTTCATTTTCATTTATTTTGGGGTAAGTTTCCATGGAGTTCTATCTTTGTGGAGTAATTGAACTAGGCTGATGTCTAAAAAGCAAGAAAATATTCTAGAAAATTAAGCCTGAAAGCTAACATAACTTTCCCTCTTGAAGCATTTAAGAAGATGGGATTTCTCAAACCGGTAATCAAAGATTACCTGGATCAGAGTCACCTGGGGGCATTTGTTAACAAGGCCGATTCCTAAACCCCAGAGGCCACACTAAATCAGAGTGTTGTCCCAGTAATACACATCTTAAAAAGAGTCTCTTTACATTGTTTGTCATTTTGATAAATGCTGGGTGAATAAATACCTTCTTTGGATATTTTAAAGGAAAGCACTTCTTTTGCTAGTATTTATTTTAAGTGAAAGATCATCATGGCCAGGTTTTTTAAATTATTGTTATTCATTTTTGGCTTTACAAGGCTGGCGAATATGCTTCTCATTTCTGGCTACAGCCAAGCATTAGAAATGGGTCATCACAGCGTTAATGAAGGAGTGCACTGAAATAAAGGTGTGAGGTAGGGGCATTTCCTATGCAGTGCCTGTGCGGTTGCTTGCCTGTTCAATCATGTGTTCATTTATACCTCCAAGACATTTCTTAATTGAATCAGGTCTATTTAACCCAGTCCATATAATACCTAAAAGCAGCCTTATATACATATATATGGGATCTCAGATAACAGGCAGAACGTGAGGGAGAACATTAGCTGTCTCTATGCAAAAATTTTTAAATGGATTATTAATGAAACATTAAAACCAGTCTTCAAAGGACAGCATTTTTTTACATGATCCCCATAGGCTGTATCTTTTTTGCAATAAATCTATTTGTGTAAATTGGGAGCCATAGTCTGTCAGATCTGTGAGTAGCATTTCCACATACAGTGTTAGAAGAATCATTGAAAGAAAGATGCTAGATTTGAGAAAGATGAAAGAAAAAAACATTAAAATGGCCTAATAAAATTTCAATTTGCAAAATATGATTTTATACATTTTCATCTGGGCATAAATTTAATAGATCACCACCTAGATATATTTGGGGTCTCTGCCAAATCTCTTTAATTTCTTTGCAACGGAAATTATAAAAGCAGAGAAGGGTGTGTGTGTGTGTGTGTGTGTGTGTGTGTGTGTGTGAAACAGTCAAATGCTATAAATTGTCTTTTACTGTAACTTAAGTCTCCTTGAAATTCTCTTTTTTTTTCTTTTTGAGATGGAGTCTCACTCTTTCACCCAGGCTGGAGTGCAGTGGCACAATCTCGGCTCAGTGCAACCTCCGCCTCCCAGGTTCAACTGTTTCTCCTGTCTCAGCCTCCCAAGTAGCTGGGACTACATGCGTGTGCCACCACACCCGGCTAATTTTTGTATTTTTAGTAGAGACGGGTTTCACCATGTTGGCCAGGCTGGTCTTGAGGTCCTGACCTCAGGTGATCCACTCACCTAGGGCTCCCAAAGTGCTGGGATTACAGGCGTGAGCCACTGCGCCCGGCCTGCTTGAAATTCTTTAGTATGATTTTAAAAACATGAAAGAAGGCTTGAACACTAAAAGATTTCCTAGAAAATGAGGTAAGTTTGTGCCTGCCAGTATTTTTGAGTCCTACCATTAAAAAAGTACTCAGAATTCTCTGAGTAATGTTTTAAATATCTATAGCACAGTAAAATAAAACTAACCAAAAACCCTACACACACACACACACACACACACACACACACACACACACTCCTTACTACTAAGGAATATCTATCTTCAGAAAAAAAAAAAATGAATTTCAGGAGATTGGAGACAGCTTATTCACATTTCTTGTTCCTCTAAATGCTAAAAGTTTCTTTGCCTAATATTCCTTTATTTTTCTCATCCCTAATATTGCTTTCTGGTATGGACAGGCATTTGGGTGGCAGCCAATCAGCAAGTTATCAATTGGGGGAGTTTGAAAATTACTGGAAACCACAAAGTTGCTCCTCGTTGCTGCATGGTGAAAATGCTTATATTATGCGTGCAATGGCATTCATCGTCCATCCCACCCTTGATTCTTGAGGAATTTGTTTTCTAGGCCCCAGAACTGGATTTATGGTTTTCTTAATGAATCCAAAGCCATGTGACCAACATGGTGATTATTAAGATCTTTATTTCCAGCAACTTAGAAATTCGTGGCCAGTGATGACCATTTTCTGATTTCCATCCCCAACCTTTTGGCATGTTAGATTGATGTCTATTTTGGATTGGGTTCATTTGTGAAACCTGTGAGAATTAACTTCTTTCTTAATCCATCATGGCTTTCTGGTAACTCCCGTAAAGTTTCTGAGATGGGGCCTTTCCTCCATCCAGTACATCCCCTAATTTTATGCCAGGATGCGTTCTGAGCTTTCTGATCCTTTCTAAGTCCCTCCTTTCTTAGAGAATCCCATCTTTAGGTCAATACTGGCTTTCCTTTCTAGATTTTACTACTTCTGGCAATCAGTCCTAAGATCTTTTCCATCATCTTGGAGATAAGATGGTCTGGTTGATGTTTCATCCTCAGTGTTTGAAAGAAGATCTCCATTTCTCCTGGGCTCTGCCCTTGGCTGATTTCTACACAACCCTATTCATGTTGCTAATGCCCCAAACAACCCCCAGACTTGGAATCAATAAACCAACCCATTTATCTATTGCTGCCTGTGTTGAAGGGGCAGCATGTCTGAGTTCCTTCTTTGTACATCTCCAGGATCTTCAGGTTATCTTCCAGCACAACAGCAAAGTTTTTGGAAGTTCATGCGCACATCCAACCTCTTCCTACCTTCCCTCAGTATCACCTTTAAATTACTGAACTGATTGTAGGCAGGCGAGACTCTACCTCAAGGATTCTCTAGGAGTTCATGGATTTATGAAGAGAATGTGAGAGAATCCATGGGGGGAATCACTTTAAGGAAAACCAAACATAATGGTTTTTAGGTGGTGTATTAGGCTGTTCTTGCATTGCTATAAAGAAATACCTGAAACTAGGTAATTTGTAGAGAAAAGAGGTTTAATTGGCTCACAGTTCTGCAGGCTATATAGGAAGCATAATGGCATCTGCTTCTGGGGAGACCTCAAGGGGTATAAAATAATGGCAGAAGGTGAAGTGGGAACAGGCATATCATGAGCAAGAGTGAGTGAGCCAGGTACCACACACTTTTTTTTTTTTTTGAGACAGAGTCTCACTCTGTCACCCAGGCTGGAGTGCAGTGGCGTGATCTCAGCTCACTGCAGCCTTGGCCTCCAGGGTTCAAGTGATTTGACTGCCTCAGCCTCCCGAGTAGCTGGGACTACAGGCGCATGACACCACGCCCGGCTAATTTTTTGTATTTTTTAGTAGAGACAGGGTTTCACCGTGTTAGCCAGGATGGTCTCGATCTCCTGACCTTGTGATCCCCCGACCTGGGCCTCCCAAAGTGTTGGGATTACAGGCGTGAGCCACCGTGCCTGGCCGGTGCCACACACTTTTAAACAGCCAGATCTAGTGAGAACTCACTATCGTGAAGAGAGCACCATGTGGATAGTGAAATTTACTTATGAGATATCCACCACCATGATCCAGTCACCTCCCACCAGGCCCCACCTCCAATATTAGGGATTACAATTCAATATGAGATTTGAGTGGGACAAATATCCAAACTATATAAGCTGGTGACCACAGATGATAATGTCTCATTAGCAAAATGTTAATGTTCTCTTGACACTCAGGGTGCCCAGGGTGTCTTTCTTATTATCACCACCTCCATCATCACACTATCGCCATATATTTGGGTAGCACTTTTTTTTTTAACTTTCAAAAGTGCTATCACCCCTCTTGTTCACTTAACCTCACAGCCACTCATTAGCTCTGACATTTACTAGAGTGCATTCATTACTTAAATGAGATTAAATCTAAAATCAGCACATCAGGCAAAAATTGTGTAGAATTAAAATTGCCCTTCAAAAATCTCTTTAAAAGCTCATAAAATGTAGCACAAATGATTTTGTGTTTATTTTGTCTTCCTTATGAGGGCAATGTAACCAGTTTTCCTACTGCATTGAAAAAGATTACTTTTTTTTTTTTTGGTTGCGTACCAGAAGATGTAGTTTATATGCATTTGGGGCTTTGTGGTAGGAAAACTATCAGTGCTGCTGTTATTTGCTGAATATGTATAGTTGAATTTGCAAAGTCAAATGCTCATATGACATAATGCTACTGAAGTCTCTCCAGGTAAAGATCAGGAGGGATACAGGCAAAGGGAAGTTAAGTAATTTGCCTAAAGTCACAGCTAGCTACTGAAAGAAATGAGTTTGATATCCCAGTCCTAATTTAGGGTTTCCTCCTATTAGATGGAAATTGGCTAATTACATCTACCTTTGGGAACTGATTGATTGCTAATGTTTGCCTGGTTTCCTGAATTGATTAGGGTTCTGAAGCCGAGTCTAGGCTCAGCAAAGAAGAGCACAAAAGTCATCAGCCTGGCCAGGTGTGGTGGCTCACGTCTGTAATCCCAGCACTTTGGGAGGCCCAGGCGGGCGGATCACTCGAGGTTCAGGAGTTCTAGACCAGACTGGCCAATATGGCGAAACCTCGTCTTTACTAAAAATACAAAAAAACTAGCTGGGCATGGTGGTGCACCCCTGTTATCCTAGCTACTAGGAAGGCTGAGACAGGCGAACTGCTTGAACCCAGCAGGTGAAGGTTACAGTGAGTGGAGATCCTGTCCCACTGCCTTCAGACTGGGTGACAGAGTGAGACTCCATCTCAAAAAAAAAAAAAAAAAAAAAAAAAATCATCAGCTTGCCATGGGGCAGAGGTGAACTGCTCATCTCAAATTTGCAATTTCCCCACTAGACCACACTACCCAAGAATTTGAAATGGGAATATGGAGCAAAAACAGGGGAAAAATCAGAAATACTTTTTTCCTTTCTCAACCTATCTGTACAAGCACATGAAAATCTTAAATTCAAGAATTAATCAAATATTTCCAGTATGGTTTCATTAAATGAGAAGGTATAAGAAACGGGAGAAAACATTAAGAAAAGAGATAATTGATTAACTTTTAAGTGTATCTTTATGATGGACAAGTTCTCAGAGTATTCATTAACTAATGGAATTATGGCAGTGTGTGATTGCTGTCTCTACAGAATAGGAGGTTAAAAAGTGCAAGGGCGTAATAGCCCCTCATCTCTCAAAGAGCTGGGAAATGGCCCCAGCACACTCACCTATGCTGAGAAGGATCAAGGATCTTATTGATATTCATGGTTATATTCGTCTAAGCCTCAGTAGATGCTTCCACTTACGGACAGTCCTAGAGGATTAGGGGAAAAGAGAAAAGAAAAACCTGACATTACATGCGGGAAACAGCCATTTAGAGATGGTGTGTCATCGCGTTCATGATTCCAGGGGGATTCATCTTGACAAAACATTTTACCCAATCTCCCTCAAGGCTGCTGGAAACCAATCCCTGTTAGTTGTCCAAGCATGTATGGTGCCTGCCCCTAGTAGTGGTCCCTGGTTAGGCATGAGGACAAGACAGCATGGGAACAATTGTATAGACCTGCCCCCTAGAAGTCTCCTTTCACAGAACCAGCAGGGTTGGGTTTATTTTACTCTGACATAAAGGGTCACCTTCTAGTTCGATGGGAAAGGAAGGCTCATCTGTGTCTACTGCAGAATGGCCAAGAGAGCAGCCTGCTTCCTGCTGTTACTGGACATTGTTTGTCTTCAGTACCTTTAACTGCATGGGTGGGCCACCCATCCTCCTTCAGCCTTTAGGAAAAACTCTAGCTGCCCAGGGTCTTTGTAGGTGGCAAATTTTTACTCAAAATTTGAGTGTTCATAATGATGTCAGGGTACAGTGAGGAGACATTCTGATACTTCAGAATTGGAGACAACTTAGTCTTGAATAATAGACATTAGCTCTTCTAATGTGTTCTTTGGTTATTCTGGTTATCTGGATTATCTCTCTGCCCATTTCCCCTCTTGGTGGTCACTGCCTCCCTCACGGCCTCTTCCTGCCCTCTCCTTCCTTGCCTTGGACGTGTCTAGCATAGCTCTTCTGGGCTACTCTGGAGGAGCCCTCACCCCTAGACTTCTTGGTTGTCATCTGGAGCTCCTAAATTCCTAAAGTCCATTATTTTACTATGCCTTTGAGTTTCACATATCCCTCTAATTTGGAACTGTGGCAAGTTTTTGTTTGTTTTGTTAGTTGTTTCAAAGAGAGAAAGAGAGAACTAAAATGTACTGAGTCTCTATTAAATGCTAGGTATGATACTGGGAACATTTAAATGATTTTATCATTTAAGAAATAAACTACCTCTATTTCTCACAGTGTTTTGGCACCTGAGTGCTGAATTCAGGTAAGACCAGGTTCTCATCCCAGCCCCAACACTCTCATAAGCTCTTAGGCAAGGTTATTTAGGTTATTTAACATTTCAATTTGTTCATCTGTAAAGCAGGCATAACAACCCCTGAAACATGGACTTCATGTGAAAATTAAGACACCGTGAAAGAAATGCACATGGAACCTCGATTAACCACATACTGCTGCTACAATTACTAGTAATATTATTATGAAATTATTAACTGTTTCTGAACAGTTCAGTTGGAGAGACAAAATACATGCTTACTTCCATTTCTATGACATGATCACTCCCTGGGAGATCAAAGCCAAAGTGGTCCAAAGATAATTCCTGCCAAAGCACCCTCATAGTGTCAGAGGCATTTGAACCAGAGCAACTCCATCTTGAACAGATGCTGGGTAAAATAAGGCTGAGACCTACTGGGCTGCAGTCCCAGATAGTTAGGCATTCTAAGTCATAGGATGAGATAGGAGGTCGGTACAAGATACAGGTCATGAAGACCTTGCTGATAAAACAGATTGGAGTAAAGAAACCAGCTAAAACCCATCAAAACCAAAATGGTGATGGGAGTGACCTCTGGTCATCCTCACTGGTACACTCCCATCAGCGCCAGGACAGTTTACAAATGTCATGGCAACGTCCAGAGATTACCCCATGTGGTCTAAAAAGTGGAGGAACCCTCAGCTCTGGAATTACCCGTGTTTTTTCCAGGAAATTCATGGAAAATCCACCCACCCCTTGTTTAGCATATAATCAAGAAATAATCATAAAAAGGGGCAATCAGAGGCCCATGCTTCTGCTCTGCCTATGAATTATTTCTTTACTTTCTTAATAAACTTGCTTTCACTTTATTCTCTGGATTAGCCTCAAATTCTTTCTTGCACAAGATCCACGAACGCTCTTTTGGGGTCTGGATTGGGACACCTTTCCTGTAAAAATAGCATACTGTGTCTGCAGGGTGTTGGATTTACTGAGGACCCATCAAGAAGGGGATCACTCCCATCATCACAGGTCTCAAGGGTCATACACCAGCCTATCCATGCTTGTTTTCAGAGACTGATAGTCATAGAAAATCCATTTCCATTCCTGAAAGCTTCAGATACACTTATATATTAGTGTTTTCTCATTACTAATAGAGTATAAGAAAAGAATGGTGAACGTTAAGAAAACAAACAAAAAAGCAATGTGAACCTCTTACCTTGTGCCCTGAATGCTCCTTGACTGCTGCTTTCTCCCTGTCCAGCCGCTGTTGCACCCTGGCCCTGCTTGTTTTTCTCCCGCTAGGCTCTTACAGCAATAGAACAGAATGCCATTTTACAAAAAACATAGAAACCAAGAGCTTTCCTCCCCAACTTAACTCTTTCTGTGCCAGCCATACTCAGAGCAATAGAGCAGAACACTGATTCATGTGAAACACACAAAAAATGAGAGCTTTCCTAAAGACTTGTAATAACTACTTATCATTTTATAATGGATACGAAGATTTCATTTATCATCTCAATAGAAACTATTACCATATGTAGGAGTAAAATTAATCCTGAAAAATATGCGAGATCTATATGAAGGATAAACAAGAAATTTTGGTGAAAGTCTTAAACAGCCGGGATATGAGAATAGATATTCATGGAACATGGGGAGCTTTTGATTTATCTTTATTATAAGTTAATGCCTCATCTCGCTATGTGGCTAGATACAAACTTAAGCTGGCAAAGACTGTCAAAAACTCACCATTGGTGCTCCTATTCACTAACACCCCTCCTCCTAATTTCTTCATATTAATGATCCCAACATTCCCCATACCATTAAATCTTAACCTCATCTTTAATGCCCCCTTCTTCATACAACTAATCTGTTTCCATGTCTTACTGAACCCATACACTATACCAGGAGCTGCTTGATAAAAACTTACAAAGCTGACATTTCCTAACACTGAGATACTCTTCCCTAGTATATCACAATATACTCCTAAGTCTCCCTGCTTCCCCTCCCTGTGGTCACTAACCTGGTCCAGGTGGAACAATGGCAATCCTCTTCTCGCTGATCTTGTTATACACCCTCGGTATTCATCCTTATCTTATACAGTCATTGCAGTCATCTCCCAATGCAGCTCTGAACTTGTTACTTCCTCGATTACAAAGTCTCAATTGCTTTCCATTTTATACCCTCAAAAGTCCCAAATTTAGAATTGTCATGAAAGCCCTCCACAATGAACGTACTTCTTACAGTCTTAGGGCCTTCTCTTGATTATTTCGAATTTTAATTTTATTGTGAAATATGT
The DNA here is from genome assembly GCF_000001405.40 of Homo sapiens. Classification (NCBI taxonomy): domain Eukaryota; kingdom Metazoa; phylum Chordata; class Mammalia; order Primates; family Hominidae; genus Homo; species Homo sapiens. The sequence goes on from NC_000002.12 coordinate 220,807,251, forward strand.
ACAACCTTCAAAAAGTATAAGAGTCTCATGCACTGCTAAGCCTAAACAAAATTAAACAATACAATTGTTAAAAGGAATAGTTCTTCCCTATATCTTTTATTTCTTTTCATGCAAGGGGCACCCAGTTGGCATAACGCACTAATGTATCTTGAGAGGTGGAGTAATTAGCAGATTGGAAAACCTTGGAATGTGGAGCTCAGTTTCTCCTGCCTTTCTCTGGGGAATGAATCTGACTGCAGAAAGCTCAAGTTTGTATCTGCAACTTCTTGCTGGGATTACCTGTGGCAAGGTGGTTGAATTTGCCTAAACCTAAAATCCATTTAGCAGATCTGAGCTACATTTTTGAGTTTTGTCTTTTTTGTTAACAAACAGGTATTTTGCTGTATAAATGGAGTCATGACTAGATAACATTTGAGGATGGCTTTTTTTCATTCAGCCTAATTGCTTTGATCTATGGTAGACAGCATAATGCTTCCCCACCTCAAAAGATGTCCACGTTTTTATTCTCTGAAACTATGAATATAGAAAATACAGCAAAAGAGATATCATTGCTGTGATTAAGGACTTTGAGATGAGAAGAGCATCCTGGGCTCTCCAGGTGGACTTAAAATAATCCCAACGGCCCTTTTAAGAGGGAGATAGGCCCAGCGCAGTGGCTTCCGCCTGTAATCCCAGCACTTTGGGAGGCCGAGGTGGGCAGATCACGAGGTCAGGAGATCAAGGCCATCCTGACCAACATGGTGAAACCCCGTCTCTACTAAAATATAAATAATTAGCTGAGTGTGATGGCGAGTGCCTGTACTCCCAGCTAGTAGGGAGGCTGAGGCAGGGGAATCGCTTGAACCTGGAAGGCAGAGGTTGCAGTGAGCCGAGATTATGCCACTGCACTCCAGCCTGGTACAGAGCACGACTCTGTCTCAAAAAAAAAAAAAAAAAAAGGTTAAAGAAAAGTAGGAGATGTGACAATGGAAGCAAGAAATTAGAGTGATATAAGGAAAGGGTCATGAGCCAATGATTGCAGGCAGCTTCTAGAAGCTGAAAAGGGGGAAGGAAACAGCTTCTTCCCTGAAGCCTCTGGAAGGGAGTTAGCCTAGCTAAAATGTTGATTTTATAATTTCAACCTCCAGAACTGTCAGAGAAGAAATTTGTGCTGTTTTAAGCCACTGTATTTGTGGTCATTACAGAAGCAATAGGAAGCTAATACAAAATCAATCTATTCTGTGCACGTGTCCCTAGTTTTTCTATTTTGATTGCTGAGTAGTATTCCATGGTGTGGAGGTACCACAGAGTTTAATTATTCTTCTGTTGAAGGATATTTGGGTCATTTCTAGTTTTGGGCTGTTACAAATAAACCCACTACGTACATTTTCCTTCAGGTTTTTGAATGAACATATATTTTCACTTCCCTGGCATTAGTGCTGTAGAGTATAATGGCTAAGTCATATGGTAAACACATGTTCAAATTTGTAAGGGACTGCCATATTTTCCCCCTGCTATTTTTTTGAGATAACTAAATTGAAAGATATTGCAAGACTGGCATAAAAAATATCTCTGACCATTTGAGCTCTAATACAATTCTTGAGTCCCCAAAGTTATATAAGCAGGAAGCAAGATCCAGTTTCTATATAGCCCCCAAGGATTATACACTTCCTAACCCATTTCAGACATTTTAGAAAGAATGATGGGCAAAAGGAATCTCTAGGGGTGCTGAGGACAAGATAATTCCTCCCAAAGAGCAGAATTGAGATATAACCAAAAAATGATTCCAATGTCAGGCAGAGGGAACTCATAATACCCACCCAACAGAATTAGATGGCTTTCTTCCTGGTATGTGCTCCCATTGTCACTTTTGTGAATGGATATGTTTTTTGGAGTTATACTATCCATGATGATAGTGGAGGTGGGGACGGGAGGGAGTATATGATTTTCCTTTTGATTCATAAATCACTGGATGACAAAAAGCCCCATTCAGACCTAATGCAGAGGAATGCATGTCACCTGGAACGCTGACTTTGAACTGAATTTCCCACAAGATAGGACTTTGGATGTTTCTCTGAGCAAGAGTGGATATGCTTTATGCATGATGTTTTAATGAACAATTTAATTTAAGAGTTTAATTTAATTTAATATGTTTTAATGAAATAGGTATTTGGTAACTACAAAATAAAGACTCAATCAGTAACTGCTAGGTGAATAGCCAACTCATTTTCTCTTCTTTCTGGTCCAAATTTCAGTCTACATTTTCAAATAGTCTAAATTTCTCAACCTCTTTTAGTTAGGCGTGGCAGTGTTACCTGTTGACCAGAAACAACTTTGCTGGTTGCATTAAAATTCTGATAATGTGAGATTTATCTGCTAACAGCAAGCATTGCCCCTAGCTAATACACTGTCTTATTCCATAAATAATTCTATTATTTTACAAAAAGTATGTTTTCTAAAGTTTGTATAGCTATTGTTCTTTAGGTTAAAGAAGTTTCTTTCTGTTCCTGATTTTCTAAGAATTCTTAATATAAATGCATGTTGAACTTTTCCAAAAGGTTTTTCTTTCTGTAGCAGCTAATGTAATTGCATATACAGATTTTCCATGGTTAAACTACCCCAATATTTCTCAAATAAACCCTATTTGTTTTACCTATAATGCTGAATTTGGTTTTTGTGATTTTTGTATCTATATTCATAATTAATACTGTCCTATACTATAATTTTACTTTCTTTTACTATTCCTCTCTGATGTTTGTGTAAATGCCATATTATAAAATGAGTTATCTTTCAATGGAGTTAGTCTGCCAAATATATCAAGTCACATGTAGATTTAGAGAGAAACTCATCCATAAGATTTGCATTCTGAATAGATGCCATTTCTGAGTTCCTTGCTCCCTTTTTCTCGGGCTGCCCCATGGACCCTTCTTAAGGAGTCCAAATAGATCTCTTAAAAGAGTGGCATACAAGGCTTGCTTATTTCTTGGATAAGAGAGATAGAAGGCGATCTATTTGGACTCTTTCTCTGACTTACTGAGCTTACTTTGCTAAATTTTAGGCTCAGCTTTATGTGTTTATCTCTTTTTTGGCTTCAAACAAGAGATCGTCCTACATCTAGCCTCAGCACCACAAAAGTGACAACCTTGGAGCAAATGAGAGGGACTAATGTTGCAATCAAACAAGATTATTTGATGTTTGCCTAATCCCTGGCAAATCGTCACCTCTGTAGCTTTGCACACATTGTTCCATCTACCTGGAATGGGCTTCTTTCTCATCCCTGCATTTCTAAATCCTGTTATTTTTCAAGGCTTCACTCAAATGCTATGTCTTCCATGAAACCTTTCCTCATAACCCCTATATCACTTTGGATTTTTCTTAGTGCATTTTTTTCTTTACTATTTAATTAATTATTGCTGCAAAACATTACTCCAAACCTTACTAGTTTAAATGACAAAAACATTTATCATCTCACAGTTTCTATCAGTCAGGAACTCAGGAGTGGTTTTGTCCTTCTGTTTCAGGGTCTCTCCTGGAGTTTCAGTCAAGAAGTCAGCTTGACTGGCTCTGGAATATTGGCTTCCACACTGGCTCCTTGCATGGCTGGCAGGCTGATGCTGGCTACTGATGGCAGGCCTCAGTTTCTCTCTACACAACCCATGGCTGCTTGGATGTCTTCCCATGCAACTGGCTTCCTCCAGAGCAGGTGATTCAAGAAAGAGCAAGGCAGAACCTAGAATATTTTTTATGACTAAATCTCAGAAGTCACTCCCTGTCATTTTGTTGGTATTTTATTGGTAACACAGGCAGCCACAATTCAGCACAGGAGGGGACTACACAAAGGGGTAAAAACCAGGGGGCAATCGTTGAGGGTCATCTTGAAAGCTGAGTACTGCACTTACTCTTTTGCATTGTGATTAGTTTTGTTTAATGTCATACCATCCTGAGAGGGAAAATTCATTCTGGGGTTCTCTTTTTCATCTTTTTATCTTCTACATAATCAGCATGTGGTAAATATATGATGCATGTTTCATGAGAGAACAAATAAACAACGATAAGAAATTCAGGTGGCATCATAGAGACTATTAGTCCTTTCATTTAATGATACCATCCAGACAGACAAATGTTAGTCATAGTTTTTGGAACAGGAACAGAAGTGGCTGTCTGGAAACTACTGTAACTGCAAAAAAAAAAAAAAAAAAAAAAAGTGACCTATGTTTGCCATTTGCTTTTGCCTTAATATATTTTATATACATCATTCAAAAATATGTGTATTTAGGAGAAGGGGCTCAGTCTTTAATATACGGCACACTTAGAAATGTTTCAATCATATGGTGGTATCTGCCATCACAGAACAAAATACTTTATGGAAAAGATTGATGTTACTTTAGTTTAAGGTGTCACACTTTTATTGTGCACTCATTTTAGGCCATTTTATGTTTGGTAAAAAATGGGACAAAACAAAAAAACAAAACTAACTCTAAAACATTAAGTCATTCTTCTTGCTGTAAAGAAATTCACAATACATGCCAGCACTTATAAAATGAAAATGATGCAGAATTTATAGAGTTAAGTTACAGAAGGAAGGCACTGAGATTTTCATACATTCAATTATCTAGAAAAGCAAATCAATTTTGTTTTTGTTAATAGCAATGAAATATGCATGCCACTCTTTTAATTAAAGCCGTTGAGAACACATGTGTTCATTTTATGCCTATAGATTTCCTCTGGGAACAGGTCAAGCTCTATGATAAAGCATAGTGAAAATAATTTATATGTAAAACAATAAACTCAATTCACTAACCTAGAATGTTTCAAATGAGGTGTTTTCAGATCACCCATCTCAGGATCTCTCTGGGAAAGGGTGGTATTAGCTAAATTGTTGATGACTAGGATTCACCTGAAATCTACAAATAAATTGCCCTAGGGGGAGGCCAGGAAATGTTTAATAAATGACTCAGGTAATTTGTGTACACACTAATTTTGGAAACCAGTTATCTAACAGCAAAAGTCAGTGTACAATAAATGGTAAAGGACAAACTTCAGAAATGCAATCCTGAACCCAAAAGAAAGAAAAAAGGCAGCTCTCTGCACCTCTCTCTGTGACCTGCCAAGTGTCTGGAGATTGTGAACAACTTCCAATACACTTTCTGTTAGACAATGATATCACAATTCATATCAGAATTCTTTCTAAGTCTAGCAGTCCTGACCTGAGACGAGAATAATAATGCATATAACCACAAAATGAGTCAGTACATTTCTGCTTAGCCTGGGACAAAAAAAAAGAAAAAAGAAGAGGAGTTTTCCTGAGTTTTTTTTTTTTTTTTTTTTTTTTTTTTTTTTTTTTTTGAGACAGAGTCTCACTCTGTCACCAGGCTGGAGTGCAGTGGCACAGTCTCAGCTCACTGCAACCTTCACCTTCCGGGTTCAAGCGATTCTCCTGCCTCAGCCTTCCGAGTAGCTGAGACTATAGGCTTGTGCCACCATGCCCAGCTAATTTTTGTATTTTTAGTAGAGATGGGATTTTACCATGTTGGCCAGGATGGTCTTGATCTCTTGACCTCGTGGTCCACCTACCTTGGCCTGACTTTTTTTCCTTCTGTGATTTTGCAGAATTAACTGCTGCAACAAGTGTGAATTTGGAGCTGGGGCCAATAGTTTCATCTATTGAGGAAATATCTCTCATTCTCATTTTCTTCAAACACCTAGAGGGGAGGAGGTAGAAAAAATATTAAAAGCCAAAAAAATGAAAGGAAGCAAAAGACACAGAGACTAGTGCCATGAAGCAATTTGTACATACTCCCTATACAAACAATGGTGAAGCCGACCAAATTCATCCAGGTCTCTTTTCCATACCTCACATGTTTTATTCTATTAGGTTTGTGCAAAACTAATTGTGGTTTTTGCCATTGAAAGTAATTGCAAAAACCTCAATTGCTTTTGTACCAACCTAGCATTCTGAGACGTGGTAGAGGAGAACTAAAGGGACCGTGGTCATCCACTCTCCTACCCATAAGATATTCCTCATAAGAAGAGGTGCACAATCAGAAAAGAATACTGAGCATGTTTTCCCCTGAAAATGGAAACAATGCTTCTGGTTGGTCAAAGTACCATCTTGTTTAATTTCATTGAACAATTAATATATGTTCATACAGGTTATAAAGGCATTAGAAGCAACATTGAGGGAAAACAAACTTTACATGTTTTTTGCTTAATTAATGTTAACATTTCCACCATCTTCCTCTTAATTTCACTTCAGTAACTACTGAAGAGTTCTACTTTAAATCAGGATAAATAAAGGCTAACCCATGAAACACATTCACCCCCCAATCTTGGTGACTTAAGAACGGTTTGATTTTCTCATATCAGGGTCCATACAGGGATACGGGTGTGTAGCATGTCTCTATTTCCAGGTTTCCATGATTTTCGAAGGAGTACAAAGGAAACATGAGGAAACATACACTGCCTCATCAAGTGTCCACCCAAAAATGAAATGTATTTTGTAGGCCAAAGTAAGTCATATGGCCGCATCTAGCTGCAAGAAGTGGGAAGCACAAGCCAGCTATATTCCAAAAGGAAGAAAGTGAGAAATATTTGGCAACCAACACTAACAACTACCACAAGTCTCAATCAAACCTAACGTCCACATTTACCAAGAAAGTGTAGTCCCAACTTGAAACATTTTTAATTGAACTTTTTTCCTACTTTTAATTTTCCTTAGATGGTAAATAGCATCTACTCAAATTCACTTAATATATATTCAGACATCCTATAGTTCTTATCCTATTTGGTTCACCTTATTTAAGGTGATGTGTGTCAATACCTCCTCCTACTACTATTGTGATTTTGCTACATTTTTTGCTTTCATTTTTCTCTTGATAAATATGTGTGTGTGTGTGTGTGTGTGTGTGTGTGTGTATAGGTAAATTAAAATACTGAATTGTTTGTCCTGTAATGGTTCATAGTTATTACAGCTTTGTTTATGAATTGTGCCCTCATTATAGGGCAGGAGTTAGTCATGTGAAGAAATGTGTATAGAGTAATAACATTCCAGCACCTATGAAGGGGTACAGATAGAGTATAGAATAAAGAGGTACCTTCTAGATAGTAGAAAACCTGCATTCAAGCACGTTAAGAGAACAGGGAGCTTGCACTAAGAATTACAAGAAGTAGTTGCTTCCTTTTGGAGCAACAGTATCAGGCAAGGAATTGTGAGAAACGGGAACTGGAGAGTTAGACAGGGTCTGGGTGATATATCATTTTTATCTTTCTTATTCCTGGGATGATTATGCTGAAGCAAAATTAAGTACAATAACTCTCAACAAAAATGTTTGAGAATGATGTGATCATTAAAGTCATCTCATACTTAAACAAACATGTTCAATCAAAATGACTTGAATCTCAGTTATAGAGTCACTGAAATTGCGGAAATTAGTTTTGGCATGGAGTTACGTTACCACAGAAACACCATGATCTGATGGAAAAAATTCTCAATGGGGCACATGAAGATTCATGCCCTATTCCTGTTTTTTGTGGTTAAGCAGTTTTACGACTTTAGATAACTTAGGTAACCTTTGTGTCTCAACTTCTTCATAAGTAAGATTGATGTTTTTACAGTTTTTGTATTTAAAGCATAAGGTTATAGCATAATGGGTGTGTAAAGGTCTCTTGAAAAATAAAATTAAAATTATCATAAATGAGATATTCTTGATCCCCATGATAAACAATTCATAGGACATGCCATCAATATTCAAAGTAATAAAAATCTGACATTTAGTCTAGGCCTTCAGTGCTGATGAAATATTCTATTAGATTTTATTTGCAATAAATCCCATCAAGACTAGAAGTACTTCCTAAATAAAAATGTAATATTTGAAGATCAAGCCTCTCAAAAAATTAGACTGATGTAAACTAGACCAAATTTTAAACATCTCTTTTAAACATACATATGTATGACTTATAATAAGGGCCTCGTCATGACTGGCTGCTTGGGCATTCATTTAAGAACTCATCACAATAATTAGGATGATCACTTTTAATTCTGGACAATGTCATTTTGTAAACCATTGTAATTTTCCATTAATTATAAATGTTGACCTCTTGACCAATCAGAACATTTTCAATCAGTTTAATTATTCCTCAAGAATCCCAATTACTTTGTCAATAATCAAAATAAATGCCATTAGTCATAAACTTTTTACGTGCCATTTAGTGAAATCTACATTCATTTGAAAGTTAAACCGCCTTTCCCATGTTTCCTTTAAATTTGATTCTCATGATGCTCAATGGCATGACAAGAGCTAAGAGGACGTTGGGGACCCAAAGTACCAGGAAGCAGGAAGTCATCTAAACAGACTCTAAAAAGGTTTCCACATCATCAGATTTCTCAGCAGAATCCAGTGCACTGATAAGAATTAGGCCTTGCCTTCCTATTTTAACAAAACACTTTATTCAATATGTATTTAATGAGTATTTAATATGTACCAAGCACTGTAGTCATCTTTGAAATTTCAGAGAAAAGATAAGGTAGACAATATCTCTGACTACAAAGAAACCATAGCTTTTTGTTTTTGTTTTCAATTAAGGCAAAATATACATAGTACAATGCTCAGAAATTAAATGGACAATTGCATGAATATTGACAAGTGTATTCACATGTGTCACAAGTGTATTCACATGTGTCACAATAAAACATGTATCTTTGGTCTTTTATCTCGGTTCCTGATATAGAGTTTCTAAAACCCTTGTAATTTCCTGAATGATGGAGAAATAGGAGTGACTTACAAAGAGCTCCTAAAGCCTTTGGAACTTTTGGGTGGAAGAAGCAGCCTTTGTTCTAATTTGACGACTCTAGCTGGACTCCTGGATAGTCGGGTTACCAGAAAGACCAAGCCATGATTGAAGGTTTGGAGTAGATTTTAGCCTCATCCTCACCCTCCAGAAAGGAAGAGGGGCTGGAGATTGATTTGAGTTAATAATGGAACATGCCTACATCATGAAGCTTCCATAAAAAATCCATAAAGTTTAGAGTTCAGAGAATTTCTGGGTTGGTAAATGTGTCCACATGACAGCAGAGTGGTACATTCCAGCTCCACGGGGATAGATATTCCTGTGCTCCAGACCTTTCCAGAACACACCCTATGTACCTCTTCCTCTGCCTATTTATATGTATCCTTTATAATAAACCAGAAAACGTAAGTAAAATGTTTCTTTCAGTTTTGTGAGTAATTACAGTAAATTATTGAAACTGAGGAGGAGGTTGTGGGAACCACTGATGTGTAGACAAGTTGGACAGAAATGTGGGCACCCTGGAATCTACTACTTGCAATCAGCATCAGAAATGGGAGGCAATCTTGTGGGACTGAGGTGGGTTTTGTTTGTTTGTTTGAGACAGAGTCTCGCTCTGTTGCCAGGCTGGAGTGCAGTTGCACAATCTCGGCTCACTGCAACCTCCACCTTCCCGGTTCAAGCAATTCTCCTGCCTCAGTTTCCTGAGTAGCTGGGACTACAGGCACCCGCCACCATGCCCAGCTATTTTTTGTATTTTTAGTAGAGATGGGGTTTCACTCTCTTGGCCAGGATGCTCTCGATCTCTTGACCTCATGATCTGCCCGACTCGGCCTTCCAAAGTGCTGGGATTACAGGCATGAGCCACCGCGCCCGGCCAGGACTGAGTTCTTAATCTGTGACTTTGCTCTAACTCTATGTAGAATTAGTGTCAGAATTAAACTGAATTGTTGGACACCCAGTTGGTTGGTTGGTTTGGAAAACAAAACAAAACCAACTTCCACACTTTCACATTTGGTGCCAGAAGTGTGAACAGAGGAGCAGTTTTTCTTTAGGAACCAGCAACCCATTTAAGATGCAGCTTCTATCCATTGCCGAAGTTTCCCCATGCTCCTTTCAGTGGATTTCCAACCCTCATGGGCAAACTCTGCCCTGATTTCTATCAACACAGATTCTTTTGGCCTGTCTTAGAAATTCATGAAGGGGGATTCCTACAATTCATATTCTTTTGTGTCTAGCATCTTTTGCTTTCATCTAATGTAACATTCTCAAGATTCATTTTTTCCTTCTCATGTTCATTTTTTTTTTATTACTTGGGTGGTATTCCATTGTATAAATATGTCACTATAGTATTTGTTTTTGAAAATTTGTGTTATTTCCTGTTTTGGCTATAATTTATAAAGCTGCTACAAATATTCAATAATGGACTTTTTATGAATATGTTTTTATTTCCCTTGGGTATATACCTAGAAGGGAATAGTTGAATTGTATGGTAAGAGCATGTTTAACTTTAAAGGAAATTGCCAGTTTTCCAACATAATTGTAACATTTTACACTTTAACCAGAAATGTATTTTTCGTTTGTTTGGTTTGAGACAGGGTCTCACTATGTCACCCAGGCTGGAGTACAGTGGTGTGATCTCAGCTCACCACAGCCTCAACCTTCCTGGCTGAAGCAGTCCTCCCACCTCAGCCTCCTGAGTAGCTGAGACTACAGGCATGCACCACCACGCCCAGCTGATTTTTGTATTTTTTGTAGAGACAGTGTCTTGCCATGTTGTCCAGGCTGGTCTCGAACTTTTGGGCTCAAGCGGTCTGCTCACCTAGACCTCCCAAAATGCTGGGATTACAGATGTAACCAGAAATGTTTGATCCTTCCAATTGTTCCATGTCATCATCAACGTTTGCTGTGGTCAGTGAAGTTTCCCTTTTCATGTGCTTGTTAGACATTTCTTCTTTTGTAAAGCTTCTGTTCAAGTCGTACAATTTTTAAACTTGAGTCGTGTTATCACTAAGTTTTAAGAGTTTCTAAAAATACATTCTGAATATAAATAATCTGTTAGGTATATGTATTTCAAATATTTCTCTCAGTTTGGGGCTTGTCTTTTATATTTTCTTAATACTATGTTTTTGATGAGGAAAGTCATTTAAATTTGGTGAAGTCACTTTATAACTTCTATTTTTTATAGTTAGGGATTTTTGTATTTTCCAATAAATTTGTTTCTTACTATAAGATAATAAATACATTTTCAAAAAGCTTTATAATATTAGCTTTTATATGTAGGTCTATGATACACTTCAAATACATTTTGTGTGATGTGAGGTAGGGATCAATGTACATACTTTTCCAGTCATTTATCTAGTTGATGCAGTGCCATTTGTAGGTGAAAAAAAAAAAAAAACAACTTTCTCCATTAAATTGCCTTGAATCTTTACTTAAAATCAATTGACTTGATATTTGAGAATTTATTTCTGGATTCTATTTTCTTTCATTGATCTATTTGTCCATCCATGTGCCAATACCACTGTTGCAACTTAAGGTAAGCTGTGAAATCAAATGTATACAGCCTCCATTTCTCCCCTTATTTTTCAAGACTGTTTCGGCTTTTTATAGGTCTTTTTTATTTCCATATTAAGTTTTAAAATTGATTCGCCCATTTTGGTAAAAACAGTTGCTTTGGTTGCAACTAGGATTTCATTAAATCTGTACATCAATTTGGTGAGAATTGTTATCTTAACTGTTAATAACATTGAGTCTTCCAATCCACGAACACACTGGTTGGACCAGACCTCCATCATCTTCCAGTTCTATGCAAAAATCATCTACCACTGTGAAGCTCTCAGTCCTGTAGCAGGTGCTGCCACCTTCTCCTTGGCTTTGTGAGTTCTCTCCCTATGAAGGCACAGCTCAACCTTCAGTCCAGAACCTACTGGAAACTCTTATGCAGACTTTTCCTGAGCTCCTTTCTCCTTGGCTCTACTATTTCCATCCCTTCCAGCAACACCATATTTAAATCTCAGCCTTCTTGGCTCAGCAAGACCACCTCACTCTGCCTGAGATCTACTTCTGTGCGCACTGGTTTAGAATGTATTCCCAGGAAGAAAGCCAGAGTAAGCAAACATGACGCTAAACTCATGTTTATTCCCTTTTCTCAAAGATCACAATCTTACGTAGACTTTTTTTTTTAATGTACGGAAATAGTTGCCTCATAATTTCTCAAATTTTATGTTCTTTTTTTAATGGGAGAGGGTAGTCTTGATCAGTTACATCATCATGGCAAGCAGCAGAATTATTGCAATTTATGGCTTTAAAGAGTTGGACAAACATTTAACATGTGATTTCGAAATTTCAAAATAAATACTGTACTGTTTGTGTGTGTGTGTGTGTGTGTGTGTAAGAGAGAAGCTGCCATAGTTTAGAGGTTCAAAAAAGGCCTCTTGGAGCAATTGATGTTAAGTATACACCTGAAAGTTTAAGTAGAATCAGGCAGATGGAGAGAGAGGGAGAGAGTTAAAGTGCTCTGTTTTTAAATTATGAAGCATGAAGACTATGATCAGATGCTATTGCAAGGAATCAGTGGCTAAGTCTCAAGCATGTGTGAAAACATCATTATATTCTTCAAATGTCCTTCTCTCTAGGGCCTGTCATATTTCCACTTGCTTCCAGAGGAAGGGCATGCCTCACACTGCTAGGACTCCCAGTAACTGAAGTTTAAATAGCATTTCTATGATGGGTACTTTCTGTCTCCAAAAGATTACATGCCAAATTATCTAGATAACTCAGAATTCCTTTGTATAATATCATTTTTCTAGATAAAGGAATATAAAACAATTTTAGACTAGGATTAGCAAAATGGTCTTTTATGTTCAAATTTTATCATGAAAATTTCCACATTAAATTTGTTTGAGGAACACAGGAATCTCGCCTCTACTAAAAAAGAGAAAACCTTGAAATATATCCATAAATTAAACTGCACTAATTACCTACTTCAAAAAAAATACAATACTCTGTTATCTAAATGACAAATGAACTGACTTACGATCTCTGTCTTGGACTGTCCCCTGGAACCTGCTCCAAAAGGAGCCAAGGAAAAGCCCTTCTCCGCCATCTTGGTTTTGATTTTGGTATTGTTGTAACTCTCTAGGGATACAAAAGACTTGTATATAATATAACTGGGGTTTACCTTTTTCTTATTTTAGCAACATTAAAGATTAGTAAAATTTTCCTGATACACTCATTTGTGTATTGAGAATTTAAATTACATTAGGAATTCCCATTTTCAATTAAATTTTATTCCCTATGTCTTTCAAATATCAGGAGGGAAAGTATCAGGCAAAAGGAAAATTATTAGCCAAGGATGTAATCTCAACGTGTCTCGTTATCCCACAGTTTTTAGTGTCTTTCTCTTCTTCTGTACCTTGGAGACTGTAGTCAAGCTACATTCACATTTGCAATCTTATGGTCTATTTTAGATTTTTAGCTAGACCAGCTTTCAAAAAAATTCTGTTCACTCTGCAGTCGTATATATTTATAGTCCTCTGGAGGATAACTCCTCTTCAAGGCATTAAACTTACAGACTCAGGTCATATTCCAGCCCATGTTGTCTGAGGTTCAGAAAGTACAATAACATTTGGCCATTTTGGTTTGTTTTTGAACATCCGTTCTTCTGTTGAAATGTCAGAAAACCCATTCTCAAGTCAAAAGATAAAAAATGGGATTGATTCTTTCTTTATGTGTACCCAGCTAGGCATTCATGCAAAATACTAATGAAACTCCCAGTAGGGGTGAGGGAGGTAAGATTTGACAAGAAGCAAGTTGAATTATTTAGACAATGTTAACGTTATTTTACAACTAAATAAGGACCTTTTAATTTTTTAAAATAAACCTAATATTTTGGAATCTATTTAGATTTACAGAAAAGTTGCAAAGGCAGTACAGAGACGTCCTGTGTACCTCACACCCAGTCTCCCTTATTATCAGCAGTTTTATTAGCATGGTATATTTGTCACAATTAACAAACTAATATTTATATATTATTATTCACTACAGGCCATATTTTATTCAGCCATTTTAAGATTTTACTAATGTCCTTTCTCCGACCCTGCAGAGGATAACAAACCACATTTAGTCATCATTGCTTCTTAGGTTCCTCTTGCATGGACAGTGTCACAAACTTTCCTTCTTTTAGATGACTTTGATAGGAATCTTGTAGGTTTTTCTCTCAGTTGAATTTGTCTGATGGTTTTTCTCATAATTAGGCTGTGATTATAGATTTTGGGAAGAAAACACACAGAATTAAAAGGCCATTTTCAGCTGGGCATGGTGGCTCATCCCTGTAATCCCAGCATTTTGGGAGGAGGCCGAGGTGGGTGGATCGCTTGAGGCCAGGAGTTTGAGACCAGCCTAGTCAACATAGTGAGACCCCCATCTCTACAAAAACTACAAAAATTAGCCAGGCGTGATGGCAGACACCTGTAGTTCCAGCTACTTGGGAGGCTAAGGCAGGAGAATAACTTGAGCCCGGGAGGCGAAGGTTGCAGTGAGCCAAGATTGCACCATTGTACTTCACTCTGGGTGATGGAAGTGAAACCTTGTCTCAAAAAATAAAGATAAGATAAATAAATAGCCATTCTCATTATATCTCACAAAGGGTATATATGAACAATATGAGTGATCTCTGTTGATGTTAATCTTGATCACTTGACTGAGGTAGTGTTCGTCAGGTTTCTCTCCCTTAACATTACTTTTTTCTCCTTCCTTTTCCACCCTATCCTCTTTGGAAAGATATTATTATAGCCCACACTTTAGGAGTGAGATGTTATTCTCCACCTCCTTGAGGGCAAGAGTATCTACATAAATAATTTGAAATTCTTCTGCATGGGAATTTGTCTATTCATCCTCATTTGTTTATTCAATGGTTTATTTATATCCTTGTGGACTCATGAATATTTATTTATATTCAGCTTATAATCCAACACTACTTCATTTATTTTGTTGCTCAACTTGGTCCATTTTTGGCCATTGAGAGATCTTTCAATTGGCTCCTGTGTGCCCTTGACATAAACAATGTGTTCTTGTTGTTTATCATCTTTTTGTTGAAATGCAATAAAGAAAAAATACAGTAGGACAAAATTTATAATGCATATATATGTTGGTAAAATACACAAATGGGTAAAATTTGTTGTTTGGAGCTGGAAATTTCATCATGGACCCAACACTAGGTTGTCCCTGCAATTGTTCCAACAGCACCAAAAATGTATATGAAATTTCTAGAAAATGCAGGTTTTTTAAAAATTGGTTTTGATTTTAATTTTGTTGCAAAATGCTTAAAACAATAGAGTAAAATCACAATTTATTGCCTAGGTTAGAGAAGTAAATGAAATGTACTTCCTTTATTTATTTTTTTTCTTTTGGAAGCAATACCACTAATGCCAGTGCTCGAGCCTTTGAGTTGCTTTTATCTCTTGCTTTTGTCATCCTTCGTGATTCCTTTCAGTTTTTTTTTCCCCCTCTTAATCTTGTTTCAAGTACCGCCTTCTTCTCCCTGATCCCCTTCCTCATCTGTCCCTCCAGGCAAGTCTCTGCTACTTGCTTATCCTCAGACAACAATTTCCTGATACAAACTAGACCTTGTATAAGATCCTCTTCCTCCTGGGCTTGAATTATTTCATTTGAAAATATAATGTTTGGACTAGATGATGTCCCAAATATCATGTATATCTAAAATTTCATGATTCTGGCAACCTATGGTTTTGCCAATTATTAAGAGATTATGCCACAGAATCCCCTGCAAAGCTGCAAATTGCGAAAACAAGTTGCACACAGAGTAAGTGACAGAGCCAGGAATAGCTCCAAGTCTCTGACCATCAAGAATCACCTGAGGCAGGAGAATGGCGTGAACCAGGGAGGCGGAGCTTGCAGTGAGCCGGGGATCTCGCCACTGCACTCCCGCCTGGGTGACAGAGCGAGACTCCGTCTCAAGAAGAAAAAAAAAGAATCACCTCAGGCCAGGCGCGGTGGCTCACGCCTGTAATCCCAGCACTTTGGGAGGCCGAGGAGGGCGGATCATGAGGTCAGGAGATCGAGACCACCCTGGCTAACACAGTGAAACCCTGTCTCTACTAAAAATACAAAAAAATTAGCCGGGCGTGGTGGCGGGCGCCTGTGGTCCCAGCTACTCGGGAGGCTGAGGCGGGAGAATGGCTTGAACCCGAGAGGCGGAGCTTGCAGTGAGCCGAGATCGCGCCACTGCACTCCAGCCTGGGCGACAGAGTGAGACTCTGTCTCAAAAAATTAAATAAATAAATAAATAAATAAATAAATAAATAAATATATATATATATATGAACCACCTCTCCAAGCCTCTCCACTCTACTGCTTTATGCATGGTGTTTAGCCTTCCTTCCTTCCTTCCTTTTCCTTCTTCCCTTTCCTTTCCTTTCTCTCTTTTCTCTCTCTCCTTTCTTTCTTTCCTTTCTTTCTTTCTTATTTCCTTCCTTCCCTCCTCCCTCCCTCCCTACCTCCCTCCATCCCTCTTCTTCCTTCCTTCCTCCCCTTCCTCCCCTCCCTTCCTTCCTTTCCTCCCTCCCTCCCTCCTTTCCTTCCTCCCTCCCTCCTTTCTTTCCTCCCTTCCTCCTTTCCTTCCTCCCTCCCTTTCCTCCCTCCCTCCCTCCTTTCCTTCCTCCCTCCCTCCTTTCTTTCCTCCCTTCCTCCTTTCCTTCCTCCCTCCCTCCTTTCCTTCCTCCCTCCCTCCTTTCCTTCCTCCCTCCCTTTCCTTCCTCCCTCCCTCCCTCCTTTCCTTCCTCCTCTTCCTTCCTCCCCTTCCTCTCCTTCCTCCCTCCCCTTCCTCTTCTTCCTCCCTCCCCTTCCTCTCCTTCCTCCTTTTCCTCCCCTTCCTTCCTTCTTCCCTCCCTCCCTCCCTTCCTCCCCTTCCTTCCTTCCTTCTTTCCTTCCTCCCTCCCTTCCTCTCTCTCTCTGTCTTCTTTCTTTTTCTCCAGGCTCTGAAATTAATTACCCTCACAATTCCTTGAAGCCTTTATTCTACTCTATTTGATCAGCACCAATAGCTTAAGAAGAGAAATTCATCTTCATGATCCTTAGTATATTGCACTGTGAAAAGAGCCTGTACTCTTCTCCAAGCAGATTGAAATGCATAATTTTTCAACTGAATGCAAAAGAGGAACAACAAGGATTATTTAATACAGTGACTAATTCCCTTTCTCTCTCCAATTAGTCTGGGTTTAAAGAAGTGAAAAAAAATGCAAGAATTTCCAAAGACTTAGCCCTGTTTCAAGTGCTTTGAGAGATAGGAAAGGAATATAAAATACATTGCAGGTATGAAATTAACAGTCTGCCATCGGAAGGGCAGTATTAGTATACCTGAAATCATCAGTTTACAATACAACGTTATGTAATTAATGGCTAAGTTGTGTGGGACTGCCTCCTTGCCCACCATAATACCTAATTCTGGATATCCTTTCAAATGTGCTTTTGATTCAGAATAACAAAGTTATAACAAGTTGAAAATAACACAAAAGTACTTTCTTGGCCTGAATCATTATATTTTCTCTTTAGTGCTGCCATTGTAAAGATGAACTGTATAATGTATGGGGTGCTTCTTGACATGTTTTCTAAACAGGGCTTCAGGCCAGGTGATGTTCCTGAATATTTGTAATAAAAGTGACAACTAAGGAGAAAGATTATGGCATCTGATACCATGTGGCCATTTGGTAGCAGCTCAATAAATATATATCAATTGCTTTCCTTCCAGGTGTGATGAAAGAGCACCTGGTTCCCTTAGAATCACAGAAGTAAAGAAGTAGTTGGGATTCATCAGAGCATGCTGTGCCAGCTTCTCAGATGAGTGTATCCTTGAATACCCAGTATCCAGAGCTTCTCTCTGCATCCCTTTGACTTTTACCAGTAAGGCTCTTTTCCCTTTACTCAGAATGAGCATGCCAACCTTTTTCCATTTTTTTTCCAAGTCTTGCTAGTAACCTTTTGTGGAACCCACCAGCTAACTCTTCTGAGAAGAGAGAAACTAGAGCTGTCTATTGCAACTCTCTCATCTTTCTACTCTGGTCTACAAAGGCTTCTGCAATCCTACTCAACATTTCTTTTCTCGGTACATTTTCTCAGTGGAAAACATTTCTGCCTTCAATCCAAGACTAAATTCTCTGCCTGTGTCCCTGGGCTTCTGTGATGAGTATTCTCTCTCCCTAGAACTCCCTTTTCTCACTGCCCTTGTAATGGAACTCAGCTCCAGTCTTGCCTCCTCTAAGTAGGGTGTCTTCTCTTTTTCTGGGCACCATTACACACTCAGGAACCTCAAAGGAATGCAAACCCATGGCAGCGATTTCATCTCCCCTAGCATGTTAGGTTGGTGTCCTCATTAGAACTATTATGCCCTCAAATGAGGAAGCTTATCTTATTTGACAGATGGATATTTGTCTGAAATTTTCCATATTTGTTTTAATACTTATTAAAAGTGTGATAAATCTTTATTGAGGAAAGTTCAGAAAACAGAAACCTATAAGAACATACAAATAATTACTGATGTCCCACTTCAGAAATGGTTACTCTTCAGTTGTGTAAATTTCCCTCTAGTCATTTTCTTTACCAAATTTATAGAAATAACATTCCATTTTACATTTGTAAAATGTTTATAATTTATATCTTTCTTTCCGGCTCAACATTATATTATAAGCAGTAGTTCACAGCATTAAAAGGCCTTCAAATATATAATATTTATTCCTATAACTTATTTAACCTTTCCAGAAATGTTTTTTGTTGCTGTTGCAAATTTCTACATATATATAAAGTTATGGTAAAAAAATTTTTATATATAAATACTGTCCACATCTATTAAGATTTTTCCCTTAAATCAGCATTATTGGCTCAAAGGTACATACCTCATAAATATTATTAAAAATGTTTAAGATTCTTAACTATACTTGGCAAATTGTTTCCTAGAAGTTAGCACTAACTCGTATTTTCATGTGTATCATATGAAAATGACAATGTCAGTGTCCACTCATTAGTATCAATGACTATTTTTGAAATCTGCTAGTTTGATTGGAAAAAGTTAGTATCTGACTTTTAAACTGGCATTTCCTTGATAATAAGTTGAAAATTTGGCATTTCCTTAATAAGTTGAAAATTTATCATTTACAGGTGTTAGTTATTTGTATATCTGCTTTTGGTGAACTGTCTACATTAGTATTTTGGGAGGAGGTTTTTTTTTCTGCTGGTGTCTTGGCAATGAACTCTTTAGGTATGAAAGACATAAACATTTATTATTTGTATTTTTTAAAATTTATGAAATTTTAAATGTAATTTTTAAAAATTCAAAAATTTATCCTTTTGGTTTATAATAATTCATTCTCCTTTTATATTTATCAAATACTTCTTCATCTACATAAATGTATAATTATATGTGAGATTTTTATGGTTTAATTATTTGCATGGTACTAGAATGTTCTTGAGAGTATAGTGTTGTCTAGAATTCTAAATAAAGTTTTTATTTCCTTATAACTTAATTTTCTATAGCATGTTTAAGTATCCCATTTTTCACCAATGTTTAGTATTCTTCTATTACATATTTACCAAGTTTATTAACTGTTTATGTAAAACACCTTATGTATTCATTTATATATTATGTTTATTATATATACTTATAATATCCATATATAAAACTTATTTAAATGTATATACACACTTATATACATTATGCCTATAAACATTGCTGTATACATGAAATGTATATATAACAGATACCTAGTATATACTAATATGTTCTGACTATATATTTTTATATGACTATTGTGTGTGAATATGTGTGTATGTGTTTCCTGGGTTATCTAATCAATTTCATGGATCTACTGATCTATTTATGCAATAGTAAGACTATTTTAATTATTGCAGTTTAAAAATACCTGGTAAGAAGGCCCCACCCTTTATTCTTCTTTTTCAATGTTATAACAATAGCCTAACATTTTATGTAATATAAATATTATATAAATAAAACTTGAGAATAGCTGTTGCTATCATATGAATGTTTCTGTCTTCCCAAAATTCATACATTGAAATCCTGGTGCCAAAGATGATGGGATTAGTAGGTGTGGCCTTTGGGAGGTGATTGGATCTGAAGGCTTCATGAGTGGAATTAGTGGCCTCATAAAAGAGGCCCAGGGGAGCTCAGTTGTTCTTCTACCATGCTAGGAAATGATGAGAAGGTGCCATCTATGAACTAGGAGGTAGGCCCTAGACAGACATCAAATCTGACAGCATCTTGATCCAGACTCTAGAAGTGTGAGAAATAAAATGTCTCTGGTTTACAAACCACCCAGTTTACAGTATTTTGCTAGAGCAGACTGAATGGATTAATAGTTCACTATGCCATCTCTGCTCCTTCCTTACTGTCCACCATCAAAATCCTTAAAATTCACTTGAAGTTTTTTGGATTCTATGTATTATCTTGGAAACAAATAGAATTTTTATAATATTCACGTTTTGTCTTTGGGAATATGACCTGTCTCTCCAAATCTTCAAATCTTCTTTGACATTGTGTTTCAGTTTTATAGTTTTGTTCATATAGGTCTAGGTCCAATTTGGGGCTGTTATTGGATTTTTATCCATTTTCTAATTGGTTATTTATGATCTACAGAAAATGATTTGTATATTTATAACAATCTGATTTCTGTATTTTTTAAACTCAGAAAGTTTTTGCAGTTAGTTTTTTTTAATTATAAAAAGTTACAGATGTACAGGAAGTTTTATATGATAATGTAATAAATATCCTCTGTAAGGGATTTTATATCTATATTTATACATGAATTTATATTTTCATTTCATCAATTCATTAATTATCCTTTTTAAAGTGTTATGCATATATTTTTATGGTTTTCAGATTATGTTTAATACCTTCTTGGTATTTCAGAAGCAGCAATATTTTGAAAATAGCTAAACATAATCTTTGGCATGTGTTGTTAAGGAGTTAAAAATATGATAACAAGCTCTGAAATTGAGGCAGTAATTAATAGCCTACCAACCAAAAAAACCCAGGACCAGACGGATTCACAACCAAATTTTACCAGAGGTACAAAGAGAAGCTGGTACCGTTCCTTCTGAAACAATTCCAAACAACAGACAAAGAGGGACTCCTCCCTAACTCATTTTATGAGGCCAGCATCATCCTGATACCAAAACCTGGCAGAAACACAACAAAAAAAGAAAATTTCAGGCCAATATCCCTCATGAACATCAATGCGAAAATCCTCAATAAAATACTGGCAAAGCAAATCCAGCAGCATATTATAAAGCTTATCCACCACGATCAAGTCGGCTTCATCCCTGGGATGCAAGGCTGGTTCAACATATGCAAATCAATAAACATAATCCATCACATAAACAGAACTGATGACAAAAACCACGTGACTATCTCAACAGATGCAGAAAAGGCCTTTGACAAAATTCAACACCCCTTCATATTAAAAACTCTCAATAAACTAGGCATTGATAAAACGTATCTCACAATAATAAGAGCTATTTACGACAAAACCCACAGCCAATATCATATTGAATGGGCAAAAGCTGGAAGCATTCCCTCTGAAAACCAGCACAAAACAAGAATGCCCACTCTCACCACTCCTATTCAACATAGTATTGGAAGTTCTGGCCAGGGCAATCAGGCAAGAGAAAGAAATAAAGGATATACAAATAGAAAGAGAGGAAGTTAAATTTTCTCTGTTTGCAGATGACATGATTGTATATTTAGAAAACCCCATCGTCTCAGCCCAAAATCTCCTTAAGCTGATAAGCAACTTCAGCAAAGTCTAAGGATACAAAGCCAATGTGCAAAAATCACAAGCATTCCTATACACCAATAGACAGAGAGCCAAATCATGAGTGAATTCCTATTCACAATTGCTACAAAGAGAATAAAATACCTAAGAATACAACTAACAAGGGATGGGAAGGACCTCTTCAAGGAGAACTACAAACCACTGCTCAAAGAAACAAAAGAGGACACAAACAAATGGAAAAACATTCCATGCTCATGCACAGGAAGAATCAATTTCGTGAAAATGGCCATACTGCCTAAAGTAATTTATAGATTCAATGCTATCCCCATCAAGATACCATTGACTTTCTTCACAGAATTAGAAAATCTACTTTAAATTTCATATGGAACCAAAAAAGAGCCCATATAGCCAAGACAATCCTAAGCAAAAAGAGCAAAGCTGGAGGCATCACGCTACCTGACTTCAAGCTATACTACAAGGCTACAGTAACCAAAACAGCATGGTACTGGTACCAAAACAGGTATATAGACCAATGGAACAGAACAGAAGCCTTAGAAATAACACCTCACATCTACAAATGTCTGATCTTTGACAAACCTGACGAAAACAAGCAATGGGGAAAGGATTCCCCATTTAATAAACGGTGTTGGAAAAACTGACTAGCCATATGCAGAAAACTGAAACTGGGCCCCTTCCTTACACCTTATATAAAAATTAACTCAAGATGGATTAAAGACTTAAATGGTAAGACCTACAACCATAAAAACCCTAGAAGAAAACCTAGGCAATACCATTCAGGACATAGGCATGGGTAAGGACTTCATGTCTAAAACACCAAAAGCAATTGCAACAAAAGCCAAAATAGACAAATGGGATCTAAATAAACTTAAGAGCTTCTGCACAGAAAAAGAAACTATCATCAGAGTGAACAGGCAACCTACAGAATGGGAGAAAATTTTTGCAATCTATCCACCTGACAAAGGGCTAATATCCAGAATGTACAAGGAACTTGAACAAATTTACAAGAAAAATACAACCCCATCAAAAAGTGGGTGAAGGATATGAGCAGACACTTTTCAAAAGAAGACATTTATGCAGCCAACAAACATATGAAAAAAAAGCTCCTCATCACTCGTCATTAGAGAAATGCAAATCAAAACCATAATGAGATACCATCTCATGCCAGTTAGAATGGTGATCATTAAAAAGTCAGGAAACAACAGATGCTGGAGAGGATGTGGAGAAATAGGAACGCTTTTACACTGTTGGTGGGAGTGTAAATTAGTTCAACTGTTGTGGAAGACAGTGTGGCAATTCCTTAAGGATCTAGAAGCAGAAATGCCATGTGACCCAGCAATCCCATAACTGGGTATACACCCAAAGGATTACAAATCATTCCACTATAAAGACACATGCACATGTATGTTTATTGCAGCACTATTCACAATAGCAAAGACTTGGAACCAACCCAAATGCCCATCAATGATAGACTGGATAAAGAAAATGTGGCACATCTACACCATGGAATACTATGCAGCCATAAAAAGGATGAGTTCATGTCCTTTGCAGGGACATGGATGAAGCTGGAAACCATCATTCTCAGCAAACTAACACAGGAACAGAAAACCAAACACCGCATGTTCTCACTCATAAGTGGGAGTTGAACAATGAGAACACACAAACACAGGGAGGGGAACATCACATACCAGTCAGGGGAGGGATAGCACTAGGAGAAATACCTAATGTAGGTGACAGGTTGATGGGTGCAGCAAACCACCATGGCACATGTATACCTATGGTAACAAACCTGCACGTTCTGCACTTGTATCCCAGAACTTAAAGTAAAATAAAACCCAATAAATAAATAAATAAGTTAAAAATAGATCCAAACTTTTATTGAATTATTGCTGAGGTATACATTAATAGGGTATTGGAAAGACAGTCTGTGATGAGAAAATAGGTTTTATCTTTTGCATCAGCTGCATGTGGCTGTTAGTGGCTGCTTGAAGCATTCTCTTGAAAAGGATAATAAGTCTAAGACTAAACTCAATGAAAAGGAATGGTGCACTTGATTATTAATACCTGACATGGATGCAGAAGAAAGAAATAATGACACCTGCAGTACAAAATTGACATCTGTGGGCCAAATCCTCACTAGATGAAGCAAAAGTCTTAAGTCATATTTAAACAAAACTAACATTTAATTTTTTGTTTTTTTTGTGTTAAGTACAATTTCATGCTAATAAAAATTAACATTATCAAACTTTAGTTTATGAATCGCTAACCACACATTTCAAAGTTTGAAAGGTACACAAGGTGTAAAGTTAAAAACTCTGCTTCCCATTACAAGAAAAAGACCATTATTCAGAGTAGTTTCAGGTTCACAGCAAAATTGAGAGGAAAGTACAGAAACTTCCTATTTCCCCCATGCTCCCACCCATGCCTAACCTCCATTATCAACATCCTCCTGCAGAAGAGTAGGTTTGCTGCAATTGATGAAGCTACTTTGATACATCATTGCTACCCAGAGTCCATAGTTTATATTAGGGTTCCCTCTTTGGTGTTGTACACTCTATGGTTTTTTTTAGAGCAGTGATTTCCAGACTTCTTACTTTTGAAGACTTCTTTTTTTATGATAGAACTATCATGGACTTCACTGTAGTATTGTAAGATTACATATTTTCTCAAGCAATGGATATTTAAAGTCCAACTATTATATGCCCAATTAACATGTTTAATTTGTGGCCGGGCACTGTGGCTCATGCCTGTAATCCCAGCACTCTAGGAGGCCGAGGTGGGCAGATCACGAAGTCAGGAGTTCGAGACCAGCCTGGCCAATATGGTGAAACCTTATGTCTACTAAAAGTACAAAAAAATTGGCCAGGGGTGGTGGCGTGTGCCTGTAATACCAGCTAATCGGGAGGCTGAGACAGGAGAATTGCTTGATCCTGGGAGGTGGAGGTTGCAGTGAGTCGAGATTGCACCACTGCACTCCATCCTGGTCCACAAAGCAAGACTCCGTCTCAAAATAAATAAATAAAATAAAATAAATAAATAAATAAATAAATAAAATTGTTATTCTGTTAATTACAATTGCATCCACATGTACTTGAAAAAATTATTTATGAAATATATGGTTTTATTTATTCAGTGAATTGACAGTACTTGAAAGACATATAGACCCTCAACTCCCTTTGCAGTTCAATGGTAAAATGACCAAAACCGCAATGATAATGAACAATACTTAACCATTTCCCAACCAAAACAATTCAGAGAAACAAAATCTGCAATAGTAAGAGAACAGAAAATTTTAAATCATGATGATTTATAGGGTTTCTATTTAAGGAGTGTTTGCTGTCTGTCAAGGATTAAACTAAATACTTTTCATTCCTCCTTTCTTTTAGTTATCATGACTATGCTATGATCACATATTAAGTTTGCACAGTGGATAAGTTGTGCACCTAGGCTTTAAGGATGGATCTCGCTGGCTCTAATCCGTGTGTTGTTGCCACACATCTCCTGCCCATCTAAGCATCTAGTTAGTCTAAGGCATTCTGCTTTGGGGTTTAGAATACATTATATATTGTAAATTTAATTTCAGGCTTATCTTTTAATTATCATTGTCTTAGGTCAAGATTAAGATAAATCGGCTGGGTGCGGTGGCTCACGCCTGTAATCCCAGCACTTTGGGAGGCCGAGGCGGGCGGATCATGAGGTCAGGAGATCGAGACCATCCTGGCTAACACGGTGAAACCCCATCTCTACTAAAAATACAAAAAATTAGCTGGGCGTGGTGGCGGGCGCCTGTAGTCCCAGCTACTCGGGAGGCTGAGGCAGGAGAATGGCGTGAACCCTGGAGGTGGAGCTTGCAGTGAGCCGAGATTTGCGCCACTGCACTCCAGCCTGGGCGACAGAGCGAGACTCAGTCTCAAAAAAAAAAAAAAAAAAAAAAAAAAAGATTAAGATAAATCTATATGTTTTGAATACACATTAGCTGAGGACCACTTGGGATAATCCAGAATAAAATATGTGGTAAGAAAAATTTAGGTGGGTATTAGATTATTACAATGGGTGACTGGAAACTGGGATGCCCTATATCCAAGAACACACCCATGGTTCTTGAAATACATATTTCATTTAACCCTATATAAAGGGAGATAAGACGAATCAATAAAGCTCAAATGGCTTACATTTGATAAACTGAAGAAATAATGTTTAGATGACATAGAAGTAGAGAAAAAATTAGGCACCTTAGAATAAAAGAAGACTCACTTTTTTTTTCCTTTTTTTGGGACAGAGTCTTGCTCTGTCACCCAGGCTGGAGTGCAGTGGAGCGGTCTCCGCTCACTGCAACCTCTGCCTCCCAGGTTCACGCCATTCTCCTGCCTCAGCCTCCCGAGTAGCTGGGACTACAGGCGCCCACCACCACGCCCGGCTAATTTTTTGTATTTTTAGTAGAGACGGGGTTTCACCATGTTAGCCAGGATGGTCTCAATCTCCTGACCTCGTGATCCACCCGCCTCGGCCTCCCAAAGTGCTGGGATTACAGAAAGACTCACTTTTAATTTTACTTTTACAATTTGACCAGTCTTGGCTATGTCACATAGGTAATTTAAACACACACATACACACACACACACACACACACACACAATTATTTTAATGTTTGAACAAAATTTGAAACTGTTAAGTTTCAGTTTCCCTTACAATCAGCCCTGTTTTCCAGTCCCCTGGATAATATTGTAGGTCCTTATGTGAACTGCTTTTTTTTTTTTTTTAAATTTGGCTCAAGTGCACACATTCTATTGGCCTCTGTATCTATAAAAGGGATCTCTTTCATAAACACTTTTCATTGCCAGTACTGTAGGAAATGCAAATATACCGCATGGCATCTGTTTTGCAATTAATTAGTGTTAAAAAGAGACAGCAGCTTTATTATTATTTCTCCAATAGCTACTTCCCAAGACAAGATATGCTTCTTTACTTATCACTGTGGGAATAATTCTGTATTGAGTGCCCTGTGACTAGAAGAACTAAAAACATCAACATTTAAATTCACCTTCTCCCCCTAGCTGGAGAATTGAAATCACTACATCACAAATATTCCATCACTTCTACAGGCTATGAATCAGGGCACAAGGTGAAATATTACAGAATGACATCTAGCATTAATTATTATGACATGGCATGAATCCTTATATAGATATATTTACAGCAGCAGCCATTATTGTTATAAGAAGTATTAATTACATACTATTAATCCATTGTCCTCCGTGGGTTGACTCATACTAATAAACATTAAAAATGATTCAGATTTATATTTGAGATCATTTTAGTCTTTTATAATTGGTGAAAATTGAGAAATATCAAAAGGTTTACGTTATGGGTTAGTCCACTGAGATTATCTTATATCACATGATCCCCCTAGGTTGGTGGGAATAAAGAAGTCACTAATTGATGGCTGGGCATGGTGGCTCACACCTGTAATCCCAGCACTTTGGGAGGCTGAAGGCGGGTGGATCACCTGAGGTCAGGAGTTCAAGACCAGCCTGGCCAACATGGTGAAACCCTGTCTCTACTAAAAATACAAAAAGTAGCTGGGCATGGTGGCACATGCCTATAATCCCAGCTACTTGGGAGGCTGAGGCAGGAGACTCTCTTGAGACCGGGAGGCAGAGGTTGCAGTGAGCCGAGATTGCACCATTGCACTCCAGCCTGGGGGACAGAGCAAGACTCCGTCTCAAAAAAAAAAAAAAAAAAAAAAAATGAAGTCACTAATTGAACTAAAAATATGTGGGAAGCATGAAAGTGGGAGTCAAAGTGTTTGGCCCCTTAGCACTTTGTAAACATAAACGCAGTTGTGTCTATACAGATGTGTTTGCTGTTTACTAAGCAAATATTATCTTTGCCAAAAATTCAAGTGCCATAACTTTGTTTCCTTTTGTGTAAGATCAGTTAAGAGTTTATGTAAAGTGCGTGCTTTTACGTAAATAGCATGTTTAATATTACACTGAAGACAATTCAAAATACAAACATGAAAGCTACTATTTTTTTGTTTCTTATGCTTTCATTTATGTTGGTTGGCAAACAGTCTAGTCGTGTTCCTTAATGTGGCACTTTTGGTCAGTTCATCATATTCAACAACTTTACGTTGACTCAACAGGAGAACTTTTAAGAAACTTGTTGCAAGTTATGAATGGAAAGAGAATGTCAAAACCAGTAATGCAAGAACTTGTTTTCAACGTTGTATTCCAGTCTGTCACATCTCTACTTTTTCTCAGGTTTTCCATTTTGTGTTAAAAAATAAATTATACTGTAGTCTGAAAGTTGACATTCAGTTTACCAGGCTGTAATAATTTTTAAGACAACAGTTTAAATAGTCTGTTAGGCAATAGGAGTTTTATTCTTTAGTCAAATGCCATTGGTAATTTTAGAATGATGTATTTCCCTTCAGCACTATAGAAGTTGAAGATTATATGCTCTGGCAGCCACATTCTGTGACAAATCTGAGTAAATTTACATAATATTTCATCAATTCCTAGTGGGGGAAGGGCATTTACAAAGGAATTACAGGTCCTTAGAAAGACGGCACTACACAGTGCAAATAATCACATAAATTAGGTTTTTGTAGTAATCAAATTTGGGAAAAATGTAATTGAATTCTGGGGAAAGGGATCAACAAAGGAATGCAGAGACTGTGGGACTTAGCACTTCATTTGTGCTCAACTCAGACGCAAAATTTAAAACTCCAAAGGAAACTAAGACACGGTGGACATTTTTATATTCTCTGTCCTTTGTAAGATTTCAGAAGACATGTGGAGATATCCAATTTACTACAAAGAGTAAAAGGAACTGTACAGGTCTACAGAACTGACACTCGAGATTAGTGATGCCATTTCCTGTATCAAAAATTCAAAATCATGAAAGTCACGATGACTCATGACAGAGCAGGACATTGTGACGTGGCTCATCTGGTACTGTAAGTATTCTGGGATCCTTTCTCCCAGCCTCCCACTGTACCCATGACTTCAGCCACATCCCTGCAATTGACCTCATCCCTGACCCTCACCCCTCATACTCACTGTAGCCCGGACTCCTACCCTTTCATTGGTCATTTATTGTCACCTTCTCCTTTATTCTTATTCCCCCAGAAATCAGCTCCATCCTGAGCTGCATCCTGTAGTTGAGAGAAGCAGCTATCAGTGATAGATAGGTCAGGCTCAGAGACAGGGTGAATGATACATCTTATTTGATAAAGAAAAAACAATAATAACATCAAAATGGCAATGGTTGGGCCAGGTGCAGTGGCTCACACCTGTAATCCCAGCACTTTGGGAGGCCGAGGCGGGCAGATCACAAGGTCAGGAGATCAAGACCATCCTGGCCAACATGGTGAAACCCCATCACTACTAAAAATACAAAAATTAAGCCAGGCATGGTGGTATGCGCCTGTAGTCCCAGTTACTCGGGAGGCTAAGGAAGGAGAATTGCTTGAACCTGGGAGATGAAGGCTGCAGTGAGCCGAGATTGCACCACTGCACTCCAGCCTGGGCAACAGAGTGGGCAACAGAGACCTGGGCAACAGAGACTCTATCTCAAAAAAAAAAAAAAAAAATGGCAATGGTTGTTGTTGTAAGCCTTAACATAAACTGGATGTGAGAATCAAATGTTCCTCCTATTAAAATACGTGGTGTCCAAATGCCACACACCCCCTGTGGCAATACTGTCTGGGGCACTGGCTTGGCCCTGAGAGGAAAGTAAAAAATGCCCTGTGGATTCTAATAGGTTGCAGTCAAATCAATCCTACCCGACATGCAGGGAGTCAGATGGAGAATCATGCTATTGTCACTGCTAGTTTGACTCTGAAGAGACTTAGATCCAAATTCATCAGGCATTCCTCTGCTCAAATGTGGAATATAGAGTTTATCCATATGACTTGCATGAAGGCAGCATTGTTGTAAGATAAAGGAGGCAATTATTTTGTAAAGGATTGTACCTTTTCCTTAGCATTTTAATGTTGATGGTGTGGGATCATATGTTTCATAAGCTGAAAGAAACTTAAGGTGACTATTTGCTTTACTGATGTTTGTGTTTCAGATAGGAATGCCTGAGGTTGAATGGCACACAGAGCGAGAAAGCTTCTGACGCTATTTAAGTCTCTTGGTGCCGAATGGCTGGTGGGCTTGTCAAGGCTGGGAATGTCGAGGAGTTGTAAGTGGGTGGCAGAGTTAAGAAAAAATGACAAAGTGAGAGCTGGTTTTTTTTGAACTCATATTTTCCTCTTTTTCTCCTCTGAAAATATGGTCACTCTATTAATTTCTTGTTAACCAACTGTATTGGGAGACAACGGGTCCTGAAGTAATGTCTCACCTCATATTATGAATTGGAAACAAAATTCCTCATAAATCTCTAAACAGTCTGTCTTGTTTTGATATTAAAGGGGAGAGGGAGAAGTAGAGGAGGGGTGAAGGAGAGAAGCAGGCAGGGAGGGGAAGCAAGGGGACGAAGAAGAAGGGACAATGTCTAGAGCTGCAACATAGAGCAATGCCTCTCTCATGGCGGCAGCACTTTTCCTAAGTGGGATTGAGCTCTCCAGGGTGCTCCCTTCCTCCTCTCTGCCCTGGGAATTTTTAGCAACAGCTGCTTGCAAAAGACCTCTGGATCCCTAACCATGTTATTGACTTCTCCAGCCCTTCTGCAGGATACTGGCTCAGTCACCACACACAGAGCATCAAGTCAAAGGTGAAAAGTGTTCAGGGGAGCTCTGGAGAGATAGTGGGCTGTCTCTAGGACAGCCATGCAGCAGGCCCCCCTCCAAACCTTCCTGCTCTAAGTAACCAGGCTTCTTAGAATAAATATTTCCCTAAATGATTCACTGAAGTGGTATAACATGTCATGTTCACAAATCTAAACTCATATATAAATACATGAACGATTATGTTTCTTCCTGAACCAGAATGTTGTCTTTCTTTTGGTAGGCAAAAGTACTACTGGGTTTTCACAACTATTATTATTAGTGAACTAAAATGAGCATAGAAGACAGAATGCAGTTTTTCTTGGGAAATATAGTGGTGAATTCTCAACAATAGTTTATGTCATTCCTATATGTAACTGTTTAAAATGTGATAAAAATTAGGTTCTAAATCATCTATGTAGGAAGCATTTTAAAACATTAAAGATTAAATCATTAAAATAAGATACTGATATATTTAATAATAGGGATGTAAAACATTTTATAGAGATATATACCATGAAAAAAATTTAAAAAGATAAATAAAAACTGAAAAGAATTTGCAACACACACGTTTGGAAAAAATTAATAACCTTGCTGTATAAAAGGTTCTTATATATCGCAAGAAAATGCTGCTATAGATAATGGAAAATAAATACAAATGGTACAAATATGAATGCTTAATCTTACTAGAAATGAAATGATTGCAAATTAAAATATGTATAGACTTATCAATCTCAAATAAGACCAGTTTATAGAGATATTGTTAGAAATGAAGGGTAAGAAAACTCTAAAATGCTTGTGGGAAATAAATTATTTTACAAACTTTTGGGAATTACAAAGCTGACATTATTTAGTGATTCCGCTTTTAGAAATTTATCCCATGAAATTTGGTGTTGAGTTCACAATACAGTTGTGAAAAGCAATGCTCATTGCAGATTTTATAATATTGGAAATTATCAAAACCTACTTTTAATAAAAGAGTATTAGAGACATTCTAGGGTATTTATATGATGGATATATTAGGAATCATGTGCTCATAAATATTAATAAGTTATAAATATTAATATATAAATTAACAAATATTAATGCATTACTACATGTAAGTTTAAAAGAACTTCAAGTATGCAATGTCTGCAAATAATTGTGTTTGTTAATAATGGAAATATACATTTATATAATTCTTTTTAAACTCTGTGCATACATGTATGTGTATATATATTCATATATATAGTATCTATCTCTCTATATGCATATATATGCACCTCTCAGTGTTAATGATAATTAATTCTAGGTGTCATAAATGCATAAAAATATTATGTGCTTTTATATTTAAACAAAAAATTTGCATAAATAAATCTTTCTCCTCCCTGTCCCTCATCTCTCTTACTTACCTATACTGACTTCCCTGACCCTATTCAATGCTCCAGATAGCAACAGAAGGCTGTAGTGGCGTTGGGAAAAAGAAGTAGAATAAGTTGAATATTTAGTTCACCTTGCTTTGGAGACAGCCTGCCACTCTCTTTAGGTCTCTAAGGAATGAATAGGCACATCCTCTTCTAGACCCGCTACTGGTATTTTGCTAGCACCTTCTGTGCTCTGACATCCCCTGCACATGCTTCGGATAGCTATGTCCAAGAAAAAAAACCGTTCCTTCACAATCCTCAATTTTTATCTAAAATGAACACTGGTCTTTTTATGTAGCTATAATTCTCATAACAGCTTTTAGAAAATACTTTAGTCAGGAGAAAAACAACTTCAAGTCATCCTGCAAGACAAGGTGCTTCATGGTTAGTATTCA
The DNA here is from genome assembly GCF_000001405.40 of Homo sapiens. Lineage (NCBI taxonomy): Eukaryota > Metazoa > Chordata > Mammalia > Primates > Hominidae > Homo > Homo sapiens. Next base: position 220,839,349 of record NC_000002.12, read on the forward strand.
CTCCTTGAAAGCAAACATTTCATGAGAAGGAGGGGAAATAAGGAAGGGAGAGGAGAAAGAAGAAGGATACAGTTATCCCTTAGTCTGTATAAATGTGGCTTTGGGAAATTTCAAAATACTGATGTGATCTAGGCAAACTGATTCACCCTAAATAATTTAAAATCTTAAATAAGATTTCCAAGCTGGATCAATTAGATGAATGATTCTACCGATCATAGGGAAGCTAAGCTCTCTTAGGCACTGTAATAGAGAATGCCTTCTGAAAAATAAGAAAGGAAGACAAAATGCTCCTAGTTTCGGTGAAAAAAAATCATGGGAGACATTCTTATAGTCCAGAGACAGCAGTGAGTCTGTCAATATCAGTAGAGAGAAAGATTCTGGAGCGGCAAAATGCCGCAAAGGACAAAGACTGACTTGCTGAATTCGTCTGAAAATGTAAGCCAGAGTAACCGTTCTAGTGCTAAAAAATCACCACCATGCCTGAACATATTTCTGCTACACCTAAATTCTCCACTTACTGTCATTTTTATTTCTTTTCTCTTTAGAACAAGTAAAAAACAGGTCTCAATTTTAGGAAAAACGTAATTCATTCTACAACTGACTTGGCTTGGCCATTCCTATCATAAGATGTGAAAGAAGAGCTGGAAAGTAAGTGTTATTAAAAGACTAGTTTTTCAATAATAGAATAATCGAAGAAGTAAAAATGCATTTAGGCATGAAAGCAATCGTTTGAACATAAGGTGAACTTTAACTGTTAGTGCAAAACAGTATAAAATTATAAAGAAAGCATTCGTTCGAGTTTACGTTTAAACTTCCAGAAGAAAAATAATCTTAAAATAGTCCCAAACATTTGGAGCACTTTTGAATTAGGATTCTTTGAAGCATGAAGATAAATTGATTCCAGGATGATTCCACAAAGGCACCAAAAGAAGTCATAAAGCTGCTGAGTGCATACAACTGTTGAATGTTTAGTCTATAAGCTCAGCACATTTTCTAGACCTGGGATGATGGAGATTTTATTGCAGATGGGCAAGATGGTTTAAGTTGGGATAAAGCTATCATTTTGATATACCTGTGAGGCTTAATGTCTCTAGCCCTCAAAAAGTCCTTAAAATGCAAATGTCAACCACACCTAATTGCTTCTGAAGTTTTAGCTCATTTTAAAGGATTTACAAAGAGTCAATGTTTCCTACCTAGCAACCTACATTGTGTTAGTTGTGTATGAACATATGTGAAACTTCCTAGTGTAATATAATTTTATTAGACAACCTGAAAACTTTACAGACATAATGTATTAGGTAATACAGTAATTCATTAACACATTGTGTGGCTTTTATTTTATTTATTTATTTATTTATTTTTTTACTTTGAGAATTTGGTTGGCTGAGGGAAAGAGGATAGTACAACAAACTATTAATGGTTACCTGGAATCAGTACTTCAAATAGTTTAAATAGTCAGAATGTTAATTTGGAGTCATTTAATCAAGATACTGATTAGGTGCTATAATTTATATCCAGAAAGATAATATGAACCAGGCATTCTACTATTTAGAATCTTGGTCCACGTGTCAGTTCCAATGGAGCTGTTCATGTTTAATTGCATTCTGGGACCACATGTGTGTTCCTGCTTATTTACAAGTCTTCTCTCCCCACCTCCTGGGATTCCTTTATCAATCTTTCATTTATCCTTTTAATCTTCACAGGGCTCAGTGCATTCCTTCCTACAGAGAAAACAAAACAGCTTGTGTACCTCCCACAATTCTTTACAAGATCTCATTTCTTGATGGTTGCATGGTAGCTCATTAAGCTGCTCTCACTGAGGGTATGAGATGCTAAAGAAGAGGGGAGGTGGCTGAATGAAAAGGAAAACCAAATATGCACAGGTCCCATGGGCATGTGGGCTTCATCTATATTAGGGAAAAAGGGGGGAAATCCTGTTTTTCTCCATGTGGATTCCATTATCTTCTTCTCAGAAGGACAAGCTTGATAGGTCTGCTTTGATGGTGCAGTATTTAGAAAAGAAAATATCAGGCTTGGAGCCAGATAGTCCTGAACTGCAATTCAGATCTTAGTTCTGCTGCATTTTGTCTCCATGGCATTGGATGAGTTGCTTGAATTCTTTAAGCTACAGTTTCCTTAACTACAAAGTGTCAATAAAAGTTCTTAATTTAGCACATTATTTTGAATATGAAACAATATAAATAATTTTGATTGCATGTCTCATAGAATTCAATAAATGGCAGCAATTGCTATTATTAATCCTACTAAATGGTTCAGAAAATAGTCCAGCTTCTTGTACACCTACAAACTCATGGCTTATGTAGCCCTAAGCCCAAGAATAGCCTTGGTTACCTTTCAAGATGACCTAATTTAATTGGTTTAAGTCTATAACCTGAGAATCTATCTCCTCCCTGGGTCTGAATAATCTGGCCCCTCCCAGTTCAAAAACGCTGGCTACTAGGTATAAAAATGTTTTATGGGGAAAAAAATGTAACAATCACAATGGAAAAGAAAGAGCAAAGAACTGTAACTCTCTTACATTTTTTTTGGTTTTGGATTTTTGATTTCAAAATATCCATAGGCTGCATGTGGTGGCTCACACCTGTAATCCCAGCACTTTGGGAGGCTGAGGCGGGTGGATCATGAGGTCAGGAGATCAAGACCAGCCTGGCTAACATGGTGAAACCCCATCTCTACTAAAAATACAAAAAATTAGCCGGGCGTAGTGGTACACGCCTGTAGTCCCAGCTACACGGGAGGCTGAAGCAGCAGAATGCCTTGAACCAGGGAGGTGGAGGTTGCAGTGAGCCGAGATCACGCCACTGCACTCCAGCCTCAGTGACAGAGCGAGACTCCATCTCAAAATAAATAAATAAATAAATAAACCGCTAAATATTTGGTCACTGTTAACTCTTTGCCAGAGTATGTATGCATACATTTAAATATGTATACACATATATGTGGGTGTGTATTTATATATAGGCATAAAATGCATTGAAATATTCTGAAAGTTTCACAATCTATTATTAACCAGTAACCATGGGGAAGTGAGTGGGATTCAATGGGTAGTGAATGGGAATTTTTAAGATTTTTAAATTCTAAGTCTGTATTATAATTATTACAAAATCATATTTCATCTATTATTTTTTCATTTTTGTTTTTAAAGAGCAGTATTCATTTACCTTTAACAATTCTTCATCTTCTCCTTCCTTACTAATTACTGCAACCCAATTTCTGTCCCTACCACTTCATAAAAACAACACTCGCAAATCTCATCAGTGACTTACTAATTGTTAAACTCAGCAACCCCACTTGAGTTTTGATTGTACTTGACTTTCTGTAGCATTTGCCACCGTTATGCTTATGGCCCTTCTTTGAAATTCTCACCTTCTATGACATTACACTCTGTTGCTTCCTCTCCTACTTCTGTAATTATTCTGTACTTTATTTAATTTTATTCTGCTCCTTATTAGTTCCTTAATTGAAGGCATCTATACAAATTTTCTCTTGAGCTGTCTTAAGCATACTATTTTCCTGAGCGGCTCTAACAATACTCAGTGATACAACTTGCACATTTCTAAGCAGAAGATTCACAAATATTCATCCTAGTCACTCTCATAATTTTCTGCACTCAATTTCTAGTTTATAAGCCAGAGAGCTACCCATCAATCTTTCTTGGGTAACTTAAACTCTGTATGTAAAATACTGATCACGTAACTGTTATCGCTACAACTTTCTCCCCATCCTGGGTTTCATATCTCACTTACATCATCTGCCAGAGAATGAACTCATCTCATCTGTGCATATAGGGTGGAAAGGTAATTCCCCAAATTTAAGAGCTATGTCTTTGGGAAAATTGTTAAAACTACCAGAATATTAGATTCATCATCAAAGAGGTAAATGTTAGTAATTATAATGTTCCCTAATGGTTGATGAGATTTATATATATGTAAATAACTCAGTAAGATGTGAAAAGATTTTTTAAAATAATCTTACTGGACACTGAGACTAGAAACCTTTGTGTAAGTTTATTTCTTTCTATTCTTATAATTGCTTTCCCCCACAAAATGCCTTTATTAATAAGAGTATCAGAACCTACCAATTATTTTGCTGAATCATCTCTTATTTCACTCCCTTCTTTCAAGAACCTCATCTTTTCTAAATTGGATTATGACAATAGCCCTCACTAGTCTCCTTGCCCTCTATCTCAATAGCATTTATTCGCTCCCATTGCCATCCTAATAATTTCCAAATTCGTGAATTCATTAACACTTAAGCCCAGGACTTCTACAATCAGGATCCCATCTCTCCTTCCAGCCTTATTCCTTACCACCAGCTCTATGCTCTAATCAATTCAAACAATATACTTCTGTCTCTCTTTCTTGCTTGCTTGCTTGCTTGGTTGCTCTATCACCCAGGCTGGAGTGCAGTGGCATGATCTCCGCTCACTGAAACCTTTGCCTCCCAGGTTCAAGTGATTTTCATGTCTCAGCCTCCCGAGTAGCTGGAATTACCGGTGTGCACAAGTATTCCACTCAGCTATTTTTTTTCCTGTATTTTTAATTGAGATAGGGTTTTGCCATGTTGACCAGGCTGGTCTCGAACTCCTGACCTCAAGTAATCCGTCTGCCTTGGCCTTTCAAAGTGCTGAGATTACAGGCATGAGCCACCACACCCAGCCTCTTCTGTACCTTTACTCATATTTGTCTCTTTGTCTAAACACCTCTTGCTTCTTCCTTCTTTATGTATTGAAACACTATAAAGTTCATCTCAAAAGCTTCTGCCACCATTAGAGATTTTCTGGTGACCTGTCATCCTATAAAGAATTCATTACATCCTAATTTTCTCTTCTACAACCATTGACTTTTATTTCTATGCTACCATTATATCATGCCTTCTTGTATCCATTCACTTATGCATTCATTCAGCAAAGACTTTCAGAGTGGATCTACTATGTTGGCTTCTGTAAATTACCCCAGTGGCCCAAAGAGGTGCAACCTGTGTAGTTTTCTTTCTTATACTATTTAAGTTCCTGCAAGATATTTCTGAGTCCTTTCATCTCTACAGTTCAGCTCATTGTTTGCATAAAACAGATGGTTATCAGATGTTCGTTGACTGAATCAGGTCAGCATTTACAACACCCTCTGCAGAGTCCATCTCTAGAAATAAAGTGTTAGGTCAATGATACTGTCTCCAGAAGATTAGCTCGCTTATTTGTAATCAAATTCTCTCTGAACATCTGAGGTACAAACTAGGTTTTCTTTTTTCAGGGAGTCCAAACTTTCTAAGTCTGTTTCTGCCATATTTATGAGAAAATATTGACTGAAAGAAAGCCTAAGTTCAGGCATCTCCATAGAATTATTTCTTATCAGACCTGGAATTTTCAAAGTACTCCAGCCAATATTCACCTTGGGTATACACTGATTAAGCTTCTTTGGAAATAGTGAAATTATCTTGGGCTCTCCAGGGAGGGTGATAGCTCCAAATCCCCAGTCCTAGCTGAAGTTAGCTCTCACCTTTGAAATCTGGATGGCCAATAGTCTTGTCTTAAATACTGCTAAATCTTTTTAAGTAACATGAGCAAAAGGAATGGGAGAGTGGTGCTAGTGAAGTCAGGGAGTGAGGGCATAGAGGAGGTAGAGTCCAAGCAGAGGGCTTAGAATCCTTGTTCTAAGTCAGCAGACCCCAAAGAGAAAGGAGGTTTAGTGGCAATTTGTGTTTCACAGCCTGTAAATCATGTCTGCGCTCTACCAGGTCAAGATGTTTTCGAGATTTCTTTTAGTTTCATATTGCACATCACACTCACCTTTTCCATGCAAAGTGTTAGAAGGTTGATTATTTTTTTGTTAGTGAACATTTGCATATGTAAAAGTCCCTAAGGTTTTTTAAAATAAGCTTCCTGTATAGAAATTTTAAAAATATATTAAATCCCTATTCTGTTTCTGAATTCATCAAATATGTAATTCCATATACTACTACAAATAATATATGACCTTGTAACTTTATAAGGAGACAATGAGAAAATGCTTTCAAAAATAATGATAGCCTTTCTTTTTCCAATCCAGGTGCTTGTTTCTTTTTAGTGGCAGTTAAAATTATTTAAATAACTGGATATTTTTTCTATGTGAAACTACTAATTGATTTGTGTGATTTTCAAATAGTTACTATTCTTTTACAAATGAAAGGGTTTATTTTTAATTAACATCAGAGAAATAATTATGACTCTATCATCTACAGAGGAAGGAAACAATTGTATAGCCGCATAACAAATGCATTCATTAAAAGTATTTTGTGGAGGGGGGAGTTTTAACCTTGGAACAAGATTACCAGTTTTCAAATATGATGCAATGAATATGACTTTTTACTTTTTTTAAGCAAAATTTTTATTTGGCAGTAAGGGAAAACCAGATTAATTTTTGTTAATTGCATGTGGTTATGAACATCTATGATTAATCATTTCAAGTTTATTAAGATGAACACATTGGAATTATCTTTAAACAAATGTAATGATTTTTGTGAAAATATACTGTTCAGATAACCTAAAATCAAAGGACCAGCATAGGAAAAAAAGAAGAAATGAGGGAAGGGAAAGGGAAAGGAAAAGGGAAAGGGAAAGGGAAATGGAAAGGAAAAGGGAAAGGAAGGGAAGGGAAGGGAAGGAGGGAAGGAAGGGAGAGGGAAAGAGGGCTGCTATTTAAGAATTTAGGAGTAATAAGAGGAATCCAAAGTAAAAACTTTGTAATAGCTCCTTGGGCAATATATTTTCCTGAATATAGATCTAAGGTTTGAACTATAAATTACAGAGTATTTGAACTGAGTGATATAAAGTCTGCTAAATGGTACCTGATTCCCAAATATCTAGGCATCTGATACTAAAATTAGTTTCTTAAAATATTTGCATAAAATAACAACGGTAGCTAATATTTATTAAGCACTTGTCATATGGCAAGCATTGTTTTAATTTCTTTATTTGTATCATCTTCTTTCAATCACTTAAGCACCCTATGAGATGGTTGATATTATTACCTCCATTTCACAGATAAGAAAACTGAGGAAAATTAAGTAATTTGCACACATTTTGTACAGTTAGAAAATGGTAACTGGAGGTCTAATTCCCAAACTCACATCATTAACCATTATTTTAGTCCACATGAAAGTGAACATTTTATTCTGAAATGATCGTTAACTTTTTTTAATCTTAGAAGACCAAAGTTATACACCTCTCCTGCCACAGGGAGTCAAGGGATGCTTGGAACAGACATAGCCATCTTCCCAAATACATATGGTCTCATTTTTCCGCCACTTTCTCTAAAATTGTTTAAATAGTCATCTTAATAAACTCCATGTCAGCATATGGCCTGGCCAATAGTTATTAAGGTATCATTTTGGACAAAAGCTTTGAGCTCGGGAAGATAAAATATTCCTGCTGTTACTTCTCCACTCTCCTACCCTAACCAGCTACATTTCTGAAGTTCAGGTACATCCTCACCAATGCATTCATTTAAGTTCCAAATATTTAATCATTTACTCCAGGAAGACAAAACACGGAGGACCCTGAAGAGATGTGTTTTAGAAGCCTTGGTGCTGCCTATGGTCTAAGTGAAATTACTTTGGCTTCCAAGTTACTGAGCTCAGTGTAAAACGACATGCAGATCCGAATGCTTCTTTGATATTTTTGATGTGAAAAGAAGCTCTCAGCATTGCTCCCTTTATGTTCACTCGTAATGCTGAAAAGATTTTGCAGATTTTATGGAATTCCCACTGAGAGAGATGAAATGCTCCCTTTAGACGGCCCACGTTTTAATGATTGAATAGGCACTCAGCACATTGTAGTTGCTCAATAAAGGCTTGTTGAAAGGAATTAAGTTTTATCAATGGCTTGATTCCAAGAAAAGCATCTGTTAGGATGATGCAAGTTCAAATTTGGATGCTCCTTGTGTGGCTTATTTAGGCCAGGTGTTCAGTAAAGAGACTTTGAACTGAAATGTTAAAATAAAGAAAGGTGGAAGCATTTTAAAGGTAAATCAAGCATAGTGATACCTTACCTTTTTATCACAGTTGCCAGTTTTTTATCATCCTATGAGGCAGGCAGAAAATATTGTCTCAATTTGGCAGGTTAAGACAATTGAGACTAGGAGCAGCAGGAGTTGCATCTGCAAGATTAGTTGGTGCATGATAACACTGAGACCAGAGTGGAGGAGATTTAACTCCAGGCAACCACGCCACACTGCCACTCAAAAGAAAGCTCTCCTGAAACCAGACAGCATTGTTTCTGTGCCAGATCTATTTACTCTACCTCCACCCGAACTTTCCTTCCCACAAGACTTAATTACTCATTGCTAGTACCATGCACATTCAACAGTCATGTGTATGGTATTCATTAAGAGAGAAAAATAACATAAAATAGCTCAGCTATGTATCTGCTTTCCCCCAGGAAGAGTGAAATGACTCCCACAGACAGTGGTGGAGCCTTAGGGTGCAGATGATGGAGAGGAATGAGAAGGGAAGAGGAGGCGGGAAGGCTGGTCTCAGTGGGTGGGGCGGATATTTACATGAGCTCCTCGCCTCACTCCATCAACTTTATGACTCACCAGTGCACAGCAATTACTCCTCCTTCTCTAATATTTCCCTTGGACAAGCTGTCTCATTGTGCTGCTGATGTTCATAAGGTTTGGGGGAGATGAGTGTCCCTGAAGATTAGATACATTTTTGTTAGCAAGGAATCCATCTTGCATAATTCTTACAGTGCAAATTAAACATAACTTTGAGTATCATAGCTGATACTTTTATTGCTGTGTGGTGGCTGAACTGCTGTTAGAAACACTGAATTTAACATTGTTCATTGTTCTGAGCCATGCAGGTGCTCTGCAGCGTGTGAATAAATGCCTAAGTTGTTTGTGGTTCAGCAACGAAATAATCTCAGGCTCTGACCCAAAATATACACAAACGTGAATTCTTTATTTTCCAAAATTTGTTTAGCTTTCATTTAGGAGATGAGGAGGGGAGGTATTAAAATGTGGGAATTTGGCTGCATGTGAAAATAAGGAACATTGAAAATGAAGTTAAGCATCTTCTGAAACTCTCAAACCTGTTTTGGATATCCAAATAAATGCAGCAAAAATAATTTATTGATTTAGAGAATTCTGGAAGACTCCAGGTTGATGGAGCACATGTTAATTATTAGATCTTTGTCTTCATAAGACTTTATTGATAACAGAACATCTAAGACAAGTTTCCTCACTGTCATTGGAGAAGACCCAAATTCTAGGAACTGGGCCTTATCCTCCAGAACTTAAAGAAAGATATCAGTGCTAAATAGCCACATTGAGTCTAGGAACACTTTAGTCATTAACTTATTTTTGGCTCCCCTCTGTGTAACGGCAACAACAGTCTTTTTAAGGGAAAAACATATTTTTGTAGGTAAAATAACTATGTACTGAAAGTATTATAATCATAAACTCCACATATCTGGGCTCTGAGTAAGTCTATTAGTCCATTTTCACACTGCTGATAAAGACGTACCTGAGACTAGGCAATTTACAAAAAAAGAGGTTTAACTGGACTCACAGTTCCATGTGGCTGGGGAGGCCTCACAATCATGGCAGAAGGCAAGGAGGAGCAAGTCACATCTTACATGGATGGCAGCTCACAAAGAGAGTTTGTGCACTAAAACTCCCCCTTATAATAACCACCAGATCTTGTGAGACTTACTATCAGGAGAAGAGCAGGGGAAAGACCTGCCCCCATGATTCAATTACCTCCCACCAGGCCCCTCCCACAACACGTGGTAATTCAATATGAGATTTGGGTGAGGACACAGCCAAACCTTATCAGTAAGCAAGTAAAACAGCATAGGATACTAAAAGGTAGTTAAGGTCAATGACTGGGGCTTAAAATGAACACCCATATTAGGCCAGCTTTGAATATCTTTTCAAAGAATAAGTGTCCGGAGGTGCTGTTTATCTGACCATCGAATTAGCCTAGATCACGCTGGTAACTGGTAACAAAGGAAAAAAATCACAGTGCAGCTACAGGGCTAGAGGGTGGAGGGGAGCCAGGGGAAAATAACCTGGCCAGACGGGAGAAAATAATACTGATTCATTTTTCTTAGGAGTAAATACATGTTGAGCACCTATTAATACAAGGTGTAAGCCCAGGCACTTCAGCACTTTGACTTAGACGTGTGTATTACCTTCACTGGATATAATATGCACCTGTAAATACTCTTAATGAATGGCAGAAAGTAATACATTGCGTAAAGGAGTGATAGCAAATGAGCTGTGTCAGCTGAAAGGAGTCTAAAATCACTCCAGAGATGACGAGCACGTGAGGCTTTTAAGCCAGAATTAAAGAAATGTGGGGCATGGGGTGGTGTCGGCCATTTCAGACAAGAGGAATATTATTTTAATAAATGTATAATAACACAAACAATATTAACAAAAGCACAAAATTGAAGAAGTATAAAATTGGCATATGAAATGACTTAGCTGGCTAAAAGGATAGAGTAAGGATTCAGGGTGAAAATTATGTAAGAATAAGTTGTTTGGGGTTCTTTCTTTACATAACTGTTGAAGGTTTTATGTGTCTACTGATCAAACAAGTTATACAGGGGCTGTATTTAGGATTAATATGACAGTTGTGTATATGTAAGGTACATTGATAAGGAGACCTGTAGAGAGAACATTGCTGTAGTTTAAATAAGAAGTAACAGGGCAAAAGCTTGCTTGTCCCAGGCACAGCAGAGAGACAATGATACCAGGAATTTGGGGTGAGTTCCCAGAGAGGCTAAAACATTAACAGAACTGGGAAATCAGAAAAAGGGGAAGCTTTGCAATGGAAAATGAATGAGCTCAGCTCCAGATAATGCCTTAGAGATCACGATTCAGATAATCTAACTCCAACAGGAGTTAGAAATCCAATCTTGAAACCCAGGAGAGAGACCAAGATGGTAAATATAGATTCGAGAGTCATCCGCTGCCTAGATGCAATCACTGAAGCTGACAGATGAGATGAGAGTGTTAAGGGAATGATTGCAAAGGGAAAGAGGAAAGTCAAGGACAAAAGCCCTAATGTCTTTCTTTTGGGAGTGAAAATCTTGGACTTCTAAATAGTCACTGCTTCACCAAGTGCATTTCTTTTCTTCCAAAATATTGTAGGACTGTTTGCAATATTCTTAAGACAGAAGTTGCCAATATGTTACTTAGCAGTAGTTAACAAATTTCTCTAGAAAGTTGAGTTTCTAATGCACCTCAAGTGTGTTGTGTGTAACAATGGTGAGAAGAATAATGATAGTAGTTGTCCATCTGTGTGTGTTGGGGGGGCAGGAATAGCCAGATTTTCTTTATCATAAAAGAGCTAAATAGGGAAATGTATATAACTATTTCCACCATAATATTAGCGGTATTACTAAAGCTATTAATAGTTACATACTATACATGCCATTTACCCTTGCAACAATTATTTGAGGTGGGCACCGTTATCATCCACAGTTGATACACAAGGAAGTGAGTCTCAGTATAGTTCAACATCTCTCTCAGCATCACAAAACTATTAAGCAGCTGAAAAAGATGCCAGTTACTGACTCTAAAACTGAGATATTAATCACTGTATTTTTCTGCTTTGACGTTATTTCTGAATCAATGGTAAATCAGTCTGCTAACCTATGCTATTATCATTATATACTTGTCCATTTATACTTTGCTTGATTTAATTTAATTTTTGAATTTATATGCAGTAAAATGGTCTTTTTTTGGTATACAGTTCTATGATTTTTAACACAGGTATAAACTTCTGTAACATTTACCACAATCAGAATACACAACACATCCATCATCTCAAAAGCTCTCTGGTGCCATCCCTTTGCAGTTAAACCTTCCCCTTCCCATAGTCCCTGGAAACTGCTGATCTATTCTCCATCACTGTGTCTTTCTCTTTTCAAGAGTGTCTAATCTAAATGGAATCATGCCATATGTAATCTTTTGAGACAGTCTTCTTTATCTCAGTACAATGTCTTTGAGATTCATCCAAGTTTTTGCAAATATCATTATTTTTTTGAGTAGTTTTCCATTTTATTGATGTAATCCCTTCAGCTTATCCATTCACCAGTGGGTGAACATTTGTTTTTTGTTTTTTTTTTCTCCAGTTTTTAGCAATTATTAATAGAACTGCTATAAACATTCTCATCACACTTATTCTGTAAACATAAGTTTTCATTTCTCTAGGGTAAATACCCAGAAATGGAATTGAGTCATGTAGCAAATGTACTTATATCATTTTTTTGAAAAAGCCATTTGAGGTAAGAGAAACCTGTTGTAACACCTACAGGAAGCCATCTTGGCTATCTGTGAAAAAACACTTCCAAAAACATGCCGTTGGCTGGGCACAGTGGCTCACGCCTGTAATCCTAGCACTTTGGGAGGCTGAGGTGGATGGATCATGAGGTCAGGAGTTCAAGACCAGCCTGACTAATATGGTGAAACCCCGTTTCTACTAAAAATACAAAAATTAGCTGGTGTGGTGGTGCATGCCTGTAATCCCAGCTACTCAGGAGGCTGAGGCAGGAGAATCACTTGAACCTGGGAGGCGGAGGTTGCAGTGAGCTTAGATCGCGCCACTGCACTCCAGCCTGGGCGACAGAGTGAGACTCCATCTCAGAAAAAAAAAAAAAAGCTGCCAGTAAAGCAAAGAGTTGTTTACTAATGTCAGGCTAGGACACACAGAATCCAGAAAGGCATCAGCAGAATCTCCAGACTTCTGTAGAAATCATGTAGAGCCTTCTTAATAGTCTACAGGAAATCAGTTGAGGCCCCAATATACTATGGCTTGTCACGTCATGAGTTTTTACGTGGCTGAGGCCAAACTAGGATCCTTAACTCCCAAACCATGGGAAAGAACTGTTATGGAAAGGCAAATGGAACTCTTCTCCCAGGAGAAGCCACAACCATAGTGGGAGTAGGGTTAACAATTACACGTTTTGAAGACAAAGAAATATATGCCCTGTTTTAGACTTTAAGGACTTTTTAATGGTGTACATGAGTATGCTTATCAAAAATTTCTCTATTTCAATGTTCCGAAGTTATAAACATGAATTTTAAGTTTTCTGTAAATATTTAAACATGAATGATATCCTTTTGTAAATATAACATCATATAAAGAAGTTGTGAAGAGTTGGTTTTATTCTGGGCATTTTGAGGTCATCTGATGTAAAACAAATGTTTAATGCTAACCAAATAACCCACTATGTAAATAACTATACCTCAAGTTATACTAAACAACATGAGGTATAATAGCTTATGAAGTCTATGTGTTTAAGAGCAATGTTCATTTGCTATAAATAGCGTAATTATTATAACTTTTGCTTTCCCATTAGTTGAATTCCTCATGAAATGCTTTGTTTTAAGGTCTGCTGAGTTTGGCAGATAATAAAATAATAAAAATTCTAGTATTTTCCAACTGAAAAAGAGAAGCATAATGGAATTCAGTGGTCAACAAGGGCGTATTTAAAAATAGCATTGATTCCTACCTCAAATATAATGTCTGTGAGGAGGACTGCTATCCAAGGAAGTGTGAATTTAGTGGAGGAGGCAGAAGCAGAAAAGGGTAAAAATGATGAGATCACTGTGCATCTGATGTAAAGATTATTGATAGAATTACACAGAAATCATGTGTGGCTAAGAAGACCACCACGGATTTGTGGTGGTCTGAGAATCTGCTATGTATTTTTGGCATGGATCAATGTCCAACTCTGTCTGTGTAGCTAGTGAGGACGCAGAAGCCAGCTCAGCTCCAGAGTAGTGACAGATGATGTTCTACATAGATCGTTTACTTCCTTTATAACCAATAAAATATAGTTTGTTATTTTTTTAAATGAAGAAAATGATGAAAAGCACCAAGTTAGAGAAAAAAAAATACAGAAGTGATACTGGGTAAAAAATAGAGACTCCCAACATAGAGGAGAGGAAAAGGTGGTACTCACAGCACCAGATGGTACCCTGAAGATCCTGGTCCTCATCATTTCTCTGATGACAACTGTCAATCTTGATGTTTCTTAAGGGACTGGCTTTTTTTGCAGGATTGTTGATATTCATGTGCAATCTGTTGACTTAATGTTTAATGCTGTTTTATGGCAAATGGTACATGTTTTCAGTGGCTTGAGGGATCCCTCAGTGATTTCTTTTCCACTTTGTAAATCCCAGTGTCTTATTCAGGTCCCTGTGCCAGTAGTCCACCGAAGACAATGTCCTGGACACTCTCATCACCCAGGAACCATCTTCCTGGTGACCCCGTCCACAACGAACGTGGACAGAGAGGATATGGAGAGACTCCTTTATTAATCTGTAATGGAACATCAGCAGAATGAGACTAGGAGATGATAATACAGAGGAAGAAACAATTCAGGGCAGGGAAATGGAGGGGAAGCAAATTCAGAGTAAGGGCAGATGAGGCCAGGGCCGGAGATGAAGTTCGAGAGTGCTGGAGCTCTGGGTTCGTACTCCAGTGGCGCCATGCAAAAGCCAGTGGCTTCCCCAGTATTATCCCCCATGGTGGTGTTGGAAAACTTTCTTCATTTTGCATGGAGGCCAGGCTGTAATTGCGAAGTAGAGGCTGGAGTGAGTAGGGACTCAGGGAACACAGTGTGAAGACCAAAAGTCTTGGCCAACAGCAGAGACATGAAGAAGTGCTGTATACCCAAAGACAAATCTGAAGAGATCAGAGCAAAAATTAAATTTGGGATACCAGAGCAAGCACTCATTAATATATATGTTAATAGCAAGTATTAGTATCAATACTGCTGTTAGTAATTATAATAGACTGATTGACTATCTGTGACTTCTTTTCCTACCTTGCCTTAATGATAACATTCTCTTTAAGCCAGATGTTCTGGGAGTGGATGCCTGGTTTTAATTCACTAGTTAACATTTGTTAATGTCGCTGGGTCAAGATACTATACATGGGCTGGGAGAGCTAGGAGAAAGAAACTGTTGTGGAACAAATCACTTTCTACTCTCTGGAGACACTTGTGTCACAGAGCTCTAGGAGAAAGTATAGGTGCTTTTTGATTACCAAGCATTCAGACCAGGCATGCTAACTGGTTAACTATCTGTCATGTGAACCCCCCACCCCGGAATCTTCTCAAAGGTCTTATTTCTCATTGCTGGAGAGAGTTTACTCACCTTAAGAGATACACTGCTTCATTCACATTGCAAACACATGAAAACAATTGAAATGCCACATACAAATATGCGTCACCATCCATTTATCCTGCAGACACATACCATTGTGAGTAGGGTAAGTACAAGTGTACTTACAGCAAGATGTAACCTTTGTGAGTGCTGTTTCATTTGAGGTAATTATGTTGTTCATCTTTAGAATTGAGCTGAATAAGAAAAGAGAGTTTTTAATCTATTACCCCTGAATTTCTCCTGATCCCCTTTCCATGAAGAAGCTGGACTCAAACTCCAACATTTCTGGAAGTCATCATTTAATTTTTTTTAAATTATGATATACCAATCATATTAAAGAACATCCTGATAATAAATTCTCAGTATTCCTTAATTCCTGAAACACTAAGTATTCATTTTTTCATATTTCCTCATTATTATCCAAGGAAATGCATATTTTCCTAGTTACATTTCATATATTCTGCTTCTTCTCCACAGTGGATCATAATTTTTTCTTAGTTTTTCTAAGTAGCTTTCAGATTTATAATTTTAATAACTAATAATTCTTATTTTAAGGCTGACAATGTCTTCTACCTAATTTAAGACGAAGAGTCTTGTCTATTTATGTACAGTTAGAGAATAAATACAACTATAATATAGCTATGGATATTCATTGCTAAGACCATATTGAAATAATGGAGATTCTTGATTATATTACTATAACCAAGGCTAAGTCCTGAATTTGGCAGCTCAAGTACTTTAAAATGGCTTTTTTGTTGTGCTAAATATTAAATTTAGACATAACTTTCTGGTGGATAGTAATCAGGTTAGATATATCTAGGATATAAGTGACTATCCGTATTGTTAAATATAAGAAGGGAAAACATGCCTAAACATGTTTGTGGTTCACCCATCACTAATCTCCTTAACACTGAGTCCTGAGACTCCAGTGAGTGCTTTGAGGAATGTTTTGAGCATCAGTAGGCCTTTGTACTTGACTCTTCAGCTAACTCTCTGGGTCGATGACAGCTGCTCTTGCAATTAGCCCTTCCCCTGACCTCATGGTCAACCACAATAGCCTTGGAGATTTCAGGAAGGGAAACTATTGCTTTTTAGGTATCTGGACAAGACCTGCATGTGTGCAAATTAATAGGGGAACTGTTTTCTGTGCTTTATTCTCCTTCTTCTCTCTTGGTTACAAATTGTCCTCATTCATATGTGACAGGCACATCTGGTTACCTATTCTAATGGGTGCAGAAATGGATCTAACAGGAAGGGGAAGCCATATAATACTCCCCAGGAATGTTTAAAAGAGGATTCTTCAGGCTTTCATGGAAAACAGGAGTTTTAAGGGGACATCCTAGGTAAGTTATTATATAAAAAGGAGAATTTGCTTGCATGACTTGTCTCTCTTATTTCTCTCTTAGAAGGTAGAAATATGTAGAATAAGATGATACTAGGATGTGTCAAGAGTATAAAAACACAACATATGAAGCAGTTAAAATCTTTAACAAGTTACCGTGATAGGTTTATAATGAGCTAAATTCCCTTCCTTTTCCTTATCATCATTGAATCCTCCCCTTTTATGAAAGGGTTGTAGGCCTTGAATGACCACTCTCTTCAGGCCTGTGTCTGCTGAGTCCAGAAGGCAGACTGCAGCTCAGAATCTAGGTTGGAGTCATCTGGGAACGGGGTAAGTGACCCCATGTCAATAAGCCCAGCTCCCTTTCCCCTTCGTGCTTTCCTTTCATTTCAAACAGGTAGAGTTGTCTGTAATTTGTGAGAAATAGAGTTGAACTGGAGAAGATCAGTCAATGAGCATGCCCACAGAAACTTGTTACATAAGAAACCTAAGAATCAAGAGAGGAATTGGAACAATGAGAAAATAACTGCCAGGAAAGGAGGTGCTAACAGCAGAGTAGACTGAGATATGGTTCTGGGAGTAGCAGGAGAAAGTCAAAGGGGAGATTGAAAGTGGAGCTGGAGAATAAGCCAGTGGTGAGCTCTTAGTGGAAATGATGGAGGCAGTCAAAATGGTGAACACATACTAAGGCAAAATTCCATAGTAAAGCATTTTTTTCTAAGCCTTTTCAAGCGATGGTGACATGTAAAAACTTGACCAAACACATCAAGGAGAAGAGGAATGACAAAACTAACTCTAGTCCCAACTATCCTTTAGTCTCAAAGGAAGTAAAAAAAAGGAACGATTGTTTTCCAGAATGCCTATGGAAACAACATTCCAGAAATGCTGTTCACTTTCCTCTTGATCAGACTACCAGAGTCTTCCATAATTAAGAGGGTTACACAACTAACTTCCCCAATTATATTTTGTGTATTATGACAATCCTGCCTAAGTTGCTTTAGAGGAAAAAATAGAAATATAAGTTAATAAACATCAGGAAAATTGAATTGATAAAATAAGGACATTTTTACAGTACAGCCCAAATAATTCAATAATGTATTGTGATAAAAAAGATCACAGCAAAAACGTTCTTTAGAATAATAATTTTAATCTGCCCATTATAGTTGTCCCATTCTATATGAGAACGCTGAAAAATTAGAACATGTTTTTCATATTTACTCATTGAGCTGTTTTAGTTGTCAAAGCACAGAGAGAAATCTATGCCAGGAAGAATATGACTTAATTTTATTATCTTTTATTGGTGTGACAATGGGAGCTGCCACACTACATAGAAAATGTTTCATAAATGTTTGTGAAATGAACTAAGTAAAAAAATAAAAGGAGTTGCAAAAATAAAGGGAGTTGTTGTTATTTAAATATCACAAACGACTTTCAAATAAAAGAAAATTTTAAAAATAGTTCTAAGAGGGGGCAAATGTCCCCACTGTGAGGTGCTTCAGAAGGAGATAGGAGTATAGGCTAGGAACAAGTCATTAAGGACAGTAGTCATTCCAGGAATTCCTGATGAAATTAGCATTTTTAAATATTTCCAGTAGAATTAAAATTTAAATTCTCCTGTGAAACATCATTTGGCAATAGGCGGAGAGGTTCTACCCATGGAGGTCAGGGAGCATTCCCAGAAGACAGGAAGAGCAGATAACTCTTTTATCTTGAGTCTCTCACACACACTGCCAAGTTTTTGGCAGCTGCCTCTATTTAAGCTGCATCAGATCAGTGCCTGAGAGATTTTGGATTACTCTGAAGTTGCTGCTTTGACTGTATTAGTGATATTAAACCAATAAGACCATGGATTATTCAAATTGGCATCCTTGAATGATCTCAAAACCTTTTTAGCAGGGAAATTCTGAGTGCCAAGAAATTTGAGTTAATTAATGCTAACGGCATTGATCTTTAATAAAAATTTTCCTGTAACAAAAGTAATTGTTAATTTCTTTAAAATAGAGATGGAAGGTGTACACCAGTGGGACTTACTGAAAGTCAATTTTTTTCCCATGACCCCAGGGGGCATGTGCCAGTGTCTGGAGACATTTTTGGTGTTACACCTGGGCAGGAAGTGGGCTATGGGCATCTAGTAAGTAGAGGCCAGGGATGCTGTTAAACATCCTGTAATGCTTACAGCAGCCCATTATCCCACAACAACGAATGATCAGTCCAAAATGTCTATAGTGCTACTATTAAGAAACTGATATAGAAGTATAAAGATAAATTATCATGTTATTTGAGGGAGCACCAGATTAAAGATACTTGGAGATTTTGATGTATAGTCATGAAAACTTCTTACATAGTACATTTCCCCTGTGTCTGAACTACTCCCTAATAATAAATTAGGCCTCTTATGATGCTGCATTAACTGTTTAAAACCACTAGGGAGCTATCAGCATGTTACTACTGTGGTGTATTAAATACAGCCTTAGGGTATTTAGAAAGTTATTGGGATTTTCAAAGGTACGTAATTTACAAGTGAGCATTAAGAAAACCAACACTTGTGAAAGGGACATAAATGCACTTAAAAAGGAAGACATAAACAAGCCCAAATGTTCAGAGGACACAATCTTAGTTACGTGTGTGTTTGTGTGTTAAAGGGAAGGGAGTCATTAGTTAGGAATGGCTGGAGGTGAGTTTTGATCTGGGTTTTCAAGAAAAAGAAAATTATAGATTAGTTAGGAGTACATTCTAGCAATTCAGTAGCCTTTGTTAATGTAAAACAGAAAGTGGTTAAATGCTAATTCAATTTCCTAAAGGCTTTCAACAAATAGGAGTTGAAGAGAGATTAGTATCTACTGAGCAAAAACTATTTAAAATTAACACATCTTTTGATAAATTTTACATAGATTTTTATGATAACATTAATAAAATGTTCTGCATACCTAGAGTATGATTGATGACTTTGAGCTATATGTGTATATATATATATACACACATATATATATACACATATATATATACACACATATATATACATATATATATACACACACACATATATATATAAAATAACATTTTACAACATCACAAATTTAGCTCACTAATTGCGTGGCGGGAGAAGTTGACTTAAATCTGTGTTGGTATTCTTTATTAAAAAGAATTGACAAGTTTAAAAGGGGGGTCTTTAACCATGGGTTTAAAATACAGTGGGAATAATTTTTATTTTTACTTTTGAGAGATACTTCTGGAGAAAAGAAGAGATTATAGCTCTCCTTGTTAGACCTGTTTGTTCCCTGACCCTCTAGCAGGGTACTTTCTGCACATGCAAACAGAGATGGGAGGAAGACTTAGTCAAGTTTGAAATAGCCCAGGAGAAATAATAAAATAATATGGTTAAGAGCAGATATTTTATTTTCTAAATATGCTTTATACATTAACTTTGGTAGCTATAATATTTCATTGTCAATCTAAATAACAAAGAGAGGCTCTCTAAAAGAAAATGATGTTTACTGGGGAATAGTGCATTGAAGTGAATACGCATGCCATAGTAAACTATGTGTGTATTCAGGTTGGTGAAGAAAGACAAAGGTGCTGGGCGCGGTGGCTCACACCTGTAATCTCAGCACTTTGGGAAGCCAAGCGGGTGGATCACCTGAGGTCAGGAGTTTGAGACCAGCCTGACCAATATGGTGAAACTCCATCTCTACTAACAATACAGAAAATAGTAAGGCATGGTGACGTGCACCTGTGTAGTCCCAGCTACTTGGGAGGCTGAGACAGGAGAATTGCTTGAACCCAGGAGGCAGAGGTTGCAGTGAGCCGAGATTGCACCATTGCACTCCAGCCTGGGCAACAGAGCAAGACTCTGCCTCAAAAAAAAAAAAAAAAAAAAAGAAAGAAAGAAAGAAAGAAAGACAAAGGGTTTTTAAAGCAAATAAGGAGGATTGCATACTTGTTTTGAAATAATTATCCTTGACTACAAAGATCTACAGCAAGGGTGATGCCAGTCTGAGGTTGGACAGGCAGCTGTTAGGCAGATGTCTTGCAGAAGTCTTTTCTGTGTAAGGTTGTGATGGCCTTTGCACAAGGTTGTGTTGTTTGCAGTCTTTTGTGATAGTTTTTGTTGTCAGGTATACATGCGTGAGAACTCTCCATAGCCTTCCTCAGCTCTAGCTGTCAGGATTTTTCTAACATTAGTGACTTCATTTTGATTCTGACAACTTTCACATTATCTTTTGGGAGGTCTTGAGGGGTGAAAACAATTTTGTAACAGAGTGGTTTTTAGAGAAACTTAAGAATTTTGGAATATTATGTCCTCTGCCCAAATCCGGCTAACCTTTGGCCTCCATGGTGGCTGGAACTCCAAAGACAATGTGATGGTTAATAGAGTGTCAACTTGATTGGATTGAATCATGTGCAGTATTGTTCCTGGGTGTGTCTATGAAGGTATTGCCAAAGGAGATTAATATTTGAGTCAGTGGACTGGGAGAGACCCACCCTCAATCAGAGTGGGCACCATCTAATCGGCTGCCATAATGGCTAGAATAAAGTGGCAAAAGAAGGTGGAAGGAGCAGACTTGCTGAGTCTTCTGGCCTTCATCTTTCTCCCATGCTGGATGCTTCCTGCTCTCGGACTCCAAGTTCTTCAGATTTTGGACTCTTGAACTTATGTCAGTGGTTTACCAGGGGCTGTCAGTCCTTTGGTCACACACTAAAGGCTGCACTTTCAGATTCTCTACTTTTGAGGTTCTGGGACTCAGGACTGGCTTCCTTGCCCCTCAGCTTGCAGATGGCCTGTTGTAGGACTTCACTTTGTAATCATGTGCATCAATTCTCCTTAGTAAACTCCCTTTCATATATACATCTATTCTATTAGTTTCGTCCCTTTAGAGAGCCCTGACTAATACAGACAATATCATTACCAAAACAAGATTTCAACAGACCTTTGATGGTTAATTTTACATGTCAACTTGACTAGGCTGGGGTACCCAAATATTTGGCCAAGCATTATTTTAGATGTTTCTGTGAAAGTATTTTTTAGATGAGAATAACAGTTAAATGAGTAGACATTGAGCAAAGCAGATTACCCTCCATAATATGGGTTGATCTTATCTAATTGAGTTGAGGTCCTTAATAAAGCAAGGACTGATGTTCCTGGAGGAAAAGAGACTTTTGCACCAGACTGCCTCTGTACTCAAGGTGCAACTCTTCCTGGGCCTCCAGCCTTCCAGCCTACCTTACAGATTTTGGACATGTTTGCCTCCATGATCCTGTGAGACAACTCTTTAAAATATCTTTCTTTCTCTCTTTCTCTCTCTTTCACTGGTGCCCTTCTCACAATGGTTCAACTTAACAATTTGTTTGGCTTTATGGTGGTACCCATACAACCATTCTGGCTTTTGCTTTTAAAATAATATTCAATAAATTACAGAAGATATTCAACACTTTATTATAAAGTAGGCTTAGTGTTGGATAATTTTGCCCAACTGTAGGGTAATGTAAGTGTTCTGAGCACATTTAATATAAGTTAGGCTAAGCTAGGATGTTTGGTAGGTTAGGTGTGTTAAATGCATTTTTGACTCACAATACATTCAACTTACAGTGGATTTATTGGGGTGTAATTCTATAAGTCAAGGAACATCTGTATACACACACATGCACACACACACACACACACACACACACACACACACACACACACCCTATTGCTTCTGTTTCTATGAATAACCCTAATATCGAACCAAAGACCACAGATCCAGACTACAGGGAATCTATATACTACTTTTCTTCACACTCTCTTTCCTTCCACAAATATTTGGTAGATGTTATTATGTAGAAGTTACTGCAATAATGTCTGACTTATGATGCTGAGCAAGATCAGACATTATAAATGCTGATACAGAGCTACAGAATCTACACTAACCTAGCTAAAAATAGACTGTAAGGCAAGGAGAAATACAAGAGGTAAGGGGGGATATTTCATAATGACTAGAGTTAAAAACAGACATTTGGAATATATCATAAATGTAATTTGCATAATCCTGATACCAAAGCTTCAAAATATGTAAGTGAAACTGATAGAATAACAAAAGATTGGTAGATAAACCTACAAACACAGCGAAAGACTTTAACACACCTTTCACACCAGTTGACAGGGCAGGCAGACATGAAATGAGCCACGATTTGGAAGATCTAAATAATTTACAAAGATCTGAAAATTAATAAAATTGGCCTCATTCTTGTAAATATGATTGTGCTCATATTCCTTTCATGAGCACATAGAACTACAAAAATCAATCATATAGTTAGTCATAAATTAAGCCTCAATTATTTTTCAAAATTCGGGATAATTTAGGGTATATTCTCTGATTATATTGGCAGTAAGCTGGAACTAAACAACTAGAAATCCCAAATCACCTAAACAGTAAATAAAACATTAAACATTACAATTCAAACATGAGTGAAAGAAGAAAACAAAATAAAAATAGGGATAATTTTAAAGGGAGTGGTACATCATTTCAAAAATGCAGCCAAAGGGCCAGGTGTGGTGGCTCACGCCTGTAATCCCAGTAGTTTGGGAGGCCAAGGCGGGTGGATCATGAGGTCAAGAGATAGAGACCATCCTGGCCAACATGGTGAAACCCCGTCTCTACTAAAAATACAAAAATTAGCTGGGCGTGGTCATTGCGCCTGTGTCCCAGCTACTTGGGAGGCTGAGGCAGGAGAATCTCTTGAACCAGGGAAGCGGAGGTTGCTGTGAGCCAAGATCATGCCGCTGCACTTCAGCCTGGAGACAGAGCACAACTCTGTCTAAAAAAAAAAAAAAAATGCAGCCAAAGGAGTACTTAGAAAAAAGTACACTTGAAATGTACATATTACATAAAACGACTAAAATACTTAAGCCTCCATTTCAAGCCATGACAACAAAAATAGCAAATTAAGGGAAGAAAGTAAATTACAAAGATTAAAAAGAGAAATGAATTTAAAAATATAGAAAAAAATATACCGTTGAAGATTCAACAAAGCAAAAGTCTGTTTAAAAGATAACAAAACGGTAGCTCTTGAGGAAGATAGATTAAAATATAGAGAGATTTTCAATATCAGGAATAAAAGAGACTCTCATTACAGACACTGCAGACATCAAAATGTTATTAAGAATAAGAGTAGCAGTAATATGACAATTTGGATTAAGTTTTTAAAATTCTTTTAAAAAAAGACTTACCAAAACTCACAAAAAAGTTCTTGTAAGAAATTGAAACTTATTAAAAACGTCCTCACATAAATAATTCTGGGGTTATTTAGCTTCACTGATTCTTCCAAACGCGGTGGTAGAAATAACACTGATCTTGTGCACATTCATCCAAGAAATGAACAAGTGTTTAAGACATTCACACTGAAAACTCAAAACATTATTGGGAGAAATTTTTAAAGACATAAATAAATAGAGACTATAATATGTTCATGGATTAGAAAACTCATCATTGTAAATATTTTTATTCTCCACAAATTTAACCTATGGATTTCATATCATACTAATAGAAAATGGAAAAGTCTTCCTAAAATGCATATGGTGATGAAAAGTGCTGAAAATAACCAAGACTATTTTAAATGTCAAAGTTGGGAGACTAACAGTAAGAGATAGTAAGACTGAATCAGGCTGTAATTATAGCAGTTTTATACTGGTACAAGGAAAGACAAACTAATAGTACTGAATAGAGTCCACAAATCAATACACATGTGCAAACACATGATTTACACCAAAACAACACTAGAGTGGAATAGAAAAGATGGCCTTTTCAATGAGCAATGCTGGGTCAACTTGTTATCCACATGGATTAGTAACGTGTGTCTTGGCTTCTATTTTGTATCATATACAAAATGCAACTCCAGATGGATTGCAGATCTAAATGTGGAAGGAGAAACAATAAAGCTTTTAGAGGAAAATACAGGAGGACATTCTTGTGACCTTGGTGTTGGCAATGATTTCATAAACAGGACACAAAAGGACCTAACTATAAACAAACAAAAAAGACAGATCAAAGACAAATTTATTTTAACATCAAGAACTTGCGTTCATCAAAAGACATCACTGAGTAAAAATACAGCCCCAAAAGTAGTTGAAGTTATTCTCAATATGTGTATCTGGCAATAAGTCACATCCAGAATACATAAACAATCCCAACAAATTAATAATAATAAAAAAGACAGACCATAGAATAAAAAAAGTCAAAAGACACTTGAATAGACCCTTAAAAACAGAAGATATTAAATGACAAGTATATGATAAGGTGCTCATATTTATTAGTCATTAGGGAAATACCTATGAAAACCGTAATGTGATAAAACTGAATATCCATCATAATAACCAAAATGTAAAAGACATTTAATGCCAAGTGTTGACAAGGATGTGGAACAACTGGAACCCTATATACTATTCATGGGGGTGTAAGTGGTTTATCCTCTTTGTATCTTCTATAGATAAACACACATAGATCCTATTAAGATCCTATTATGTATGCAGCAGCTCCACTCCTAAGTGCATATGCAGAAGCAAGGAGTCCAGTCCCAAACTAGAAACAGCTCAAATGCCCATCAATTTTAATATGGATGAGGAAATTGCCATATATTCATACAGTGGAATTATACAATAAGAATAAATAGGCCAAGTGTGGCGGTGGAAGCCTGTAATCTAGCACTTTAGGAAGCCAAGGCTGGAGGATTGCTTGAGCCCAGGAGTTTAAGACCAGCCTTGGGCAACACGCAAAACTCTGTCTCTACAAAACAAAAAAAATTAGCTGGGCCTGGTGGCACGTTCCTGTAGTCCCAGCTACTTGGGAGGCTGAGGTAGGAGGATTACTTGAGCCCAGGAGGTTGAGGCTGCAGTGAGCCATGATCATGCCACTGCGCTCCAGCCTGGACAACAGGATGAGACCCTATCTCAAAAAAAAAAAAAAAAAAAAAAAGAACAATACGCACCCACATAAAAAATATCAATGAATCTCACCAATAAAATACTGAATTTGAAAAAGTCAAATACAAAAGAGCACATGCTATAATGCTTCCAATTATTTACAAAGTGCAAAACAGGCAAAGATAATCTATGCTGGTAGAAGCCATGATAGTGGTTTAGCTGGTTTAGGATCGTGTTTCAGGAGGGAAGGGGAGGCACTAAAAGGAAAGCAGCAGGAATGCTTCTGGGGTGTTGATAATGTTATGTTTCTTGAACTGAGTGCTGGCTACTAATATGGGTTCCGTGTGTAAAAATTTACCAAGCCGTACATTTGTAATGTATTCATTTTTGTGTATGTATATTATACTTTTTAAGCATTAGGACAAATACCTAAGGCATGCAGGGCTTAAAGCCTAGATGATGGGTTGATAGGTGCAGCAAACCACCATGGCACATGTATACCTATTTAACAAACCTTCACATTCTGCACATGTATCTCAGAACTTAAGGTAAAATAATAATAATAAAAAAGCAGTAAGCTTAAAAATCAGAAAAAAACACAAAAACAAAAACAAAACCAATAAACCTTGGCTCTGGAGGTCAGAGTACTTGGGTCTATGTCCCACACTTACTAATTAAGTAATCTTGGGCAGGTTATTTACCTGTACTGTGCCTCACTCTTTATATGGAAGATGGCCATAGAAGAGTACTTAGTTCCCAAGCTGTGAGGATCACCTAACGATGCATTTAAAACACGCAAAACACTTCTCAAAAAAAAGTGACCACTCAAATACTGGTTGTCAAAGAATGGCTCATAGGCAATTTAGCTAGAACTCAGCTGAAGTTTACTCACCTAAGAGGGAGTTCAATCATATGTAGACTGTCTCTCCGAAAGGTAGAATTTTAAAAGGCAAAATCTGCAGATGGACTATGAAATAGAAAATCTTATTTTATTTTCTCCTAGGGTAAATTGATTGACTAAAGTTACCAAGGAGGGCAATTTTCCCTTGAGCAGACTGGAAGAGTTATTGAGGAGAGAAGAGGAGGTCTTTGAAGGTTTTCCAGAACCTTCTGCTCTCTAGGTAGAAGAGTGATTGGTCCTTAAATGAGTGCCTCCTCCTTAAGCTAAGGCTACAGCTTCTCCGTCATTGTGATTCTCATTTTCCTCTTCTGGTCAACCTCAGCTTCCAAAGGAACTAAGGTGACCATGAGGACTTCTGTCTTAGAAATGGTGTAATCAGCTGCATGTCAGCTCAGGATAATGGCTGCGTAGCATCTTAAAGTAATTGCAAATCAAATAGTGGAGAAAGGCAAGAAATATGAATGACATTATAAGAAACATTTAGGACTTACTTGGTTTCAGTTTTTTGATTCACCTAGGCATAACCAAAAAAACAGTTCTGGCCAGGCATGGTGGCTCCCAGTGCTTTAGGAGGCCAAGGCAGGAGTATTGCTTGAGCCTAGGAGTTTGAAGTTACAGTGAGCTGTGATCACACCACTGCACTTTGGCCTGGGAGGCAGAGCAAAACTCTGTCTCTAAGACTCATTTTGGCTGACTTTAGATAACCAGATGACTGTTCATCTTAATTAATTGTTTTACTTCCTAAATTGCTTTCCCAGATGAAACAAGATATTTTAGTAATTACATAGGCTCCACATTTGATGGCCAGTCTCTATGGTTGTGGGCAACTTTTATTGCCTCGAACTACTTTAATTGGTTAATACATACTGCTGTATCAGGCCTCTAAAAGTTATCCTGTTTAATTTCTATCTGGACCAGAGTCAGGGATAAATTACAGAACACATTGTTTACTTGGGGAGATGCTAGACAACGTAGAATTTCTTACAAGCCAGTGAATTCCAGTATCTTAGACTTCTAAGAAATGAACGTAGGCCAGGCACGGTGGCTCATGCCTCTAATCCCAGCACTTTGGGAGGCCGAGGTGTGTGGATCACTTGAGGTCAGGAGTTCGAGACCAGCCTGGCCAACAAGGTGAAATCCTGTCTCTACTACAAATACAAAAATTAGCTGGGCATGGTGGTGGGTGCCTGTAATCCCAGCTACTCAGGAGGCTGAGGCAGAAAAATCACTTGAACCCAAGAGACGGAGGTTGTAGTGAGCCAAGATGGAACCACTCCTCTCCAGCCTAGGTGACAGAGCAAGACTCCATCTCAAAAAAAAAAAAAAAAAGAAAGAAAAGGAGAAAAGAAAAGAAGAAGAAGAAGAAGAAGAAGAAGAAGAAGAAGAAGAAGAAGAAGAAGAGAAAGAAAGAAAAAAATAGAGAAATGAATGTAGCTTTATCTGAATGAAATTCAAGCAACCCTTTCTGGGCTGATGAACACATCCCTGTGCTGGGAAGATGGCAGGCTCCAACTCCACAGGGACAGAAGCTCCTGTGCTTGGGATCCTTCCTGACTTCATTCTGTATGTACTTCTTCATCTGGCCATTCATCCGTATTCTTCATAATAAATTGGAAAAATGTTTCCCTGAATTCTGTGAGCTGTCCTAGCAAGTTATCAAACCCAAGGAGGGACAGCCATGGGAGCCATTTATAGCCAGTCAGAAGAACAGGTCACAATTGCCACTTGTGTCATCTGAAGTGGTGGGCAGTCTTGAAGGGTGGAGCCTTTAACCTGTAGGACCCAATGCTATCTTCAGATAGTGACTGTCAGAATTTTAATTGAATTATAGGACATCTAGTTGGTGTCCACTGCAGAACTGCTGCTTAGTAGGAAGAAACCCCAAACACCTGGTCACAGAAGTGTCCTGTGCTCTGTTAAGTGTGAGAGAAGGAAAAATTGTTTTTTTCTATCTCATACACAGCCAGAGGGAAAAAATAATAAAACGTAAGAAAGAAAAGAAGAAAACATAAGACATTATTATTCTGATCATAGATTTTGATTCAATGGTCTTAGAAAGATGTCTACAACTGATATAGTCTTGACCCTCAGATACTTGATATAACTGTCTACTACTGGGCCAAAACTCTTCTGAGGCATTTTAGTGAGCCTCAGAGCTAGATCTCCAGGTGAACTGAGTGTCCAGATTGTAAGATCTGCAGCATATTTATATTGGGAATGCTGGATCCATGGGAGATATGTTGTAGAGTTGAAGAATTGGTTAATGTAATTGAAATGTTTCTTTCTAATGTGATGCCAAGGCTGACTTCAACTTGTGTCTTTTCAATATAGCCAATCTCTCCAGGCTGTGTGTCAGATGGGGATGTGTCTGGTTGTATCACTTTTGGAAGGGCAGCTTATCCCTCTTGGGCATGAAGCAATGTACGTAACATTCATTTTTAATAATACCTAACAAAATCAGAATAAAACATGGTAGACTCTGACAAGTTCTTAAGTTGCCACTGCTGATAGAAAAAGCCAGTTTACTAAACATAGTCCTTAATGCCTTGAGAATACTTGCCAGTGGTGCTTACGGCTGCAGCATTTACTCTGAGATAACTTTGCTATGATGGATCTCATTTTTATTATTATTTTTGCATTGCTCTAATATATCGACTTTGGAAACAATAGACATCATTCTATTTATTCTGTGCTTAGTGGTGGTATTTCTATTTACAAAACATAGTAAATCTCAATCACTGAAAATGTCAAATCCTAGAAAATGTAGCATTCCTTTGGGGCATGGTGGCTCATGCCTGTAGTCCCAGCATTTTGGGAGGCTGAGGTGAGTGGATTGCTTGAGCCCAGGAGTTTGAGACCAGCCTGGACAACATAACAAGACCCCATCTCCTAAAGTAAATTAGTTAAATTTGCAAAAAGAAAAATGTAGCATTTCTATATTATTACCTGATGTTAGCATCATTCTCAAAAAGTTGTTGGTCAAAGATTCATTTGATAAGTTCGAGTTTTCTGAAACAGATGATTCTGATGCTTCAGACAATTCTGATGTCAGTTCTGTTTAGAAATAACTCCAAGAACAGATTTATATTTTATTTTCACATTAAAAATCAGTCAGATTTGCTTCAGCCTTGTATTTTTCCATTCTCACGCTGCTATGAAGAAGTACCCAACACTGGGTAATTTATAAAGAAAACAGGTTTAATTGACACACAGTTCAGCATGGCTGGGGAGATCTCGGGAAACTTACAATCATGGCAGAAGGGGAAGAAAACATGTCCTTCTTCAAAAGGCAGCAGGAGAGAGAAGGGCTGAGCAAAGGGGGGGAAAAGCCACTTATAAAACCATCAAATCTCATGAGGACTCGCTATCATGAGAACAGCATGGAGGTAACTGCCCCCATGATTAAATTACCGTCTACCAGGTCCCTCCCACAACACATGGGGACTATGGGAACTACAATTCAAGATGAGATTTAGGTGAGGAAACAGCCAAACCATATCAAGACTCAAAGAGCATGTTTATGTAAAATTAAATGAGTCCTGGCAGCGAGATGCACTTTTTTTTTTTAATTGAGACAGAGTCTTGCTCTGTTGCCCAGGCTGGAGTGCAGTGGCATGATCTCGGCTCACTGCAACCTCCACCTCCGGGATTCAAGCAATTCTCCTGCCTCAGCCTCCCAAGTAGCTGGGACTACAGGCACACACTGCCATGCCTGGCTAATTTTTTTGTATTTAGTAGAGATGGGGTTTCATCGTGTTGCCCAGACTGGTCTCGAACTCCTGAGCACCTTTTTTTTTCTAAACAGGAAAAAGGTTAAATTCCCTTTTCTCATTTTCATATGGGAGCCAAAAGTCATTTTTCCAAAGATTGCCTTCAGTATGAACTTCTTTTCACAACCAAGGCAATAATTTAAATAGCTGTTTCACCACCACATGTCATGTGTATCCCAATCCTTGAATAGATGGATTTTTAGTGCCTTCAGTTTTCTAGACCAGAGAACTCATTCCAGACTTCTTCCATTTCCTCCATGTCTTGCTTTGGTGCCTGCTGTCCACTGCCAGTCCCAACCTCTCCACCAATAAGAAGGGCTATGATTGCAAACAACTAACTCTGATTAATTTAATCAGAAAAGGACTATATAGGAAAATATTGGGTAGTTCAGAGAATCAACAGGAAACCAGGAGAACACGATTTTAAAAATTAGCAGAAAGCAAGGGCAGCCAGGAAGACTGACAAGATCCCACAACAAAAGTAACCTGATTAAAAATGCCCTGGCCATGGTCCCATGATGGCAACCACACTGCAACTAATACTATCACTACTGCTGCTGCCACCATTGCTGGATAATGTCCACCAATGCCAGCACCGCTGCCACAGAACCACTGGGTGAATATGAGTGGTCTTCTGTCCCTGCGTCTGTGCATCACTCCATTTAAACTCAAAGTTCAAGGTGAGAACATTGGAGTGTCTCAACTTTGATTTTGCATTTGAGCTCTACATGCCAGCAATTTGGGAAAGTTGAAGGCAAAAAATAATATTTTACAAACATTAGAGGAAGTTTTAGACATTAGCATGAAAAAAATGACAAATTTCCCCTGTAAAACCTGCAACAAGATTTTATGCTAGACAGAAAAATAGATACGTAGATACATAGAATTATGCATGAATATATACACATATACATAAAGGAGAAAGATCTTTCAGGCTTTGGGAGAAGAGCCATAGAAGAGATGTATTATTTTATTTATCTGGCTTAAATTCATTTATGCCTCTCATCTCTTTTATATGTTTACTACAACATACAGTTCTGACAATATGGCAAGCTTCATAAGCGAAGAGAATGTATCTTATAAATCTAGCATCCTCTTTAACTCCAAACAGACGATGCTGTACAGAATATGTCCCTGATAAGTAACTATTGATTTATTGATCCTTTAGGTCAATAGCTCCTTGAGCACCAATTGATTCATGAGTAAAAAGAAAGGCCGAGATGTTAGAAGTAACCCACAACTGTGAAGAAAACTATGAATATCAAGGGATGGGCAAGATCAGAGAGTGTGGCATTGAAACTAGTAGGTATGAAAAAGACTCATGGATTTCTGTCTTTGAAATCTAAGGTAAAAATAAATGAAAATCATAACCATTAAGGACTGAAAATCGAACCTAGCTGTTTCATTTCTTTAAAAGCATACTCAATGCAACTATAATATCTACTTAAAATAATACCATACGTGACTATCTTAATAGCATGCACTATTTTCCCCCAGGAACATAAGGAAAGAGATGCCATTTTACTCGAAGCTGAAACCAGACCCACCTGCTGTTAAATATATATATATATATATATATATATATATATATATATATGTATGTATCAGTTTAACTTGTAGATCTAGACGTCTAAAGTAACTAAAGGCCTCTCGTAAAGTACTTGTATTGGCATACTTCATGGCCTCCATTTTGTGCTTGCAATTTTGTACTAATTAGTATTGACCAGCAAAATTATACATATTCCATTGACCCCAAATGATAAGTTTTGCTCACACAACTAAGGCAAAACAATGGCAAGCTTTTTCAGTATTAGGCCCAATGATATTTTTGCAAGAAAATTCTGAAAGGGCAAATTCTTACAAGGAAATATATTGAACTCTTAAAAGCCCAAGAACATTTCTTAATTAAAATGTCATTGCTTGAAAAATTCAATTATGCTTTAATATTTACTCAGCTGGCTCTATTGACATATAGAGATGTACTTCACCATGATGGCAATGTTGAATGGTCTAGAATTTTAATATGCAGAACTTATTAGTGATTATGGAAACCAAGAGGCAGATCAGCAAGGGTCTAAATGACCTAGGTCATAAGTAAAAGTTCTAAGAGAGAAAATGCAAAGATAAAATAACCTGGATTCCTTATAGTATTTATTATTAAAAGTGGAAAAAAAGCACCTGACAGGAAGGCATAAAAGAAAGCATGCTAATATTCTCACATATGAAAGTCAGTTTGCATATGTTTACAAAGATGTTTGAAAGCCAAACCCGGTGTGTGCAGGTGAGGTGTACATTGGGAGAGAAGACTAAGACTGGTAACAATGGCAAACTTGTCTTCAGAAAGAGCATGGCTGGGTTACCCACAAAGGAAGCATGCCATGGAGACTGGAGATGGGAATGGTATCCTGGTTAGTTTTGATGGAGATGGTCAGAACCAGATATTCATATGCTGTTTCTCTTCCCCATACTAGATTCCAGGAGACTGGATACACAGAGGAGTCTCCAAGGACATAGGACACAATCTATTACTAGATAGAATTTTGTGTTCAAATCACCATAGGATATTCTGCACTTGAGAAGGTCAAATGAGCTTAATAAGCCCCAAGCCTCTCTTTACCTTCTTATTGCAAGTTCAGAAACAGGTTACTGGTTCAGAAACAGGTTTAACTGGTCTCTGTCATTGTTCCTTTCACCCAGGCCAGCCCCGGAATTTGGCCCTCTGCATTTCTGTCTTCCTTCCTTCCGGTTTTTTTTTTTTTTTTTTTTTTTTTGAGACAGTCTCGCTCTGTTGCCCAGGCTGGAGTGCAATGGAGCTATCTCGGCTCACTGCAAGTTCCGTCTCCTGAGTTCACGCCATTCTCCTGCCTCAGCCTCCCGAGTAGCTGTGACTACAGGCACCCACCACCACGCACAGCTAATTTTTATATTTTTAGTAGAAACGGGGTTTTGCCATGTTGGCCAGGCTGGTTTTGAACTCCTGACCTCAGGTGATCCACCCTCCTTGGCCTCCCAAAGTGCTGGGATTACAGGTGTGAGGCACTGCGCCTGGCCGGCCCTCTGCATTTCTGCACAGTGAGAAGATGCATGCAAAAGGAAAAAACAGAGCCCTGCAATTCAGACTTGAAACAGATGTGGCCCTCTCCACACACCTTTTCCTGTGGACCTGCCTGTGATTCCTACATGGCCTTCCTAGAATTGGTGATGCTGGATAATCTAGGCCACTGGTTCTCAAATTTAGCTGTATATTGCATCACCTGGGTAGATTTTAAAACTACTGATACCTGGGCCCCACTTCCAGAGATTCTGATTTAATTGGTCTGAGTAATTGCCTGGGCATCAGTTAAAGGGTCTCCAGGTGATTCTAATAGGTAGCCAAGGGTGAGGACAATTGGCCTAGGCCAGAGGCAATACAACAGTTGCAAGCAATGGAGGGACCAGTAAGAGCACCTGCAACGTGGAAAGACAGTCAAGAGAAAGATATGAATAATAATGGGGCAAATGACAGCAAACCATGTAAAGGAGCTTATTTCTTTGCTGCACCATGGAGGACCACTCAATACTAATTCTGACTGCCTAATCTATTTTTTTAACCCAGACTCACCGTGGTGAATAGATACTTCCACCGCAATCAGACTTCTTTAGATGTATAAATGTTTGGTTATTGGCCTTTTCACTTTTATTCAAAAATATAGCCTCTTAATTTAATATACTATCATCATACTCTGTAAGAAAATTGGGACCTGGTTAAAATACATGAGAGGAGAAAAACCTATCCCTTGAAAGAGTAATCTTTAGCAAGTACTATAGGCAGTCAGGATTCATCAGGACAATTTTTTTTAATAAATTTTTTCTAGTGTTATCAAATAGGAGCTGGCCTTTATGACAAAAAATAGCTATGTACTCAGGAAACATGATGAGAAGAAGAAATTGTATAAATAATATGCTTTGAGTGGCAGGAAATAAAACTGAAACTGGTCTAAACAATAAGGAGATTGTATTGGTTCATTTTTATTGCTATAAAGAAATACCCGAGACTTGGTAATTTATAAAGGAAAGGGTTTTAATTAACTCACAGTGCTGCATGGTTGGGGAGGCCTCAGGAAACTTACAATCATGGCAGAAGGAGAGGCAGCCACTTTCTTACTGCGGCGGCAGCAGAGAGAGAGCGTGTGAAGGAGGAACTGTCAAACACTTAACACTTATAAAACCATCAGATCTCATGAGAACTTACTATCACAAGACCAGCATGGGGGAAACTGCCCCCATGATCCAATCACCTCCCACCAGGTTCCTTCTTGAACAGATAGGGATTATGGGGATGGATTATAATTCGATATGAGATTTGGGTGGGGACACAGAGACAAACCATATTCGAGATGTATTGGCTTATATGTAATGGGAAATCTAGAGGCATAAGAGGTTTCAGCTGGCTGGGCGCGGTGGCTCACGCCTGTAATCCCAGCACTTTGGAAGGCCGAGGCGGGCGGATCACGAGGTCAGGAGATCGAGATCATCCTGGCCAACACGGTGAAACCTCGTCTGTACTAAAAAAAAAAAAAAAAAAAAAAAAAAAATTAGCCGGGCGCCATGGCGGGAGCCTGTAGTCCCAGCTACTCGGCGGGCTGAGGCAGGAGAATGGCGTGAACCCAGGAGGCGGAGCCTGCAGTGAGCCGAGACCGCGCCACCGCACTCCAGCCTGGGCGACAGAGCAAGACTCTGTCTCAAAAAAAAAAAAAAAAAAAGGTTTCAGCTGCAGTTTGGTCAGGATTTCAACTCGATTTCTCTACTGTTTTCAGTTCTGTCATCTCTTTTGTATTGGATTTGTCCTCAGGCTAGCTATCCTTATGGGGGCAAAATGGCAGACAGAAGCTACAGAGGAATCTCCTTGGTTGGTGTTTTTCATTTGCAAGAAATTGTATCTTTTGGCTGTGCTCTTGAAGGCATCAGAAAAGTTGTTATATTTTCATTTCAGTCCCCAGAAAACAGCTTCTAAAATCTTATTGTCCCAAATTGGACCACATATCCATCCCTGAATCCATTACCATAGCTAGTAGAATGGAATGGCTTGAGCAAGACAGAGCCCACTCCTGAATCTGGGGGTGCCATCAGGCTTTGTAGAATTATATGAGAGCCCAGATGTAAATTTTTTTAAAAAAGGAAATGAGAAGAAATGGGGCTGGGCAGATAGCAAGCATATGTATAAAATAACTTCTAACAGGGAACCAGGGTAGCTGGGTTCCAATTTAAATTCTACTAGTTTTGTGTCCTTGGTAAACAAGTCACTTTTATTGTTCAAATGAGTGTATTTGACAAGGTGATCTGATTTCTAAGGTCTTGTTAAAACCTAAAATCTTAACTTTATATCTCTAAAATATCTTGTGCCTGAGATACTGGCTTTCAGTTCTATTTTGGGGGACACATTTAAAGAAATAGATTTGGCCGGGCGCGGTGGCTCACGCCTGTAATCCCAGCACTTTGGGAGGCTGAGGCGGGCGGATCACGAGGTCAGGAGATCGAGACCATCCTGGCTAACACGGTGAAACCCCGTCTCTACTAAAAATACAAAAAATTAGCCGGGCGTGGTGGTGGGCGCCTGTAATCCCAGCTACTCGGGAGGCTGAGGCAGGAGAATGGCATGAACCCAAGAGGCAGAGCTTGCAGTGAGCCGGGATAGCGCCACTGCAGTCCAGCTTGGGCGAAAGAGTGAGACTCCGTCTCAAAAAAAAAAAAAAAAAAAAAAGAAATAGATTTGATTTATGGTCTGGGGCAAAATTGTAAAAGGAAATTAGAAGAATGTTTCCACTTTCCTTTGGTAACACAGGCACCTCTGGTCTTTTTAGCATCTACTGATGGAGTCAACTACTGGCTTCTTTTTTACTATTTCTCTGAGTGACTGATAAATGAGAGCAATTTCTCTGACTTGTATAAGAAAGGATTTTCTTATATTTGTTTTAAGACTTCCTAGAATGATTCACTTTCCTACCACCATTCTGTTGCACTTGCGAAATGTTATGTGACACTGCTAAGGTAAATTTATTGAGGCTCTCAATTTTAATTAGTTTTTTTCTCATATTTTCTCTGAAAAGTTAATCCCCTTTTAATGAAATTGTAAAATATAAGCAAATCTTACATGACACTTTTATCACCTGCTCATTTGAGATCAAAAGTCTAACTGTATTGCCTTCTAAAATTCTACCAAATTTTAAGTGCATATTAAGATGGTAATTTTTATCTCAGATCAATGGTTGAGCTTTAATTTATTTGAGCAAAATAAAACAATACAGATGATGGTTTATTGCTGTATTTCAACATATTTTATAGTACTAAGATATTATCGTAGTGATTTTTATCACTGTTTGAAGTAAAGTAGGAAGCAGATTCTTAACTTGAAAACTTAATGGGTCTAAATTTTCCATCAGAAAATAATCTACCAAATAACATCTTCATAATGAAAAAGGGATTTGCTCTCATCTCTCTCCCAAGTTTTATGATGTAAAATAGTACCCACTGTTACATGTGAGTGATTGTAAAAATCTAGCACATGTGAGAGTTTGCTGGAATAATAGTATTATTCCTTTAGCTTAGTGCTAAAGAAAATATTTGTACTCTAATCTCTGTTCTGAATTTTCCAACTATTTCTTACATTGAAGACCTGAAATGGCATGTTTGTCTCCATGAACAGTGCAATGGTATCCTCCATTTAATTTGGGCACCCAGTTTATATTGTTTTAGCTTTCTTCTTTATTTATGATCAAAGTATAGGTTCACTTTGTAGCCTTATGCTGACAATTTACAACCAGCTCATAAATGCCCTATCTTGTGATTTATGGTGGGCCTCCTACTTGCTGTCCATGACCTCTTTCTCCCAGGTCCCCACTCATTGCTCATCTCAGGCAACCAGTTGAAATTCATTAGCTTAGGTATCTGTTGGAAAAGGAAAGCCAGCGTTTAAACAATGTCTACATTATCTCCAAGCTCTTGAAGCCAGTACGTCAAAGGAGTGAAATATAATGATTTGTAATGATTGGGTCTGCCAACTGCTCAGAGTAAGACTCAACTTTGTTGATAAGTGTAGCTAACACTTATCAGAGGCAAAACAAAAGGCAAAACTAGTGTTGGTAATGAAATTAATTGAGAAAAAGCCAGTCTAACTGTCAAACTAGAAGAACCTTGAGAAGAAAGGCAGCTTCTAAAGGTCAATACTCAGCGTGCTGTAATCTTTACCATCTGTGTTCAGGCTGGTAAGATTCTGAGACTGTCATATGTAGCCCTTTTTCTGAAAATAAGAGACAAGGGAAAAAAAGGCTTGCCCAACAGGGAGCCTGGATGTACTTAGCTGGATAGAAAATGAAAACACTATATGGTATAAACTTAGGATGACCCTTAATTTTTCTTCCCCTTGACCTACATGGGTCCACAGATAGTTTCAGAAAAGCAGCGCCATGGCAAATTGGAATAATTCCGTCACCAACGAAATGTAATATTATATTTACAAGGTGGAACACTAGGCAGCTCGATTCAATATGAACACCCTCTATCGTCTGACTCTATCTGATGAAGGCTAACAAGGCCATCACCATGTTTTCCTAGTAAGAAAGTTTTTTTACGTAAGTGGAAAAATGGACTTGGTTTCTCTTTACTTGAAGATTTGAAAAATATATAGAAATCTAGAATGTTGTGATTCTATATATAGTGGCATAGCTTACTCTTATTAGAACAATATTTAGAGGTTTGGTATTATATAGGCTTTTTAGAAGACTTATACCAAATATACCAGATGTTTATTACTACAAGGGATAATTTCATGCACTCTCATTTCTTAAATCAGTAGTGTTTTCACATAATGGAAAATGATCAAAGAATAAATAAAAATATGTAATATTCATATACATATAAATGTATATGATTGTATATATATGCATATATGTGTATGTAAAAATTATATAACATATATTATTTATTAGCTAAATCATGAATAAACTTTAAATGATTCTATCGAAACTTTGTATATTCTAATTAAAGTATAAAATACTATTGTTTTACCTCCCTCTATTATATACAAAGTACAATGTTTTCAATATTGTTCATATAATATCAATTTCTATTTTTTTCTAAAAATCCAATCCTTCAGAGATTTTTCAGCTTTAACTTTTCCTGTTGCACTACCTCCATCTCTAGATGACCTCATCTATAGAGCTCATTTTTTATGCATACGACTTCATTTTATACTCACAACATCCCGAGGATTCATGAATACACATATGACTTCAAAGATCCATGATACTGTCTTATAATAAATCATTTCCCTGGATTCACTGGTGCTATTTTAACCATGAGAGGGGTGGCAGGTTTTACAAAGTATGCTGCCATCTAAACTTCATAAATAAAGCTGTAGGTTAACTGATTTGTTTTTCTCTTCTGTGATTTCCTTGATTTGTTTTAGAAACACAAAAAAGGAATTTCTCGTCTCTGCAACATTTGTCACTGCTTCCACAGCCTCCCAGGAAAATAGGATCCATAAAATCTTAGACATAAAAAATAATAACACTCTCCAAATGCTAGTTAATAAAATGCTCCGCCTCTTTAGGAGAAAGAGATATTTTATTTGTATTCATTAGGGTGACCTAACCACTCACTAGTACACTTTATTATACCTCTCCTGTGTGATGTAATAGCTTGAACACATGAAAATAAAGCATGCAGATCATATTGCTTTCTCTCTTCATGTATTTAAAACACAGGTACCCTTAGCCTCTCCCTTTTCCTATCCTCCCTTTTCATTTCCTCCTCTTACTCGTCTTCTCTTTGTTTCCTTCTCTTTCTCCTCCATGATCTGCCCACCAAGACTCCCCTAACGAGCCATTCATTTTTATATTCTGAAGGCAATCTTGTTGGTTAAAGCCCCTGTGAGATTTCTTGAGTGGGTTAGGTTTATTTTCTTGTTTTGCTTTGATATCGTGGGTTACGTGTTTCTCATTTCAACTGGTTTATGTTGACCTAAAGACCTTTTCTATTTGGAAGAATGCATTGTTTTATAACTAATTAGTAAAGAAAAAATTATTGTAATTAATGAATATAGAATGAAGAATGAAAAGCTGTTCTAGAAAAACAGAAATAGAGAGAAAAAGAAACTTTTTCACAAAGGCTGCTAAATAAATGACTCTTTCCCTTAGTTTTAGGAAAAGGAATGTCACCATTAACAAATGATACTACTCTGAGCCTATTATGTTGAATATTATGTCACTGTCAATCACTTGGCAATCCACAGGGCAATACTTCTCCATAATAACTGCCAACTTTAGTCAATATATTTGCATCATTTTACTTTAGAGGCTTATGAAATGCAAATAAACATTCTACTAATAGTGCTTCTTATTTAATTAGTTCTGCCTGGCGGATATTCTTTTTCTTCAGCACGGCCTTAAAAGTAAGAATTTCAATTCCAAGCCCGATTTGGCCATTTAACAATTCTTTGTATTGTTGACCCATTGTTTTGAGGTTGTTGACCAAAGAGATAGGAATTACAACATGAGAAATAAGACCCTTTTTTGAAAGAAGGTACACAATGCAGAAATCTGTCATTCAGCATATTATTTAAAAACTCAGAAAAGAATCATACCCACATTGGTTTTTAAACTAGTTTTAAAAAACATCTTTGGGAAATGGATACTGTGTTTCTGTCTGAAGTCAAAGCCATCCACTACAAATATTTTGCTCTGTTATTCTACTGCATGTATGCACACGTTTACCCAGCATCATTTATTTTGAGAAAATATTGCCTAATTCAAATGCTTTATTAGCATAATTTTTATTTGCATTTCTCCTTCACCCCATAGTAATTCTGTTTATATAGAGAGTAGACAAGTGACACAGGCCTGGCAAATCAGAATAACCCATGACCCTAAACAATTAAGAATAGAAGCTGCCCAGCTAGTTGTTTGCGGAGCCTAGGACCATTATCTAAGATCTATTTTGCCCTCTGGAAGGGATACCCTATTTCAGAAACCTTGACAGCCAGCTTGGATTGACCAAGGTGCTTTGTTGGATGAAGTGAAACAGGTACTCATCAGCTTTCTATCCTCTTTTCACAATTTTTGACTACGTGGAATATGACCTCAACTCAGTATTGCCAAGGAAGCAAGGCGGTTTGATTGCACTTCAGGCACTTAGGTTTAAACTATGAGGATGATGCGTTCACAGATAATTGAGACCAATGTGAATTACACATTTATATTAAGAGCCTGTTAGAAGATATTCCAGCCTACCTATATCACTAATGTGACACAATCTTAATATGATTTATTTCTTTGGATTAAGGTGGTGGCATTCTTTCTTTTTTTTCTTTTATAACCCCAGTTTAAACTATAAATCTCACATGAATCCAGAAATGTACTTTGAAAAGAAGTTAAGCTACTCTTGTAGAGCAAACAAGAATTTTTTATTATTTATTTATTTATTTATTTATTTATTTATTTTTTGAGATGGAGTCTCACTCTGTCGTCCAGGCTGGAGTGCAGTGGCGCAATCTAGGCTCACTGCAAGCTCCACCTCCCATGTTCACGCCATTCTCCTGCCTCAGCCTCCCAAGTAGCTGGAACTACAGGCACCTGCCACCACGCCCAGCTATTTTTTTTTTTTTTTTTTTTTGTATTTTTAGTAGAGATGGGGTTTCACCATGTTAGCCAGGATGGTCTCGATCTCCTGACCTCGTGATCCGCCCACCTCGGCCTCCCAAAGTCCTGGGATTACAGGCGTGAGCCACCGCACCCGCCCGAAGTTTTTATTTTTTGAGAACTCCTTCTGTTCCAATCTCTTGCACTCCACATGGATCCCAAGATTATTCCATGGAAACACAAGTCTCTGCAAAAATAAATGTTTGAAAAAAATTAAGACATTGAATTATTAAATGTATAAGAATCATCTCTTCAGGTTCAATCATTCCTTGTGGTATATTCCTATGTCACTAATACTCTAGAGGTTACTCATTTTAATTAGTAAGAATATATAGAAATGGGTGAGTGAGTGGAGAGATGGATGGATGACTGAAAGCAGGTATGTATTGATGAAGGAGAAAATGGGAAAAGATAAGTCTGGAGCAAGGGGTAGAGGAGGTGGTAATGCCCCAGTTGAGGGGAACACTGACATGCCAGCAACATTATAGTGGATCCCTAAAGAAGAGAGGTTGGTTTCAGAGAAAATTAAGGATAACAGACATGGAGTCAGTATATTTCATCTACTTCCTAACTTTGCTGAGGGATGAGTCTGTCACAACCAATTTCTTCCTTGACTTAGTATTATATAGATACAGCCATGGCTGATAATAAGGGTGAACCCATGTGGGGCATTAAGACACTGCCACCCACACCCATATGTGTTAATTTACTTCCTGCCAAAACATGTCTTTTGAATCATGTAGGCTTGTGCTAACAGAAAAAGGCAGCATATTCAATGGAATGTAGAAAAATATTCATGAAATCGTGGGTCTGTGACTTCCCACAGGAAGTTTTGGTTTCTGCTTTCAAATTAACCTGTCCAAGTGCTGCTCAGAGGCTTATAGATTATGGAGATCAATTCAAAAAACCTATAGCAATTGCTTGTGTAGTTAAGATTCTTATTTTCTATTAGAAGATTCCTAAGTTGTTAGTAGAACAATAGGCAGAAAACAGTGTTCAAACCATTTACAGGACACAAGGGTCTAGATAGGTTGTTCCTGTGTCAGGGCGGGACAAACAAAACAAAAACAAAAGCTGTAGATCACATTTAAACCCTCAGGGTAAATATGAACAAAGGGTAGACTATATATTTTTAAGGAATCTGGGTGTAAACCTTTTTTTCCCCTCTTTGCCAGAAACCATAGTGTTTATAGGCATGTTTTACTGGAAATCTGCTGCTTCTCACAATGTTTCCTGCACAACTGTCTTAGTAAAACTACATCTGGAAATGACAAGCACACAGTTGTAAATCTGAAAGTCAGTGTGTTGTTGTAATAGCTTGCAGCTACAGTATGGCTGTCTTGCTGAACACCAAAGAGTTATAAAGACAGAGGCCAGCTGTAGCTACTGAAATGAATGCTATTTTTCTGAAGGGATAGAATGAGGTTTAAGAGGGTTATAATGTCTCCTATTAAACTACGAAATGGAGCATTGAGCTGATGGTCTCTTGGACAAATCAATTATTTCAGAAACTCTGACAACCAGCCTGGATAGACCAAAGCATGCTTTGTTGGATGAAGCAAAAACAGGGAGAGATCCATTGACTTGTAGACCTCTAGAGTTAGGTTGGGTCATAGCAACCACCTAAATCAAATGTCTCCCTAAATAATGAACTTCCCTTCTCAAGAGCCACAAAATGCCATCCTCAAATATTAGGTTGAACATTTCAACAGTTCTCAGTCCTAAATGACTGACGAGATCCATATATAGGTCCCAAACAAAGCAACCTATACACTTAGCCTGAAGTTTTCCCTATGCTTTGGTTTGAATGAGTCTTCTCCAAAGTTCATGTGCTGAAATTTAATGGCCAGTGTGATAGAATTAAGGTATGGAGCCTTTAAGAAGTAATTACATCATGAAAACTCCTTTCTTATGAATGGGATTAGGTCCTTATTAAAGAGACTCCACATAGCATTCAGTTCTTTCCCTGTTCTATTCCTTTGGCCTTGTAAAGGCACAGCATTCCTGCCTTTCAGAGAATGCATCTAGGAAGGTGAAGCTGGGCCCCTCATCAAACACTAAAACTACCATTAACTTGATTCTGAACTTCCCAGCCTTCATAACTGTAAGAAATAAATTTCTGTTCTTTATAAATTACCCATTGATAGGATTTTGTTATAGCAGCACAAACAGAATAAGACACCCTGTGTGTGTATCTTTGGATCATTTTCAAATTAACCTGGGGAATCAAAGAACGATTCATCACTATGGGAGTTTCGTTAAACCACATGTTGATATCAAAGCCACCAGTAAGATTGTAGTGATGAGTTAAGCAATGATTAGTTAATAATAAACAAAAGTAAAATATCAACCAAATTTTAATTTATTATTTAAATAATAATTGAGCATTGGTATGTTTAGACACTATGGGCTTTGGTTGTAACATATACATATATGAGCACTTTTTATCTTTAAAAATGGCTTATACTTTCAGTAATGTCTCTAAGCTGTGTATATCAACAGGTGGAAATTTAAAATAACTACAGTGTCTTACTTCTTCTTTGCTCTGCTTCCAGGATGTTAAAAATGGCTTATACTTTCAGTAATATCTCTAAGCTGTGTATATCAACAGGTGGGTATTTAAAATAACTACAATGTCTTACCTCTTCTTTGCTCTGCTTCCAGCATGTTCTTTCTTCCTTCCTTTCTGTGTCAGAGGAAGAACAGATCATCTTTCCTACAGGGCCAAACTAGCTTTTTATATTTCTTTCATTTCACTTCATTCTCAATTTCAAAGAGATCACAGTATTTTATTATTTATTTTTTCTCTTGTGTCTTCAATATTTGAATTCCCCTTCAAAGCCTTTTTTCCTTGCTCTCAATCATACACAAATCTCTCCTACATGAAAACATTTTGAAATGAATTATATGGCCCGCTGAATCTACCAGAATTGAAGAAGAAAAGTCTCATCTTGTCAAAGAATAGCTTTTATAAGATCCATGAGGGTAGGGCAGTGTCTGATTCATTGGTGTTCCCATTTTCTAAAGGCTGCCCAGCCACAGTAGATGCTCAACAGGTATGTGTCAAATAAACGAATGGAAACAGTAAATGGGTGAATAAATA
Organism: Homo sapiens; assembly: GCF_000001405.40. Classification (NCBI taxonomy): domain Eukaryota; kingdom Metazoa; phylum Chordata; class Mammalia; order Primates; family Hominidae; genus Homo; species Homo sapiens. The sequence continues at coordinate 220,883,216 of NC_000002.12, forward strand.
GTAATGCATATAGACTAGCTTAACTTTTACCTTAACTCCCTCACAATTTACTGGCTGTTTTATTTCCCCACGTCAGATTCTTCAAAAGCACCCTCATCTGCTAGACATCAAGTTATTATTTCCATAGCTTGTTCCAGGTCATCATTTTTCTATCTTTGATATATATTTAACATTTAACACTGTGAGCTCCCCATTACCAGCACTGCCCCGAAACACACACACACACACACACACACACACACACACTCACTCACTTATTAATAGAGTTTTGTAGCTTTCATGAGAAACCAGCATAGTTTTCATCCCACCTCTTGCTCTATGCATCACGGACTCCCTCACTGTTTTTGACTTTTCTGAGAGACACTTCTCCCTTGGTTCCAACTCCCCTACGTGCTAAACTTGAACTTGTCTCAGCTCACTTCTTGATGATCTAATGGCTTCTCTTTCCTTAGAGGGAGGAAAAGAGTGGGGAGGAAAGGATAAAGAGAAGAATGGAGGCTGGGCACGGTGGCTCACGCCTGTAATCCCAGCACTTTGGGAGGCTGAGGCGGGCGGATCACAAGGTCAGGAGATAGAGACCATCCTGGCTAACACAGTGAAACCCCGTCTCTACTAAAAAAAATAAAAAAAATTAGCCGGGCATGGTGGCTGGCACCTGTAGTCCCAGCTACTCGGGAGGCTGAGGCACGAGAATGGCGTGAACCCAGGAGGCGGAGCTTGCAGGGAGCCAAGATTGCGCCACTGCACTCCAGCCTGAGCAACAGAGCGAGACTCCGTCTCAAAAAAAAAAAAAAAAAAGAAGAATGGAAAGGTTTAAGTAGGATTTGTAGCTGGAGAAACTCTTTCTAAACAAGCCTAATACTTTTGCTTCTCCTGTTACCTCCTTCCTCTGTTTCTCAAATTGTGCCCTCAGTACAACCTATGTCAGAATTGATACAAATACTGATGTCAGGCTCTACCTTAGTCTATTACTCCTTCTAAAATAGAATTCCAAGGATGGGACCTCCAAAATCTACATTAAAAACAAAACAAAAATCAGTTTTTTCTAGTTTGCAGAGAGGTTTGGGGACCACTGAACCATGTAACACTGCATAGAGGTAAATAAATAATGAGAAAATAGATATGAAAAATTATCCATTCAAAGGCTATGGCACCTGGATCATTCATCATAACCTACAAAATCTACTGCAGCCTCTTCCTCTCCCAATTTTACAAGAGTCCTGTACTGAACTCAGCTGTCTCCAGTATGCTGAAGACTATTTATTACTTCACCTTCACTATGCACAGGCACCTCATCCTATAGGAGATGACTCTAGCAAATAATTTTCTGTGAAGTTGGTAAATCGTTATGGCTTTTCAGAGGAGTTTTCTCAAATAAGCAGAGATCCAACCAAATTATATGATTTGCTGAGACTCTACTACTTCTATTTCATTACAAGTCCTACAAATTTCTACTTCTATTTTCATCTTCACCTTTTTTAATCTTTACTACCTGTACTAAATTTTTACATTTCAAACAAATCAGTTTCAATAACTCTACTTTTTGAAATCAAAATATTCCATTTATGGTGTTATGCATATTAGCAACAAATGTAAAATTACTCCTAAAATTTTAAGGGCAGGGATAACTGCAATACTTGGCATAAAACATGATTTAGTTATATATAATAATGGGACTAGTTTATAGCCACACACAAAATAAGTGACATTTCTTTGTAACTACATGTGTATAGTAGAAAGAGAGAGAAGGGAAAGAGAAAGACTGATTAAAAACCAATGGGCTGGCTGGGCACAGTGGCTCACACCTGCAATCCCAGCACTTTGGGAGGCCGAGGCGGATGGATCACCTGAGGTTGGGAGTTCAAGACCAGCCTAGTCAATATGGTGAAACCCCGTCTCTACCAAAAAAAAAAATACAAAAATTAGCAAAGCATGGTGGCTCATGTCTGTAATCCCAGCTAGTCGGGAGGCTGAGACAGGAGAATCACTTGAACCCCAGAGGAGAGGCAGAGGTTGCAGTGAGCCAAGATTGTGCCACTGCACTCCAGCCTAGGCGACAGAGCGAGACTCCGTCTCAAAAAAATAATTTAAAAAAATTGACTAATATTTGTTTTATTGACACACATATTCATTTCACTCTGTCTACATTCCTATATCTTCCCTTTTTTTTTTTTTTTTTTACTCTGTGACACCCCTAAAGAACAACTGGTTCCTGTCCTGTCCCACTTCCTGGCCATGTTCCTCTTGGTATTTAGCAGTGACTGTTCTCCTAGGGGCCATACTGTGGCATATCCCCTATGCAGGAGCAGAGAAAATCCTGCCACCAAATGTGAGTAAAGAAATGCCTTCAGAACTACAACTTGGTCAAAACCCTACAGCTCTTTTATCAGGCCCTGAAATTAGATTGAGAAACATACAGAGTTTTACAAATAATAATGATACCAATAGCTCCTGGCACTTTTAGTTCCTCAATTTTCTTTTTTTGTTTTTTCTCCTTTCAAGCCACTGCTGTTCAAGAAGGACCTCACTGATACCTGACATGACACATCAGAAAATAAGTGTGAAGTCTGGCTATGCTATGACCCTGAGAGTTCACATTTGTGGTTCAATCGTGGCTACATGTGAGCTGTTTACACTCTAGTTATCTCTTGAAATTTGGCAGTCATTACTTATCTATGTACAATTTGACTTCTCTCTTCCCGCCGGGGAAAAACTATGCCTCGTTACCATCTTTATATCTTTTATCCATCTTCTTTTTAAAATTAGTTTGTTGATGTTTCTCTAATTATAACATTTGGGAAATACAGAAAATTCTACTGGACATGAAAACTCATGATATAACAACACTCACAATATCATTATCCAAAGGTATCCACTGTTAGCATTTTTAGTACTTCCACTCAACCCTTTTCCTTTCCTGCCTTTTTAGAGGTAAAAATCATACAATGCATTTTTAATTTTTTCTTCACTTTTCTCAGTATTTTATTATAAGCATTTCCCATTTAATACAAAACTTCATAAATATTATTGGTTTCATGATTCCCTACTAAAGGACAATCATATAATTTATTTGAACAGTTTCCTAATTGGGGATATTCAGACTATTTCCAAGGGTATGAATAGCACACATTTGATAAATGAACATGAAAGAGCATTTTATTTATGCGTCTAACCAATTTGTTTCCCTAGAAGTACAGAGGCAGACTCAATGAATCAGAGTGAGTATTTTTGTGGCTCTCAATACATATAACTTCTGCCTGTTTTCAAACCTGATTTTAAGTTTTACCTAGTTCCAGATAGTTGTGACTACATGTAGTTAATGTTCATCTATGAGAATTGCTGACTAAATATAAGAGAAGGTAATTGAAGGGAAATGTAATGAGAAGGGGGTAATTTTCTTGGAATTTCCATTTTGAAGAGTTATTTTATCCTTGATTAAGTTATACGTCAATTTTAGTGTGACTTTTCTGACTAGAGAGAACATGCCAGATCTTTTAGCTTTCCTTTAGAAGTGGTCTTCAGGATTTTTCTTGTTTGCTTTTTCTTCCAATTCTTAAGTGAATTTAGGCTCTCTCTTCATTTTTCTGATGCAAATATCCATGTGGTCTGGACAAAGGAGATGCATTCTTCTTTTGTCCTTCCCTACTATTGGGTTCACTTTAATCTGTAACACAAAGCAAGTTATCCCTCTATTTTCTAAACATTTTTGTGCTCTCAGTTTTATTCGTCCAGTTTCTTGTTTAGCTGCCTAAATTCTCCCAGCTCATTCACTCACAGCCACTTCTGGATGATACCTGTTGCTTCAGGTTAATCACTCCTGTATTAGTCCATTTTCATGCTGTTGATAAACACATACCCGAGACTGGGCAATTTACAAAAGAGGTTTAATGGACTCACAGCTCCACCTGGCTGGAGAGGCCTCACAATCATGGTGGAAGGTGAAAGGTATATCTCACATGGCGGCAGACAAGAGAAGAGAGTTCGTGCAGGGAAACTCCCCTTTATAAAACCATCAGATCTTGTGAGAATTATTCACTGTCAACAGAATAGCATGGGAAAGACCTGTCCCCGTGATTCAATGATCTCGCACCAGATCCCTCCCACAACACTTGGGAATTGTGGGAACTACAATTCAACATAAGATTTGGGTGGGGATACAGCCAAACCATATCAGCCTTATCCAAACTGTGGCCAGAGAGCTATGTACTCAGAAGGGTTTCCAATGCCACCATTCCACAATCTTACAGTAAAATGTCATCAAACATTCCTGTTAAATGTTGTTCACTTTGTTCTCACTCTGACATAATTCTCTTTCTTTTCTCTCTTCAGGAAAGAGAGCTAAATCCTTCCACTGAGTCCTATCTTGTAAGCAGATCATTCCTTCTCTACGCAGAGCTGTCGAAGTCACAGAAAGCACTAACATTCCAATGGTGATTTTCCTTAAGAAACAGCATTTTAAACAGTGACTGGGGAGATGAGTAGCTATGGCTTCTCTCTAACTGTGGTTTTGTGCGTCTTTGTGTATGAGCAACAGAGGGCAGTGAAATGGGCGGAGGGATAAAAATAACCAGTCCTTTTATGTTTGGATTGAAAAAAATATCTTGCTAATGCAGTTCTACATTTAACAATTTTTCTTAGGTAAGTTAGACATTTAATAGCAAAAGTCACTGATGTTCTATGGAAGGACTTCACCAGTCTTCTCTATAAATGACAAACTGCTGGAATGTAAAACATTTGGTTTTTTACAAATGCCTTTACTCGGGTTGGAAGTCGTGATCTATGTTTCAGGTCAAAGGCAAGAACATGCTTTCCCCTGTTTCCTGTCTCCAAGCGATCAATCATTTATTTCCCCAGGGAATTGTAGTTCTTGGGCATGTGGCCTGTTTTCCATTGGCTTCTATTATCTTTTGCTAATTAGATTACAACCTAGTATTTACCTTACTATGTGGCTTTGAGACATTCCCCTCCCCCCGCGCAGTGTTTTTCTGTTCACTTTACGAATGCTGCACCTCATGAGTTCTCTTGGCCTGCTTTGTTAAACCAGGCAAAGTGAGGAGCTCTACATTCACATTTGAGGGGAAAGGAGTAAAAAAAAAAAAGAAAATTAATTAATCTTACTCTATGTTCAGATCTAATTCACCTTTGAGGATACGCCCTCAGGAAATTTTATAGTTGTTGCTATCTCTAGACTACTTTAGATTTTATTTTATAACTCTCACCTTGAATTTACATTTTGCTTATACTAGGTAAAAATTTATTATCTGACACCAAATAGTATTGCGTCCCACTGTGATGATTAATTTTATGTGTCAATTTGGTTAGGTTATGATGACCAGTTGTTTGGTCAAACACCAGTCTAGATATTGCTGTGAAGGTATTTTTTAGATGTGATTAACATTTAAATTAATAGAATTTGAAAAGCAGGTTATCCTATATAATATGGGTGGGCTTTAGTAAGTCAGACAAAGGCCTTAAAAGACAAGGACCCACAAAGAGAAAGGAAGTTTTGCCTCCAGACTGCACGACAGAATTTCTAGCTTTTACCATCAAGACTGCGACATCAATTCTTACCAGAATTTCTAGCCTGCCCTGTAGATTTTCAACTTGTGAGTCCCCACAAACGCATGAACCAATTACTTGAAACTTCTCTCTCTCTCTCCCCCTGTGGGTGTGTGTGGTGTGTGTGTGGTATGTGTGTATGTGTGTGTGTTTGCATATATATGTATCCTCTGGGTTCTGTTTCTCTGGAGAACCCTGACTAATACACACACTTTGCCCCATTCACCCTCAGTCTTTTCTGATTTTTTTTTCCCAAAGATTCTATTTATGAAGAAACTTTCTTCTAAAACTCTGTATTAATCCAAGCACCCATATCCTTCAGTTTCTATTAATATTCTGAGCTTGTAAGGATAGATACATTGATTTCTAGTCAATTAAAAGGTCTTAGAGCCTTAGGTACGTACGTATCACAAGGGAATATAAGGTAGTCTAGCTGGAAAGGCAAGAAACCTTTCTCTACAGCACAGAAGAGACATTTATCATAATGGAATTATTGGCTGTAAAATGTCTAACGAACATTTTCAATTTGGATGGAATCTGGTTTGCCATAAACCTTATATATTAGAGATAACATTTTAAAAGTTGGCTACAGAGGTTCTCTGTAGGGATAGGGGAGCTGTATGGAGCATATATCAAATCTCCTGTGAAGCTTTTGAGAACTTTCTCCTCCATTTTGAGAAGAGCATCTCTGTCCAGGGCATCTCTGCCCATGCTGCTTGCATAAGCTTCCCAGGACACACTCACAGCCCTCCCCCTCCAGCCCCTCCTCCTCACTGTCTTCCATCATCATTTCACTATCACTGGACTCTTGGGAAGAACAGAACAGGCAGAGAAGAGGAGGCTTTCTGACACAGAGTTAGAGAAAATTTTCACCTGAAGGCGCAAAGTTTATTTTAGAACTTCCAAAATATTCTAGACCCCCGCCCCCCAACCAACAAAGACTGGTGTCAGATGATTGGTTGCAAATTTCTTTCTGGGAGGTGCTACCTTACCTCCTAATCTCTCAAACTCTTTCTATCACAGTGTAAAAATAAGAGATGGGAAGAACTGAGGACCAGACAAATGGAACACACATTAAAGAGCTCAATAATTTTGTCAACCTAAAATAACCCAAAAGGTCAGAATCTAGTTTAAAGAGAGTTTATTCAAGTGCAAATGTTGAGGACTGCATCCCAGCCCAGCATACACTTCCAAGTTGCCTTGGGGAATGCCCTGGAGACGAAAAGAGAGGCTCAAGTTTTTAAGGAAAAAAAAGGATGAATCAGGAGAAGGGCAATTATGAAAGTTGTTCATTGGGAATTCTCATTGGTTTACAGAAATCACATTGGTTAATGATTGGCTATACATTGCTGAACTATAGGGAGTATAGGGTTTTATAGATACTTGGAATCAGTTAGTCTAGAGCCTGCATAGCAAGTGGTTTCAAGACTTAATTATTTAGCTCAAGGGAGAGTGAGATGTGACTGTTGGTACATTTTAAATGACTTTCTGAGCCTGATAATTTCAAAGGGCTTGCATTCCTCTGATGAATTTTTTTTCTTTCTCAATTCTTTGGGGTATTTTTGTGGTGGGGGCACAGGGGAACAGCATCTCACTCTGTTGCCCATGCTGGAGTGCAATGGTGCAATCATAGTTCACTGCAGCCTCAACCTGGTCTCCAGCAATCCTCCCACCTCAATTTCCCAAGTACTGCTTGGGAGGCCCACAGACACGTGCCATCGAGCGTGGCTTTTTTTTTTTTTTTTTAACTTTTTTTTTTTTTTTGTAGAGAAGGGGTCTCCCTGTGTTGCCCAGGCTGGTCTCAAACTTCTGGGCTCAAGAGCTCCTCCTGCCTCAGCCACCCAAAATGCTTGGACTGCAGGCATGAGGCATGGTGCCCAGCCAATTCTTTGGTTCTTATTGAGCATTTCATTTAAGTGGTACATTGGTAGAATGTGTACTGGGTAAATGTAAGACATAATCTTCAATATATGGCTAGCTGAACATTTCTCATGGTTGAAAACTTTAAGTGACATTAGAAAATGAAAATGTGGTACATTTCCTACCTTCACCAAGGTTCCAATTCAGTTGAGAAGAGAAGGCAGATAGCCCCAAAACATAATGATAGGACTGAAGAAATTCCCAAGAAAGAGCTTTCAGTGTTAAAACTAGAAGAGCCTCAGGTAACCAAGGATGAGTTTGTCACTGTTGAGTATCAAGCAAGGGTGAGGGCCAAGAGTGGTGGAAAATAAAGAGAAGTCATATAGATGAAGCAGAATTGTGAGGGAAGTCATTCTGGATTAGGTGGAACTCTACGGATTTAAGATTAGGGAGGAAATGCTGAGGCAGGAGGAAGGAGGCATTCCAAGAAGAAAGCTCTGGAGGAACAAGGAAATGAGGCTAGATTAAGCCTAATGCATCCGAAAGACAGCAGGGAGATAAGAAAGGCTAGTTGGATCAAACCCACGCATTTAAATTTTATTCTGTTAACAATAAGAACCAATGGATTTTGAGCAGGGTCCTGTCATGATCTAAAGAATATTTTCATTTTAGGTCATAAAAAAGTTGGATAGGAGATAGAGCAGACTAGAGTCTGAGAGATCAGATATTTTCCTAATTAATGTTTGAGGAAATTAAAAAATATAAATTCATTTGATTGCATTAGAAATACAAAAGTCAGAACACATATGAGAAGCATGTCAAGGAAAAGCTGGCAGAAAACTATAACTGATTTGGAAAAGGAGTGGATAAAGAACATGGAATCAATGATGCTGTCAGACCTTCTGGAGTCAGAATCACCAAGATCCTGGCATCCTGCGAACTCATTCCCTACCAGGAAAAGCTGATGCCTTTGGTTCTTAGGATGACATCATCCCTGAGGCATGTAAAGGGATTTAGCCTCCTATTGCTAATGCCTTAGATCATCTGCTAGCTGGTCTTGGGTACATGTTTGTTTTGGGTCTGTGTCATGGGTCCACAAACTAAATATATATATGTATATATATATATATTTATATATATTATTATATATATTTATATATATTATTATATATATTTATATATATTATTATATATTATATATTATATATATTATATATTATTATATTATATATTTATAAATCTATTTCAACTTAATTTCTATTTTGAGCTCACTTGAGCCAGGGTAGCAACATTTTCTACACAGGTTTTTGAGCCACAATAGTTTTACTAAAATCATACCTAAATTTTGAGTGTTTAAGGTGTGGCCAGAAGCATGGGGGAAAGGCAGCCACAATCTGGGCTTCAAGTCATCTTTCCAGGTGGCCTCTGAGATATCAGTCATGTTCTGGGGACCCACAAAGGTAGCTGCTGAAATAACCCTCATTCTCTCCCAACGAACTGTTGCATGGCCGTTTTCTCCTCCAGCGATGTCTCTGCTTTGCTTGTGGGCTTGTGTCTGCAGCATGCCTGGCTTGCTGGGTCATAGAAATCTCTGCCAGTTGGCTAGGGTTCCAACCACCCCAATCCACTGTGCAGCTGCCCCTTTTCTGGGGTTTGTTTGCCTCCCTTAAAAAGGAGGCAGCCAAGCCCCATTAGCTGGGGCTCACTGATACTAACCTGGGCCCCTCAAACTGATGAAAAATCGCTCCTCTACTCGTTTTTCTTTTTCTCTTTCCTTCCTTTCTCTTCCTTTCTTCCTTCCTTTCTTTCCCTCCCTCTTTCTTTCTCTCTCTTTTTCTTTCTTTCTTCCTTTCCTTTCCTTTCCTTCCTTCTTTTTTTTTTTTTTTTTTTTTTTTTCAGAGTCTTATTCTATTGCCTAGGCTGGAGTGCATTGTTGCAATCATGGCTCACTGCAGCCTCAACCTCTGGGTCTCAAGCTATCTTATCTCAGCCTCCCAAGTAGCTGGGACCACAGGCATACAGCACCAAGCCCAGCTAATTTTTTTATTTTTCTGTCGAGATGGGGTCATCCTATGTTGCCTAGGCTGGTCTTGAACTCCTGGGCCCAAGTGATCCTCCTGCCTGTGCCTCCCAAAATGTTAGGATTACAGATGTGAGCCACCATGCCCAGCCAGCCCCCAATTCTTCACTTTGCCATGGATGGACTGATACTTTTATAAATAAAAAAGTAATAAATAAAAGTAAAATATAAAAAAGACAAGCTTATTTTTTATATCTGGGTCATTAGACATAAAATTACCATGTCCAATTTTGATAAACATTTCTAAATGCTTCCTCCTAATATCTGTACTCATTTTATTGAGGACTAGTCATACCCATGGGTCCTCTTCCATGATCCACACCTTAACTGGCATAAATCTACCTCTTCATTTTTGGCCCAGAAGGACCTTTTCTGATTGGGGATAGAGTTGAAAAGAAATCACAGAAATTATCAAGAGAAAAATAATATCTCAAGATTCTTTTGCCACATATTTAGCATTAAAGTTAAGGTTCTCTGAGCACTGCATTCTACCCCAAACCACACACACACACACACACATTGAGTATTTTAAAATTAGAAACTGGGCAACTTACTGAAACTCTGGGAAACGTCATCTGTAAAATGGGACTGAACATCACATCTATGAAAGTTCATAAGTACAGAGGATTTCATAAGAAAATGTCCATAAAGTGTCTGCCTTTCATAGGTGATTGGGAATTGAGGCTGTAGCTATTACCATAAAGATACAGGCTCAAGGAAAAATGAAGTTAGGGGTGAAGGGCTCTGAAATCCATTTCAGGAAATAGGCTTTCAAAGCAAGAAAGATGAGAAGTACTTGGTATGTCTTTGGGTCTTTATCACGGAGCTCTAAGTTCTTGCTGAGTGTAATCTAATTAATCTTGCTCATACTTATGGAGGTGTCATGTGCTAAGCATAGTGTGAGCTATTAGACCATTAACCACCAGGAGCCTCCCCACTCTGTGACTCAGATACCTATCTGCTAGACTTCTTTACCACTTGAGAGTTTAACAAGTCCCTTGTATTTATGGTTTTTAAAGCACTTTTGGATGCTGGAGGATTAAGCGCACTATAAGAATGTCTAGCTTGCAATAATAATATCATAGCTTATTCTTGCAATGTTAACTACTCCAACATACGGGATTTTCAATATAATCTAGGCAAACAAATCTTTAAGCTATCTTTCTTGTTAACTAAAAATGACACAAATTTAAATTAATAGCCGATATAGCAATAAAACTGCTAAAAGATAGGATTCATTGTGCATTAAGCTCTAGATTCTTTATTTAGGTTAGGAGTGATTATGTGATAATAGGATAAATGCTTTGCTAAAAAAACTAAAATACTCTGTATATCACAGAGGCATATTACATTTGTAGGGCATTAATTTACCTCATTATGCAATAAAATTTTTCTTTTTAAGTGAAATCTCAAGAAGAAATCAATTTGCTGAATGGAACTCAAGATACGTTAACCTTGGATAAGAATCAGCATTTGGCATATGTTCCATGTCATCCAAATAGCTTCCTCTTGACCTTTAAAAAGAGGAAATGATTCTAGAGAAATCCTAACACATCTTGGCAAAAATTCAGGCATACTATTCTACTCACTCAAGATGTTTTCCTTGAAAGAATCATGGCTTATCCCTAACACCTAAGGGCATTGAATAGTTTGAACAGAGTTGTGCTGCTCTGAGTCAAAATAGTTTAACACTATATCAAGAAAATATATTAGAGTAAATATTTTAATTTAGTAATGACTCTACAAAGTTACTGATTTAAAAATCAAGCAAAATTTCATTTACATATTGTTTGACTACTAAGAAGACTACCTCTGGTTCCATTGTAGTAGCCTGTTTAGATGGCCATGGAAGTAACTTCAGTACAATCTACTTAGGTGTCCAAGTCAAAAGCCAAGAGTTAGCTCTTCCTTCTGTTTCTTTCCTTCATCCTCTCCACATCCAATCCATCACTCCATCCTGCTGGTTTATCTGCCCAATTATATCTCAAACCTATACATTTCTGTCTATCTTTATCAAAATCTCAGTCTCAGCCCTCATCATCTTTTTCCTGCCTGGAGGGTGCAATTGCTTCCTAAATGGGCTCCCAGCTTTCTATCTTACACTGTTATGGTCTATTCTTTATATAGCCTAGAAGGATATTTTAAAAATGTACATCAGATCATATTGCTCCACTGATAAAGCTTCAGGTGACATTCTACTACATTAGGATAAAATCGATGTCATTCTCTGGGTCAGGTCTACTTCTGCTTTTTATTTCATACCACTCTCCTCCCTTTTCACCATGATCTATCCAGATGGGCCTGTTGCTTTTACTTTAGATACTCAAAAGTTGTTTTCAGTTTATTTCCCACTGTTATTCACTTGGATGGAATACATTTCCCCCAAATTTTTGCAAGCATGGCTCGTTCTTATTAGGCAGGTCTTACCTCCAATATTTTCTTCTCAGAAAGGTCTCTGACCATCCTATATGTTGTGATCATTTTCAGTTACTTTCTATTCCATTATTTTCTTTGTATGACTTAACACAAAGAAATACCTTACAGCCCGGTTGATTGGTTTGTGGTTTATTTCCCTGGACCAGAGGCTTCATGAGAATCATGACTGGATCTGCCTTATCACTCTGAATCTCTAGACCAGCACTGTGCCTGGAACTCAGGAGACCCTCAATAAATATTTATTGAATGTGCTCCTTGACTAAAGCATGTAGATTCTGATAGGCAAAGTGCTGGCTGATGAAAGGGCGTCCTGGCCTGTCCAAAACAGAAATACAAAAGGACAAGTATTCAGCCTATTTGCATCATCTTAGTAAGCTGTCATCAAAGACCTCTTTTAAACAAGCAAATTCATTTAGAAATGATTGGCTTGTTAAGCCCTTTGAACTACCTCTAGAGGCTTATGACTGACTGATGACATTTCACGCACCTTTAGAGCGGTGTTCTTAATGTGACTACATTCTCTTGTGGACTATTTCAGCAATATGTTACTATTTGCCATTTTTATTTTCACCCCATAAAGTACATAAATCAAAAAGAATGTTGCTATCATGGATGATCGACATTTTGTCAATTTTTGCTGCCAGGATTAAAAATAATGTTTGGACTGTTCTCCCAAGAGATATTTAATTCTCTTGATAAATTAATGGCTGGCCTCTGACAGAATAAATGAAACTCTTCTTAATCTATGCAATTAAGGAAATTGGCTCATATATATGCTTGCTTCAGGATGCTAACAACATAGGCAGTACATGGCCAGAAACATAGATTACAATCAGGAAGGCAACCTGGAATACTGGCAGCCAAATTCACTCCATTTGCCTTAAAATGTTTAAATACAGCTGATGTAAAATGGAAACTTCATATAGAGAAGGTGGTAGGAAAAACGTGTCACCCTAAGAAAGATGACATGAAGAAAATGAAAAAGCAAAACACAAAAATGCATTTCAATTTAAGACCTTCAAGTGGATTAAGTAGACTAGAACATATTTTGGTTATACACATTTCATTTTTTAATTAGAAATCCCTTTGAGATACTGTTTCATCTAGGCCTCCATCAGCATTTTCTCCTGTCCCTTTCTTTATTTTTCTATGACTTCATCTGGGACATTCCTCCAAAGGTCAATCGCCTCGCCAGAATGATCCACACAATTTTTAAATGTCAGGGATCAATGACGGTGGCGGGGGTGCGGCAGAGGTGGGAGGAGGTAGGGCAAGTGTATAGATGCACCTGGGACTTGTCTCAACAGGGGTGTGGGAGGAATGGAAAGGCAGGCTCAAAGAGGTGGGGAGAAGAGCAAAAGGCAGAATCTAGAATTTGTAACTTCTGGGGCCAGAGGAAGCCGCAGCCTGACATAGAGCCATGTGGAGCACACCCTTTATGCCTCCTTTGCAAGGGAGGCTGGCGAGATGCAGGTCTCACTAATGAGAAAGACAGTGACAGAGTACAAGGCAGGGGATGCAGCAGACATAGAAGGATGGAACAGACATGGGGATTTTCTAGCAAGGCACATTTGGATTGTGCTTACCTTGGGGTACACTCTGGGCCTTCATGCAATTAGGGTGATGAAAATTAGGAAGCAACCTAAAAGTTTTATCTAATTGCCACTCCTGTCTTATCCCCTATTCTTTGTAATACATAGAATTTTTGTGGTTGTTCTCCAGAATCTCTATTCTCAAGAATCCTGTAAGTATCTTTGTGCTATCAATGTTCCATCTGATGCATTCGTCCTTCTACTTCAGTTCCCGCTGCCCTTCTGGCCTCTCCTTCCAGACTACTCTCCATTCATACTGTTGTTGGATGAATGACTGATACAGTAGCATTACCTCTTTTAGGAGTCTGTGTGTTAACTACCATTAGATCCTTAAGTTAAAAAGATGAGGGAAAGTGAAAATGTAATGGAACATAAGTAATACAGTCTACTTACTGTTGTTTACAAACACAGTGGTCATTTTGAAAAGATTCATATTTATCCAGCATGAACCTAAAGTCTACTAAAAAAAAAGGCATGCAAGAAATGTCCATTTATTTTATTTAAATGAAACTGAATAATATGAAGCCTCCATCCTTGTCGAAAGATGAGACAGTCAATCTTAGAAATTGCTACTCTTGTTCCCTTTCTCTGACCTGACTCCTGATCAAGTCAGACCAAATACTTGGAAAGTTATGTGATGCCCAGAAAGCAGGGTCGTGGCTGTGAGCTGCAGGTGTCTTCTCTGTCCAGAGCTGGCTGCAGGCACATCTGCTGCTTCTTAGCCACGCATGCAGCTGGGAAACTTTGCTGAGTCCCAACCATGCTCCTACTCCTCCTTGGGACACAGCAATGAGGCAATGCAGAGAGAGATCCATGAGTGCAGAGTCAGACTTCCCATTTGAGACATGCTGGTCATGGAGACCTCACCAGGGGGTATCTTTTCAGCAAAGGCTGAAGGAAGTGAGGGGGAATCACATAGAGTGGTAGACTAACAGCCTACAAGCATGGCCGGGCACGGTGGATCATGCCTGTAATCCTACCACTTTGGGAGGCCAAGGCAGATGGATCATGAGGTCAGGAGTTCGAGACCAGCCCGGCCAACATAGTGAAACCCCATCTCTACTAAAAATACAAAAAAAAAAAAAAAAATTAGCAGGGTGTGGTGGCGGGAGCCTGTAATCCCGGCTACTTGAGAAGCTGAGGCGAGAAGAATCACTGGTACCCAGGAGACGGAGGTTGGAGTGAGCTGAGATTGTGCCACTGCACTCCAGCCCAGGTGACTGTGAAACTCCATCTCCAAAAACAAAATTGAAAAATAAATAAATAAATAAAGTGCTACAAGCCATAGGCTTCTCAACCTAAAGGGAGATTCCTCCTCCCAGGGGCCATTTTCAACTGTGTAGGTGTGTGTTTGGTTGTCACAATAACTGGTAAGGGGTGAGGGATAAAGGAGGCACTCTTGTTGGTAAATAGGTGACAGAAGCAAGGAACCTCAAAATCCTGGGATGCACAGGACATCCACAGACAATGAAGAACTCAAGAAGAGTCCGACAAAAAAAATGCCAGTAACATCCTTGTTGAGAAATGGGAAGCAGAAAGAGCAAGTGAAAAGCCATGAGGCTGGAGCACTCCCACACAGCCCCATGTACACTTTTTGTTAGCCTAAAGCAGGACTGCTGTGGTCTCCACCCCCTCATACCTTCTCCAATCGCACTGCAGCTCAGCAGCTCAGACGCAGCTTGTGCTGTGTATCTGCCCCTTGGTGATGTGTGCATTTTATCCCAGAACTTGGAGTACCACAGGGCTCAGGAACTCCATGATGAGAGCACGCATGCTTGTCCTTCAGACTTGTGGGTGAATTTGCTGGTGGTGACTGATTTACATAAAGTAGGAAAATCACTGGGATTTCCTACAGTGGGAGACCAAAGGTCCTGTGTACTTTGCTCACATGCAAAAAATGCTCTTTACCTGGAGAGTTATTTTGTAAATAAAATAAAATATAAAATAAAATAAAATAGGGGAAGTTCAATACTCCCCAAGAATTTCATCCACTTTGCTGGGAACACTAGAGGAAAATAGCTAACACTTTTCATAGATAACTTAGACTCTAATTGATCAATTTATGGACTATATTTGTGAAGAAATGAAGAATTTTGCATTTTCCATTTCCATATATATATATGGAATATATATATATTCATATATAAAAAATTCATATATAAATTCATATATAAAAATATATATATATTCATATATGTTTTTTGACAGGCTCTTGCTCTGTTTCCCAGGCTGGAGTGCAGTGGCACGATCTCAGCTCACTGTAACCTCCGCCTCCTGGGTTCAAGTGATTCTTCTGCCTCACCCTCTCGAGTAGCTGGGATTACAGGCACATGCCTCCACGTCCAGCTAGGTTTTGTATTGTTTAGTAAAGAAGGAGTTTCACCATATTGGCCAGTAGGCTGGAACTCCTGGCCTTAAGTGAACCACCCACTTCGGCCTCCCAAAGTGCTGGGATTACAGGCATGAGATACCACGCCCAGCCCATAATTTCTTTGACAATGAAATTGTCTGGCATAGTTGTTCTACAGTTCAGATCCTCTCTATAATTTTTTTCCTTTCTCATTTTAGTACAAGCTTCTAAAATAGTAGGATAAAAATATTAGGCTATACTTTGATAAATTTAACTTTTTTAAACAATAAATTTCCTCGTGGCTTTAAAAATCCATTTAATAGAATCCTCCTGTGTGTTTGAGCTACGCTTTCTCCATACAATGAAATCACACATGCTTATTAATAATTCTGTTGTTTTACCACCTTTGAAGAAAAACATTAAGCATTACATTTTTATTCCACATTTTATTTTATTGAATAGGATCCCAGAAGAGGCATCAAAAAAAATTTGCCTCCAACTATGGTTCAGAGTACAATGCCTCGCAAGGCCCACTAGCTAGCAAGCCATGCTATAACCTAACTCTAGCAACAGATTCCAGTAAATAGAGCTGCCTTGGTTGACTGGATCATTGCTCCCTTATCAAGGCTACTTTGTTGTAAATAAGGGAGCAAGGTCAGAATGAAGGCATGAGTTGAAGCAGGACTGTCATACCTTATCTCTGACCATTTTCTCACTCAAAGATATTTTCTGTCCTTTGGTAATTCTTTATTAACTCTTGCAGAACTGGTTGAACAGAAATACACTTCACCAAATTTCTTTTCTAGCCCTGAAGGACATAACAATACATCTTCTCTAGCAGGGAAGAAGGGCCAGACCTGCCTTTGCTCTTTGCATATTTAACCTAAGCTGAATTTATAATCAATTGCTAGGATGGAATATTTAACGCTCACTGAGAGCCTAGGCAGCAACTGTTCAAGGCACTTTTCAGCAGACTCTGAGAGACACCTGGAAATGCTCCCATGAATGATTTGGGTCACTCTGAACCTGAAAATCTAAACCATGTCCTAACATTTCCTATTCATATTGATTATAGCCACGTGGACACCATCAGAGAAGCTAAATCTTTTCAAAAATTTAAACTTTCCTATAAGAGGGAAATAGAAAAATGTATGTTTTATTTATTGCATAACCTAATTCTTTTACCTGCGGGTTTTCATTTCATCCCTGGAGTAAGTTATCAACGGTTTGCAGTGGAATGAGGAAACACATAGTATTCTTTCTGCAGCATCTGTGCATCATTCAACCTGTGGCATATTTTGAGATTTGACATGATATCCAATATTGCCAAAGAGAAACCGCTAAGATATGACACCATCATTATCCTAAACATTGAGGGAAAACAGTTTCAATTAGGTCAGAAGTTCTTCAATAACTCCCCCTAATTATCTCCACTTTTGAAGTCTCATTGCAATTAACTCAAACACTTATTATGGTGTTCATTCTTGTTTCTTTCTTATACGTGTACTGTTTATTTTTATGCTTGATCTTCTGAATTGGATTAAAAATCCTTTTAGGATTTTATCATTTCTGTTTTTCCACAACACCTGCAGTAGGAGGAAACTACTGTACATGCCCATGAAACGTGGATTAAATAAATAAATTCAAAATTAGCCATGAACCTACCCAGTATTGTTACTATTTCAAGAATTGTGAAGGATGATCATTACTAATAATTGAAGGTAGAAGACTTGCAGGTAGAACAGCTTGCTTCGGTAATATAAACTTTGTTGAATTGCTCAGCTTTTAAATAAAATGCAACACACGCTATTTTCACGAGCAAGAAGATTTTTTTGCCCCAAAATGCTCACAAAAATCCATAAA
This sequence comes from Homo sapiens, assembly GCF_000001405.40. Taxonomy (NCBI): domain Eukaryota; kingdom Metazoa; phylum Chordata; class Mammalia; order Primates; family Hominidae; genus Homo; species Homo sapiens. Next base: position 220,900,956 of record NC_000002.12, read on the forward strand.
CATTATCCATTATCAGAATAAATGTTCCCTAGGTAGAGTGTGGATCTCATTAGGGCAGATATCATTCTTCCTCTAGATAGAAATTAAATATAACTATAATGTTTATATGTCAGTGCTTTACATGTGGTAAGTACTCAATAAATGTTTAATTTATTTTCTAGAAATTTCTCATATTTTGGCAATAAATTAAATGAATAATTTAATTTTTTTGTCTCTTACTAGAATAAATGCAGACTTTAGGGCTCAATGTATGGCCTTTTAAAGGGATAACAAACTGGATTATCCAAGTGTGGCATGCCACCTGTGTGGGGAAAAAACAACCAATCTTGCTTCTTCCCCAATCCCAGGATCTGAGTGGTGTGGCTTATGCAAATTACCATGAGAACACCTGGAGCATCATGGAAAACTGGCAATAAGTCCATGAGTATGGCAAACCCAGGGCTAAGAGCGCTAGCCTTGCAGGGGAGATGATGCCCAAAAAGAAGACATGATGACCCTAATTACTCTGTCTGTGATCTGAGATCTGAGCTGTCTAAGTGGGCTTCATCTGACCACATCGGCAAGGACCCCAGCCTTAGGAGTCTCTGGACACCAAAGACAATTCTGTTGCAATTACAGAGATGGCCGGGGGTCCATTTGAGCTAAAATAGGGCCCTAGTCTGGGGTCTAGAGTAAGGGGTATGGGGTTTACTGTGCCATACACCGATTCTAGTAACAGGTAACACCACCCAAGGTTATTTGGCATTCGAAATAGTGCACAAGCACAGTTGAGCATGTGGCCTTAACCCCAAAGGTGAGGGTTAGTAGGTGGTGCTACTGTTCAATGACATCAAGTTATTGGGATATGACTCTTAATAATATCACATGTTAGCCTGTGATTGGTTCAAGGACTGGGCTAAGCTGAGCAGGCAGTGCTTAAGTATAGCTAGTCTCAGTGCTTAAGTATAGGTAGTCTCAGTGCTTAAGTACAGGAAAAGCCAGCCCATTCAGTCCTAGGTCTCTAAACCTGATTATATCTCAATACCTGGTGTTTCATCTTACGTCCTTAAACAATCCTTGAATGGCCATCAGTATGTTATTTCTAAATCACCCTGCCTATGTGAAATGATTTCTCTCATTGGCTAGCTTCTCAGCTGACCCCTGAAGTTTCCTAAAGGGTCTTAGCCACTAAATACCAGTAAGTCAACCTTGTCATTGATATGGTCGTTTTCATGACGTATGTAAGAAATTGACACACAGAGATGATATGTGGCTTGTCACAGAAAAATTAGTTCCAGGGCTAGCAATAAGAGTAAGGCCTCTAATATGCTCTATCATGCAATGTTGCATTTTCTTTGTCCATTTCCAAAATGATTTTTTTGCTTTACCTATTTAAAAACCTCTTATTCTAAACTAGGTTCTTTCACTATTTGTTGATTCTTAATAAACTCTATCTGTAGCCAGCTTCAGGCTAAGTTTTCCCTGTAAAGGAGCAAAAGAAGTAATCACAATATTGGGATTTTTTAATGAGAGAATCACCAAGCCAACCTAATTAAAGAAGGTCAATTAAACATAGCACTAAACCATCTGAAGTACAAAGAGCAATTTTCTGTTTAGAAATTCAGGATACAGCAATTAACTGGTTAATTTGACATGTAACCAGGATACAGATTCCCAAAGCACAACGCTGTTTCTTAGACTTTCAAGTACTGTAGTTACTTTACACTCATTTTAACAAGCATTCGTTTGTGGGTTAAAATTTCTTTTGTAGGTTGCTTTGGAAACCACATAGTTGAGTAAGATTCAAAAATCAGTTTAATGTAGTCTGCCTCTATCCTGTTGTTATCCTACCAGACCCATCTCTTGGTTAATTCTTGATTTAGCATCCAACTGGGAAGACAGTTAAAACTAATGTCCTTTGGAAGAAAGCAGCCAAGTAAAATCATTCTCAATTAATCCAGAAAACCTTCAATTTCTCATGAAGTGGTTCTCAGAATTTGGGGTTAAAATACTACCTAGAGATGTGAAAAATATATTAATTAGCAGGCTTTCCAGAAATTCAGTTGGTAAAAGGTGAGGTCCAAGAATCTGCATTTTAGTAAGAAGACACTAGTGATTTCTATGTGCTGCACAGACTGTATTTGGAAATATTCATTCTTTATAAAATGATGTATTAAACACCCTCCAAAACCTCTCTGTGCACCTACTTGTCCCAATTACAATATTAACTTAAATTTGATAGTCTTGTGTAATAGAGAACCCAAGGATCAAAAAAGGCTGTTCAGTTCTACCTACTGCTTTGTGATTTATCTTACAGAGCTAAATAGAAGGACCACATCTTGAAACTACATCACCTTAAGTTTATTCCTCCCTACCCCGACCAAAGTCCAGAGCCTGTATATATTTGAAACCTAATCTCCTTAATCATGTGTGTCTCTTGACTTAAGGTTTTTATTTACTACTTTTCTGTGTCCCTACAGAATTGATTACTGGGTAAACCATTTCTGGCTCTCTCCAAAAGTTGATGTCTGTGTGTTATATAGAGTTAGACAGACCCGTCAGGAGTTTCAAGGATATTATACAGGTGGCTACGTAACAGTTAGAGTTAACAGAGATGTGAGAATATGTCCCACAGGGAACAGAGGTTTCCTTTTTTCAAAAACAGAAGATTGATGTAAACAGAACATTAGCAAAGCTTCTATTCTTCAGCAGGATTTCATTTAAAAAGCGAGAGAGAGAGTGCACAAATTTTTAGGTTGAGGCCTTCTGCCTCTTGATCGTGCAACAGAGATATATGAAAAATAAACCGATTCATTTTCAGAGCCTGACAATAGTCAATATGATGAATTGAATAAATGCTACCCCAAGGAGTGCTTTTTAACCTGCTGCTCTTTTTTCATTCTAGCAAAAATGCCTGTCCTCAAAGCAGAGCCCGGGTCAACCTTCACAAACTGGCATGAACTCCAAGCCCATCTCCTGAGCAAAGGGAGTCCTGACTTAGTGCATTTGAAATGCAGGCCCATTGTGATGCCCATCTAACCCCTGAAACTGGGTCACTGATAGCTCTGCTTATACCCAAACAGCATTCAGTTCTGGGGTGTCTCAGTGCTTAATGTTAGTGGTCTGGAACTCTCTAAGGCAGAGTTTCATAACTCCAAGCAAATTGTTTTACTATTGTATCTGTACATCTCTGAAACCAGCCACAAATTCAAAGAGCCCCTGGAATCACCCTTTGTTCTGGAATCCCTGAATTCCTAGGCCTTCTGAGTAACCACTACAGAATCTTCTTGAGCCCAAAGTGGTGCCTTAGCATGACAAAGACGCCAAGATTTTCACCGCCATATGAATGTGCTCCTAACCAAAACAGACCAGTCATATCTGTTCATATGACATTTTAACTACCCATCACTCCAAATCATAGACCTATGAGGCCTCAGATGACATGAAACCCAAGAATAATCTATTGCTATTTAAATTGGTTCATACGTAGCTCAAGGATTACCTGGTAATTGTACCAGGGAGGTACCTAAGCCCATAAGATTTAAGTGAGGCACAATTTTCTGCAACATGAAATTTGCTTTTAAAAGCACGAAAGAGTGGCCGGGCACGGTGGCTCACGCCTGTAATCCCAGCATTTTGGGAGGCTGAGGCTGGCGGATCATGAGGTCAGGAGATCTAGACCATCCTGGCTAATATGGTGAAACCCCGTCTCTACTAAAAATACAAAAAAAAAAAAAAAAAAAAAAATTAGCCGGGCAGGGTGGCAGGCGCCTGTAGTCCCAGCTACTTGGGAAGCTGAGGCAGGAGAATCGCTTGAATCCAGAAGGCAGAGGTTGCAGTGAGCCCTGAGATCGCACCACTGCACTCCAGCCTCCGCGACAGAGCAAGACTCCATCTCAAAAAAAAAAAAAAAAAAAAAGTACGAAAGTACGAAAGAGGCCGGGTGTGGGGGCTCACGCCTGTAATCCCAGCACTTTGGGAGGCCAAGGCGGGTGTGGATCACCTGAGGTCAGGAGTCCGAAACCAGCCTGGCCAACATGGTGAAACTCCGTCTCTGCAAAAGTACAAAAAATTAGCCGGGCATGGTGTCACGTGCCTTTAATGCCAGCTACTCTGGAGGGTGAGGCAGGAGAGTTGTTTGAACCCGGGAGGCGGAGGTAGCAGTCTGCGGAGATCACGCCACTGCACTCCAGCCTGGAGGACAAAGCAAGACTCCATCTCAAAATAAATAAATAAATAAAAATAAAAATAAAAAGTATGAAAGAAAAGTACATGTTTATATTTATATTTAAATATTATGGAGCAGGGCACACAATTTGACTGGACTTTGTAACATAAAAGTAAGATTCCAAAGAAAATTTTTGCTTGCATTCCTCTCTTAGGGACTAATACCTTAGGGATATCTTAGGGAATATATTCATTCTCTTTTGTCGCTGAGGCATGTGTTTGGAAAAGTTGGGAACCACCATGCCAATATTCTCATTTCATAGAAAAAAGAAAGTGAAGCCATGATTTGTTCGAAATCAACAATAAACTGGTATCAGAACTAGCTATGTTTCCTTTTCATAGCCTTCACTTGTATTATTTCTTGCTCAGTCTCCCTTGTTACATCATAAATCCCGGGAAGGTCATTTTTATTTTTAGATTCTGCTAAGGTTTACATGCAAATAATTCCAATAAAGATATAAGATGATATAAGACTGACATATTTTCAAAAGTCATGTATAATTAATATGTCTAATTATTTTCTTGAGTATTTTCACAGGAAAAGGGAGAAACAGAATTTAATAGTGGTCTGGGAGTGAACATAGCTTTCTTAAGAATGTGCGTATGTGTGTGTGTGCTGTGCACGTGTATAAATGTAAATGTAAGTGAGTCTAGATTTCTGAGTTTTGCAGTAGAAATGCATTAGGTAAGACAAATATAGCATAAAATAAGGGGAAGCCCAAAGCACTGAATACACATTTCCCTATTTGCAATTGTGCACAATATTATAGCAGTTGTTATAACCCAAATATTGCATACCTAACCTCGGCCTTTTCCTTAGAAAAATCATGCCTTCTTGAGTGTTTCCATCACTCATGTGAAAATACAGCTAAACATCTTTCCACTTGCAGCTGCTCGAAGTAATGGATTATGCCTTTGAACTTGCCAGTAAACTTCACGGTCCCGGTATAAATATCAAACTTGTCAAACTTGCTTTCCATGGAAGCCCTATAATGAAAGGCTTATCTGTTTGGGGGTAAGTTAATGCCTCAATGTTGCCTCAAAGCAAGATCCTGAGAAAATTTAGGTTGTAGAGAAGTTCCTGCCAGCTATCAGGGTCATCTCTGGCCAGGCCCAGAGGCTGGTTTCACTGAAGTTTGGATCCAGCCACTCTTCTGGCTTCCACAAAGCCCGGCGCTTTCCGGGTGAACTCTATGCCTTCTCTGCTCTCCCCTTCCCTTTGAATCAGCACTTCAGAGGATCAAAGAGGTCCACATGCAAGAGCTACCATGGAAAACAGTCAGGAGGGTATGATGGGATTTCACCAGGGACCTAAGGGGTGCCTAATGCTGCCAGGCGAATAGTTGAACAAATACGGCTCAGCCAGCTCATTACCAGGCTTCAGGTGGCAGTCTGTGAGGGCCAAGGACAATTTCTCTGAATCTGGGTTGTAAGGGAATAGCTAACAGTTTTCTTCTTTCTGGGAAATATAGATTTAAAAAAAGAGAGAGAAAACCCTGAAACAAGATATCTGCAATCTGATAATGACAAAACCACATTTCAGTGTTGAATTGCAGAGGGCAAAAGAGTATTTTTTAAAAAAGGGGAGTTAGAACAGAAATAATATTAATAAAGTAATAAGAGTGGCTTTGGAACACTTGCCTTACTGATCTGTTCCTTGCAAACACTTAAGTCTAAATCATGTTTTTATCATGAAAAGCTGGCCTCCCGTGTGGATGGGCTGTTGATTTCTTAGCCATCCCTACTAGGCGCTGAGCATCTGAGCATCAATCATCAAGAGTCTTATTGTATAGGAAGACCAGGGGTCTTTTGTTTTCTCCTTTAGGGTAGTTGAGGAATGATTTTCTAATGAGAACCTTCTGGTCTTCTTTAGACAAGAAACTTTGTGATCTCAAGTTTCCACACTACACCCTAGAAAAAGGCTGTGGGTTTTAATATGCTCTGTGGTACAGAACCAAAGGAAAAACTCAAGGAACAATTGCTGGTCATCAGATAAAGCCCTCTGAACAAATGTTTCTACCTGGCCCCACTAATAAAGATGCCAGACCTGTTGTTTCTTTTTCTTTTTTCTTTTTTTTTTCCCACTTCTAGATCTGTGGCCAGCTGTATTGTAGTTAAATTTCAAAATACTCATTTGGCAGCTTTGTATAGTGGTACTATAATGTTTATAAAGCCCACGGTGCTAGTTTGAAAGTGACATGCACAGATATGCACTTTAAAGGGGGCATAAAATGAACAATATGCATTACCAAATGCAATACCCTGTATTAACCACATTCATATGAGTTTTGTATTTACTCCAATAAACCAGTAGTGCCAGATGTAAAATTAGCCTGTAAAACTTTCCCTCTACTTTACCATCCACTATTACTACTCTCAAATACCAATGTACAAAGGTGGCATCTTTCTTTAAAACAAGACGTTTAAGAAAAAGCTGTATAATACATACCACATGCAGCACACATATATTCATTATATACCATACATATTTATATATATATATAACATACACAACATATTTCACTATTTATGATGTGTGTATGTATATATACACACATATATAAAATAGTTACAATAATTTTAATTATTGAGGAAATTGAATGAGGCTCTCTCATTTCCAATTTGACTTGCTCATGCCATATATTAAAGGGATTTAAAAAGCCCTGTGTCCTTGAAAATTGTTCCCCTGATGTGTATCAATATTCTATTTTTGAAAGAGAACAATATTTTGTAAAGGACTTTGGTGGTGGTTGCCCAGCCAGTGCACATTACTCATCCTTGAGATAAAACCATTGGAATTTTCCTTGGGGAACCCACTTGTAGCTTAAGCAAGTTAACCCCATCCCCTCCTCTGTAAGCTGGGGCAGCAGTGGGCACAGAAGCCAGGCATGGATAAGCAGGTCACTTGGCCACCACTGTCAGCAGTTATTTCGTCTTGGATGGACATATGAACCACACCAGGGCCATGAGCTGTGGTACAGACTTTCATTAGAACCTTTGGGAAAAGAAGACACTTGCATCATTAGACTTGAAGCTATGAAGATGCGTGTCTATTGCATGCATCTGGGACTGCAGAGGAGGCCACCCAAGAATGGAGCTTACCCATTGGAAAGCCCAGTTAAAGAATGGAGAGAAGCCAGTCCGAGTTTATAAGTTGAGAGATGGCTCCAAGTGTGCCGAAGGCCAGTTCTTCCATGGACTTTTCGGGTAAGTGAGTTGGTAAATCCCTTTGTTGGCTAAGCCATGTTAAGTTAGAGTTTCTCTCTCTTGCAACTAAAAGTATGTTGACTAATACATCTTTATTTCATAAGTTCCAGTTAATTTTCTCAGAATAATCTGTAAGTTAAATATTATTATCTTCATTTAACAAATTAAATATCTGAGACTCAGAGGAGAAAACTAAGTTAACTCACTAGTCCAAGACAATTAGTCAGTCACAGAAGAGAGACCTGCCTAACTCCAGAACCTAGGTTTTTAATATACATGAATCTAGGGTTTTAAGTGTATCTTTAAATGTGAATATATTTGAAAGGAGAAATAATTTAAGCAAGTTATAAATAATTTAAATCTTAATTAAATGAAAGATCTAAGTGTACCTTTAGTTCAAAAAATGAACTTCAAAGGAAGCGGAATCTGAAAGAAGGCCAGATGTGTGACTATACTGATGAGAAACACTTGGAGATAGCAATTAGCAAGAGGTGACATTCACTGAGGGCACATAAATGAACGGATGTAATCCCCCCCCCAAACCCCATGAGATAGATACTATTATTATCCCCATTGTGTAGATGGGAAAACCAAGGCACACACAGGTATAATAACATGTTCAAAGTTATGCAGCTTCTAGATGCAAGCAGCCCTCCACATCTGAATCTTATTTTAATGTACACGGAAAAGTAGAAGATGCATTCTTAAATAGAATGTATTACTTGTGCTAACAAATACTGTAAATTGCTTTGACAGAAATATTCCTCTAGAATTCTGCAGTCTCTAGAACATGGTTTGATAAACCACCTGATCAAACAAACGATTTAGCCTTTAAGACTTCACTTTAAGAAAACCTTGCTAGAAGGAGGATATTAAATGTTTCCAACACACACACAAAAATGACAATTGTTTGAGGTAATGAATGTGCTAATTACCCTAATCTGGTCACTCACTATACATTATATGAATGGAAACATCATGATCTGTCCAATGAATTTGTAAATTATTATTTGTCAATTAAAAAAGTTAAATTAATTACTTTAAAAAGAAAACCACTGTTCTATGGAAATGTATTATAAACCGTTATTTTCCACTGACATACCTAGAAGGATGGAAATTATAAAGACAATAGCTCTCATCACTGAGAAGTTTATTTAGCAGATTCTGAAGTCCTAAGGTCTTTATATTTTAGAAAAAAAAAAAGTGGGGGAAGTATCAAAGACTTTTCTTGCAGCCTAACTGCCAGAGATGTTACTGGAAGTTATTTGATAATTACAGACACAGTGCTGGCTCTGGGGTAATCAATATGATTTTCAATAACTGTTTAACATGACTCTTGAGAATCTAGGTGAGTTCTGAAAATATAAGAGCAAAAATTGTGTATGAAAAGGTGTATTCGTAGGTGACATATCTGCACTAGTGATCTCCAAACCTTCAGAGGGTTCATTGATAAGGAAGGGGTAAAGGTCACCTAAAATACTTCTCTTTAAGCAACATGGATTTGAGTGGTCCTGTTCTCTGTCCATTTTCAATGGTCTACGGCCTTTTAGACAGCTATGAAAAGAGCTTTGTCTAAAGCAAATCTTTAGATGGTCCTATATGACCTTACCCTAATTTCCCAGAGACATTGGGTGACTTTTCCTTTGTGAGGAAGATCAGGCAGAGAATATCTTAAAAGAGGATAAAAAAGATGCTGAAGAAATGAAGGGAATGTAATTCTTTCAAAACCTTGCCATAAAGCTACCTCCATGTGCTAAGAATAATTTCACATTATAGATGTCTGCTACTTTCGGGTCTTTTATGTAAAAATAGTAACTTTCAAGTAGCGTATATAATGGTCATTTTAACCAGCTGGAGCAGGGTTCTTCATGTTAAGCCCCAGCAGCCTGACCATGACTTCCTGGGACATAACTAAGAAACAGACTGGTCCAATCCATTGGCTCATGAAAATGCCTATAAATGCATTTTTTATAGACCTTGCTGCTTATGGGAGTGTGTAGGGAGGACATGGCTGAGACGTTACAAAATATCCCATTTAATTACTCGGTAATAGGGTAGAGTAGGTCTCACAAAAGAGGAATCATTACTTTAGAAATGAAAATACAATTTTCTAGAACTCTCTTCTAAATATTTGGAATAACAACCCAGGGCCCCATATTGCTATTTTTGCCCTGAAAGCTTTTCCAGATACAACACAAGGGAACACACTTGTGAAGGGAACACACTTCAAAGTTCACAATTTTTAAATTTTATTTCTATTTTTTTGCAGAGACGGCAGTCTCACTATGTTGCCAAGGCTGGTTCAAACTCCTGGGCTCAAGCGATTCTCCTGCTCCAGCCTCCCAAAGTTCTGGGATTACAGGTGTGAGCCACCACACCCAGCCCAAAGTTGATAACTTATTTCTCCATTTCGTTATGAATGGCCATGTTAAAAACCAAAGAATAAAAAAAGAGAGAGAGAAAAAGCAAAGCAGTGCATAATGGAATACAAAAGTAGTGTTCTACAAAAGAGTTCACTTACATAGGCCTTAAATACATCTAAAATGTAATTTTCTTCTTAGAAATACAACTTTTATGTCACCTATCAGTATAATATCTTACTATGTAAAGTAGATTTCAAATGTTACTTGATAAGTCAAATTTTATTGCAGTTTTTACTCCCCGCAACTGGAAGTACTCACTGCCTGCATGGAAAAAAACTATCATCTTGCCATCAGATCTTAGTGTTTGATTGATATGCATTAATACTAACATTATAATTCACAAACTATAATATGGGATGAAACTCAGAAACAATAAGAGAAAAAATGGCCATAACTACCCTATGCTATATCTGTATTAGCTTTTGCGTTATCCATATTTTGGTTCTCCTTCATTTGTGTGGGTAATGAAGAACTGACTGTAATTGCATTCAGTTCATTGATGCTGAATTCAATCTTAGGTCTGAGGTCATTACCTGACTATTACACATTGGCATTATAAATGCTCTCTAGTGCTGCAACGGGTAGTCTTAGATCTGCCGGAAGCCCGAATTTTTTAAATTTGAGTTTAAGAATTTGTCTAATGTCCTTACGAAATAAAGATTAATAAAACTCTGCCCTGCGTAAGATAAATCAAGCAAAGATAATTATATTCATTTTCATAATTTCTCATTATAATAGCCTTTCATAAAAGAAATCAAAAGTACTTAGATTTGGTTACTAATAGGTATATCTAACTAATATATGACAGATAATAAAAGATAATTTATGTAAAAAAATTCAATGTGTTAACATTGATTGTGAAACAATTCTGGAGTATCAAAGCAAACAATATGACAGAAGAGCAATATCCTTGAAATAATTTCTTGCTACCTATATTTTGGTTAGGATGTTTTCTATCTTTTTCCTTTTAATATTTCTTCACTCGTGCTGGAATTTGTTTCCAACTCTAAAATGAACCATTACTTGAATAACAAGATTTTTCTCAAAAAAAGAAACCTTAAAGTATCCACTTTTGAATTTACTAATCATAAAATAAATATGTATCCCTGTAATTATACAACCTATTTTCTTCTGTATTGCAAAGTTTGAGTCTAATTATTTTTATAATCAAAAGATTAATATTTGTTGAATCATTTTGATGTTTGTCATTATGTAGGGCTTCAAAATAACTTTTTTCCCCCAAGCCCGTGTTCTCCACCTTCATGTCTTTAGTACTTTTAAGATTGATAGTATTTCAGCATATACAAAAAATACTAAGATATATAATCTGCATTTCTATTTGGTAAACTATATTACTGTGTTACATTTTTTGTTCTTCATCGATTACCTACTTTTAGAAGTTCTACAAGGTCTCTTAAATGTCAGTCAGAAGATATTGACAGATGTTCATCTCCCTTAAGCTTTCAGAATTCAAGAACAGATTATATTAAGTTCTCCTACCTTTCAACATTTGATGATGATTTCCAAGAGTTTTAGCTATTTCTATTGTTTTTAGTTGCAGGTAACCTGCTCCATAGAGAATGCATTTTCGTTTTGACTCCACATTCTGTTATAATGTTAAAAATAAATTTTACTTGAAAAATTGAATTTTAATCTTTAGTGAAAATTCAACTGCATGTGGAGCCACCATTGCCAAAAATGTAATTAAGGTGACAAGAGAAGGAAAGTCACCTCTACACACAGCTGATCTCACATATGTGCAGTCAAAGATCAGTGCTTCACAATTACTCCCTGCCTGGTACTGATAGTAATATGCAACTCAATATCACTAATATTAAATTAAACAAAACAAAACTGTACCTTAGACTAAGGTATTTCTGCTTTCTGAAATTCCCTTAATGTCTCCCATATTTGTTTTTCAGATTCTGAAATTTTCAAGGCCTTTGTGTTCTTTGGCAAAGGAATCCTTCTCTCCTACAACCTCCTCTAATGCATGTTATTTCATGGTTATTTATGCATCTGTCTTATTTATTCTAGTAGATTGTAACTGTTGAAGCATGCATGGAGGACTGTGTTTCTCTAGCTGCTTTTAGCCTGGCTTTCTGTGCCAACATATTCCTGCATAGCTCTGAGAGTTTCACCAAAATTCATTCAGTGCAAAGGTATAGGGACTACCATTAGCTATACTTTGTTAAACTGGCCATATTACAGAGTTATCGAACACACAGATTAGTGAGAGTTCTAATCGTGGGTCCCTTCTGCTGTATATCTGAGGAAATCCATTTTTCTTTCTTCCAAAATAATTATAGTGAGAATGTTCTGCATGCCAAAAATGTTCATTCTTAGATATAAAGATAGGTTATGAAGAAGAGGCAGGATTCATATTCCTCCTTACAGTAGTACATAGCAAATGCTGTTGAATGAGCGATTTAATATCTGTTGAATGAGTGATCATATAAATTACAGTCTCTGTGTATTCATGATCTATTGCTGCATAACAAATTACCCCAAAACTTAGCAGCTCAAAACAGCAAATATTAATTCACACTTTCAGTGGGTCAGGATACTGGGTGTGCTTTTAGCTAGCTACCGCTGGTGCAAGGTCTCTGATGATATTGCAGTTACACTGTCTTCAGGGGCTACAGTCATCTCAAGGCTCAAATGGGCCTGAAGGATCTGCCTTCAAGCTCACTCATGTGATATTAGCAGGTTATAGTTGGATTTGGGGCCTTTATTCCTCATCATGCTGTGAGGAATCCTCACAGCATAATAGCTTTACTTCACCCAGCATGAGTAATCCAGAGAGAGGGAGAGAGAGAGAAACTTCAAATGCTCAAGATGGAAGTCACAGTCTATTTTTTTTAATAACCTAATCTCAGAAGTGGCTTTTCACCATTTCTCCCATATTTTATATCTCAGAAAGAGACAGTAGTGTAGCTGACATGCAAGGGGAGGGGATTACACAGGGCATGAATACTAGGAGATAAGGAATATTGTGGGGTTCTTCTAGAGGCTGCCTACCACAAAGTACATGTGACAAAATATTGCTCTATCATGCTGAATATAATAAACTTGCCAGAAATGGCTGCATGTAGCTTGGAGGTCAAGAGAAATAAAGGGAAAGTGGCTTAGCACCTCATATCTGTAGAGGCTATCATGTAGAATAACTTGTTTCCCACCTTGTTTGACTTCAGAGTGTGTTCTTGTTCAGGCTTATTAAAGATTATTGTTGAGGACAATAATCTACCACTGAAGCCTCACATTGATAGCATCAATTTTATTTGTTTTTATTTATTTATTTTTATTTTTTTTAGAGACAGAGTCTCGCTCTCTCACCCAGACTGGAATGGAGTGGTGAAATCTCTGCTCGCAGCAGCCTCCACCTCCTGGGTTCTAGCAATTCTCCTGCCTCAGCCTCCTGAGTGACTGGGACTACAGGCATGCGCCACTAAGGCTGGCTAATTTTTTGTATTTTTTTTTTTTAGTAGAGATGGGGTTTCACCCTGTTGCCCAAGCTGGTCTCAAACTCCTGAGCTCAGACAATCAGTGCTAGGATTACAGGCGTGAGCCACCTCACCTGGCCAATAGCATCAATATTAACCAGTGACTTCCATTTTTAAAAACATATTTTATGAGATGATCTAGTAAAAATTCCAAATACCCAGTGATACCCAGTGAGATGAATAGAATAGAATAGAATAGAATAGAATAGAATAGAATAGAAGACGATTGTGTTTCAGTTATTGCAGTTATTAATTATGGGAAATCATTTGATGTATCTTTTTTTAAAAAATCAAGTAAAAAGAGAATTATTTTCTTTTTTACCATTTTTTTTACTTCAACTTTTTTTTAAACAATTTCTTGAGTATAGCTCAATGCAAAAGAGGGAGGAAAATCTTCCTAGTTCAATTGTTCAGTTTGCTTTTATTAATTGAAATATCAATACAATAGAAAAAACTATAATATTCTTACAGTTGCCACATTTCTTGATATTTTGGAATTAGCCACTGAGCATTCAAGCCTGAAAATGGCTCTTAAAGAGAATGCCTAACAACATAGAACAGCCAATGGAATGTGTGGAAATTATTCTTTCTAGGATTAGGAAATCCTAGAACTAATCTGGGAGGAGCAAATGCAAGTGCCATGAAAGGTTTATCCTTTCTACTTCCTGAGCAGTACATTTTTCTGGGAGAGAATGGAAAAAACATTCAGCAATAGCTGTGGGTGAAAAGAGGAGTCACCCCTACGCAAGGGGAGTCGGTGCCTAGAAAATCAAGGCTGCATGGAGCACAAAGCCTCAGATCATGGCCTCCATCTTAGGTGAGCAAAAAGCAGACTCAACAAGCTGCTCAAGATCACATGTAAGTTAGTGTTGAAGTTGCCAGCAAGTAGAAACTCCCTCACTTTCCAGTATCCCCCACAGTGCATTGCAATCACCAGCTACCCTGAACACTCCAGCTGTCTCTTAATTTGGCTTCCTTCTGAGTGTCCTCTCTCCACTTCCCAGATCTGAGTCAGAAAATCTCCGGTAGGTAGGCCTATGGGTCACACCCACTCCACTCTCTGCATCTGCTTTTACCTCTGCCAACCATCTCAGACCTAAGAATTTATGAACTCAGTGACAACATAATTCCTTTCAAAAATGCAGACATTGAGCATACACAGATTTATACCCCTGTATCTTCTCAGCAAGCAGGAACCTGTAAGCTAATGATTGACTGTTCTGCACTGAATGTGCAGATTGCTCCCGTAGAAAGCCATGGAAGACTCATTTAGGAAGGGGACAGGCAATTCTGTTCCCTTCTCATAGCACCTTGCTGGCTTTTTTACTGTCTCCTTTTTCATGTTTTTTATCTCTATTGTTCTTTCTACTTATCTGATATTGATGGATAATTTGCTATACATATTGGGAAGGAGAGATTCTTGTGCAGCTTGTTTGGGAATCCAGCTTCATGGAGATCTTATAGAATAGTCAGTAAGACTCTTGACCCAGAGTGCCAGGGTTCAAATCCAGGCTGAGTCTCCTATTAGCTGTGCAAATGATGTTACTTCTTCCTCTGCTATTGTGAAGACTGAACAAATATGGAAAAGCTTTTAACAGGGCCTGTTAAAAGTTAGCTATTCTAATTGGCCTGTTATTGCAAATTACCCTATAAATTTAGACAATCCCTAGGGCTGGGGAGGGACAGAGACCTGAGCAGAGTAGATCACTAACTGAGATTAGAACACTGAATCACAAAATAATCATGACTTTGACTGACTTTACCTAGAAAGGAAGAAATGGCATTTTTTGTCTGTTTTGTTCTTGGGTAGAAATGGGGATATGAAGTAGAAATTAAGGTGCATAATAGAAATATATTTTTAAATTACTGTTGTTATCTGAGTTTGTAAATTGTGAAAAGATTACAGCTACTACCCATATAGTCACAACAGGGTAGAGTAAGACCTTAACTGGGGATAGAGTAGGAAGTTCAAATGCAGAATAAAAGAAGTCTTCAGAGGAGATATAACTTTGCCGAAACCAAACAAGACTAGGGGGAGACAAGGGGCAGGTGATCCAGGTGGAGAGTATCCCTTTTTTTCAGCTCAAGAAGTGACAAAGAGATTGGCAATCCCAAAATGGGCATATTCGGCAAGGCTGCAGGTGGTACCTGGAAGGATGCCTGTTAAGGAGGTAAGGCTGGATATGTAAAGAAAGGATAGATCATGAGGGGATTGATAAAGGTGTGTTAAGAAGCTGGGACTTGACTGAAACAATGCTCTTGAGTCTTTAGGGGTTGATAGGGTTTGGCTCTGTGTCCCCACGCAAATCTCACTGCTTTTTGTTTTGTTTTGTTTTGTTTTGTTTTGTTTTGAGATGGAGTCTTGCTCTGTCACCAGGCTGGAGTGCAGTGGTGCGATCTCAGCTCACTGCAACCTCTGCCTCCTGGGTTCAAGGATTCTTCTGCCTAGCCTGCCGAGTAGCTGGGGTTATAGGTGTGTGCCACCACGCCCAGCTAATTTTTGTACTTTTAGTAGAGACAGGGTCTCACCATGTTGGCCAGGATGGTCTCGATCTCTTGACCTCATGATCTACCCATCTCAGCCTCCCAAAGTGCTGGGATTACAGGCGTGAGCCTCCGCACCCAGCCCAAATCTCACTTTTAATTGTAATCCCCATAATCCCCTCGTGTCAAGGGTGGGACCAGGTGGAGGTAATTGGATCATGGGGGCAGTTTCCCCTATGCTGTTCTCATGATAGTGAGTGAGTCTCATGAGATCTGATGGTTTTGTAAGCTTCTGGCATTTCCCCTGCTGGCACTCATTCTCTCTCCTGCCGCTGTGCGAAGAGGTGCTTTCTGCTATGATTGTAAGTTTCTTGAAGCCGCCCAGCCATGCAGAACTGTGAGTCAATTAAACTTCTTTTTTTATAAATTATCCAGTCTCAGGTATTTCCTTTTCCTTATAGCTATGTGAGAACAGACTAATGCAGGGGTTTAAGCAGAAGATTTATAAAGTTACTTCAAGTTTAAATATTAAAGTTTTATTTTTAACTGTTTTCTTTTCCCAATGGACAACTCTCCTCATTGTCTACACAGATATATAAAATATATATGGTTATATAATATATATATTTATCTATAATGTATTTATTACATATATTTATATATAATATTATATATATATATTAGCAGGGCATTGTATGGAAGGGGCATAAAATGAAAGAAGGGAAGAGCATCTATGGTAGGTAAAGAGAAAGATTTCTGGGAGTTGTTTTCTTTTTTCTTTTTTTTTTTTTTTTTTTGACAAGAGTCTTGCTCTGTCACCTAGGCTGGAGTGCAGTGGCACCATCTCGGCTCACTGCAAGCTCCACCTCCCGGGTTCACACAATTCTCCTGCCTCAGCCTCCCACGTAGCTGGGACTACAGGCGCCCACCACCACGACCAGCTAATTTTTTGTATTTTTAGTAGAGACAGGGTTTCACCGTGTTAGCCAGGATGGTCTCGATCTCCTGACGTCATGACCCACCTGCCTTGGCCTCCCAAAGTGCTGGAATTACAGGAGTGAGCCACTGCGCCCAGCCCCTTGTTTTCTTCTTTTAATGAAAACAACACAATCTTGTTTTTTGTTTTTTCCACCTCTGTTCAACCAGTGATTTTTGCAAAAAAGTGAGCATCCTTTGACTTTTTGATTCTCTAAGGGAGCTATTGCCAAAAGGAACTGAGAGAAAGAGAGCTTGAGTCCTTAAGAAAAGAATGTATTGGTAGAGAAAGAAAAGAAATCATTCCACCCATATTCTCCAATGAAAGCTTCTTTTCCAGCTTTGACTTGTTTTGCACTCTCTTATCCTTTCTCGCCAGCATACAAACACACATATATATTTTTTTACATGAAGTATTTCTAAAACATTTGGTTCCAGAGATATTCAAACACATTGAGTAAAGTGATTGCCTAATATCTTGATTTTCACTCTCATATTCTATCAGAAGACCTTGTGATCATTCTGTGATGATGAAGAGAAACAGAAGAATTTAAGACCAAAAACTCAGCTGTCTCTTAATCCTTGAACCATTTCTTACTCTATTTTTTTGAATACGTTGGTAAAGAGATGGAAATGGATCCCTTTAGAAAGGGCAAAAATGATTTGTGGAAAATATATAAAGAGGTGGGAATGGACATTCCAAACATCTCTAGTCAGTTTATATATTATGTTCTTTTTAAAAGGACAGAAAAATCTTCTTTGGAAGAGAGTGGATCATTCAAATATGGTCAATAGCCCTATGATTTTATTATCAAATTTGAGTGTCTCAGAAAGTGTGAAAACCCATGGGCTAGAAGAGGGAGAGGTCAGAAGCTTCTTGTTATCTGTACCAATCTTTCGTCCTTGTCTTCACTACATGTCACCACTGAAAGCAGCAAGGGACCCTCATTGTCTCAAGGCAAAAATCTATGAAAATCAATTGTTATATTTAATGCTCATTTAAGATGTAAATAATGTCATTGATTTTTTCTTAATATTCTTTATTTTAAAATTGTGTTTATAAAAGTTCTCTCTCGTATCTATGTGTTTCTCTATCTGTAGGTTTCAAAGTTTTCAGTTTAATCAAGTTCTCCCAACCCTGAGTCCATAAAGTCTGACATTACTCAACCTTACATCTTCAATCATAATTGTTATGAGGTGTCTAAACTACCCTATATTGCTTTGTAAACACTCTCAAGGGTTTAATGGATAGTTCAATTAACCAGATTATACCTTAAGCATGTTTGAACTGAAGGGAGTTATCCAGTCTTCAAGTATACATCCCTCCTCTCAAGTCTTTTACCCCCTAGACACAATGTTACATGGAACATCAATGTAACCAATGTATCACCAAGTAAGCATATAATTACTTTTTCTGAAGCAAGGAGAAAGGACTTGGGACCCTGCCTATTTGGTTTTGACCTTCTCATCCTCTTTTCTCAAGGACTGCCTTGCAGTTTAAGGCTGTTCACGACCCCTTAGGAAAGCACAAATCTGTTTCAAACCATTCATTTCACTAGTGAGGAATCTATAATCCAAAAGAGTTGATTCTTGTAACATCTCACAGACAGTGTTCACCAAAACTAAGACTTTCATTCAGGGGTTCTAAAGTCAAATCTTGGCTTTTTCAACTATAAGATCCTGGATGTAGAAACCATGGTTTTTTGAATTTATTTTTAGTCTTCTTGCTCATTCAAATCAAATTGTGAGTATGACATAGGCTATTTATTAATTAGATGGGTGTGTTTATCAAATTGGACAGAGCTGAGTGAACCGTTAGTGTTGGGGATTTAAAGTTTAAGTAAACAACAAAGGTATGAATGGAATTGGGGGATTGACCCTAAAGCAAGGAGAGGGGCTGATTGTAAACGTCTCGTGCCAATATTTCTCAGAACGGTACTAGCATTGCCTAGATTCATGACGATGCACTATGTTCCCAATAAAATAGTTTCCAAAATATTATATTGCTCATTCTGAGGTATTTCTTTGTAATATAACTTAATTATACTATCTAAAGTAATAAGAATGCCAATAATGTCAGACATACTCATATCCAAAAATAAATACAAAACATTTTAAACTCAAGTTTACATGCCTTTTGGATTACCTACTATTTTGGGATTATTTTTGGATTGTTTCTCCTCATTAACACTAATGATTAAGGACTAATGATAAAATTAGCTGATGGGAGAACATCACATGTCATAATAAATTCTTTCTGTCTTTTGTAATAAAGACCACACTCAAATGTTAACTTGTTGAAAAGTAGAAATTATAGAAAACCACAATTACATTTCACCAGAAAAGGAATGTAGATGCTCATGTTTTGCACATCTAAATCCAAATGCCTTAAAAAAGCAGTCATACATAAATATACCAAAAACATTTTAAACCTAGTAATATAAATATTTATTGGCCCAAACAATTGATTTTATCTAACCTTTTCAGGTGTTAGAATTGTAAATATTTTGCAATTACCATAGCACCATTTGGAAATCAATTTGGATTATTACTATTGAAGCCACGTGTTTTGGATTTTCAAGAAGAGTTCTGACTTCCAGGGCAGTCCTGATTGCCAATATCCTGTCCTGTTATTAGGCCATGTGTTCCACGAATGTTTACTATTTTTTTTAAGGAAAATATTCACTAAGCTCCCAGTTAAGTTGTTTGGATAACAGATCATCATTCCCATTCTCCCATCTTGGAAGTTCACTCAAGCCAGAGTTTATCCCAAAGCTCTAATACTCCCCCAAAGAAAGTGAGGAGGACAACCTGAACATTCTAATCCATTGTGGGAGAAATATGAGACCTCTATTTCAAACTATAACAACCTCAGCGACTCAGGATTCCACAGGGTAAGAGCAGCAGACGCAGACCCATTTTCAAACCAAAGCTTGCCCTTTTTTGAAGATAAGTTGTCAGGCTGACTTTGGTCTTTCATGGACCCAAATCCCTGGGATGGTGCTAGAAGCCATTTGGGTGCTCTAGGAGAGGCTTGTTAGTGCTTCCACGCCCCATCCCCCACTTTTGTAGATAAACTGCACACAAAGACTGCAGATTCCAAACTCTATGGTTTGATGAATGTCATGCAGCTGGAAAGCATAAGGGAGGTCAGAGTTGGTTGCCATTGTGCTAAGGTTGTCCTATTTTCATGTAAGCAAAAAAGATGACTAGGAAAATATAAAACTATTGTTCACGCAGAACTAATGCTAACTAATGAAACTTCTTTAATAAATAACAGAACTTGTCAGTGGTAAAAGTCTCATCTGGCAGTTCACATGACTTTAAATACTGTTTAGCCACCCACATGTCATAAGCAATATCAGTAGATGAGAAAAATGGTGGCATCTGTTTTTCTTAATATATGTGTGCATCTATGTATGTGTGTATGTGCATGTCTCTATCTTTAATCCATTTAGAAACTAATGAGTATAAATTTACTGTAAGTAAAGCACTTAAATTATTACTTTTAGAAGCAAGGTCTCATTCTAGGTTGGCCAAGCTGGAGTGTAGTGGCTGTCATCATTATAATTCACTGCAGCCTCAAATTCCTGGCCTCAAATGATTCTCCCACCTCAGCCTCCCAAGTCATTGGAATTATAGGTATGAATCACCATGCCTGCCTCCTAAATGAATTTGTTTTTAAACTTCACCAGACAACACAGGGGGAAATAAACAATCCTAGAGTTCAAATACTTGCTTGATTTGGAGTATTTTCCACATATGTTAAATTTGTCTTCACCTTGATATATTAGTCCATTCTCACATTGCTATAAAGAAATACCTGAGACTGGGTCATTTATAAAGAAAAGAGGTGTAATTTGCTCATGATTCCACAGGCTGTACAGAAAGCATGACGCTGGCATCTGCTCGGCTTCTGCAAAGGCCTCGTGTCACTTACAATTGTGGCAGGAGGTGAAGGAGAAACACACACATCACATGTTTGGAATAGGAGCAAGAGGGTGGGGGGAAGGTGCTACACACTTTCATACAACAAGATCTCATGATAACTCACTTGTACACCGTCATGAGAACAGCACCAAGGAGATGGTGCTAAACCATTCAGGAAGGACCAACTTCATGATCCAATCACCTCCCATCAAGACCCACAACCAACACTGAGGATTACCATTTGACATGAGATTTGGGTGGGGACACAAATCCAAACCCTATCACTTGGTGAGTATCAAGTAGTGGGAATGCCACTGGATGGGATCTTGGTGGATGAACGGTTACTTCCTCCATAAGTTAGCCATTCTCAAAGGTGCTCTAACTGTTACAGAATCCTCAAGTACCCTTTTAACAAGCTTTCCCAAGTGGTCTCACGATCCTAAAGCTTTAGGACCCAATTAGCAGAATTTATCTTGGGCTGTGACTATGCAGCTGGTTACACAGCTGGGAAACCAGACAAAAGAACAGTCAATCAATTCATTTTGGCTATTTCCATGATTACCAGTAATTGCTCCAGCTGTACTAATGTATAGTGATCAATATTCATTGTAAAGAGGCAAAAATGGACAGCATGGATGCCCCTTTGTCATTTTATTTCACACATGTTGTCCTGGCACATATACATAGAATGATTCATTCAACTGGCAGCACCTAGCTTCTAATTCTCCCCTTGCAGAATGCCACTATTGACTATCAATGACTATTAAAAACAAAGCAAAACAAAACACTCTAACAACTGGG
Organism: Homo sapiens; assembly: GCF_000001405.40. NCBI lineage: Eukaryota > Metazoa > Chordata > Mammalia > Primates > Hominidae > Homo > Homo sapiens. Next base: position 220,922,485 of record NC_000002.12, read on the forward strand.
TGCCTTAATTAACTCAAAAAATAGTTTGGAGGATAGATGGATGGATAGAGAGGATGGCAAAATGCCAGTGGTCCAACATCTGCAGCGTTTAGATACTCAAAGTTGCATCCCAGCAGGTCAGTTGAGTCCTTGAATCTACCCAAAAAGTTGGATGATAAGATAACTAAGAAAGTGAGCTACAGCGAGGACTCCAAGGAATCCCAAATATCATAGGACAACGAGAGATGCCATCTTACTCTTATCCTTGGGCTTACGTCAACTGTACTCCTGAAGGAGAACTACCCTTTCTGTGTCTCCTTTGTCCATACTGAACAAGTTTCTTAGAGATGGCTTTCAAAAGTTTGCATGAAGTATCAGCCTCAAAAATGTTGAGGCCAATTGAGACCATTGCCAGGCCACTCAGAGGTTTCCAATTTTTTTTATTTTTTTGCAGAGGAGGGGACCAAAAAGGGAAGAAGGGCATCTCCTGGGGACCCTGGCAATTGGCCTTGAAATCTGAGCCCATTTTTATTCTTTCTTTGAGAAAACCAAAGAGTTTTTGCTAGCATGATTCTTTGTCTCTTATCTAAGGGCTTTTGGCTCTATTGAATGAAAGATTAAATTTCTATCAGAACATTTTAAAAATTAGGTGATCGAAAGAATGAGTGAATGATATCAGACATATGTATAATCAAAATTCTCTCTATAGGTAGAAATATGGAAAGTTTTTGGTTTGAATTTCCTTTTTAAAATAAAACATTAATTCAATTAAATGTCATAATTGTATCTAGAGAGCAAAACACAAACGCTTAGCCATGCCAAATCTCCTTTTTATGAATTGTCTTCACTGTCTAACATTCAGCTGCTAATATATTTTTCTCCCCTAACTGAGCTCCGCTCAACAGCATTAGGTTTAGGCTTTAACTTTTACCTGGACTCAGTGTATGTTCTAAATCAATCATTTTATCACCTGAGGCTTCAGTTATTTTGTTAATAACAAAGGTTTAACCTAGCCTTCTCCAGATGCTAGGAGACTTTAGACTAGAAATTACTTATAAGGTGGGGGCATAGTAATTAATTTTGTGTTAAGAGCTCTTGAGACATGGCTCTTTACTTCACACTCTCACCTCTTCATAATGGAAATTTTCTTCCACTATAGAATGGAGGCCATGTAACACCAGGTATTCTCAGCAAATTACTATCTGATTCAATTTAACAAGAATGCAATTGGTTATAAGAGAAATGCATAATATTAATCCTCATTATTACATAAAGCTTTCTTTCTTATGACTTACTTTCACATATGTTATCTTATCTTTATGCTCACAATACCTTATAAGCTACTAATTAGGTAATGCTCTATGATTTGCACCCTTACGGAGTTTTTAGGCTTTCAATTACAGGACTGGCCCAGGTTCTACTTGATCAATTTTTCTTAGTATGGTGTTTTCAGAAAAGCTGGTGTTTGGCTCTAGTTGTGAACTCAAAGAGGAGCAGCAGAGCAGGTTTTGTGAATAAGCCTGGGTGTAGGCCTGGCACAACTTCTTGGGAAATTTAAAGGAGAAAGTAACTTTTTCTCTCCAGATTTTAGCTTCATTAGTTGGAAAATAAAGGCATTTGTCCTAATGATCCAAAACTCCCTTCTAGCGCTTTGTGATTCTTTGGAACTGATGGCAGAGCATAATTTAAATTATGTGTATTGGCCAGGTACGGTGGCTCATGCCTGTAATCCCAACACTTTGGGAGGATTAGCAAGAGGATCACTTGGGTCCAGGAGTTTGAGACTGGCCTGGGTGTCATAGTGAGATCCTGTCTCCATTAAAAAAAAAAAATCAAAAAAATTAACTGGGCATAGTGGTGCATGCCTGTAGTCCCAGCTAGCTGGGAGGCTAAGGTGGGAGGATCACTGAAGCCTGAGAGGTTAAGGCTTCAGTGAGCAGTGATTTTGCCACTGCACTCCAGCCTGGGAAACAGAGTAGACCTTTTCTCAAAAAATGAATAAATTAATTTTAGGTACTGAATTTTCAAATTATTTCAAATACTGATCATATTTCACTTTTAAATTATTAATACTAATGACTTCCATTGCAGCTAAATCCTTGGCATGTTCCTGGCCCTTGGTTTGATTCATGTCACTCCAGATGGGGTAATAAACAGAAAATCTGGGAGTCTGAGCTGAATGTACCAGGATGCAGAAAGGTCTTTTGGTTGGAAGACTATTATTAATATTAATTGGGGACAGGGCATTGCCTTTTAACTCTGTGTGAAACACAATGTTAAGGATTTCATACACTTTATCTCATTTAATTCTTTAGATAACTCTCCAATGTGCTTGTCAATATTTCCATTGTATGGGGAAACAGAAGCTCAGAAAATTTAGATTACTTGTCAAAAACCACACAGATAATGAGTGATGGATCTAGGGTTCAAACTTATGTGTGACTGATTCTAAAGTCAATATTCTTTATGATTACCTACCACTGCCTACTTAGAAATTGAAAGGCACACACAAATGCACATGTATACACACACATATATACACATATATGTACTCCAGAAAATGTGTCTGCATAGAAGTAAATAAATGCTTAATTGAGAAATGGGTTGCATATATGAATGCAGGTGACAGTGTTTCTGTGGGTGACCTGGTCTGTACTGGTTTTAAAGGGTCTAAACAAAGTTGTATGAACCTAACCCTCCCGTCCAGGTGCCAATGAGTCTGTATTAGTCTGTTCTCATGCTGGTAATAAAGACATACCAGATACTGGGTAATTTATAAAGAAAAAGAAGTTTAATGGACTCACAGTTCTACATGGTTGGGGAGGCCTCACAATCATGGCAGAAGGCAAAGAAAAAGCAAAGGCATGTCTTGCATGGTGGCAGGCAAGAGAGCATGTGCAGAGGAACTGCCCTTTGTAAAACCATCAGATCTCATGAGACTTATTCACTATCATGAGAACAGCATGGGAAAAACCCATTCCCATGATTTAATTACCTCCTACTGGGTCCCTCCCATGACACGTGGGGATTATGCAAGTTACAATACAAGATGAGATTTGAGTGGGGATACAGCCAAACCATATTATGCTGCCCCTGGCCCATCCCAAATCTCATGTCTTCAAATTTCAAAACCAATCATGCCTTCCCAACAGTCCCCCAAAGTCATAACTCATTTCAGCATTAACTTAAAAGTCCACAGTCCAAAGTCTCATCTGAGACAGGCTCCCTTCCACCAATAAGCCTGTAATATCAAGAGCAAGTTAGTTACTTCCTGGATACAGTGGGGGAACAGGCATTGGGTAAATACACTCATTCCAAATGGGAGAAATTGGTGGAAAAAAAGGGTTTAAAGGCTCCATGCAAGTCCGAAATCGAATACGGCAGTCATTAAACCTTAAAGATCCAAAAAGATCTCCATTGACTCCATGTCTCACATCTGGTTCATGCTGATGCAAGAGGTTGGCTCCCACGGCCTTGGGCAGTTCCATCCTTGTGGCTCTCTGGGGTACAGCCCTTTTCCTTGCTGCTTTCATGGCCTGGCATTGAGTGTCTTCAGCTTTTCCAGGCACACAGCGCAAACTGTCAGTGGATCTACCATTCTGGGGTCTAAAGGATGATGGGCCTCTTCTCACAGATCGACTAGGCAGTGCCCCAGTGGGGACTCTGTGTGGGGGCTCCAATCCCACATTTCCCTTCTGCACTGCCCTAGCAGAGGTTCTCCATGAGGGCACCACCACTGCAGCAAAATTTTACCTAGACACCCAGGCATTTCCATACATCCTCTAAAATCTAGGTGGAGGTTCGTAAACCTCAATTTTTGGCTTCTGTTTGCAACTGCAGGCTCAACACCACGCGGAAACTGCCAAGGCTTGGGGCTTGCACCCTCTGAACCCACTACCTGAGCTGTACTTTGGCCCCTTTTAGCCACAGCTGGAGTGGCTGGGACACAGCGCATCAGGTACTTAGGCTGCACACAGCAGGAGGGCCCTGGGCCTGGCCCACAAAACCATTTTGTCCTCCCAGTCCTCTGGGCCTGTTATGAGAGGGGCTGCCATGAAGGTCTCTGACGTCTCCTGGAGACATCATCCCCATTGTGTTGGTGACTAACATTCAGCTCCTTGTTACTTATGCAGTTTTCTGCAGCAGGCTTGAATTTCTCCCCAGAAAATGGGTTTTTCTACTCTATTGCATCATCAGGCTGCAAGTTTTCCTTTCTTTTATGTTCTGCTTCCTCTCAAATGCTTTGCCACTTAGAAATTTCTTCTGCCAGATACCCTAAATCATCTTTCTTAAGTTCAAAGTTCCACAGATCTCTAGGGTGGGAGCAAAATGCTGCCAGTCTCTTTGCATAACAAGTGTCACCTTTGCGGCAGTTCCCAACCAGTTCCTCATCTCCATCTGAGACCACCTCAGCCCGGACTTTATTGTCCATATCATTATCAGCATTTTTGTCAAAGCTATTCAAAAAGTCTCCAGGAATTTCCAAACTGTCCCACATCTTCCTGTCTTCTGAGCTCTTCAAATCTCTAGGAAGTTCCAAACTTTTCCACATTTTCCTGTCTTCTTCTAAGCCCTCCAAACTGTTCTAATCTCTGCCTGTCACCCAGTTCCAAAGTCGCTTAAACATTTTTGGGTATCTTTACAGCAGTGCCCCACTCTCTGTGGTACCAATTTACTGTATTAGTTCATTCTCACACTTCTAATAAAGACATACCTAAGACCGGGTCGTTTATAATGAAAAAGAGGTTTAATGAACTCACAGTTTCATATGGCTGGTGTATTAGTCCATTTTCATGCTGCTTATAAAGACATAACTGAGACTGGGCAAGTAACAGAAGAAAGAGGTTTATTGGACTTATGGTTCCACGTGGCTGGGAGGCCTCACAATCATGGCAGAAGGTAAAAGGTGCATCTCACATGGCAGCAGACAAGAGAAGAGAGCTTGTGCAGGGAGACTCCCATTTTTAAAACCATCAGATCTTGTGAGACTTCTTCACTATCATGAGGACAGCATGGGAAAGGCCTGGCCCCATGATTCAATTACCTCCCATCAGGTTCCTCCCACAACACATGGGAATTCAATATGAGATTTTGGTGGGGACACAGTCAAATCATATCATTCCAACCTTGGCCCCTTCCAAATCTCATGTCTTCACATTTCAGAACCAATTATGCTTTCCTGACAGTACCCAAAGTCTTAACTCATTTCAGCATTAACTCAAAAGTCCACAGTCCAAAGTCTCATCTGAGACAAGGCAAGTCCCTTTCACCTATCAGCCTGTAAGGTCAAAAGCAAGTTAGTTACTTCCTAGATAAAATGGTGGTACAGGCATTGGGTAAATATAGCCATTTCAAATGGGAGACATTGGCCAAAACAAAGGGGCTACAGGCCCCATGCAAGTCCAAAAATCCAGCAGTGCAGTCAAATCTTAAAGCTCCAAAATGATGTCCTTTGACGCTGTCTCACATCCAGGTCAAGCTGATGCAAGAAGTGAGCTCCCATGGCCTTAGGCAGCTCCACCCCTGTGGCTTCACAGGGTATAGTCCCCTTCCTGGCTGCTTTCACAGGCTGGTGTTCAGTGTCTGCAGTTTTTCCAGGTGCACAGTGCAAACTGTAGGTGGATCTACCATTCTGGGGTCCAGAGGATGGCGGCCCTCTGCTCACAGCTCCATGAGTCAGTGCCCTAGTAGGGGCTCTGTGTGGGGGCACCAATCCCACATTTCCCTTCTGCACTGCCCTAGCAGAGGTTCTTCATGAAGGCCCCACCCCTGCAGCAAACTGCTGCCTAGGCATCCAGGCATTTCCATACATCTTCTGAAATCTAGGCAGAGGTTCCCAAATCCCAATTCTTGACTTCTGTGCACTCGCAGGCTCAACACCACATGGAATCTGCCAAGGCTTGGGATTTGCACACTCTGAAGCCATGGCGCAAGCTCTATGTTGGCACCTTTCAGCCACAACCGGAGTAGCTGGGATTCAGGGCACCAAGTACTTAGGCTGCACACAGCATCACAGCATGGGGACCCTGCTTGGCCAATGAAACCACTTTTTCCTCCTAAGCCTCTAGGTCTGTGATGGGAGAGGCTTCCATGAATACCTCTGACAAGCCCTGGAGACATACGCCATTGTCTTAAGGATTAACATTCAGCTCCTCATTACTTATGTAAATTTCTGCAGCCAGCTTGAATTTCTCCTCAGAAAATGAGATTTTCATTTATAGCGCATTGTCAGGCTGTAAATTTTCCAAACTTTTATGCTCTGCTTTCCTTATAAAACTGAATGCCCTTAACATTACCCAAGTAACCTCTTGAATGCTTTGCTGCTTAGAAATTTCTTCAGATACCCTAAATCATCTCTCTTAAGTTCAAAGTTCTACAAATCCCTAGGGCAGAGGCGAAATGCTACCAGTCTCTTTGCTAAACATAACAAGAGTCACCTTTGCTCCAGTTCTCAACAAGTTCCTTATCTCCATCTGAGACCACCTCAGCCTGGATTTAATTGTCCATATCATTATCAGCATTTTGGCCAAAGCCATTCAATAAGTCTCTGGGGAGTTCCAAACTTTCCCACATTTTTCTGTCTTTTTCTGAGCCCTCCAAACTGTTCCAACCTCTGCCTTTTATCCAGTTCCAAAGTCACTTCTAAATTTTTGGGTATCTTTTCAGCAGCACTGCACTCTACTGGTACCAATTTACTGTATTAGTCCATTTTCACACTGCTGATAAAGAAATACCAGAGACTGGACAATTTACAAAATAAAGAGGTTTATTGAACTTACAGTTCCATGTGGCTGGCGAGGCCTCAGAATGATGGCAGAAGGTGAAAGGCACATCTCACATGGCAGCAGACAAGAGAAGCAAGCTTGTGCAGGGAAACTCCCATTTTTTTAAATCATCAGATCTTGTGAGACTTATTCACTATCACAAGAACAACACGGAAAAGACCTGCCCCCATGATTCAGTTCCCTCCCACCGGGTGCCTCCCACAACAGGTGGGAATTCAAGATGAAATTTGCATGGGGATACAGCCAAACCATATCAGCTGGGGAGGCCTCACATCATGGCAGAAGGTGAAGGAGGAGCAAAGGCATGTCTTACATGGTGGCAGGCAAGAGGGAGTGTGCAGGCAAACTGCCCTTTTTGAAGCCACCAGATCTCATAAGACTTATTCACTATCATGAAAACAGCATGGGAAAAACCTGCCCCTCATGATTCAAATACCTCTTACCAGTTCCCTCTCAGGACGCATGGGGATTATGAGAGCTACAATTCAAGATGGGATTTGGGTGGGGACACAGTCAAACCATATCAGAGTCAAATTAGCTGCCAATATCAAGTTTTCTTCCTTATTTTTTTCCCTGCTACCTGCAATGGAACACAAATACAGAGGTGTGAAAGATGTCTAATACATTTTGCAAATATCCACCATTCTTGAGAACCAGCCTCCTCTTGTAGTGGTGGGCAGAATGTGAAGCATGTCTCCTTGAACAAGTCGCTTGCAGGTGGCAACTGACTTTGTTTGCAATCTGGTGACTTCACTAAAGTAGATGTTCTTTTTCAAATGAAGACTATCTATTTGTTAGAAAAATCTGATTTTCCTTAGAATAATACTTTGGGACAAATAGAATTATCATGAGTTGATTATTTGAATAACTAGAGCAGAGCAATAAAGTTGCCTTTAAAAGTTTGTGTATAGCACACAAATTCCCCCGCAGTATGTATTCTATACTGAGTGGTTATGAGCCACTGACTGACCAGAAACATATCTTCCTTAGTGTCTTATGACACAGCTACCATTTCTTTTCTTTAAGAATAAAGACTAGTTTCATTTGGAAGTTATTACCCCTTAGATGACCAAATCCTGACCCAAGATGCCTAATACATATTCTGCCTTTGAAGCATGATAGTTAGTTATTTCCCCATCTGCATGTCTTTTTTAAAAACTTCTTAAAAGTCTGTGTAGTTATGACAGAGACCAAGATTCCACAATGTAAATGTGCTTCATTAATCAACTCGATGATTTGGGGGAGTAATGAACATTTTGCTATTTGACATCTGGTAGTGATTTACAGTAACAGTAACAGGAATTCCTAGTTTACAGAAGTGCACATGTATAATATGATTCCTTTTGGTGTATAAAAAACAATCTCCCTGCTGCTTTTCTTGGAAAAAAAATGGTAGGAGCAAGGGATTTATCAGGATGGGGTTAGACCTTAAACTTCACGTAGATTTATAAGTAACTAACCAGCTTAGAGCAAAATGTTGTGTGAGCTTTGTAATATGTAAAATCTGGTGTTTATGTAAGCTCTCAGGCTGGCTCAATACCAGTTACTGGTGAGTGATATCTAAACATAAAATAATTTCTACATAAACTGTGGGTTTGTAAAAATGTAAGCACTATATTTGTGTGTAGTCTGAAAGAAGGTATTCTTTGAAATAGATTATTAGTGTAGGGCATGATTCTACCCACTGTATTTTTGTGAGTTTTTCTTTTCTTTTTTCTTTCTTGGAAGACTGATTAGGGACTTGGGTCTTTACCAAAAAGTCAACATGTACTTACACAAAACTTGATATGTGATACACTGACTAAAATGAAGTTTACAATTTACTTTAAGTCGACCTTGCTACTGTGCAATGAAAGTTTTAAATGAATGCATAATCATTAGGAATGTGTCGCCTCCAACTAAGCTATTAGAGTACAGGCAGGCTTCTTGGTAGGATTATCTTACCTACAACACCAATGCTATGTTAATGATTAAATATATAGAGAAAAAAGTCACTGGGCTGGAGGCAGAAAGAAAAATGAGATTAGAAAAGATTTTCAAATCATGAGAATTAAGCATTAATGGGTAGTTGTTTAGACTTAAGAAATGCAATACTGTCTTCTAGAGTGGTACATGAAATTAGGTATTTATCCCTTTTAAGAAATTCCACATGTAATGAATAAATATGTCAGTGGGGCAGTTATGATGCTTTTTCAAAGAACTCTTTCAAGACTTCTTTGCATAGTCAAACTTCTTCACAGTCCTCTTAATAGAGTCACTTCTGCATTGAAAGTGGCATTGACATCTAGAGAAAGGAAAATCAAAACCAGAAGGCAAAAGTAGGGATGGGGTGGTTGGGTAATACTGGCAAGAAGAGATGCCACCCCATATGTGACCCTGAATTTGAGGCTAAAAGACAAGCCCAGTGGTTTCTCTCTAATTCCTATCCACATCCTACTAACTGAGGCCAAAGCTAGCAAGACACTTCCTGGTGGTTAGTGCTTTGGAAAGAGAATGGTTTCTTGCTACACCAGTGGTGACTGCTGCTGTTGCAATGACAGAATCTCATCTGAAAATGGCTTAAGAAAAGAAAAGTAATATATTATCTCATCAAATTAAAATCTCAAGGGAATGGCTGGTCTTGGGGATTTGGAATTCACACATTTTCATCATGAATCAGTTTCTTGCTATCATCGTTCTCTGCCTTGCACTGTGTTGTCTTCATCATCAAGCCCCACATAGTGACTCCCAATAACTCCAGGCTCACATTCAATACATGCCTTAGAGCCAAGCAAATTTGGGCTCCAGTCCTGTACCTGTGTGCTTCTGTGGGCCCAAATATTACGAACACAAGAAGCTCAACTTTACTAAAGACACCAGGGTACTTCGTCACTTATAGTTCTGAGCTGAGCTCTGGCACAATGCAACCTATGACCTAAACATCTCTTGTGACTAAGCCTCTTCAGGCCCCAGGGAAATGCTTCCCTCTATTACCCCAAGACAATGATCAGTTGCTTCCAAAGGCTGTTAGGTATGTAGGTTGTTAGGCTGCTGACCCAAGATGTGGGCACTGCTTTGTAGTCAAGGGCTATTTGAGCAGCAGATGCACTTAGGTAGGAGGGAAGACAAATTCATCAACTTGTCAAATCTTTTCAGAAAGCAGGAGTAGAGGACTTCTCCCAAAATGAGATATCCTTCTCAGCTGGTGCGGCCTGCTCATTTTATTGATTCTGTTTTGTATTTGCATCCATAATTCTGGAAGAACACATGACTTAACACAATTCTTAGAACAGTTGGATACAGTGGCTGAGAAATATTTTGCAATATTAAACAATTCAGTTATTCTTAAATTTGTACATATTTAGGTTCAGATAGAACATAAATGAAGTAGGATACAAATTCTTTACAAGGATCACTGGATGGACACTGAGTGCTAGTATAGTAATAGCTTTATTTCTATGAAAGGTTTGATAAGTTTTAAATAGTTTTCAAAAAATAAGATAAAAGTTAACTTTATTTAAGTACTTTTATTTAAAACTGTACAAAAGTTAATTACAATTTATATATTTTGAATATTTTAGAAAAAATGTGAAAATCACAAAAAATTAACTTTGTTAAATTTCAATTTTAATTTACACTTTTTATTAAGATACACGCAGATATGATATACTTTGGTTATAGTTACGTATTATCCTCAACCTTTTTAGATCATTAAGAATAACGAGTAATATTTTCTTAATTTCTAGTCATATAAAAATGGCAGAATTAAGCCTATTTTAAAAATTTTACCATTATGAAGGTATGGCTGTGTCAAGATAGAAAACTAGTACATGTTTTACTTAATCATTTATTACGTTGAGGTGCAACTTTAAAATATGTCTAATGTATATGTCTCCATTTGCATCTCTAGCCCAGGCTCTGCAGACATTTAGGGAGGGTCTGAGCAAACCATTTCAACACCAAGCCCAGCAGAAGAAGTGGCCCTAGAAAGCAGTGAAAGAAATTTTGCTCAAACATAAAGTTCTGGAATTGAGTTTCATTTGTACCATTTGCCTGATGTAGTCAAATTTCTATTATTTTTTACCTATCAAAGACCTGGTTAATATTGCAGTGCAGCAATAAGTGAGTGGACCAATAGTTTTAGAGACCTTTAAGTTTCATAGACTAAGAAAAATGTGAAAATTTCTGACACATGATTTTAGAAAAAAATTAATTTGGCTGAAAGGTGAAAATACAGACCTTAAACTATGCTTCCAGACACCACCTGTAGAGATTTAATTTCAGTTGAAGAAGTTTTGTTTTGTTATGCAAAGGTGAAAATAAAGACTAGGAACCAAAAAACCTAGAAATGATTCCCACATCCTTATGGTTTCACTCGCAAATTTCTCCATAGGTCACTCTCTGCCCGGAAGACTGCTGGCTCCTGTGTAGACACAGGACCAATAACTAGATGTTTCTCTTACTGCACACATAATCAAATTATCTCTAAGCATAAAAATCAATGTTAATAATTTAGAAATACAACCCAGCAAGACATCTGATCTCAAATAGTACACAATAAAAACAGTTCCAAAGGACCCCAAATCAAATTGAAACTTACTAATAATTATGAAACCATACTACATTTTTGAAAGTTTTATATATAATTTTTTCAAAGTCCTCTGACATTTATCATCTTATTCAATGACAATTTGGACAATGTAGTAAACTACACTGATTTGTTTTCCTTTTCAATTAAAGGATAATGTTGCCCTAAGAAAGGTGGTGGGGAATTTCCTTACTTTACAGTTTAGTAGTTTTTTGCTTTGTGAATGTTTGTAAATGTTTTGATCCACGTGGATGTAGTCCAAATAGATGCTTGGGAGGGGTTCAAGTGGTTTCAGCAACAATGTTATACTATTTTCTCATATATAAATAACCAGCCATACCCTTTTTCAATTAAGGGACAAGTATTGGTACCCAAACTGACAAGCTAAACTACTTGCTTAGTAGTCTCCTACAATTTTATAGTGAAGATGAATCATTTCCACTTCCATAATATGGAATTGACCAGAAACCAGTCAAAATTAAAACAAAATTGATCATTTTCATTCATAACATTAAAATTGTTATTTTTGGTCTATTTTGGTTATGTCTAGTGTCCCTGAAGACTAACTAAATGAAAAGTGCAAAGGACAACTTGGAAAGGACAACTTACTGGAGGTTGTTAGTATTAGACAAATACTAACAAGAGGGCTTGGCATCACCTGACTAATATCAGTCATTAAGGGTGATAGACAACCCAGTTGAGCTCTTTGGCCTTTCAAATCTTCCAAGGGGCATATTTACTCCCAATGACTAGAGGTGGGTGTAACTCTTTAACCTACCTGGGTTATATGAATCACTTCTCTTTACAATTGAAATCAGCTTTTACATTTATAAAAGCTTGTTTCTTGGAAGGGCAAAGATGATCGGATTCATTCATGTATTTACTCATTCTCCCAGGAAACCCTTCTTGAGCAGCATCCTGTTCAACTAAGACCACCATTCCTCAGGTAAGTCACATGCACTAAAGCTAGGTCAACAGGGAGCTGTTCTTTTTTTTTTTTTTGAAATGGAGTTTCACTCTTGTTGCCCAGGCTGGAGTGCAATGGTGCAATCTCGGCTCACCTCAACCTCTGCCTCCTGGGTTCAAGCGATTCCCCTGCCTCAGGCTCCCAAGTAGCTGGGATTACAGGCATGCACCACCACACCCGGCTAATTTTGTATTTTTAGTAGAGAAGGGGTTTCTCCATGCTGGTCAGGCTGGTCTCGAACTCCTGACCTCAGGTGATCCGCCTGTCTCAGCCTCCCAAATTGGGGAACTGTTCTATAGGCACCTTACTCACTCATATCCAAACCCTGGCCTTCAAAAGAAAGAAAGGACTTGGGCTGAAACCATGTGCATAATATTCCATTGAAGTTGAAATTTACTTGGGGTTTCTGTCCACACAACCTTCAGAGAGGATCTTTCCAATTCACCTTTTATCTCTTCTTTATCATCTCCAAAAGAGGATTCTGCGGTTGCTTCCAAATCTCACACTAAGAAGGTTATTGTCAACCAAGCCTGCCATTAACATGATTTGTAAGTGAAAGGAGAAATTACAAAAAAAAAAATTGGCCTTTGGCTTAAAGTATTTTTTACTATTTGTAATAATAACATTAGCTGGGTATTTAATATGTTAAAAACTCAATTAAGATATACTTCTTAGTCAATTTATTTTTTGTATTAATTTTCTTGGCCTGTTATACTTCCTACTGGCCAAGGAAACAAAGTTCCTCCTCTAGCCCTTAATTTCTTAACAAAATTGCCATCAAAGCAAGTACCAGAATGATTGCCTTTGCATACACTATCACTTTGCTGGAGCCAGGTGGGAAAATTTGTCTTTGGACTCTGTAATGGAAAATACTAAACTGGCTCATTGTTAAATGACAAAAGCATTTATTTAAAAAATATAGGGATACTACAAGCATAAGCCTCAAAATCGGTGTTTATAAAGTAGAGGATCTCACACCAAAATACTCCATTTCTCAGATCTGTCTCAGCTCCTTTCTTTATAGGCACTGCCAGCCTCCCACTCTTGTCTTGAGGAGCACAGAGTTTTGCATAGCTGTGGACTTAAGGCCAGTCACAATAGAGACTGGTAGACACTGGCCGAGCAGCTGCCTGAGAGGTGGGACAGCGTCCAGTAGGTTGCTCTCAAGGCTGGGCTCTGTTGCTCTGCCATTGTGGCACAGGGTCACCTTGAAGCACTTCCAATATACTTCTAGTGTGTGTGGAGATGACCCTCTTCAATCAAGAAAATTTGGGAGTGAAACTCCCCTGTTAATTCAACTAATCTCATAATTTACATTATGAGTCAATTCTTACGAATATGACTGTGCTGAGTCAAAGTTCACAGTTGCTGTCTAGCTACGATTCCAAAAAAGCCTCTAGCACTTTGTCTCGTTCACGATAGCTGTTCAAAACATAACTGCTGCCATCACTTTTCTTGTTAGAGGAGGGAACACACCGTGGAACGTCTTACCAAGTTCCAGGCAACTTGGGGGTACTGACTCACAAACACTGAAGGGAATGAGTAAAAAGGTAATCTATTTTTGGCTTAAATAAACTCCTATTTGCATGGTTGTTCTAGGCTTCTCTTTAAGGGCCCCATCTTTCTTCATTCCAGACAATCCCCTTTATCCTTCACCTCTACCTCCATCCCATAACACACACACACACACACACACACACACACCCCACCACCACCACCACCACCTCCACTATGGCCACCATAAACAACAAAATAATCTATTTGTCTAAACTCTATCAGCCTGTGTCTCAATTATCATCCTTCACTGTCCTTGGGTGAGAACATATTCTGACATCTCTCAATCCCCCAGAACAGCCTTAGAAGCATCTTGTTCCCTAAGCATTTCCCAGGGTTGCAGGACACCACCCTTGCACACTTGTAGGTAATCCCACAGACCCCAAGAATGTCAGAATGACACAAAGCAGTTCAGATCAATGCTCTCCATTCTCAACCAGATTTTCACAGTTTTGTACAAAACAAAAGACCCTTTCTTTAATGTCAGTTGAGGCATAGTGAGGACTTGTTTTCTCAGGGTTGTGGACCCCTGACCTATTTAGGCAAGAGGTAAGTAAACAGAAGATGAAAGAAAAGTTTACAGAACCTCTACAGACCCGAGGGATGTCCCCAAAGCAAGAAGTTCCTTTGCGGAGACTAAAATCTGCCCCTGCTGCCTGTGCAAAAGGAGGTTTGGGGGAAGGGGAGGGAGAAGGGAAGTTGCTCACCTTGTACTCAAAGCTGGAGCCAGATGTTCGCTTTGACTTTGCTCTGATGCTTTGGGTTCACTTATGCGCCCAATTCATCCCAGCTTCCATCAGTTGCAGATCAATTTCTAAATTGTTCTGGGAAAGCCACATAATGAAAACTTGTCAGTGAAGAAAAATGACTAGTGTCAGTTCTAGCCCTGACTCGTGACCAGTTACTAGTAGGAGTTTAATGTTCCTAGGGTTTCCCTTAGTGGAATATCATATATACCACCTTTCTAATGCACACAGTAGTGTGAATTAGCTTTTTGAAACTGCAGGAGAGCCTATAATTTAAGGACTCAGGGCCATAACCACAGCAAAGGAAAGGATTAGGGTTAAAAATAGAATGGTCCAAAAATACCACTGGAAGCATTTGTACCTAGTATCAAGATTTTGCCAAAAGAAAGAGCAGCCAGTATACTCTCAACACCTCCTTAGAGAACATTAAATTCAGAAACACAGCTTTAGATTTGTCGATAGGATACATAAAACCCAACATTCTGTGGCTATAATTAAATCACTTTAAAATCCCAATCTAAAACACAATAACACATTTTTCAAATCATTTTGTCATATGAAGAGGATGGGAACACTTTAAAAGTGGATATTTGGAAATTTTGTGTTTGAGCTAGTTGGTGAGTTCTGCCAGGAGATAGGTAAATTGCTTACAGGTGCAATTCCATTGTATTCAAATGAAGGTATTTCTAACTCCACCTAAACAAGCAACTGGAAAATGTTGGAGGAGTTATTGTGAATTGAGTGTGGGAAGTGCTTCATGGATCTCCTCTCATTACTAAAACACATTATGAAAAGCAAGTCAGTTGTTTGCATGTCCTGATGGCAGAGTCAGAGGACAGGGCTGGGAGATCCAAGGTACCTTCTTGCATAAAAAGAAGGTATAGATTTAGGGTCTTTACTAAGAAAGAATAAACACAAACAGTCTACAAATTTGATGGTAAGTGTAGGATAATAAACATAAGATTATCGCAGTAATTGTAGGCAAGATTCTGGTTTCCTAATTTTCTTTGACCTGGTTATTCCTACTGATTACATCACACTAAAATGCACTGAAACTCCATATTTAGGGAGTTAACCCTGTCTGTTAATTGCAGTAGCCTCCTAACTGGTTTGCAGTTTTCCCTCTTGTTCCCTTAGCATTACCACACAGAAATAAATCAGACCACACCTTTCTACTGCTCTCATTACGATCCAGCCTCTTACCTTGTGTTTTCAATGCCTGATCTTTCAATCCCTGTCTCCTTCTTCAAGATTGTCTCCCATTCTCTTCCTCCTCACTCCCTCATTTTTAGGCATCCTAGCCTTTGTCATATTCCTAAGAGACATAGAACTAGTTTGCACTTGCTTTTTCCTCTGCCTGAAATGCTCTTCTCTGAGTATTTTCACACAGCTTTCTTATTTCATCCAAGTCTTGGTCAATTGTAACTTTCTCAGGCAGGCTTTATTTGGCTTTCCAAAGAAAGAGCCATTCTGCCACCTCTCCTATCTCTCTGAACACTTTATCTGTCTTTTTTTTCCTTTACATCACTTATCACTACTGGACATTAAATAATAGATGTATGTTATTCAATATTATCTTTATCTCCATTAGAATGCCAAATTCTGAAAGGGAGGAATCTTCTCTTATTTTTATTCACCACTGTATTCTCACTACCTAGAAAAGTAAGAATCCGTAAATGTTTGTTGAAATGGAGAAACATCCATAAAGAGTGAGAAAATAATTCTGAAATAGGTACACACTAAAATGTTCATAAAAATAATCGCATCAACTCGTGCCTCCCAAATTTGCCAGATCATAAAAACCATTTCAGTAGCTTAAAACAAAACAAAACAAAACAAAAACAAGATGAACACTTAGGACCCATCTCAGACTTAGTAATTTCGGGACTTCAGAGGAAGGCCTCTCTGTCTTAGTTTGCTCAGGTTGCCATAACAAAATTCCACAGGCTGAAGCCTTAAACAATAGAAATTAATTTTTTCACAGTTCTGGAGGCCGGAATTCCAAGATCAAGGTGCTTATAGATTCTGTTTCTGGTGAGGCCTCTCTTCCTGTCTTGCAAGCAACCACCTTCTAGCTCTGTCTATGTTCAAGTGGCCTCTTTGTACATGTGCACAGAGAGAGAAATATGGCATCTGCTACTCTTCTTATAGGGACACCAGTCCCATAGGATTAGGGTCTCACCCTTATTCCCTCATTTAACCTTAATTACCTCCCTAAACGCCCAATCTTCAAATATATATTACAGGTTAAAACTTCAACATATCATTTTAGGGGGACATAATTCAGTCCATAATGCTCTTAAAAGCTATATATTTATAACAAGATCCAAAGTTCCTAGGCAATTTTTATGGCCAATAAAGTTTGTGAAGCAGTACTTAAGAATGAAAACAACACCCCCAGCCATATGGAAAACAGTCCTGTGGTTCTTTGTGTTTAAATCAGTCTTACAATATGGGGAAACATCCTTAGAAAAGGATTTTAACATTAAGCTAAGGTTTCCAGTGTATTGAAAGAAGAACTATACAGCTATGAAGGATAGTAACCAAATTCTAACCACCCACCCACCCCCTTTTTTTTTTTTTTTTTTTTACTTTAAAAGTTTCCGGAGAAAGTCAAAGTTGTTCCTCAGTTTTAATGAGATTTACCTAAATGGTCTGTTGATTGAAGAGTCTAAGCAGGGTGCTAGTGATGGGGGCAGGAGGCAGATAAATTCTAGGCAGGCAGGGGCGGGTCCCTGGCGAAACCCCATCCTCAAGCTGAAAAACCTGAGACCACGCCCCAAAGTGAGAACTTATATACCAGTTTTCCCGCTCAAATGCTGCCTTTTCCTAAACCACCCATGGCCCCTCCCTCAGATCACAAGGTCAGGAGATGGAGACCATCCTGGCCAACGTGGTGAAACCCCGTCTCTACTAAAATACAAAAAATTAAGCCTGGTGGTGCGGGCCTGCAGTCCCAGCTACTCGGGCAGCTGAAGCAGGGGAATCGCTTGAACCCGGGAGGCGGAGGTTGCAGTGAGCTGAGATCGCGCCACTGCACTCCAGCCTGGCGACAGAGCGAGACTCAGTCAAAACAAACAAACAAAAAACAAAACAAAACAAACAAAAAAACTCCAGAATCCAGCAGAACCAGAGCAACAGAGAGGAGAAGCATCTGGATGTTGGGGTCTGTAGCTGGATGTCAGAGAGAAGTGTCTTGACTTCAGAGGGACAGCTTGACAGCATAACTTTGGAGAAGAATCCAGCGGGAGATGGCTGGACTTCAGGGGAACATTACCTTCCCACCCCATCCCTTTTTCGGCTCCCTTTCACACTGAGAACCACTTTCATCAGCAAAAAAATCCCCCGCATTTACCATCCTTCAATTCATTCATGCAACGTCATTTTTTCTGGATGCTGGACAAGAACTCAGGAGCCGCGGTGTCGATACAAAGCTGTCCCACTGGCCCTTTGCCCTTTCTGGCGGAGGGCAGCCACCTCATGTGAAAAGGCAGAGGGTCCATTGAGCTGTTAACACCTAAGCTGTCCGTGAATGGCCAAGCTAAAAGAGCATTGTAACACTCCCTCTGGGGCTTCAGGGGTCGCAGGCATCCCCGTGGACACTGCCTTGGGGCTTGCAAGGATTTTGCCCCTGCCAGTGCCCCAAAGTGCTCACCCGGCTTCTGCACCTACTCACCTGCGTGCTCCCTTCCGTGAGGGGTGGAATGTAGCGGGTCCCAGTGATTGGAGTTTGCCCCTGCCAGCACCGAAGCAGCCAGCTTGTTCCAACACTTGGGCACTCCAGTTCCCGCCTTGTTCGCTTCTATGCTACCTCCTGCAAGGCGTTGAGAGCTGCAGGGCTGAGTAAACAAGGAACCCCTGTCACAAGTCTCATGAAGGGGTCAGGAAAATATCCTGCTTCACTAGAGTGACAAGGGTGGGGCAGGTAGACAGCTATTGTTCTAAAGCTCAGCGTTTGCTGGGGGAGGTCTATGTATTAAGGCGGCAGGTCCAGTTTAGGCCAGCTTACCACTTCTATTGCAAGTTCAATTTAGAGCTTACCTCCTCTCAGGCCTGGACTTGGAGAGGGAAGGGGTTGTGTTTTGCCCTTCTACTGCTTCCCACCACCCCTGTTTTTTTAAGCTCCTCAGGGTTAAGTAGGAAGGTGAAGATTAAAAGGACAAAACTATTTTTCATTAGGTGGATCTTGTGGTCTTCCTGTGGCTATCAATGCGCCTCTGTGTGACAGTAGCCTAGCTACTGTCTTGAGGGAACCTAAGTGAACTATGTAAGGCAGTAAGCGGAACATGGGGGGATCTTCCTACTTCCCAGTTCTCTGCTGGAGAGATGTTCTATGTTTTGACCTCTTTTGAAATCCCCTTAGCTTCCTCTCCTGTAGATACACTGTTATCGCTTGTTATTATGATTCCTTTGACTGTATTTCGCAGTATCTTAATGACTGATGGAAGATACAGGTAAAACAGGCCAAGTAGTGAGAGTCTAGAAGGTTTCATGGTGGAATTTTCTCTCTTTCTACTTCCTTTTCCACCTGCTCAAATAGACAAAAAGGAGACAAGCTGGCTTCCCAAGCTGGACTACAACCAGGAATTGAGATGTCAGCTTCTTCCAGCTACAGATATTCCTCATCCCATCTTCCTGGGAGCTTCCTCTTGCTCCCATCTGAGGAAAATCCTGACCTTTCCTCCTAGGCCAAGCCCTCATTAAACTGTTTTGAAATTCCCTCTCTCCCCTGTATCTTCTGATTATGTAAGTGTTGGAAGGAAAGAGGATGTAGCAGAGCTGGCTGATCACATCGTCAGAGGCCCAGGATAGGCTTAGGAGGCACTGGCAGTGTTATTTTTAACCTTACACCAGCAGTCCCAAGCTTTTTGGCACCAGAGACTGGTTTCATGGAAGACAATTTTTCTACAGATGGTGGGTGAGGGTAGAGGATGGTTTCAGGATGAAACTGTTCCACTTCAGATCATCAGGCATTAGATTCTCATAAGGAGTGTGCAACCTAGATCCCTCGCACATGCAGTTGACAGTAGGGCTCGTACTCCTGTGAGAATCTAATGCCACCACTGATCTGCCAGGAGGTAGAGCTCAGGGAGTAATGCTCACCTCCTGCTGTGCTGCCTGGTTCCTTACAGGTCACAGATAGGTACCAGTCCACTGGCCAGGGGTTGGGGATCCCTGCCTTACAGCTTGAGCTGCAATTCTGAAACAATGGGAAAAGTCCGATTCACATCCACTGTCAAAAAGTTTCAGGAGGCTTACATGTTTGATACATAGTTGCAAGTTTCTGCCAATGCAGACTCTATATGATATGTCCTGTGTCACTGAGGGGCTTCTGGAGGCTTCTGATGGACCACTTAGTAGCAGGTTTGATTTTTTTCCTTTACACAGTAAATAAACCCTTGGATAGACTAAATTTTAAAATTCATCGTTATCTTCTCACAGTGTTTGAAGATTTTTTTCCTAATTCCTTTCCCATCAAATTTTGATACCACAGATAAACTTTCTATATTTTATGTAATAACTAATATTTTCATGCTTCCCCTCCCAATAACTGGTTTTCACTTCCTTGGGGGCAGTATTGCCCCTATTGAGAATTCATGGGGTAAATTAATAGCATTGAAACAGCAGATTTCAGAGTACTCTTAAATATAATATTGTTGTATAAAGCTCAATTACCATAACTCTTATCCGAGGTAGTTGTTAAAATTTTTTAAAGAAACACTTCAGGTCTGCTCTGAAGCATCCTCTTGGATTGCACAGCAAAGTTCTTAGTTTGGGAAAACTATGATCACCAAAATGGGTTCCTGAACCCAGTACCCCATTACCTGGGCAAGCTGTTTCATAGTTGTTCCTCTTCAACTTCCATTTCGGCCAAAAAAAAAAAAAAAATCCAAGAATTATAAGCCCTTTCCTTCAGCAGATGTCCTCTTTATAGACACTGGACTTCACTCAAATTTAACCTTTGAGGACAATGCCAACTCTATGTTTCTTTTGATATGTAAGTGCTACACTTTGTCAAAGCCTAATTCTCTACTTGAGTCTGTTATGTCAGAGAGGGACATAATGTGTGATTTTCTGCTTTCACCTTAACTGTAAAGGTGAACTTCAAATTTTCAATTAGAAGTAATAGTCTATAAACTTCCACATAAAAATGTACAATTTTCTTTCCCAATACATAGTCTTATTCTTTCTCATTAGAGAGCTATATTAAACAATGGGGCTTTGCTTGTACATGGTAACGAAAGTGCCATGCCTGAAAAAAAAAAAAAGCCATAAAATGGGAGCCCAAAACAAAGGCTTGAGAAATTTATATAAAGATTTGGGGTTTTGGCTGGGTGCAGTGGCTCACGCTTGTAATCCCAGCACTTTGGGAGGCAGAGACAGGCGGATCATGAGGTCAGGAGTTCAAGACCAGCCTGGCCAAGATGGTGAAAACCTCTCTCTACTAAAAATATGAAAAATTAGCCGGACGTGGTGGGTGGCGGGTGCCTGTAATCCCAGCTGTTCAGGAGGCGGAGGCAGAGAATTGCTTGAACGGAGGAGATGGAGATTGCAGTTAGCCGAGTTCATGCCATTGCACTCCAGCCTGGGTGACAGAGCGAGACTCCGTCTCAAAAAAAAAGATTTTGGGTTTTATTGTAATTCCCCTGAAATAATGCTATACACAGTACCTTTCAAATTTCTTCCATGACAATAGAGAGGAAAATTGGGGAATAATAAACTATTCCTTTATTCATGTACTCTCCTTACCTCTCACCTGCCACCAACCAATGTCATCAGCTAAGCATTCAATTGTAAGAATAATTACAAAATTAGGAGTTAGAATTTGGACTTGTATAGAGTAGTTTTATCTTCTATAAAAAGAATTCCACTGGAATAAAATACAAAAAGCTGAATAAAACGTAATAATAGAAAATTAAGAATGAGAGAGAAAATGCCAAGAAGTAATCTTGTTTTTATAATATACTGCATTCAGCTACAAGTAACAGAGAGCTTCAACAGCTTAAAAAAAAGAAGAATCCCAGAGATAAGGCATGGTTTGGTGACTGGCTCAATCCTGGTGTCCTGGATCCAGGTTCCTTCTACCTCTCTGGTTTGCCATTCAGCCACAGAAGCTACTTTCCTCATGGTGATAAGATAGATGCAGTAGCTCCTGGCACCCCATCCAGGTCTGAGAAGGACAAAGTCAGATTGTTCCTTGTGTTTCTTTTTATTAGTCAGGAAAAGCTTTCCTGGAAGGTTCCTAGCAGACTTCCTTTTATGTCTTCCTGGCTAGAAGTGTGTAGGGCCACCATGAGTGGGTTAGAAAAATTCCCGAGGGCCTGCAAGTGGTAACAACTTCCTAATAAAACCAAATAGTTTAAGCAGAGGAAGATGGAAACCAAGATAACTTTAGAGCACAGCCAGCCAGAAAGAGGGATGGAGTGTGGGGCTGGGGGTTAGCAGTTGGAGCAGTCACCAGATCACCAGAATCTGTTCCATATTTCTAATTCTATGTAACAGAAATAGGTTTCATTTCTCTCTTGAAAGATTTTAAGCTACAAAGTGTTCTGGAGCAATTTTACCTGTTTCATTGAGCAGTATGAAGATACAACCCCAATTTGCATACTACTGAAGTTCAATGTCCATTGTCAGTACCTTGGTGAATGTAAAGGAAAGTTTTAATTTAGACTTTCTGGCTAAATTCTGCAGTTTTGGTGTAGACTCAAGCAACCCTCCTTGAACTCTCCAGCAATTTTTCCTACTGATCTCTTTCCCAGTCCATTCTCCTCAATCTTTTTGTAATTCTCCGTTCTCTTGGTTTTCATAACCATTCACTGCCTTCCCACTATTTTTTTGTTCCTTTGGTTTCACTTCGCTGATCTGTGATCATCTTCTGCCTAAGACCAAGCCCATTGGTCAGGTTGCTCTGTCTCTGTTTCTATTCCTTTGGAAATTTCATGTGCTTTCAGGGCATAAATGGCCTCTTCTCTGAAGCATAGATCAGAAATTGCTAGTCCAGTTTTTATATTCCTTTAGAGAAATTCTCTCAAATTCAACTTGGCTAAAAGTTATCACCACATCTTTTTCCCCAAACTGACTGGTGACCCTGAACTTAATAGTATCATCATTCTGGTGTACTCAGACTCAAAACTTTGTATTGTGATTGACTCATTTTTACATTAGCTTCTGTATGATCAAGTAAGACCTACTGATTTATTCATTTATTTATTTTCTGCTGAGCCGTCTCTTACACTGGCTTCTTAAAAGATATAATGCATATAAAATACTTAAAGTAAGAAATTAATACGTTTGCTGTTATTATAATAGTACAGAATAGTACATTGAGTTACTGAAAAATCCTCCTGTTTCTACTCTATTTAATTTCTTTCTGAATTCATGGTTCACATCTCCTTATAACAATACTAGTACCATGTTATTCCCTTACTTAAGATTTTTTGATTATTTAGTACCTACCTGGCACTATCATTTCATCTCAGTATCTCAACAATGCTATTCATGATCTTTTATTCTAAGATTATCCTATTGATTCCTCAGTAAACCTCTCCTTTCACAGAGTCACTCAATTTTTTGTTTCTTCTTTCCATCTTGCCTCCCTGACCCCCCATTCAGGGGTTAGTGTAAACTGGGAATGTTTAATCTACCTTCCTCTGTGTGTTGGTGTGAAAACCAAGCACCATATTGTTGCCCAAGGTCAATTGATAACTGCTGGAGAGACAGAGCCTTGATTCAAACTCAAATGCTGTCTTCTCATTCAAAGCCCTTTTTAATTCACCACATCTATTGCAGCATGGTATTGCTGCTGGCATATTAAATTCATGCTCAACTCACCCTGCTGTTCATTTTTCACATCAATCCAGCCTTCCTGGTGTCCTGAAACTTTTGACACAAAACAGAAGATTTTTAATGGAGACTCAATATTTTTTAATTGTTTACAGCTGAGTGTTCTGAGTCGGTCAAGATCACATCCTCCATGATGTTCTAGGTACTGGGCAGGACTTAGTAACTACCTGCTGACCTAATGCCCACCAGAGCACAGGTTTAGGTGCTCACATTAGTAAGCCATGGAGGACATAATTTTGTCTCACTTATACTTAAAGCAAACCAGTGAATCCAGCCATATATATATATATATATATATATTTTTTTTTTTTTTTTTGAGACAGAATCTCGTTCTGTCACCCAGGCTGGAGTGCAGTGGTGCAGTCTAGACTCACTGCAAGCCCCCCCTCCTGGGTTCACGCCATTCTCCTGCCTCAGCCTCCTGAGTAGCTGGGACTACAGGTGCCCACCACCATGCCTGGCTAATTTTTTGTATTTTTAGTAGAGACGGGGTTTCACTGTGTTAGCTAGGATGGTCTGGATCTCCTGACCTCATGATCTGCCCGCCTCAGCCTCCCAAAGTGCTGGGATTACAGGCGTGAACCACCGCACCCGGCCCAGCCTCATATAATTTAAAGCAACTTTTCTGACCATGGAGTCAGAACTATGTGTAATGTGGCACATAGTCATATATGTAGCCCGAAAGACACTTTTACAGTGACTCAATATATAAACTTGGAGTGGGTGCAGATAATAAATGGCCAAAGGCTTAATCTGCAATCAGGAATGTGCTTATCAACAGCTTCATGTTCTTAGTGGATGCTTCTCTAGCTTTGGCCTCTAGTTTTCCTTAAAGGGTGCAAAGACAAATAATTAGGTCTTTGTTATTGGAATCTAGTTTTGTGGTTTTTTTTTTTTTTTTTTTTTTTAATGAGACAGAGTCATGCTCTGTCATGCAGGCTGGAGTGCAGTGGCTTAATCACAGCTCCCTGCAGTCTCAAATTCCTGGGCTCAAGTGATCTTCTTCAGCCTTTTGAGTAGCTGGGACTACAGGCATGTGCCACCATGCCCAGCTAATTTTTTAAAAACTTTTTGTAGAGATGGGGTCTCGCTATGTTGCCCAGGCTGGTCTCGAACTTCTGGCCTTAAGTGATTCTCTCACTTCATTCTTCCAAAGTGCTGGGATTACAGACATGAGCCACGATGCACAGCTGAATCTCTATTTTTATATCATGTCCTCATTTACATCACAGTCTTCCTATGTGAAAAATAAGGGAAGATTTCAGTTTAAGACAGAAAAGTAGTGATGGGGACATGAGGTAAGAGAATTGGCAGAAAGAACAGGAATAATCTTTGTTTTAGAAAGTTTAAATGTGGAGCATCTGGATGAATTCAGACCTTATGCATGATCTTATATTAGATCCTGATACCTCCAACCAAGAAACAGGAAATATAAGATAACCAGTGTAGTCAATATACAATAAGTTATATGCAGGAGAGAATAAAATTAGAAACAAAAGCAAGAAGACATGAATGAAACAACATTTTAATGTTTAGTTCTTTTTGGTAATATCTACACAACAAAATCATTTCTCAGCATTTTCTCATAGCTATGCATAAATGCTAACATTGACTATGTGATTGGGGATAAGACTCAGAGGACTTAGTGGTTCAGAAGTGAACAGGAATTATGTCAAAGCTGTGGTCAGCAGGACAGAGTCAATTGCCTTAGAACGATACCAAGTGCAAAGTTGGTTTGCAGATGAAAAATTAGTTTCTCTTAAGCCAAGAGAATACAAATTAGCCATTAGACCACATCTTCTGCTGATTGCATTGTTCTGTCCAGCTGATGTACTCGGTGGCATGTAGATAAGATTTTGGTATCCTTGTTTAAATCCTCATACATTTATCTGGCTTCATTCTTCGTTCATCTGTTTAGGACTATTTGGCTATTAATGAAAACAAAACTGTCTCCTGAGATAGAAATTGTTTTCAAACAGTCTCTAAGCTGACTCTGAATTTTTGTAACTGCCTCTTCTGTTACTCATATCTTTGACCTATTTTAAGTACATCATTGCCCCAGGGAAATTACTATCTCTTATTATTACATGAGATCCAATTATCCAATGCATCATTATCACATAGGAGATAACATATATGTTTTCCCCTTGAATGTTGCTTTAGAAAGATTGACTTGGTTTCCTCTATTAAAGAGAGTAATAGGATTCTCTTCTAAAAGTAGTCACTTATAGCATAATTACTTTCTCATTCAAACCCTCCTCAGATGTGCCATTTGTCCTCTTAGTACAAAGCAGTTATTGAACTATTATTGATATGATTAACAGTATTTCAGCTTCTCCAAATTTAATGATAAACTCCAAATGATAATTATAAGCTATTAAAATCAGCTTATAATGTGTTTTATCTTTCATAGTCCATATAATCCCAAGACGT
This sequence comes from Homo sapiens, assembly GCF_000001405.40. Classification (NCBI taxonomy): domain Eukaryota; kingdom Metazoa; phylum Chordata; class Mammalia; order Primates; family Hominidae; genus Homo; species Homo sapiens. Next base: position 220,948,360 of record NC_000002.12, read on the forward strand.
AGAGGATCAATTAACTTTAAAATAAGTTTAATAGAAAAGGTCTATTAATATTTTAATCATGCTGTCTGAAGTTACCATATTTATTTTCCACCCCCTGGAAAATAGCATCATTCTGATCATCTTCATACAAATAAGTTTCTCACCAGACTAAAAGAAAACCTGTGCCCCCAACTGCCTTACTTGGTTTGATCTAGCATCCTCTTCTTTGTTTTAATATAATATCTAGCATTTCTTAACTGATTTCCATCCCAAGATCATCTCTACCCACTTAGGAAAGATTTGGTTGTAAAGTAACATTTATTTGAGAAGTTTAGGATGCCTGGATGAGTACATGTGACCAAAAAGGAGAGAGGGATGGAAACGGAAATAGAGAAGGGAGGTGGTCATTCGCATGACAAAGGTTCTTGGGAGCAGCAGTTACTTAAATCCACCTTTCCACTAGCCTCCTTCCTTAGGATGATTTGCTTTGCTCTAATCTTTTTGAATTTGGAGAGGAGCTCTTGAAGATCTCTGTACCTCTGCAGTCGAGGGCCTGGGTTAATGAAGAGTACACATTTACGATTTGTTTGTGCAATCTGTTCACTGCACAGCTCTGGCCTATAATCATTGCTCAGTTAACCACTGTACCTTTCACGTCAAAGTATGGCCATCACCCCTCTGGAATTCTCCAGTCAAATGTGTCCATTGACAACATTTCTGTAAGGACAAAGCTCATATCATTGGTAGTTTAGGCTTTTGATTGACAAAGAAGGACAACGATAGACCTCCCTCAATGGAGCCGAGTGACTAGAAAGAAGTGTGGTCTAGCCTCAAAATGGAGGAGTTCCTTAGCCATCCTATCAAATTACATAATGCATGCAAAATCCAAGATGCACTTAGGAATGTTTACACAAGTTAGTGGTCATCTAACAACCGAACAGGCACCTTCAACACAAAGATGAATGGAAACAGAGCCTGCACTTGAGGAGCAACTATTCTAACAGACAGATCGCAAGAGGTGCCTGGAATATGATCAGCACTCATACATGTCTGAATTAAAATACAGTTAAGTAACTAATTGTCCAAAATGAAGGGAGAAATTAGAGCACCCTAGGTTTATCAAAGTAAACGTCACAGAGGAAAGAAGAAAGTCAGTGTCAAAAAATGAACAAGATGTAGAATTAGTCTGTAGTTAATTATACGGTCAGGATTTAATTCATTTCACTAATTACTCCTCAGCTGCTCTACTGCTTGAGTGGTTTACAGTTGCTAATATTATAGCCTGGCTCGGGTTGCATGTGTTTCTACATAAAGCCTGTGTCAGGGTCTGCTAGTAGGTGATAAATGTAAGTGGATTCCTCTCTTCCTGAGTGTGCTGCAGAGAATTTACCATGTCCTGGGAATTAGCAAGTGAAAAACATTTTTTTTTTTTTTAACTTGTGAGGCCAAGTGAGGAATGGAATCAGGGTTAAATCCAAACAAAGCTTGGCCCTCTCAGTTTTGAAAATCTACTTGTTGCTCTTTAATCATTGAGTTCTCAAGATCATGGATTGAACCAGCAGGACTAAAATTCTGGTGAGCTTCAATTACAGGTATCTCCAAAATTTATGTCACTTGTAGTATACCGCTATTGAGAATTGTCCTAATATTTTACGTTGATTGGTATGTGTAAAAGTCTTTATGTATATTTACATTTTTAGCAACACAAATAAATGTGTCCTAAATTTATTGGATCATGTGCCTACTGTGTTGTTTAAAACTAATCTTATCTTTATAATAACTCTATAATTATTTATATTCTCCCATTACAAAGGAGAAAACTGCTCATTCTACTTTGTCCTTACAGTTTCTGCAGAACACAATGTCACACGCATGCTTTGGATGAGCATGAGCTTCAGAAAGCATGTTGAAGCCATATGTCTCCAAGATGATTTTTGCATTTAACCACCCTGGCCAACAGTGTAGGTTTTTTCTCCCCCATTAGCACTGGCACCCATTGGGGCAAGAACTTAATGAATGTGCCTTGATTGAATTAAGAGATGATTATATTCTCTTAAATAGAAGCACATTTTTTTAAATGCCCCTTAAATCCTACAATGACAGCCAATAAAACAAGCTGGAAAATCTATGCCAGGTTAAAGTTTCCTTTGCTTCCCTTAAGTAACCCCTAGAAAGCAAAATCTCTAGGATTCGAATGGACTAGAAATTTATGGCAGAAACGGCTTCATCCTCTACTGAAGTCTTCTTTTCTTTGTTGAGACAGAGTCTCACTCTGTTGCCCAGGCTAGAGTGCAGTGGAGTGATCTTGACTCACTGCAACCTCTGCCTCCCGGGTTAAAGCTATTCTTCTGCCTCAGCCTCCAGAGTAGCTGAGATTACAGGTGTCTGCCACCACACCCAGCTAATGTTTGTATTTTTAGTAGAGACCGGGTCTCACCATGTTGGCCAGGCTGGTCTCAAACTCCTGACCTTAGGAGATCCACCTGCCTTGGCCTCCCAAAGTGCTGGGATTACAGGCGTGAGCCATCACAGCTGGCCCAGAAACCTTCTTTTCTTATGAGCACCTCAAGATAGCTGGGCCTTTTACAATAAGTTATCCTTTAAAATGCAAAAAAGAACACAGGTAAACAAATCTTGACACAGGAGTCCATTTTTCTGCTTACAGGAAATATGCATTTCCAAAGCTCTTTGAAACACACTGACACCTTCTTTTAAAACATTCTCAGTAAATAAATTTTCATCAGTAATTTTTAAATTATAAGGCCACATAAGTGGACTACTAAAAGGAGAACTGAGAGAAATCTTCTGTTGCATATCCTTTTTCTTAGCTTGTATTCGCCTTTCAAAATCTTAAGATACAATATTTTCCTATGTGAGCTCATTAATTCCTTCCAAGGAATGAACAATTTGCAGGATGACCAAGGAAGCCACAAAATGTGGGAATCTAGTTTATGAACAAATGTATTGACCTTAAGATCAGTGTTATAGAAAAGTTACATAGTTGCTTCTTAGAATCATTAGGCAACTATCTGCTGGCATTTTAGTCCATTCCAATGAAAAAAGGCATGTGGCAATATAAAAACAATAGCACCATTAAAGATAAGTAGTCCTGAGCCTTACATTCCTATAATAATAATATTGGCCTTTTGCCTCGGTTACAGCAAATCTATTAAATATTCATGTCGATGTTTATTTTCTAAATGTAAAATGGAATCAGGATAACAAATAAAGTCTACCATCTGGTGATAATATTGGTTATATATTATATTTTTTTGTTTTGTGGGCTTTTATACGTTTGATTCAAGGTAGCTTACTGAATAATGCATAAACGTCTTTAAAAATGCATTTGAATAGTTGACGTTATAGTTGGTTGTCAGGGTCTTCTCTTGAACTAAAAAGTAGTGATTTTCTTTTTGTACTGAACAAAACTACGGAGAAGATAGCCATTAAAAACCTAATTGGTTTTGAGTCAAAATATTTTTATGATGTAGATTCTATGTAAGTGAGTTCACTTTCTAAGAGGAAATCACAATAGTCTCTATAAAGGTTAGGTTTCCTGATGCTTCTTCTTAGGAGAGCTTTGTGTGTGTGTGTGTGGATTGTGAGTAATCTAAAAATAATCTAAAGATCTAAGACATAGGCTGTATTTACAAAATCTAAAATTACAAAATGATATATAGCTATGGAGAATGACATATCTTTTTGTTATAGTTTTGCCTTTTGGAAGGGATCATTTTTATCTTTCTATTCATCATAAACTGGTGGTACATATATTTACACTTTACTTCGGAGGCAGAATAGATATTAAAGGTTTAGCTTCTTTCTTTAGGGCTTTCTAAGTAGTGACTGTCCATAAAGCTGCCACAGTCTGAGTTCTGATTTTCAGTTCTAGATGCTCAGGAACTTGACTGTATAAACATACCTTGCGATTTTTCATGTTTGGTGGTAAACCGTCTTTAATTAAGCAAACTCATAGAAGATGGATTGATAGTGCGAAATCCCCATTTATTAATTTCCAACAAGAAACATAAGCACAAATTAGACTCTGGGCCAGCTACGTTATTGGTAGAGCCCAGTGCAAAATGAAAATATTCAGCCCTCTGTTCAAAATGATCAGGAATTTCAAGGTAGTGATGGTAGAGTATTAAACCAAGCACAAGGCCATTCTACGAGAGGGGGCCTTGTCCAACTGAGTAGGTTACATGCTCATGAAGCTGGCCCTGATTAAACTCATACATCTGTCAAAGGTTTCTTTTAAGTATAGAAATAGGGTAGAGGGATTTGGAGATATACCTGCATTCCTGACAACACCAGTTGAATTACTCTTTCCAGCATTACAGTGTATGGAAACACATTAGCACTTCCTACTGTTGGTTCATTTTATTTAGCTCACTGCCCTTCTGCTGTAGCGAGGCAGTCGCTCTTTCCATCATGTTACAATCCAGTTGAGCTGCTAACAGCTTTTTGCAAAACACCGCGTCTTCTTAATTGGATTCAGTAGATGACCTAGTCTCATCAGCTGCACTTTGAAAACACACCTAAGTGTACATTATATTTTATACATAATTGGCGGGCTTTTAGTAATTTCCATTTCAGAGGATTGCCTTTCTCAGTCCTATCCCTGGACTGAGAAGAAACTTATAACAATCCTCTCTGCACTGACTAGGCTTTATGTATTTATTTAATATGTCTTTATTGAGTACCTACTATGTATGCATTGGGTGTTATAGTATTTAATATTATATCACACATTTTTCACTGAGAATAAACACATGTATTTGTCTGTTATGTTGGGCATATATATTAGTTGGGAGAGTTTTGATTACATTAATAAAATCCAACTCAAACTACCCTAAAAATAGATAGAAAGAAAGAAAAATAGATGGATGGATGGTGAAATGGTTTGGCTGTGTCCCCACCCAAATCTCATCTTGAATTGAAACTCCCACTAGTCCCATGTGTCATAGGAGGAACCCAGTGGGAGGTGATTGAATTATGGGGCTAGGTCTTTCCTGTGCTGTTCTCATGCTAGTAAATGAGTCTCATGAGATCTGATGGTTTTAAAAACGGGAGTTTCTCTGCACAAGATCTCTCTTTGTCTGCTGCCATCCATGTAAGATGTGACTTGCTCCCCCTTGCCTTCTGCCATGATTGTGAGGCCTCCCCAGCCATATGGAACTATAAGTCCATTAAACCTCTTTCTTTTGTAAATTGCCCAGTTTCAGGTATGTCTTTATCAGCAGCATGAAAACATACTAGTACAGACGCATAGACAGACAGACGGGACAGATGGATAGATAGATAGATAGATAGATAGATAGATAGATAGATAGGTGTTTTCAAGTTTGGCTGATTCAGTAGTACAAAACATGCGATTAGAACCTCCTCCTTCTCATCCTCCTACTCCTACTTCTCCTCCTCTCTTATTCTCCCTATTATCTCATTTTTTATGATCTGTATTTATTGTCAAAGCAGGCTCCCTCCATGTGGTGGAAAAAATAAACTCAAATACCTCCAAGCTCACATGCCAGAGGGAGAGAACATCTCCCTGTTTGAGCATCCAAAATGATTATTTCAAAAGATGCCCATTGGCCTTACTCAGGTCACATGCCTACGCTGAACCAATCAATGCATTCTGGGGCCTGGCATACATTTGGCCTTACTCAGGTCACATGCCTACGCTGAACCAATCAATGCATTCTGGGGCCTGGCATACTATTATTAGCTACCTATGAGACCATGATTGACAGCCTCACTGGGAAGTGAAAGGGCAGTTTACGAAAGGAAAAAGGAGAGGTTTCGTTACCAGAGAAGGAGGAAGGAATTCTGGCATGGTAAAAACAATAGATGTCTCCTCCAGCATGACTACATTAGAACCCTATGGTGGAGTGTAAAGAGGGCTTAAGATTTGAACTCTGGAGAAAGTTATGTGCTACTAAGAAAGTTATGTGCTGCTGTGTATGGGAATGGGGTCAAATCGCTGTGGTCAGAAGAGCAAATCATTTTGATTCTTTAGGAAAAAACACAAAGCAAATAGACTGACTTGTTATATGACTCTCAGAAGAAACTCCAGAAAGTCTACAATTCAGCTACCAATTTTGTCCAATCTCACCTCATATGTAGACAGACAATATGTGATTTTTTTGAACTTGGCCAAATGTTTAACTCATAGAATCTAGAGTTCCCAGTCTAGAAAATGGCTGTATATGCTTATTGTACAGCCTTTCACCAAAGACAGAAGGAGGCCAGCACTTTCAGGGTTGAAGATAGGACTTGGGTTTTGATACTTCTAAAAGTTGCATTATTTCTTGTATGCCTCTCTAAATCTATTTCTAAATTCCAAATAAACCATATTTTGGCCACTTCTCCTGACCCTCTATGAGAAATGTCCAGAGTCACTCACACATGGTTCATACCAAACAACATTTAGCATTGTGTAGAGTTGATATTTCCAAGTACTTATAAATTTTTTTCTTGAATTTTATCCTTACAATAAACTTTGAATAAAGGTAATAGTATTATTATATAATGCTAAGGGACTTGGCTAGAAGTAAACAGCTCTCATGAATAAACTTGTACGCAGGTATTATGATAATTGATTTTGTCAGCATTCCATTTCTGCCTCTCTTCATGTAAGATAAGGTACAGCAACATAAAAAGCTGCCATACTCCACACACAAAAGATGCGCTCATGTCTCTTTCAAGCACCACTCCTTCCACCACACCCACACTCCAAGAGTTTGAAAGTGCACTCTGGCCCATATGACAACACATTAGAAAAAATGTCTCTCCTGTGTATATTCTTTATCTGTGGGGTGATGGGACCCTGAAGCTTGTCTCCAAAACTCCTCAATTGCATCAAGCAACACTTCTGAGAGCCACGGTGACAGCTGATGCTTATCCTATTTGAGCCGAGAAGGGGAGGCACACTTTTCCTTCTGCTCCTTTGCAGGGATGCTTGAACAGGTTTAGGAGACAGTAGGTCTCACCTCATGTTTATAATCTTAAAGAGGCATTGCAGTCACTGAAAATCTGAGATCAGTGAATCATCGCCAAATTACTGAGAAGTAATAGTTGCAACAACTATTACAGCTTTTTGCAAAACAACAATACCACAACCACCACCAACAAAATCAGTACCAGAAGAGTCTGCTAACTCCAGCATCTTATCAATACTGCTGTGGTCATTTCAGCATGGTCTAAATGCTATTGTCATCTTGGTGTAGAGTCTCAAAGAAGGAGGTTTTTAGGGACTGGGGCCACTGCATCAAAGAGACAGTGTTGACATTGGGCTGATGAAAAGGGCTGCAGGAGCAGGTTCTTACTGGACAACAAAGAAATTCTCATAGTGTGGATTTGTCACAGACATGGCACTCAGGGAGAAGAGACAGAGAGACAGAGAGTTTATATATGTCATTTTTATTTTTTTTAACCTCAGGTGTAGAAGAAGAACAGGATAAAAGTTAAATAAATGATATGGAGTTAAGTCCCAGGAACCAACTAAGGAAAATTAAAAATAGCAAGATCCCTAAATAGAGTGTCAGGGCTGTCTGCTGCCTAGGGTCCTGGAGACTAGACATTCCAGGGAATCTACCAGGGCCCTAAGAAGGCTTTTGTTTTCTCCCTTAATGGATTCTCTCAGCACTTAAACAGCCCTAAATATCTCTAATGGCATTGACGTTCCCAAAAGACAAGTTGGCAGTTATCTATGAGCAATCATCTTTTCAGAATGCTGTGGTTCTTCCCTGGGTGTGTTCCTCACAGCTCTGAGACCAACAGGGATGCCATCTTGGCTCCTAAAAGAAGGAAAAGCTGTGATTCTATTTCAGAATCTTTTGCTGAAACTTGCTCAAAACAGTCTCCATTTGTAAAATGTCATTAAAATAATCTTGTTTGCATTAAATAATGATATCAGAAAGAGCATAGCTATTCATAGTACAGGCTTCAGGTATAATTTAACCCATTAAAAAATAATTCTTTCACTGCTCCCTTATTCTTAACAACACATGGGTTTTTTAAATGTTATCTTATTTTTAAGACTTGTCAAACCAAAAATGCTTCAGTCCAACCTTTCTACCCTTCAAGTTCAGAGGCTGTTCCCCATCAATCCTTCTTCTTCTCTCCTCACTCATTCATTCAAAGCTGCCCTCAGGCAAAATTGTGAAGTCTGTGTTACTTGCCTGCAGTTTCCCTTTATCCCTCTTTCACCACTTTTCTCTGCTTTTTTAAGAGCCCTTGCCTTCCCTTCCCTTGGGCATTCAGTGTTCTTGAACTGTCTGGCTGTTAAGAAGCCTCTTCAGTAGTGACAATCTAGTCATTAACCCACACTCAGGACGGCTCATTCCAGGATCCCTAGAGGACAACAACAAGTAGGATCAGACCCTCTGAAAGCCCGTTGCAAGCTGTGAAACCCTGGGCAACTCAGTCACTCTGAGCCTTACTTTTCCCATCTGTTCAATGAAACAATACTTGCTTCAAAATCCCCCCTCACATCTGGAGTCCCCCTCACCCCCTACTTGCCCTCACCATCCTACTTGCCCTCACCTCTTTGCTTCACCAGCTCTCTTCGGGCGGGCTCTCCCTTACTCTTTATCAAGTTTTAGCTTAAATTTTATTTTGGGGAGATCTTCCCCAACCAGCCTAAGAAGCTACTTCCCTTCTACTCTAATGGACGCAATTGGAAATACATAATTATATTATGTTATTTCATTCATCTGGTTGATATTAACTTTTTTTTTTAACAGTCTGCCTCCTCTACCAGACTGTAAGCTCTGTGAGGGCAGGTGTCCTATCTTATTCCAACCTCACTGCTACTCCAGACTCTAGCACAACACAGAGTACTTGGCACTGGAAAGTACTCAATACACATTTTGTTTAACCTCTGTGAGCATGTGCAGAGATAAACTAAGACCACCCTAACCAGAACAGAGGCATTTCCTTCAGATTGTGGTAGAGCTAAGAGAGTCAGTCACCTTCTCTTGTGCTTTACAGAGACTCAAAGGCTGATGGAGTTTTATAGTGAAAAAGGGGGAAGACATTATTAAGCTCTGATTGGAGGTTGTCAGCATAGGGAAGCTGGAGGTAGGTGTCTTATGTGATTGGTTTGAGGAGTATATTTGGCTTTCTCAGTTGGTCCTGAGTTAGGAGTGATGGCAAGGAGTAGACCAGCTATCATTCATCGACCAAATCTGGATGTTCTGGGCTGATTCCTGTGGAGGTTGAAGGTCAGAGGTCTATTGTCACATGTGGTCTGGCCATTTAGTCTCTCATAGGATTCCTTCTCCTTTCTTTCTATACCCAGTGCATAACCTATTATTTCAAACAATGTACAAAGGGAATATATTGATTAGCTTAAAATAAGCTGTTAATATATGATAATATATCCAGGCATATCCATTTCAAAGAGAATTGGCATTTATTAGAGCTATCGAGGACTCAAACAAAGGAATGGATAAGAATAATGAAGACCAGTGAGAAGAGCAATATTTAGGAGATGGTTTCCTAATCAAATTGCACTGCAGGAATCATCCTTAGTTTTCTCTTTAAAATGTACAAAGGATAACGGGTTAATCTCTTAAAAGGTATAAATCTCAGTTATGGGAGACCAAATAAGAGACATTTGATGCCTGTGCATTGACGCCAAGACACACCATGCACATTGTCACCCCTAAAGTCCCGGTGTCCCTGGGGCTCTGTGTCTGGGGCCCTTTGCCCCTTATTGTCTCTAATCGAGGCTCAGCCCTTCAAGACACACAACCAAGAGTCATCCCTCTCCAGGCAGTCACTGCCAGCAGCTCCTCTGCTGTCCTCTAAATTTCTGAATTTCTTATCTGTGTCACTCAACACTTTAATGACACTTTGCAGTGGGATATTTCTTATGTTCATGTTTTTTCTTATCAGTTAAATTGGAAGTTTCTGTGACTTTTGTGTATCTACCACAGAAACTATAATAGATACACACTCAATTGATTCAGCTATATAAATGCTTTCCTCTATTAATAACCATAGGAAATCAATAGACATTAACACTTAAAAGAAAAAAATAAGATTATTTTACCTTGCATATGTGTGGATAGCAATGCATAATATTTAAATACATGGGTTCTGGATTAGGCTGGTGTTTGGATCCACAAGAATGTACATCATGTGTACATTCTTAGGCAAGTTTATAAAATGTTCCTAAAGTTGGGCTACCATTTTATAAAATGAGAATAAAAATATATATCCTATGCAGAAAATACTGTATATAAAGTATTTGAGACCTCGTAAGTAATCAATAAACATTCATTTTTGCTATTTAAAATTAACTAAAATTATACATTAATATTTGTTATAAATAGTCTATTTATAATACATATATAGTTCTAAAGGTTGGGTAATTTGAAAAATGTTTGGATTGTTTTTGAAAGTGTTTAATGGACATGAAAATTAAATTGATTAAATCTGTAGAGAATATATTAATATTATGATTATTTACCACAGTTTGAGTTCCAAACCAGAAGAGTCATGGTCTAGCAATAAAAGACATGTGGCAGTGGAGAGGTATTCTTTTCTTGCCTCTCAAGCAATATACTCACCAAATGACAGTTTCCTGAAAGAACAGAGGTCACTATGGTGTGGTATAAAGGCTTCAGCTTGGAATCAAATCTACCATGACTCGAGATCTACCATTTGCTAACCATGTGACTTTGGGTAAATCACCTATCTTCATTAAATCTTTTTCCTCATTTGTAAAATGGAGATAATGAATTATATTTAACTCAGGAAGAATAAAACACAAATATGAAGGGATTTCTGTTTCTGACTATAATTGACATAGTTGCAGCAGAATAATCTGGCACCAAAAATAACTGAGAAAGTCAAATAGAATATATATGTGTGTGTGTGTGTGTGTGTGTGTGTGTGTATGTATACACATACATATATAAGTCTGTGTGTAGGCATTGGGAAATTGTGTAGGTAACCAAAATGTGAGGGTGAAGATCCCAGGAAAAAATGCAGGTCATTAAGATAAGCTCAACTTCTCCATACTTCTCTTCCTCTTGGGGCATTTGTTAATTTTCGGTATGAGTGGTAGTGTGAGAAGCCAGGCAGACAGCTGCCAAAGGGCAGGGGAGCCAGCAGAGCTTCTGAAAATATCATGAGGCTTGGAAGACAAACACTGGAGTTCAGGCCAAGAGGAAATCAAGGGCTTGGGGGACCAAGATCATGGAAAATAAAGAGGCATGGGGAAGTCAGCCTGACAGTCTCTGGTACTCTCCATTAGACATTTGCCAATTCTTTATTGAGCAGTGTCAGGGGTTAAGAAGCTAAGAAAAATTAGCTGAAAAGGAGAAGAGAGTTTTTGGCAGCCTCACAACACTGGGTAAACAAAAACTGGAATTCAGCACTGCCAAGGCAAAGAGGTCATAGTAAACACTCTAGTCTTTTAGTCTGGACCATTGGCAAGCTTCACTCTAGGAATTGGAAATAAACAAAAAATACACTGAGACTTAAAGAGACTGCAAATTAGCATTGGGTCAAATCATTTCCTGGCTATATTAAGATAAACCCTTCTTACTTAACAGTAGGATAGGGTGAATCCTTATTGTAAGAGAACATCATCTAAACTCTATCATACTTATTATAGAGAATGCCTGGCATTCAACCAAAATTGTTATTCCAAAATTGAAAGACAACAGAAACAGAGTTACAGGTTAACTGGATAGATTTTTCAGACATAGACCCTAAGTTGACTCAAATGAACAACTTCAAATAAATAAATAAATGACAAAATGCAAATTTAAAGAAATCAGAGATCTATCTCAATGTTTAATAAAAAATGCCCATGCCTGCAAAAAGAGAATAATGTGACTAAAATCAATGGAAAAATAGACAATAGAAATAGACACAAATGATGCAGCTCTTGGAATTAGCAAAGACTTTAAATAGTTATTAATATTTTAAGAAAACTAAGAAAAATATTAATAAAATAGAGAAAAATAAGAATTTCAACAGAGCAAATATTCATATTTGCATATTAAAAATAGTGCTGTATTATATGAGATTATTTTCTTTAGAACAGGTCCATGCTTTCCTATAGCAGACTGAAAAAGTGGGAGCTTATCACTTTGATCTAATTATGCACTCAGCTGAAGCCATCATTGCAAAGTTAAGGCTCGGTCTACTTCTGTTACAGGAAAGGGGACTCGATCCAGACCCCAAGAGAGGGTTCTTGGATCTCACCCAAGAAAGAATTCAGGGCGACAATTCTCGCAAATAAAAAGCAAGTTTATTAGAAAAGTAAAGTGGTGAAAAAACTGCTACTCCATAGACGAGAGTAGGACGTTCCTGAAAGCAAGAGGAGGAATGTGTCCACCCTAGGGACAATGCTCATATATATAGGGAGATGTGCTCTGCTTCAAGGGTTTGTGATAAAGGGTTAATTTTCTTAATTACTGTATTTTGCCAGAATCGATATTATTATCTTTAAAGCAAAATTAGGAATGCTGTTGTTCTCCAGATATCGGGATATCTGGACACTCCCAAGTCTGGGTCTGTTTAGTAAACATTATTAATTTATTCCCCTAACCATACCATAAGCATCTAGAGGCTGGGAATGCCTAACTTTCTGAGAAAGCAGCCCAGCAAGTCCAAGCCTCATTTTCCTAGGCCTTACTCAAAATGGGTCGCTTTGGTTTGAATGCCTCTGACACCTCTGGTTCTCCCATATTCTTGAAACATAACCCTGCGACTGAGACCAAGGGTATTCACAGGGGCCTAGCCCCTGTTGGGTCCTGCACTCTCATTGTCATCTACTCAACAGTATGGGACTGAGGAACATTCTGCTCTACTTTTTAGATGTTTTCAGCATAGCTCTTTAATTTCCTGTTCTACACAGCTTTAGAATTTGGCAAATGTGTTGAAACACTGGCTGTGTGTCGGAGGACTGTAAAGTCCCCACTTTTGTCTTTCCAGCTTTAGAGAACTGTAAAAGTCTCACTTGTTGGCCATTCCCAGCCTTTCTCCCAGAATAGATCTTGGATCCCTGGCCTGTTGCCCACACCAAGAATCTGCAAATCTTTTTAGGAAAAAAGGCAGCTACAAATGATACACTCACATTTCTTCATTTGTCCTCTCTTTGGAATCTCATTCCTTCTAGTTCTCATTGTTTCAGCAGCTCTCTGATGCCTTTAAGCAAATTTTTCTTTTTGTTTTATGTAGGTTTTGAGTTGATCTCAACATGAGCATTTGTCTGCCTCAAGCTACTCCTTCCTGCTTGATTAGACTAATAATGTCAAGTGTTGGCAACAACATGAGGCAACTGTGACTTTCAAGTGTTGTGACAGAGTGTGAATCAGTACAACTATTTTGGAAATTGGCAATAGTATTCATGTCCCATTGTGACATAGCAATTTTCCACTAAGGACTGTACTAACCCACAAAAATGCATCTATATATTCACCAAAGGACATGCACAAAAGCCCCAAACTGAAAACAACTTAAATGCCCATCACAGCCGAATGGATATATAAATTGTATTATATTTGTTCCAAAAGGAGAAAAAACTACAACCACCGTGATGGCTAAGTCTATGTGTCAATTTGACAGGGCCCAGTGGTATCCATATTAAGCATTATTTTGAGGTGTGTCCAGGAGGATGTTTCTGAATGAGATTTACATTTGAACTGGTGGGCTAAGTAAATTTCCCTCCTCAATATAGATAGACATCATCCAATCCATTGAAGGACAGAATGGAACAAAAGTTGGGAAAAGGAGGAATCTGTGCCTTTTGCTTCCTGCCTGCCTGCCTGAGCTGGGACAATGGTCTTCTACCCTTTGACTGGACTTACAATCTCATCTTTCCTGGGTCTCCAGCTTGCAGATGGGACTTCTCAGCCTCCATAATCACGTGAGCCAGTTTCTCATAATAAATCTCTTCATACACACACACACACACACACACACACACACACACACACACACACACACAGAGGTTGTTTCTCTGGAGAACCGTAATACAACCATACACAACATGATGAATCTCACAATGTTTAGCAAAAAGCTAGACATAAAATAACACTTAACATTTGAAAAAAAAAAATTGCAAACAGCAAAACATCATATCCATAAGGAATTATTATTGCTGAAACATGCACTTAACAATGTATAGAATATTGCTAGGCCTTGGAAATTTTATTCCCTATAAATTTAACTCCTAATAATTTTATGTACTTTCAGTGAAAAATCCATAAACTGAATTTTAAAAAATGCAAGATGAAAACAAAAATATACTGGTCTTGAGATAAACTTAGTAGTCAGTATCAAGACACTCTGCTATCACTACCATAAGTTGCTTTTTATTTCTCTAAACCAGGAAAGCTGCCAATGTGTTCAACATTCCACGGCTTTTATCTCTACAGCTCAAATGCAGAGCTGTATATTTTTGCATTTCTTTGGCCAGATATATGTCTCTCAATTTTGTCACTTATGTTTGAAAGCGTTAAATCCTAATTTGGACTGCTTATCTTCAATCTGATAATTGTGGAGTTTAAGGAATGTAGTGGCTACATCACATGCCTTCTCTCAATGTTTTGACAATAACAAGTATCTTTTCCAATGACCAAATGCTCCTGATTTTGTTCTGTGATTAGGCCTCACAGTACTGCACAGTTTTTTTCCTGCGCAATATTATTTTTACAAAGGGAATATTTCGAAAAAGATCTGAGAAGACAGAAAGACCTTGACTGAAGTTAAACAATGCCAATGTTTACCATAGAAAGGACTTAATATAAAGGACTACTAATACTTGAACACATCTCATAAATAAAATCAATTATATATGAGGCTGGTTTTTCTCAAAAAGACAAATTCTTAAGTTGAGGCATGTCAGCATGCTTGGTAAAAGCAACTTGTCTGAACCTCATTTAGAACTATTGCACATGAGAAGTTAAATATTTTTGCAGCCAGACATTGAACTTACTGCTTCACACATCTGGAATATCACTTCTTACACATGCTGATTTTTTTTCTTAAAAAAAGGAATGTCATCATTGGATGATTTTTTTTTCACATAGAACTTCAAAAAATATCTCTTATTTCTTCTAATTTCAAACTGACTGAATAGTTGCAAGAATAGCACAAGGAATTTCTGTATATCCATATAGTCATGTTCACCAATTATTTACAACAAACCTATCCCTTTGCTTCATCATGTTCTCTCATGTGCACACACACGCAAACATACACACGTATTTTTTCTAAAATAAATACATGTCTTTTATTTGAGAACGAGTTGAAGATATCATGCCCCTTTACCCCTAAATACTTTAGCGATTGTTTCCTAAGAATAAGGAGTATTTCAAATTATCAAAACTTACCATTGGCCTGTATTATTTTCTAATCCACCATTCACATTTTTTTTCAGGCCAGGATCTAAAACAAGATCACACATTAATTTGTCTGTCCTGTCTCTTCAGCCTCCTTTGATCTAGCACAGCCCACCAGCCTTTCTTTGCCATTTTTGATCTTGATATTTTAAAAGAATTAAAGTCAGTTAATTTGTAAAATATCCCTTAATTAGGATGTATCTAATGTTCTTTCATGTTGAGTTTCAGGTTACGCATAAAAAATGCAGGAATGCCATAGAAGGGATGTCGTGTTTTCCGTGTATCACATCAGGAGGAACATAATGCTGGGTTGTCACTGATATTAAGCTTGATCATTTCACCATGGTATCTACCAGGTTTTTCTCAAATATTACCCACAAATTTTACCATCTGTTGGAGATTTTCTCACTTCATCATCCCTTCTATATTGATGAGTTGGCATTCTTCTGTATGAAAAGGCTTTTACTTCTCTCCCATTAATTCATTTATAAATTTATTTAATTACTCTTATAGGGACTCATGGGTTCATATTTTAAGCAATGAGTTATAATCCATTATTATCATTGTTTATTTTTATGCTCAAATTATCCAGGATTTGGAAGCCTCTACAAATGTGCCCCTGCGTGTGCCTCAATGTGTGTGTGTTTACATATTCTCATCATTCTTTGAGAGTTTTCTTATTTCTGGGTACATGTCTTTTTTTGAAGGAACCCAGGTTTCTTTGAGTGGAGAGTGGTATTTTCTGGTATCAGAATGGTATTTTCTAGTACCATTTCTTTTAGGTACCCTCAGCAGAGTTGAAAAACTGTTTTAATACATCTATGCCTCTATATTTTAATGTGTATCTATATGTATATCTATAGCTGTAAAACACAGGAGTTTATATTGATACCTCCAATTTCAATCTAGTGTCACAAGACATGTTCTAGTCTTCTAGTCTTCAATATTTATAGCTCTAACACCTCACATGGAGTGCATTTGGTTTTCCTTTTTCATTTCTCTCTCCGTCTCTCCTCCTTTCCTCCATTGTTTCCAAATGCACTTTATCTTTTAAAAGACATTAGTTATAATATTGTAAAAGTCTCAAAATATTAAATCAGTGTTAAGGATGATCAAAAAAAAGTTAATGGTCTAAATACATGGTTTTTTTTCCATGAAATTAGTGACTCCAATTTTAAATACTACATTTTGCTTATACATACAAGTTTGCTCTACTCATTATGTTGTAAATTTCTTTAAAATTTGTAAAAAGCAAATTTATTTTTATTTTTTGTAAGATCATGGTTATATGGAGGTAAAAAATACTGTCATTCATTTGTGTTTAATGGAAACACATTCATAAGTGTTTCCATTAAGTGATAGGTTAGGGCATAATGGATATCTTTTGATTTTGTCAAAGTGTGATGGAGAAAGAACTTCTTTCACTGAAATTGTCAACCTGTGTTTGTTCAATGCCTATGATGCACAAGGATCACCATTGTAAATTTGCATCCATCAGAAATGACAAGAATGACCTAGATTATTTTTCATGAGTATTACCTTCCGTTGCCTTTTGGAAAACAGACAAATACTATAGTCCCAATGTCTGTTCCCACCCTCCTTTTCGAAAATGCAATGCACGAATAATGGACTATGGGGTCATAAAAATATGTGAAAGTACCAAATAGAAAACTGCTAGTAAACAAGTGTGAGGTGTATTGTTCTACATTTGGGAGGAGAAGAATGTGTCTGTAAGGAGATGAGGAGGGAATAACCCAATAGCCAGTTAAATAAACAAACTCTTAAATAAGGAAAACAATAAATAAAAACAGAGAAAATGCACTTTTGTTTTTTGCGAGGTTCGGCCTTTCAAATAACACTTGATTTGAAAGTAACGATTCCTTACCCATAAGCTGAAAAGAACAGAATGACTTTCCAGACCTATGCTTCAGAACAGACTGGATAAATGTCATGAGGAATACTGGGTATAAGACCAGAATGTCATTGTAGCAGTTGGATTTATAGTCAGCAAATCCAAAATGTGTGTTTAAACGTCACAGCCACGTTGCCTGGTGCCACTCACATATGAGCAAAGGTGATTGAAGGTTTAGAGAGCCTGTGGTCCAGGTGTGGCCTGACCAGACAGAGAATCACTACCTTGAGAAGGAGATGAAAGAAAGATGCAGGAATTATTGCAGCACCAGAAACTGATGTCTCTGAGAGCTTGACACAGTCAGTGCAGACCACCTGGGCACCAAGTTCCACATGATAGAATGAGAGACATGTCTATTGTTTCTGTGGCTGGACTGAACTTGTTTTGGGTTTTGTCTTTTTTTTGTTATCAGTTAGATGGAGAATACTGCTGTGTACTCCATATACTCCTGTGCAGAAATGTGCAAATGCCAACAGGCGAAGGGGAGAAACACTGAGAGAGGGACAACAGCAGAACAGTTGCAGCTGCAGGAAGGCCAGCAGCCTGGAGTGTTAGGAAGCCATACCTGAAACCTCTGGCGAAGGGGACGCCTAAGCTCGGGGCAGGATGCTGCCCACTGGACAGAGCCTGAGGATGACGCAGAAAGGTGTCAGGGCTGGTGACTTTACTTCCAAGCCCTCAACCTCACTCCTGCCATCAGATCCCCTGCTAGAGGCCAGCCTCTTTATCTCTTCAACAAGCTCTCATGCTGGAAGAAATTAATTCTCATTTTACACATGAAGAAATGGAAGTTACCATAGCCCCGACCATCCAATCTCAGGTCTGCTGGGCTTTCCACTGAGCTGTGTTGCTTTGTTGAGTTAGAAATGTTTATCATTCCTTTGGGGATGGAGGGAATTGAATGAGATTATACCTGGTGAGGGGCTTCTGGCAGAGACTGTCTTATATTCATTCTCACACAAATACAAGGTCTCTATGTGTCTAAGGGAAGCATTATTAAAACAATAGCTGACTTATTTACTGCCCCCTCTGTGACATGCATTAACTGAAGGACTCTACATATATTAATACATTTAATCTTCACAGAAGCCCTAAAAGGCAGGTGTATCATCATCCCCCATTCTACAAGTGAGAGAATTAAGACAGAGGGGTTAAGTAAGCTGTCCAAGATTACTCGGTACATTGACTTGCCAGGGCTGCCGTAACAAGTTACCGCAAACTGAGTGGCTTAAACCACAGAAATTTATAGCCTAATTGTTCTGGAATCTGGAAGTCTGAGAGCAAGATGTCAGCAAGGCTGGTTCCCTCTGGGTGGTAGGAGGAAGGGATCTGCCTTTCTCCTTGGTTTATGGATGGCCATCTTCTCCCTGTGTCTCTTCACATTATCTTCCCTCTATTTGTGTCTGTTCAAATTTCCTCTTCTAAGTACACACATCATATTGGATTAGAAGCTGCTTTGGACTGAATTATGTCCCCCTACTGAGGAAAGTCCACGTGAGGACACAGAGAGAAGGCAGCAATCTGTAGGCCAAGAAGAGGGCCCTCACTAGAACCCAACTATGCCAGCACCCTGATGTCTGACCTGTAGCTTCCAGAACCATGAGAAAATAAATTTATGATGCTTAAGCCATGCAGTCTATGGTATTGCATTATGGCAGTCTGAGCTGACCAAGACAGATCCTCCTCTTAACTAATTGTATTGTTAAAAGAAAAACTTCAGGCTGGGCTCAGTGTCCCATGCCTATAATCCCAGCACTTTGGGAGGCTGAGGCGGGTGGGTCACGAGGTCAGGAGTTCAAGACCAGCCTGGCCAAGATGGTGAAACCCCCTCTCTACTAAAAATACAAAAATTAGCTAGGCTCAGTGGCAGGTGCCTGTAATCCCAGCTACTCGGGAGGCTGAGGCAGGAGAATAGCTTGAACACATAGGGGTGGAGGTTGCAATAAGCTAAGATCATACCACCGCACTCCAGCCTGGACGGCAGAGTGAGACTCCATCTCAAAAACAAAACAAAACAAAACAAAACAAAACAAAAAGAAAAACTTTAGCTGAATTAAATTTAAAGTTTAATTGAGCAATGAACAATTTGTGAATCGGGCGGCCACCAGAATCATGCCTGATTCAGAGAGACTCCAGGGATGCTTCTAGTCAGAGCAAATTTATAGACAAAAAAAGAGGGAAGTGATGTACAGAAATCAGAAGTGAGGTGCAGAAACAGCTGGATTGGTTACAGTTGGTGTTCGCCTTACTTGAACACTCAGCAGTCTATGAGCAATTGAACTATGGCTGCTGGAATTGGCCAAGACTCAGCTATTGTTACAGGCTCATGCTCCTAAGTTAGGTTTTCAATCTTGTCTGCCTGTTAAGGTAGGTTACAGTTCATCCACAAGGACTCAAATATGGAAGTATAGAGTCCTTCTCAGGCCATATTTAGTTCACTTTAACAATATCTACAATGACACCTTCTCCAAATAAGATCATGTTCTGCAGTACTGGGAGGTGACTTCAACAAATGAATGTTGGGGGGATATAATTAGGCCCATAACACTCAGCGTGTAAATTACAATGTCAAGATTGAAACCTAGGTTGTCTGGCTCGAAAGTCCTCACTCTAAACCACTCTGTTATATTGCCCACTAAGTAAAATAACCTCCTAATTCAACAACTATTTATTAAGCGCTTGCTGTGTACCTCTCCTTCCTCTGTCTCTGCAGTTCTCGTCTTTCCTAGAAAGGTTTTTCTCTGTTCCTCTTCGTCACTTCTGATAAAGTAATGCCTTTTTTTTTCTGATCAGTGACATCATTTTACTTCTTGTTTTCAATTAAGCAGTTGTTCACTGAAAATGTACCATGTCACCATCACAAAAGATGGTTAAGTTATCATCACTTCACTTTCAAACAAATACTGGCCCATGTAGAAGGATGTCTGCTTGTTTACTTTCTGACTGTGGGCCTCTGAATATGCTAGTGTTCTCACCATTGCATTCTTGGTGGCTAGCACATAGTTAAAACTTAATAAACATTTGCTGAATGTTGCTATTTCAAGTGAATTTGTCAATGCAGACGTGTCATTGCCTATGGTCCAAAATCTATTTAATTGGTTTAAATAGGCCTCATCAGGCAAACCTACAAATATTCTCCAATTAGGATTAACAGACGCGTTATTCTTTCTAGTGAAACTGTCTCTGGACAAATTTAATAACCTTTCTCTTTTCATGAATGCATACATGTCACAAAGATAATGGGAGTTAAAATAACCCATGGGAAATGCTTGCCTTTATAAGCTACAACTCAAAGAATGGCAGTATAGAGCTTGACTGCAAAATAACATACATGTTTGTGACAAATTAAGTGTTCTGCTGTGGACTAATGGACACAGCATTTAATGAGGTTTACATAAATGAAGGTGATGCGTAACTGACTTGAAATTAACTTAAAATGCTATAGAAGTTGTTCCGGGCATGGTGGCTCACACCTGTAATCCCAGCACTTTGGGAGGCCTAGGCAGGCGGATCATCTGAGGTCAGGAGTTCGAGACCAGCCTGAGCAACACGGAGAAACCCCGTCTCTACTAAAAATACAAAATCAGCTGGGTGTGGTGGCGCATGTCTGTAACCCCAGCTACTCAGGAAGGCTGAGGCAGGAGAATCACTTGAACCCGGGAGGCAGAGGTTGCGGTGAGCTGAGATCGAGCCATTGCACTCCAGCCTGGGTAACAAGAGCAAAACTCTGTCTCAAAAAAAAATGCTATAGAAGTCATGTTTTCCCACAAATCTTATCACAACCACACCTGAATTGCCCTCCTTCCTGCTTCCAATCTTTTTTTTTTTTCACTCTGTCTTCTAGAACACCGAACCAACTTTATTGCTCTCCTACTTCAAAGTGTTGGCACGCAATGCCTACAGAACAAAGAACAAACTGTTTTGTTTTTCTCTCCAACTTATCTTTTATTGCTTTTCTGACTCACATGCAAAACCTGATATCCTCATCCGATTGTTCTAATGAAGCCCATAGAAGACTTCTCTGCCCTCTGCTGCTTATAGCTCTTTGTACACTGGGCCAATGACTAGAATAAGTGACACCTGCTCTCCTTTCCCAGTCACCCCTATTAAAACCATCAAGGCCCATTTGAGTCATCACTTTCTCTGTGAAGCCTACTTTGAACTTCATCTTCTATACTAAGGAGAAATAAACACTCTTTCTTTCACATTTGTCTGAAATGTTGTCCATCCATATCTCTTTTTCACCATTTCTCCGCTACGACATAAACAAATTGAGGACAGGTGCCATGTTTTATCTCCATTGCCAGTATCCTGTTGGACGTGGGCAGAGAAACTTCCACATAGTACGTGCTCAGCAAATATATATTAAAAGGAGACAGGAAGGAAAGAAGAAGGGAAATAAAGAAGGAAGGTAGAAAGAATGGATAACGTAAGACACTTCAAAAAAAAAAAAAAAAAATCAGTCACCCAGTCCAGTGCAGTCATCTACAGGATGGGAAGGAAAGCAGCACTCCTTTGCTTTTTCTTCTATAGATACAGGGAGAAACAGAAAGAGTTTTTAAAAACTAATTTTGATTAGTTATGAATGAATATCTACCTAAGTACAAGTAACCAAGTTAAAACAAGTTTAAAAATAGGAAGATGGGGGCCGGGCATGGTGGCTCACACCTGTAATCCCAGCACTTTGGGGAGTCAAGGCAGGCAGATCACTCGAGGCCAGCAGTTTCAGATCAGCCCGTCCCACATGGCAAAACCCCATCCCTACTAAAAATGCAAAAATTAGCTGGGTGTAGTGGGGTGCGCCTGTAGTCCCAGCTACTTGAGGCTGAGGCACGAGAATCGCTTGAACCCAGGAGTTGGAAGTTGCAGTGAGCTGAGATTGTGACACTGAACTCCAGCCTGAGTGACAGAGTGAGACTCTGTCTCAAAATAATAATAATAATAATAATAATATTAATAATAATGATAATAATAATAATGAGAAGTAGTTGCTAATACCTGGGAATTATTTCAGCTTCTTCATAATATACTCAATAACTATGCATAACCAAGGTTAGACATTGAGGTGAAAAATAAAAATTCCTTCCCTCCCCAAATGTGTCCCCAAATCCAGATGTTTAGCATAGAGGTAGACAAAACATGCAGATGACTAAATTTGTTCATTGTCCATTGATGTGTTTTGACACAATGGGTGAGGTTATGAGTCTGGAGTTGTACATAAAAGCCCCCATGCTTATTTATCCTATAGTTTATATAATAAGACAGTTGCCAGGAAGTGAAGAGTGCAACAGAGTTAAACAGAAGGAAATATAAACATGATTTCCTTTGAATAGAAGATATGGAATGTCACTTCTGATTGCTAGCATGAGAACTTTAAAATTTTCCCCCAGGAGAGATTAATAACAAAAGAAGAACTTTTTTAGTTCAAGGATACACTTAATCTTCCAATATGCTGGCTCAAGGCTATGCCAGGAAGACCTCTTCAAATGGTTTGTGGGTTGTATAGCTTTCAAGGATTGGTTATATTACTTTCTAAAAACAGTTTGAATTAAGAGTCTAGAATACCCCATGGTAAATTTTATTTTTCGAAGTTGGCCGCAATACTACCTCTCATCCCCCATGCTTTTCTCACAATATGACTCTGACACTTTTTTCAAAGAAATGTGGGGGCTGTGTTCCCTCTCCTTGAACAAGGGTGACTTTGTCATTATTGTAGAGGTGTGACTCTATGAGACTCCCAAGTCTAGGTCATATAAGATGATACAGCTTAGGTCTGCTTTTCTTGGGTCTCTGGCTCTTGACACCCACCCACCATTGCATAAAGAAAGCCAAATAATTCATGGAGAGGTCTATATGGGGAATATCTGAGGCCCCCACCCAGGCAGCCCAAAGTCCTGACCAAATTCTCAGACGACAGCCAGAAGAAATATGCCTGCATAACTTGAGTGGCTGCAATTGATACTGCATGAGATCAGTTGTCCCTGCCAAGCCATGCCCAATTTGCTGATATGTAAACAAATAAAGGATTGTTGCTAGTTTGGGGTTGTTTGCTATACAGCAACTAATAACTGGAAAGATTCCTAAAGGGAAACAACATGCATTTCGACTTCCAGCTTTGTGCCATCTGAAAGTACATTTTTAAACTTAATTTGTGTGGTAGGCAGAATTATGGCTCCCCCAAAGATGTCCACATCCCAATTATCAGAACCTGTGAATATGTTAGCTTACTTGGCAGAAAGGAAGGGACTGTGATCAAGTGACGGATCTTGAGATGGGGATATTATCCGGGTTGATCTGGGTTAACCCAAACTAATTGAAGGGGTTCTTGTAATTAAAGAAGGGAGGCAGGAAGGTCAGAGTCAGAGAGATTTGAGGATGCTGTGCTGCTGGCATTGAAGACAGAAGACGGAGCTATGAACCAAGGAATGTGGGTAGTTCCTAAAAGCTAGAAAAGGAAAGGAAAGGGCACATTTTCTTCTAGAACTTCCAGAAAAGAAATGTACCTCTGGATTGTATTCCACCGAGATGTGCTTCAGACCTCTGGCTTTCAGAGATATAACATAATACATTTGTGTTATTTTAAGCCATTAATTTTGTGGCAATTTATTACTGCAATAATAAGAAACTATTCCAAGTAGTTATATTTCTGCAGCTTAATTAATAACACATCCCCACCCCTCCTTAAATTGATCCTGGGACAATAACTAGCCCTTAAGCAAAACCTCAGCATAGTTCTGGATTAGAAAGGGCTTTAGGGACTAGAGTCTCCAGCCCTCGGGGGTTAGTGGTAGGAGTGAGACTCAGAAAGGATTAATGGGTTTTTCAGAATCCTGAGAAGGTTCAAGCCTCAGCAGGGAGTATATAACTCCAAGACCAGTGCCTGTCTTCAGTATGCCTCTATTCTGGCTTTTGGAGATCTGAGGGTCTCTTTCTCAGTTGTCCAGTGTTGTTCTACTGATTCTGGTGGAACAATAGATGAACTCCAGTCAAGAGTTCTATTCTAGTTGCCTCTCCCCTAAGGATACCAGTGTTCCCTTTCTCTTCATTAAAATTTTAATTCCTTATCTCATTTGTGTTTCCAAACACTCACAGATTGTCTTGGTGAGTGCAGAGTAATTTGTCATTCTTTCAAGGTAATATGCACATAAAAGCCACCTTCAACTTTTTTTTTTTTTTTTTTCAGACGGAGTCTCGCTCTGTCGCCCAGGCTGGAGTGCAGTAGCGCGATCTCAGCTCACTGCAAGCTCCGCCTCCCGGGTTCACGCCACTCTCCTGCCTCAGCCTCCCGAGTAGCTGGGACTACAGGCGTCCACCACCCCCACCCCGGCTAAATTTTTATATTTTTAGTAGAGATGGAGTTTCACCGTGTTAGCCAGGATGGTCTAGATCTCCTGACCTCGTGATCCGCCCGCCTCGGCCTCCCAAATGCTGGGATTACAAGCGTGAGCCACTGCGCCCGGCCACCACCTCCAACTCTTAAGGAAAAGCATGTGATTTGCCTATAAAAAAAAACAGTCTTGGTTAAGGCAGCCTCTCCTAGCTCCCTCTCAAGTCCTACCTTCTAGATAGCTGCTGAATTACTTAAATCATTAGTGAGAATGTAAATTTGTTCAGCAGTTTTGGAGCTCAATTTGACATCAGCCATCAAAAGTTTAAATGCACACGTCATCTAACCCAGCCACTTCACCTTCGGTTAAATAGGTATGCACAAAGAGACAAGCAAAAGGATGTTATTTATGAGATGGCACACTCATATTCTGGAATACTTTGAGCCACTAAGAAAAGATAAACTAGACTTTTTTATATACTAAAATGGAAACTTGTTCAACGTGTATTGAAGGGGGGAAAAGGTAAGCTATCAGTTTCTATCATGATTTGCTTTGTATTTTAAAAAGCCACATTTTTGTATCCATATATGACTTTATGTAGGGGTGGCCTTTATACAGAGAAATTATATATTTAACTCAGAATCCACTTATTCATTCATTAATTGAAACTATAAGCTGACCCCTCTGAGATAGGCTGCGTGTATGTATGTATGTATATATATATATATATATATATATATATATATATATATATATCAAATGTATATAATATTAAGTAAAATAGATATGGTACAAGTCTTCAAGAAGCTCACAGTGTACCGAGAGATATATAAGATAATCTTTTAAAACTAAAAAATAGAATACATTTTAAAATATTGATAAAACTTGTGATAAATGCATGATGCTATGACAGAGAATGAGGAGTGGCCTCTATATACAGGATGATGTGAGAATACTGCAAGAAGAGATGCCATTTCAACTGAGACTTGAGGAATATAACTCTTGATTCAATTGATATACAGGATAATTTGGCTCCTTCTTCTCATTCACTAGTAAGAAACATGAGAGTTAACAGTATGGGCATTGCAGAGTTTAAAACACAGGTTTACAAACTCCCATTCTGCAAGTACCAAAGGTGAGAAAGTTTGGTGTGTTTCACGACCTGAAAATTCACAGGTAGAAAGAAAACAAAAGAAGGAGGGGAATGTGGAGGGAAGGGGTGAGTAAGTTTGGAGGGGGAGATGACCACACTGAGTAGCAGTTCTCAAACCTTTTAGTCTCATGACTTTCTGACTCTCTTGAAAATTATTGAGGATCCCAAGAGTTTATATGAGTCATATTTATTGATACTTATGACACTGGCTATTCAATGGTGAATTTGTAAAAATAGGTATTTATTTCTTCATTTTAAAATAATAAGAAACACATTACATGTCCTAGTAAGTTGAATGCTGATTTCTCCAAAGTCTCCTAATCCTGACATGTCCTAATCTCCAGAACCTTTAAAAGTCACCTTTTTTGGAAAAAGAGTCTTTGCAGATGTGACAAAGGGTCTCAAGATGAAATTATCCTGGATTAGGGTAACCCCTAAATCTAATGATAAGTTCTTATGAGAGATGACATGAGGAAACAGACACAAAGAAATACATGGGAGAAAGCTACATGAAGAGAAAGGCAGACATTGAAATGATGGGTCTACAAGCCAAGGAACACTGAGGATTACTGGTGAGAAGCTGGAGAGAGGTGTTATCCCTCAGAAGGAACCAATATCAGCATCTTGGTTTTAGTCTTCCTACCTTTGGAACTGTGAGAAAACAAATTTCTGTTATTTAAACTACTAAGTTTGTAGAATGTATTAAATCAGTCCTGGGAAACTAATACACATGCCAATGTAAAGAGAATCATTTTATGAAAAGTAACCATAGTTTCTAAAATACAAACAAATGAAAGAGAAGAATGATACTATTCTGTATTTTTGCAAATCTCTTTAGTGTCTGCCTAGTAGATGACCGCTACATGCCTATATGTGCTACTGAATTCAAACTGCTGAGATATGTTTTTTTTTTGGTTGAAATATATGAAGAAAATTCAGCTTTACACAATTGGAAATTTGAGTAATATTATAGCAGATGTTTATACTGTACATCAAAGTATCTTCTTTGATACTACACCAAAACTTGACAGATGGGACTTTCTTAAAGGTAGTTGCAAACTGGAATCTGAGATCATATTAATAAATTTTTAATACATTTTTATATTAATTACATAGGCTTACCTTGAACATTGAATATGTCTTTTCCCTGGTGTGATTTTGAACATCACATGTTGGTCATTTGGAAAATCTTGGTTCACTGAATAATGCAGATCATCCAAATGTTGACACATTCCATTGTATATTATCAAAGAAAATTACATTCAGTAAAGCCACCACTTACGTTATGGAGAAAGCATCAGGAAGCTGTCAAGCTCACAGTGGTAGATAAAAGTTTTTCAAAATTTGAATGTTTGTTTGAAAGTTTGAATTTAACATTGGCAGCAAATACTGTCAATTGCTTTCCTCAAAGTGACAGATTTATCCAAATCTGAATAAACATAATTTTGTCAGGCATTCTTTCAAATAAAAATGGTGCTCCTTGAAAAAGGTGGCTAGTTCAGCTCACAACTCAAACAATTGCACAAGTGTATATGTACAGTACTTTCCATTTTGTCACACAGAGTATTAAAAACTGTGTACTCGAGAGTTGAAATTTTGAAAAATTAACAATTTTTAGTGCTTCATCAAGGACATTCTTATGTGAAGTTTGCTCCCCCCCACGTTTTTAACTGCTAATGTATGGCAGAGAAAAATGCAAAATCAGTGGCATAGATTGTTGCCACCACCTTGATACATACTAGGGGCCAACAGTTTTATTCACTATTGCCTTTGCAGCATCCACGAAAATATTAACAGGGTAAAAAGGCAAATGATGTTTTATAGTATTATGAAAATAACTTTGACCAAATTGACCCCTGAGTTCAGAGACCCACTCCACCCTAGGGATCTGCAGATCATTCTTTAAGAACTGCTGATCTAGAGTCTTATAAACTGTGAGAAAGAGTTAGATTTTATTTCACTTACAATCAGCTGCTCTTGGTGGGATTTTAGCCAAGGAGTGATGTGATTTAATTTGAATTTTGAAAAGATGACAGAAAGATTTCTTAATTGAGGAAGTGTTTGATGGTACCATTTACAGAGAGGTAGCAAAGACTGTAGGAGAAGGTGAAGGAAGTAATATTAGCAGTAGCTTGGGACACATTACATTTGAATTGTCTATAAAACATTCAAATGGAAGGGCTTAGTAGGCAATTTTATTTTTAAGCCTGGGGCTCAGAAGTGAGGTCTAGCCTGTGTTTGTAGTCTTAGGAGTCGTTTACATATGGATAGAATTCAAAATTAAGATGATTAATGATATCACATAGGAAGAGAGTATAGAGAATAAAATAAAAAGGGAAACCTGAACTAAACCCTGGGCAACTTAAACGTTTCAAAATGTTTAAAACATGGTTAACCTCCCGAGAGCAGGTTGGAGGACACTGAGATATTAGGAGAAAGAGGAATTTGCCATTATAAACTGTTTTAAAATTTTCCATTGAGCATGTACTCTTACTTTTACAGCTTTATTGAGGTAAAATTATTTAAGATATACAATTTGATAAGTTTTGACAATATGTGCACAACAGTGAAACCATCACCACAGTCAAGAAGAGGAACAAATCAAGAAGTTTCCTCATCACCCCCTGTAATTCATGCCTTTCTCCCCTCATTACCCAGGCAGCCACTGATCTGCAAGTACATCATTTCATTAAAAAATAGAAATAACAAACAAACTAAAAAAGAAATCAATCTAATCAAACATCATTTTGCAGGAAGATAAGGCTCTGAGAAATGCACTAGCTTTCATAGAATGATGTAGCTTTTTAGGGACAAAGAATCATTAGAACCCAATTTTACTCACTTCCACTTTGGGGACCTTTTTACTGTAACAAGCTGCCTCCACTCTTTGACCTACTGTCCTGATCTCGTTCTTTCTTACTGGTCTCTTCTTAGACCATATCTCTTTTGAAAGTATTTGAGGAAGAATTTCTTCTCTGTAGGTTGGAGTCACAACTTGATATGTTAACACACAAAGCCTTCAGTTCTGACAGCTACTGGAGGCTGCCTCAGAATAGGTTTATTAGCCTTGAGAAATACACCAAAGATAGTTTAATCTTCTCTTCTATCAGGAATTTCCCATTGCATTTCACTTTTTTTGTCATGAAACAATTTAATAAACTTTATGTAAACCTTAAGTTTTCAAACCTGCCAGTCTTTGAGCAAAACACTGTTTTTCAAGAAGGGAAGCACTGAGAAGTAGAGCAAGATGCTGAGTTTACACATCATTGCAATTACATTAATTCACAAATTGTCCTATGTTGGGTTACCCCAGAATTAGAGTCTGAATCGAATATTTGAATTTAAGTAGTTTATTAGAGAGGAGATTCCAGAAAGCACTGGGATAGGAATGAGGAAAGTAAGACTGGGAAGAAACAAATGTCAGTAAACTATGTATTATCAAGCCAATTATCTCTTGGGGCAAGTGAGGCTCAATCTTGCTGGAGAACTCTAGAAGACACTGTAAATGGCCACCACAGAGATTTCACATCTGAAGAGTGAGAAGGCTGCGATATTTTTCCTTTATGCCATCAATCTTTAGCTGAGTGCTTCTCCAGGGGTCACGAACCTCCTGGAACTTTCTACCTCCCCTCTGCATAAGTGAGGGACACTAGAAAGCCCTCAGGTGATTAATCATAGGTACTTGCAGTAGGGCACTTCAGGCGTGTGCTGGGTTTTTAATGTAGGGAGGAGATGTATGCAAGGGCACAGCCAGTGTCTGCTGAATGAACCATGTGATGGGTTATTCGGGAAGGGAATCTCAACTTTTAAAGAATCACAGGCTTTGTACTTCTTCCTGTAATTTCCCTAATAATGCTGTAAGCAAGCTGTAAGCCCTCTGAGAACAGGATGCATATCTCATTCATTCTTGGGCCCTCAGAAGGCCTGATCATAATAAGTGCTCAACAAATGTCCAGTAGTGACTTTGTAATCAACGGACTAAAATACTTTGCTGTAAACTACATTCAGATTAACTGTGGAAGAGTGTATTGCAGTGTTGAGGAGTACATAGCTCTAGAATCAGACTGCTTAGATTGTAGCCTGGCTATATATGCCTTAGCCATGTGGCTTTGGGCAAGTTTCTTAACCTCTCTGAGTCTTGATTCTGTCACCGGATCCATGGGCAGTATCATAGTTCTCATGCAATTGTGTTGCTATAAGGATTAAATGAGATAATTTGTGGAAAACAATTATCATAAAGCCTGGCACCTGTTAAATGGGAAAAACCTGCTAGCTGTTAATATCATTGATCACTTGAGGAATACTGTTAAAACTGCCCAACATCTAAAGCAATCATATTACAGTTGATGAAATCAAACTTCACACATATGTGTGGTTAAATAACATAATTGTGATCCTGTCTGAGGCACACTTGTCAAAACTAATTATTTTCCAATAAGAGGTAGATATAACTTTACCCCAATCTTCTCACTCTTGATCACTGTGTTTTCAAATATTTAACTTATTTGGGGAAGTAGCCCTGTGTTTAAAGTTAAAAAGATATATCAACATAAACCCTTTTAGTAAGACAGTTTAAGATAAGATTTCAAATACTATTTTCCAACTTTATAGATAATAGATTTTATTATATACCAAAATACTAATTGTGCTGTCTCTTGAATTTTATTTGTGTAGTTTCTATTTCTGAATGGTTCATTTACCTTGTAAGTCAAGGTTAGATTTCTATTATTTCTTTAAACTGTTTGTTAAATTACCTCCTCAGTAAGAAGCAACATGCTGGGTGCCTGAGGTCACTTGAGCCATTTTCTGCCTTCAAGTACAACAATGCTGAATATATCTTAGATAGAAGACAATGTACTCTAGAAAACATTTTTATAGCCATTCTCAAGAATATATTGCCATAAGAAATAATTTTCAGTACATGTCACACCACTTTATCACCTCTCCTCTTCTTCCATCACCAATGGAAATGAAAACCCAGCAACCTTTGTAAATATAACTAGAAATTATCATTGATTACCTTTGTTTTGTATGGGCTAGATGGTCCGTGGCCTTTTTATCTTTTGAGGGAAGCAACTAAAGATTGTAGAAAAATCACTTAACTAGGGATAAAAAAATATACAAAGTCTGGTCTTAGCTTTGCTTCCAAGCCTTTGATTCAGTGATATCACAAGCACTGTTGATAATACTTTCATTCAGTGATATAACACTGTGGATCAGAGTTTAGATGCACCTGAAAAAAATATAGGCAAAGTCTGTGGATATAGGGTTGGAAACATAACCACCAATTCATTATTATAGAGACAAGGATCTGAATTACTAGGTTAATCTAGGGAAGGCAGGGAAGATCTAGGTAACATTCTTCCATATAGAGTTTAAGATCTGAGATGTCCACGCAAACAAAGTTGGGCATATGTTCTAGCAAATGAACACACATGTGGTTGGGAAAATCCCATCTTCTTAAGGTGGTCCAGTAGCAGGAGAAATGCAGTCTAGGGCTCCAGCTAGGTGGCTGGAACTCAAGGGAGAAGACAGAGGTAAAACAACAAAAGACATGGACTGTAGAGTACAGAGACAAGGTCCAATGCAGCCTCCAGAGACAGAATGATGCCAGAGGGTGGAGACTTAGTAATGGGGAGATTGAGAAACACCCACTTTTGTGAGACTCCAGGAGCAAAATTGGCTTAGGAACCAGGACTGGTCTCACACTGGGAAGGGATGAGGGAATGAGGGTATATATTCATTACCTATTGTTGTGTAACAAATTACCATAAAACTTAGCAGCTTAAAACAATATAAATTTATTATTTCGTAGTTTCAGTGGGCCAGAAATATAGGCAACAGGGTCCTTTGGCTTAAAGCCTCTCATGGAACTGCAATCAAAATATTGCTTAGGGCTGAGGTCTCATCTGAGTGCTCACATGGAGAAGGACCAAGCTCTTCCAGTTGTAGGAAGAATTCAGTTTCTTGAAGGCTATTGGATCATGGCTCTCAGTTCCTTGCTAGCTGTTAACCAGGGGCCACCCTCAATTTCTTGTCATATGGCCCTCTCCATAGAGCAGTTAAGAATATGGCAGCTTTCTTCCTGAAAGCCAACAAGGAAGGCTGTCTGCTAGGAAGATGCAAATCAGAATCTTACACCATTTATTAATGAAAATGAATCTATTATTTTTACTGAATTCTGTTCGTTAAAAGCAATCACAGGTTCAGCCCACACTCAAAGCTAGAAGGAATTACACAGGTTATCAGTACCAGAAAATGGAGATAATTAAGGGTCACCTTAGAGTCTGTCCAATATGGGGAGCTAACATCTTATCAAGTAACCACTGTAACAAGGTAGAGTCCTCTTAAGTGTGTGAACTTTAGAGGCATGGAGCCAGGAAGGATAATGTAGTAGCTGGAATTAAAATATCCTCTTTTTCACATCAATTTCTTCAGCTGTAAGTAGACAGGGTATGGATTAAGGTCTCATCTAGTTCTCTGGTTTCATCCCTTCAGGATTTTCTATAAGCTTATTGTTGAAACCTTTCCCAGTTTTCCAGATTATTTCTAAAATTATAGAGCCTGACATTGTACTCGTTCTTTTATAAAGGGTCTGCTTGAGTATAATGGGGTTGTAAAGGATGACTATATTCTTAAAAATGTACCTTAGCACACACAGCCATGACACTTCTGAAAAATAGGGTACAATCTGCATTTTTGTATACTAATACATTTTTAATTAATTATAAAAATTTACCATAAAAGTAAGCCTATCTAAAAAATTATTAAGTAAAAAAATAAAGAATGAGTGAGAAGGGAGTGCTAAGAGGTGAGGTGGAAGCCAACTGACATTTATGAAGCACAGTTGTGTGCCAGGCAGGATGCTAACAGACATTTGACCTTATAACTTTATTTTGAAATGTGAGCAATTACTTTTTCAAAGACTCTCTCATATATTTCATATGTATTTCTTGTTTTTTACAAACTCAACCCCAGTGTGTTTCTTGCATTTTCTCCAAATTTTCAATTATTTTACATCATCCAACTCCCCTCCTCAATCCCTTGAGATGAATGTTGTAGAAAACGTATCACATATGCTTTTGATAGCAAATTGAACTTGTTCAGATTTTTGTTCCCCTAAGCAGGAGGAAATATTTTCTCCTAGGATCCCCATGAGGACTGTCATTCAAATATAATCATGAAAACCAGCAAGAAATTGACTGGTTTGCTGTGCCTATGCTACTGTTGGTTGGAGTTAGAACTGAACCTCAGGTGACAGAGATGGTGGTTCTTATCTTTCATGAATCAGTGAAGGTTCCAGTTTGTATTGGAGCAGCCCTTTTCTATTGGGTCAGCCTTCTGGCTGGATTCAATCATAGTTTCCAGCCTGGGCTTGATTCGGTAGCTCAGTATAGACACAGCTTCAGTCCGTGGCCTTTTATTGCTCTAAGACCAGTTTTCAAATAAATAACTGGCTAAATGGTTTCCAGATGCTAAAAGAAAAACTATACGGATGCAAATATATTACATTGAATTTCAAGGCTGTTTTAAGGTTTTTACTGTACCTAGAGAAGACAGCTATAAAAAATACACATCACTTTAGCAGAACATACTTCATCAATTACTCTATTAACAACAACAATGTGAAAAATAAAGGGTGAAATTGAGTATGATAAAGCAATGGAGAAAATGAGTGTAAACAAGAAATGGAATAAGCAAGGAATTAATATTGAACCATAGCTACCCAGAGTACTATTCAAGTCTTTCTTGAGAATATGATGTTTCTGACCACCGATCAATAGGGCCCAGGATTTTGAATCGCTTTTCTCATAATGATGAGGTTTTGGGACATTTGCGATCACGCTCCTCTGCCCTGTCCTTTCTATGACCCACAATACACACTCCCAAGATGGCTCTGTGTGGGACGGTAGTCACAGAATAAGGAACCCTCCTGCTAGCAAGCCCTAAAATACTGGGTTCATTAGCACCAGTCTGTCTGTATTTTGGCACTCCCAGGATGCAAGGTGAGAATAGATTAGTCATCCCTAAGGTTACATGGCTGAGTGCACAAGAGGAGAAGTTAGGATGACACAGAACTATTCTCATTATAACAGGAAATTGACATCCAATCAGAAAATGCTCACCTACTGCATTTAAAAATACGTAAAGCAACGATCAAATTAGGTGGCAATAGAAGAAACCGTCTTTGAAAAAGAACAGCTCAGGAGAGAAATTAAAAGATAAAGTTCACAAAATTTAGATTGACATTTGTTTTATGGAAGTCATAACCTTAAAATAACAGGATCTCAATTATATGTAACATTTTAAACTACTAATTCATGGCATTTCTCAGGAAGGTAGAAAGAAAAACTATGCTATTGGATTGGACTATAAAGAACAAAGAAAAAAGGACATTAAGAACTACTTCAATTTACTTTTATAGGAGAAAAGCAGATCATAAAGAAGAGAAAAATAATCTAGCTTCATGTGAACTAGGAATGCTGAGTCAACTGTCCTTTTACAGAAATCCCTGTAAAGTCATGAATTATGATGGAAACCCTTTGGTTCCTACCAGGTTACATGGTGAATGGGCT
Organism: Homo sapiens; assembly: GCF_000001405.40. NCBI lineage: Eukaryota > Metazoa > Chordata > Mammalia > Primates > Hominidae > Homo > Homo sapiens. The sequence continues at coordinate 220,982,676 of NC_000002.12, forward strand.
AAAATAATCATGAAGAGAAAAGCCCACAAGCCTTCACGTGAGGAGGGGGAGATGACAGGGATCTGATTCCCTCTGAGCTGGAGCACAGAGAATCTCTCAATGATTTTGTCAGTCTGACAGTGTGGAGCAGGTGCTTCTCTGCACGTGTCTGCGGCTGGAGGAGCTAGGTAAAACGGTGCTGCCACGATCCTTTCATCCCTGTAGGTTTTAAACTCCATGAACAATTTTAACTCTCTCTCATTGGGTTTCTATCTCATTGCCTCTGTATCTGGATGCTCTTGCTTAGTCTGGCTTAAAACTGCAATTTATGATCTGACTTTTTAAATTTGGGAACTTCTTTTTAGCCCACAGATTCACCTACCTTCTTCAACTCTTCTCATTAAAGTCCAGAGATGAATGAACCTTGCCCCAGTGTCTAATACAGGTTCCTGGTGTCCCTGGCCCTAATGTCAACTCCACAGTCTTTAATTTGTCTAAAAGCATAGACTGTGTATATTCTAGCAGACCCAATTTATAAGAAGACCGAATCACATTCTTATGGATATGATGTGATTCCTAATTATTCCACAGGTACATGTCTCTTAGTGTTGTGCATACATACTTTCTAGCCAGCATCTTGCCTCTCCAACTTTGTCCTGCATCTCACCAGACTCCAGGAAAGAAGTCAACTGACAAGTTCAAGGGGAGGCCATAAAACATGATGCAAAAAAGTACTGGGCAAAGCGTTAGGTGACCTGGGCTGAAAACCTACAGATGCCACCAACTAGCTGTGTGACCTTGGGAAAGATCCTTTCTCCTCTAGGTGAGGTGCCTCATTTGCAAACTCAGCATGTTAGACTCAGTCACCAAGACCCCTTAAATCTCTGACATCCGATGGCTTTAAGCAGAAAAGACACAGTATTTTGCTGTGTTTGAAGAATCTGTATTCTGCAGCTTCTAGGGGAATGGATAGAAAGTGTTAAGAATTTAGTCAGCGTTCCAGTGAAAGAATTTTTGCATCTTTGCCCATTGTTTTCTTCCTCTGACCTTGCTCGTACCACAAAGTTATAAGAAAAAAGACATATCAATGGCTGCATTTTACATCCATGAAAGAGAACCCACCAAGAGGCTTTCCATTCATGCGTTCAGCATCACTACACTGCAAACCAGTGGGATTCTACTGCATTTATTTAAACTTCTGTCATCATCATTGTGAATACAACCAGAAGTCTCCTGTGGGCTCCTAGATGAAATCCTGAATGTAAAAAGTAAACAAAGTAAGCCTCTCACTCTCTATTCTCCTGGCGGCACCACTGGTATTTAATGACATAAGAAATACCTAGAAGCTACAGCTAAGAATGAGCATAAAAGTGACAATCCATGAAGCAAGAATGCACATATCCTAAATTCCGAAATCAGATTCCATTTTCTCAGGGCATCAGTCAAGCTGAAGTTATATTTTCCTCTATCCTTACAAAATTTACTGTAACAGAATACTTTTTAAAAATAGAAACTGTAGCTTAGTAAATAGAGTTTACTTCAGGTGAAGTTCGTCTTATGCCCCCATGTTTGCCTCTTCTGTGCCCTTTAGTCCTGAAATCGGCTTTTCTTTCTTCCTTCCTCCTCAGGAACAAAGTATCCCCATGGTCTGTTATGCTCCAGGGTAAGAGAAATAACAAAGGAATACAACAATCCTAATATTTGAAATACTTTTCATGGCCAATCTCATTTTGGTATATAGAGCTTGTCAGTTTAGTGGGCAGAGAACTGATCAGTTTTAACCATTCTAATTGCTAGTTTGTTACATTTAGAGCCAGGGGTGTCCAAGGTGTGGGTTGGGTGGACTGTGTCTCTTAGTTGCAAAGGCAACACGCATGCAGTGTGTCAGGTACGACAGGAGCTGGGGCAGGTGCCTTAGGTACAGGACAACAATGCCTATGAAGAAATGGATCAAAGTGGCATCACTCAGAGTTTGAATGAGGATGCCACTGGCATATGAAGAAGGGGATCAGGATCACAAAACCAGGCTTCTAATCACTTCTCTAGCACCAATTAACTCCTTGGCTTTAGGAGAAAGACTGCATCTTTCTGCATCTATTTCCTCATCTGAAAATTCATTCATTGCCTTTTCTAAAAGAAATATTCCACTTAATTCTTATTTTAAAGAATGAATAGTTGGAATGTTCAGGTAAAGAGAAGAGCAAGAGAAAAGGAGCGTGGAAATTGGAAAACACTCAGCAATTTAAAAACCAGTAAATCCTCCAATATAACCAGATTTCATGAGCTTGAGAATGAGGCAGATGAGAAGGAAACTCTTTGTAGACACCAGCTATGGAGAATTTTTTTTCTGTTATATTGGGGCATCAGAACTATTCAGAGAAGACAGGAGACAGTCTATTTTTTTTAAGCAGAAAAATGGCATTATCAGGGGGCACGGCTTCTTTTATCACTTGGAGCGTGAATAATACCATATTAATATTGAAATTAATTAGATAAGCCTTCATTGTTCAGATTAGCAGGGCCTCCTACCCCTTTCTCTAGACCTGTGCCCTACTTGTCTTGATAGTCTAAGAATTGTAGGGTATAGATGAGTCCAAAGAGAATAATCATGCCTCGGAACAAAAGACTATGCACGAAGTGAAAGAATGAAATCATATGTTTTCTGCTGTCTCTGCTTCTGTCATTGATGTTGAAAAGTGGCATTGTCTTTTAGAAAATTGACTTCTCTAAATCCAACGTTTTCCCTGCTCACTTCTGCAAGGACCACACTGTTTGATCTACAATGATTTTTTAAAGTAAAGAGGATGAAGAAAATGGAGGTTTCTCCCAAAGTTATGACTACTTTATCTAGCATTATACTTGGATAGAAAACTCTACACCACCATCAGCTTGAGCTTTCACATTTTATTTTTTTAAATTCATTAATACAGTCATTGCTCCAGGAAAGTTGTATCAGAACAATTGTGGTTATCGACACAAATTCTCTTGACCTCTGTATTCTGTCTTCTCAGGCTAAAAGTTTCTCCTTGTCCTCATTCCAAGTGCATACTCATTTCCTGCTACAGAAAAAATGACACCTCTTCATAAGGAAAAACCATGTTGTGTTACCACTGTATTTTAGATAACAGCCTGGAGCAAATTCTCAAAGCACTCGAGCCACCTGCACAAAGGTGAATGACTGTTAAAATACACATGGTTCAGATGGCTGGCTTCCACCCTGAACCTAATGAACGGAACTGCGGATGGGATTGGGAATCTGCATTTTCAACACATTCCTCAAATGATTTGTATGCATACCAGACTGTGAGAACCACTAATCCAGCTGTTGAGAATAAATAGATGGAGAAGGCATCAGAAATGAGGAGAACAATTAGGAAGTTTTGTAATCACGTAGGCAAGCAATGATGAGAGTTGTTACTTTAAGTGATTGTGGTAAAGGAGGAGAGGGCGTGCTTGAGAATCATTTCAGATGTGGATTTCACCCACTTGGAGCATTGAGATTGGAGTCCGGTTGAGCTGGCTTCTGTGTGTATGGTGTCACCATTTTTAGGAATGGTTCTCAGTGCGAATTTCTCCATCTCCTTTGCTTGCAGACCAAGCAGACTACATCTGCATCCAACTAAGTCAGCCAAACTAATCTGCTGAAAGCAGACAAATCTGCATCAAACTAATTACAGAATTGGGGATGGGGTCAGTAGTTTTAATCACACTTTCAGTCACGTTTTAGCTATTTATTTTGTTCTCTGCATGAATAAAAGCAACTGGAATATACAAAGAAGGCATCAAGATGGTGCAAATGTGAGGCTGTGAGCTGGGATAGCCACCAGGAGCAAGCAGGCCACAGTCTGCTGGCGATCAGAGCAGGGAATGTGAAACTCATTCTGTACCATAGGGAGAGAAGGGCCTGACTGCAGCTTTCCAAAAACTCAGAAACATGAGTCTGCCACGTTTTTGAATCTTCAGCCTAAAGACACCATAGTACATACAAGGTATCACCAAGGATGGGGACATGGAAATACAAAGAAACAACAGCCATGCTTTAGGGCAGGAATCCTCAAAATATTCCCTTTTAAGGAACACCGCCTTTCAGGAGGTTAACAGGTTTGTCTCAGTGGCAAACACAATAAAATAAATTGCTTGCATATCTTTAGGAAATAGGGGCTTGAATAATGTTAACCAACTTTCTTTACTGCATTACTTTCTGGAGCCTCAAATAGGATAATGTGCATAAAGGCTGCAGTGTAATGCTTATGAACAAACACCCTGGACTAGGAAAGCTGAAGTTCAGATGTTAGTTTGGCCACACACAGGGAGTGTTGATCCTCTGTGTTCTTCAGTTTCCTTGTCTATAAAAGGTACGTAATTATCATTCCCAGCATCATTAAGTCATGAGAAATATGTAAAATAATGAGTGCAAGAGCTTAGCGCAATGCTTGGCACCTGGTAAGTGCTTAGTAAAGCCAGCTTAAAAAACAAAAACCAAAACAGAAACAATCAAGAGGGAAAATAGCATTTTGTAAATTTACTTGACCTAGGATGGTTTGGAAGGTAAGAGGAGGAAATACATATGTATTCATGGAAGAGTATTCTTCAAGACAAAATTTAGAAAATTCTGCACTAGGAGATACTTATCTTTAGGGGGTAGGTGTCTACAGGATCTTGATATAAAAATATATGATGCTTGTCAAACATCAGCATTCTCTCCAAAGGCCACTGTAGGAAAATATACTGTGACAAAGCAATCTTTGAATGAATGTGTGAACATTCAAGTCTTGGAAATCTCTGGATGTCTGTAATGTAGGTAGAAGCATGCTGGTATATATGAAGCAGTAGTTTTAAACTCTGCCTATATTTTAGAATCACAGGGGTAAAGGAATGTGAGAAAGGCTTTAAAAAGGAATTTCAGGATCCCAGCCTCGGAGATTATGATTTCACTGGTCTAATTAGAGCCTAAGATTTAGGATTTTTATTTGGTTTTGTCTTAATTTATCAAAGTATTTCTAATATGCAGCAAGGTTTGAGATCACTGGTTAAAGGTATAGAGTATGTTATAAATATATTAAATGACTTATTTATTTGATATTTCACAGAATAGCTAAAGGGAAGTAGTCATTTCCCCTAAAGAAAAGATCGGCATGTACAGATTAGAGGCTACCTGAAGAATTTTCATAGAAAAGTTGGTAGAAAGAACATGAGAATACTTGAGAACACTCAGGGGGTGGGGTTAGAAATGATGCTTCAGAGGTGAGGTCAAGGATGAGGAATGGGAGATGGAGGCACGAAAACCTTACTCTGCCTGTACCTCTTTTTTGCAGAAGGCAGCTGAGGGCATGGTAATGAGCCCCGATAGATGAGAAATGATTACAAAAATGATGATGATGATGATGATGATGATGATGATGATGATGAAGGTGGTGGTGGTGAATATGAGGAAAGTTAACAATTAGTGAGCCTTCAATATATAGTGGGAACTGGATATTTTTCGTATTTACTTCTCAAAAAAAAGGTCTATGAAATAGATGTCAAATGAGAATATCTAGTTTCTAGTATGTAGTGGTCATTATAACCCTTATCTCCCTTCTATAGACAAATTGGAATACTTTGATCTTTAATAAATTTCAAAAGCAGGAGTAATTAGGATAAAAAAATTAATTGACTTTCTTGAGGAATTAAAAGCTGGTCAAGTTATAAAAATTCTTTTCTGGCTGGGCACGCGGTGGCTCACGCCTGTAATCCCAGAACTTAGGGAGGCCGAGGTGGACGGATCACGAGGTCGGGAGATCAAGACCATCCTGGCTAACACGGTGAAACCCTATCTTTACTAAAAATACAAAAAATTACCCGGGCGTGGTGGCGGGCGCCTGTAGTCCCAGCTACTTGGGAGGCTGAGGCAGAAGAATGGTGTGAACCCAGGAGGCGGAGCTTGCAGTGAGCCGAGATCACGCCACTGCACTCTAGCCTGGCGACAGAGCGAGACTCCGTCTCAAAAAAAAAAAAAAAATTCTTTTCCAAACTGCAATCCTTTTACTGAAAGACAGATAGACAAATAGACACACACACACACACACACACACACACACACAGCCCTCTCTTATGAACTATTGGCATTAATATCATATGTTTATTAACGTCCTTAGGAAGAATTCAAGAGCATGTTTTCAGAAGTCAAGGTATTTTTTTTCTAGTTGTCTGTATTGCAGATGTTCTCACAATAAGAACGTCCAGTTACAAGTATGCAAGGCGTTGACCTGATATCATGTGGAACCTGGTGGTCAACCAGAACACTTGAAATGGAATTCAAATCCAGATGTCAAGGACTATAGACAGAATAATTCAGCCCTGAAACTCTATTCCTGAGACAAAGGTTATAGACAACTTCTGTCCTTCAACCTTATCCTTGTAATAGTTTGAGAAATTTAGAAAGAGTCATTTCAATCTATGTTTAATTGTTAATCTCTTAATATAACTGCTGCAGTTGGTTAAAAAGTCTCAATTATTTTCTTAGAAACTCGCTTATGTAAAGGGAGAAATGCTTGAAAGTCCATTCATTTTGCCTCTGAATAATACAGACCTTCCAGACAAACTATTTAAGAAATGTTTCTTAATTTTCTCACTTACCACTTTTGAATAATATAAAACAAATCTGTGTTTAGCTTCTGCCAAGACAATGCATTGAGGACTTCCATCGTTCCCTGGGAATCATTACATTGTTTTGGTTTGCTTGGGTTCAGAGCCCTTGAGATGGCCCTTGACTTTCAGATTCATTTAAACTGCTGAGTTGGGACTGGTTTCCATCTGCGACCATAAAATTGCTTTGAGTTTCTCCAAACTCAGCCCAGGTTTGCTGAAAGCGCATCTAAGAATTGGCTAGGGTTCACCGCAAGGTTTGCAGATCTATTTGATTATTTAGCTGTTCAGATCCCAGTTTCTAAATTGCCAGGTGAGAACTTCACCTGGTTGGAGATTAGCTCATCTGGAGGCACTTGCTTGATACCCATGCCTAAGTCTAAAGGCTGCATTCTTTAAGAGTTAAGGTATCTGAAAGGAGAATACATGTCTCCATATCTCAAAATGCCTCTTGAATTTTTCCCCAGATGAATAGTAAAAGTCTTCTCTTTTCAAGCCTTTCTGGTATTTAACATGTGCCTCTGTTCCCTGTTAGGTCTTCTATTTCGCTGGAAGTTGCTGGGATTATGTTTTCCAGTTGATTCTGATGTGAATTAAGGTTTTCCAAATGTGAATGAACTGAAAGATGGTCAGGTTTCAAAATCAATTAGAGACTAAGCAGTGTGTGGAGGCAGTGGGGCATGCATTTAATAGAAGTGTATGTGTGTAAGCACGAGTAGAAGAATGAATTTTTATGATTGAAGGTCAAAGAATGGAAAATGGAAGACTTTTGAATTATGGAGGGATATATGGGGCAGTTTCTGGTAAAAATGGTGTGTCATAGATGTAAAAAAATTGAGCTTTATAATTTTAGATTTAATACAATTTAAAAATTTGTCTCTTTAAATAGATTTTAGAAACAGTGGTTAATTTCATTTTGCCCCCACTTCCCTACTGCATGAGCCCTTGCTAAATCAAGGTTAAATTCAGATACTTCAGAATGATTTATATCTAATTTGGAGATATTGTCATCATTATTTTAAAACATATTCTTCACTTGTAATAACTTTTGGTCCTAATGCTACTGATCAGCTACTGCTTATCTATATTCAGAGCTATTCATATGGCTAAAATGAAAACTAAAATTAGGACTTAAAATTACTTTGAAATGATTATGGCCAACATTTTAAAAGATCATTTTGATGGATCTCTAATAAAAGTTAGTTTTGATTGTACCAACAACTAGTTTTATTTCGTCTCTGAAAACGTCAATCGAGGTGTTGTTGCTATAAATTTCGCAGTCTAACGGTATAATTGCATTGAAAAATAAGGAACTAAGACAAAAATAAAATTTTTCCATGTATAATTATGTGGAAAAAATGAAGAAATGTGATAAAAATATAAGTAGAAAGCAATTTAATGAGCTGGAGGAATAACAGATTATTTATTTAATTTTCCTGGTGCACAGAAAATGTTCACTTGATAAATGTGCTTATAAGACAGGACTGGTTTACATACACATTGCTAAAATTTTACATAGTCCAATCTGGAGAATAATCACATACGGTTAGTGACACCTTTTAGAAATTTCGTGATTTTGTTCATTTCTAGCTCCTCCATGAAACCTAGAAAAGTTTTCTACTTACAGTGTGTATGCTAGCCACAGTGATTCAGATGTAATGTCACTAATATCAAAATATGCTACACTATCTGTGCTGTCTTCTATAATAGGTACAATTCTAGAGAAAAAGTATTTTTCGTGGCTTATTTTCATGTCTTTGACCTCATCATCCGCAGCTGGCGAGATCAGAGATGGCCAGATTCCATATTTTTGCTAATACATTATAACAATCTACTGAGTTCTCACGCACTTTGAAAATTAATAGGGTTGGTGGAGAATTGTCCTTCTTGATCTTCCTAGAAGACATTGCTATTTTGGCTTGCATGATATTCTCCCTTGGATGTAAATTTAAGGTCATTTAACCTGTTCTCAGCCACTTCTGGATACCAGCTACCCACAGTCTAGTACCCAAAAAGAATTCCTATAGAGGCTACTGTGCTCCTCTTGGGATTCATTTTTCCCCCCAAAAAAACCTAATTTAATGTGAAATCACCTGTAGCAAAAGTGATTAGGCAGGAGATGTCTGAGATTAAACATTTCAAAAGGCATTATCCTTGTCCTCAAATATGTGTATCATTGCTAAGGGACCCAGCTGAAAATTATTTGAGAAAAGAGGAAAACAATCCACAACATTTGTTTTTGGTTCTCCAATTGTGTTTTCACTACAGGTAAATATATATATATATATAAAAAATACAATTTAAATATATATATATATATAAAAAATACAATTTAAAAATATATATATAATAAATACAATTTAAATATATATATATATCTTTGTATAAAACAGTGTTCCTGAATATGCTGGCTTCATAGAGAAACTTCTGGAAGTTCTAAAAACAAAAGTTAATAAACAGGTTTCTGGCCAGGCACGGTGGCTCACACCTGCAATTCCAAAACTTTGGGAGGCTGAGGTGGGAGGATTGCTTGAGACCGGGAGTTGGAGACCAGCTTGGGCAATATGGTGAGACCCTGTATCTGCAAAAAGTAAAAATATTAGCCAGGTGTGGTGGCGTATGCCTGCAATTCCAGCTACTCAGGAGGCTGAGGTGGGAGGATCACTTGAGCTCAGGAGTTCAAGACTCCAGTGAACTATGATCACACCACTGCACTCCAGACTGGGCAATGTAGCAAGACCCTGTCTTGTGGTAAATAAATAAATAGGTTTCTTCTGAAACAGAAGTTTTATTTTACAAGTCTTGGTTGTAGTGGTTGTTCTTTGCTTTTGTTTTTGTTTAGGAGATTTTGTTTGCATGTAAATATTTTTAAAGCCTCTATTTTTCCTGACTGTACAAAAATGGTTTGTACACATTAATTTATTCTTTCTCTATTGAACATATATTTACTCATCCATCATTTAGCCAATGTTATGGGCCAAATTGTGTTCACCCCACCAAATTCATATGTTGAAGTCCTAACCCCCATTATCTCAGAATGTGACCATCTTTAAACATAAGTCTTTATAGGGGTAACTAAATTAAAATGAGATCACTATGGAGAGCCAGTATTCAGTATGACTGGTATCCTTGCGATAAGAAGAAGACATTTGGACACAGGCACAGACAGGAGATGACCATCTACTAGCCAAGGACAGAGGAATGGAACAGATCTTTCTCTCAAAGCTCTCAGAAGGAACCAACCCTGTTGACACTTTCACCTGAGACTTCTAGCCTCCAGTACTGTGAGAAAATAATCTTTTATTATTTAAGCCACTCCATCTAAGGTACTTTTTTTTTTTAACACAGCCTTAGCAAACTAAAAGCCAATCAATGGAAATGTATTCAGCAATCAACTACATGGAAGTTCTAGACTGTAAAGAAAATACAAAGAAGGCTTCAAGAGATGAGGATAGCTGATACTGATATAAAAATGAGATAATAAAAGGGAAGACTAGATAGTGGGGAATAGAAGAGAACCAACATTTCTGGAATATCTAGAGATGGCACCCATCCACCAGGTGTTTAACATGAGTAACTCAATGCAGAACACACCAGCTGGAGTGTACCAGAGGGTCCCAATAATAGCTGTGAGTACCTGATTTCTCTTAGTCTTCTCTCCCACAAAAGTACAGCAATCTTTGTTAAAAATCTCTCTCTTCTATTTCCTCGACAAAGAAAGAAGATCTGGGGTGGGGAGTGAGGTGACTGCCTGTATTTACCCTTGCAGACCTCATGATTTCCATATGGAAGCATCTTCCAAGTCATGGGGATTTCAGTCATCATAACCTGGATGACTCTCTTTTTTGATGTACAAAGTGTCTCAGAGGCTCTCTCATTTTCCAATACACTTATGTGTTGCTTAATGATGGGGATATATTCTGAGAAATGCATACTTAGGTGATTTTGTCATTGTGCAAATATCACAAAATGTACTTACACAAACCTAGATAGTAGAGCTTCTTGCTCCTACGCTACAAACCTGTACAGCATGTTACTGTGCTGAATATTGCAGGCAATCGTAAGTATGTGTGTATCTAAACATAGAAAAGATACAGTAAAAAAGTGGTATTATAATCTTCTAGAATCACTGTTGTATGTGCAGTCTGTTGTTGGCCAAAATGTTGTTATGCAGCACAAGAGTGTAATTGAAAATGTTTCCCTTTGGTCACGGAGCTGTTCCTCCATTCACTTCTGAGTTTACCCCACAAAGACCATTTCAACAGAAAACGTAGGTATCACCCTTCACTACCATGGTGGTTTAGATTCCCTCCTGACAAATCCATTTACACTACAGTAGAGATGCACTCTGGATTCAACTGTAGGACTCCACACATTGTTAAATTATCTTAATCTTCCCCACAGCCCTCTAAGAAAGTTATTATTAAGTCTCTTTTATAGGAAAGATCAATATCATATTTTAGAAAAATAGCCAAGTCTGGATTTGAACCCAGGATTCTGAATTTCCATCCCCGATCATGCCCCCACTCCCTTTAAGGATCAAAAGTGGTGGAATCCTGGGCATTTAAATGAGTGTAAACTTTTGGGACCCATGGTAATATTTGAGTCGAAGAGAATTCTGATCTAATCTCATAAAGAAATGGGAGTGAACCTCTTTCTAATTGAGAATCACCTGAGGAACTTTGAAAACACAGATGCCCAGGGTTGCCTTTCCAGACATTGGTTTCAGCTGCTCTGAAGTGAGAACAAGTATCAGTATTTTTAGAAGCTCCCTGGACAATTGTATTATACTATACAGCCAGGTTGAAAAGTACTGCTATGAATAGTAGCTGTATATTGTTGAGAAAATAAAAGGTAAAAATGGGGAATATATGCTATTAGGATTTCAAAGCAAATTAATAGAACCATTAATACTTAGCTAAAGAGTTTCTATTAATTTAATAGAAATATGCAAAGAAGCAAAAGAGAAATCAACATAAAACCGATCATTTTTTCCCTTCAAGAATGTATAGACATTATTATTATTAATCTTTTTAAAGTTGTTTGGTGGGATACCAATTGGTTAAAATGGGAAAAAAAATACTTAGAGAATCAAAACCCAGATATGTATGTTCCATGAATTGCCAAAGTGTATATCTTTCTTTATATAAATTTAACTTCTGTAGAAATAATTAAAAACCTCTTGCTGAGAATCTTTTCCGAGCTTATTTTAAGGTCCTTTATCGGGCAACAGTTCATCCTGCTGTCCAGCACTTTCTCATTGTCCCTTAACCAGACTGTTACTATAATGCTTTTCTGAGTACTAAATGCTTTCTTTTTTCCTTGGGCTTAAAAATTGAAGTCATGGTTTTACTATTTGAAAAATCCAAAATTCAAGCTGAACACGGATGTTAGTTACACTGCCATGTTTAAACACTTTTTGATAGAAAATGCTTTATTGTCACTGATTCAAAGCCACAAACATGCTTTGAGTCCAATTCAATATATTTCTTATTTGTTTCTGATTTTCGTTTTTTCCTTTTAATTATTATTAGAAGGTATAAATTTCCAAAAAAGCTTGGCCTTGACAAGGCTCCATTATTTGCACATGACAAGGTTTATCAAAAACAGTTGGATTTTTCTAAGGAGTCTTTTATGTTTCCTCCATAAAATATAAATAAATGAAAAGGATTAGACTGAGGAAACGGAGTATAATTCATCACCAATGTGAAACACAGTCAACAGGTTGCAGATGGATGAACTGTAGAACTTGGGATACTGCTCCAGGCAAGAAAATGCTCTTGCCCATGCCAACATCACCGGCATCTTTAACTACAGTAAAGGAGCAGGGCCGATTTTGTGGTTTGTGATGTCATCTTAATTTATTAGCCTTCTTTTGTTTTTTAGTGTTTGGTATATAACTCTAAAGTTGGGTTTGACTCCTGAAAATCTATCATATTCTCAACTATATTTGATTCTAAGCTATACTTAAGGCTCCTCTCCCCATTCCTCCTCTTCTCTTTCTCTCTCTCTCTCTCCAAACAGAAAAATAAAACAATACAAAAACACACAAAGGCATTTACCACTGCAAAGACAGTGGTTTATTAACAGACTTTGCATTTCCAAACAAATAGTTAGCAATTTAAAAAAAATCATTTTTATGCGTATAAATGCAACATTGCTCTACTCTTACAAAATCAAATATTTTAGCTAGTTTGACCTAAAACGTAAAATTACTTTGGCTTCTATATCTGGCTCTAATTTTGTCTGCACTGTGCCTATGCAGTCTCATTCGTGGTGAAATAGAAATTCATGGCACAATTTCTCCCTAAAATCTGTCTGAACTTGCAGAAATAAGAGACTTTTCAAGTTCCATATTCTTTCCCTGAACTTCCATTCCTATCTAATAATAATAGAGTGCTTTATAGCATATAAATCACACTTCTGTTTAAAAGTCACCTTCCCTGTGACCTTTTTGTCTCTGCCTGTCAGCACGCATTCTTCTAGTAATAATAAGCCCTAGCCAGGAATAAGTGCCCAAAATTAGACTGATTCCAGGAACCGCCCATATGAAGGCTGGAATATAGCTCATTTTGAAGTTAAATAACTTAACAGCTTTCCCCAAAAGTAGACAGGAACTGGATGTGTCATTTTAAACAGAGAAAAGTTTACCAATTTTTGAAAAGGAGAAAAAGAAAATATGCCAATAAGTTTGCAGTTTGAGAAATCCCTCTAAAAATGATAATCTAAACACATTCACACCATCATCTGTTAAAGCAGAATTAGGAGTTTCTTTTTAATTCTAGGCCAGTTCTTAGAAGCCACAAGAAATTGGAAACTTTGTCTGTTATCCTTTTAACCTAGCATTCTTTGGATCTCATAATTCTTCAAAATTTAAAATAATATACCATTATGATTCATTTTAGCAGAACAAATTTACTTTATGTTTTAGAAAGGGTGGGGGTTGCTGTGTTGTCCAGGCTGGAATCCAGTGGCTATTCACAGGCACCATCCCACTACTGACCAGAACGGGAGTTCTGACCTGCTCTATTTGTGTGTATGTGTATTAACCTTCATTTACAAAGCTTCAGTACAAACACCATAAGCACACAATTTTCTGGTTTTAATATTTTCCCAATAAAATAATCCCACTTAATGGCTATAACAACGTATCATTTGCTTAGGGAAAAAAGAAGGATATAAGATTGAGTCTTGAGAGGGGAAGCCCCAGAAAGATTTTAAACCGACTAACTGGTAATAGAGGGGCATTTTGTTCTCTTTTCAAGCAAATAATTTCATTTTAAATCTCTGGTGTAAATTTATACAAACCTTACTTTGGAGTGAATCATAATGAAAAAGCAGCTTTCTTCCATTAGATCAATAATTATCCAACCTATTTTGCATTCAAAGTTGACTTTTAACTGTGAGAAAATTGCTTTTACCTAAATACACAGTTAGCGAGGCAAAGGAGACCAGCTGTGCAGTGGCCCAAAATATTAATTACTTCCTTACTATTTAAGCTGTTTGGACAGTCCTGTCCAGAAAGAAATAAAGGAGGAACATGGGCTGTCCCCAAGATCACAGAATCATAAAACATCAGCCCTATCACATGTCTTGGAGATTATCCACAATAGCATTTCCCAGCATGCATCAGGGGATATAAATAGTACCCTAGGAAGAGGGTGTCTCAGTCAAGGATTTGGGGATGCTGAGCACGCTGTATCTCCTCTAGATATTCACTTTCTGCACTAACACATAATGGACACTGAGAACAGCGAGTTGTTTCCAGGGAAAGCAGCCCAAGTACCTGTGTGAAATCTAGCGTTTCCTGCATTTAATTGTTCATTGTGGGCCGGGCGTGGTGGCTCACGCCTGTAATCCCAGCACTTTGGGAGGCTGAGGCGGGTGGATCACGAGGTCAGGAGATCGAGACTATCCTGGCTAACACGCTGAAACCCCGTCTCTACTAAAAATACAAAAAATTAGCCAGGCATGGTGGTGGGCGCCTGTAGTCCCAGCTGATCGGGAGGCTGAGGCAGGAGAATGGTGTGAACCCGGGAGGCGGAGCTTGCAGTGAGCTAAGATCGCACCACTGCACTCTATCCTGGGCGATACAGTGAGACTCTGTCTCAAAAAAAAAAAAAAAAAAAAAGAAACAAAAAAAAATTGTTCATTGTGCACACTCCTGTCTCTTCTATACTTAATTTCCTGGGAACAATGTTCTTAGGACACTAATTTGAAACTCATTGTTTAAGAATAATAGAACAAAGTCCAGAGAAGCAAAATACCAGCCCCGAGATCTCATAGAGATCAATGCTAGAACCCCAGCCTCTAACGCTCACACATTTTTGCTGGACACCTTCAAAGAAGAGACGAATTTACATACTATCTGTACACAGATGAGTTCTTTGCTTGTGACCAGCCCATATGCTTGTTTTTATTCAGTGAGATGTTTTCATGAGAGACAACTTTCTAGGTCCGCAGGAGCCACAGGCCACATGAATGATCATGGCAGTTATGGAAACATAACCTTTCAATAACATCCTATCCAATCACACACAAAGACACATGGCTATATACACGGGTAAGATGAGTGCAATAGAACATAAAAGAGTCATACTCATATGTGAAGGACCTGCCTTTAATAAATATCACCCTAACATCTGGTTCACTGGCTAAGTCCCCCTGAGTATCTTCAAGTGGACCCGGAATCTCACGCTCTTCCCCCGGAGTTTATGAAGGTTCAGGAAGCACACAGCGAGAGAAGGTTTCTTTCTTCTTCTCTTACTCACATCTGTGTACAACTTTGATTTCTCTCAAATAAAAGTGGATGAGTTCACAAGTCAACCCTATTGCTCAAAGCATAGTAGAGTATGGAGATCTGGAGATACTGACTGCTCTGGCTTGGGATGGGTCTGTGAGCCAAAGTTCAAAAGGGACTGTTAATGGATTAGAAGAACCCTTAATGGTAAGCAGAGGGAAACTGCCAACAATTGCAGGGCTCTGCTCCTCCCCACTGTCCTGTCTGCTCCAATCAGCCCCATCAGTCCTATCAGCAACTTTCATCACAGCTGAGTCCTTTGAATGGCCACAGTGGGCCAGGTGGGAGATGGGCCAGGCTCTGGAGATTCTTCAGAATTGAGTTTAAAAGGAGGATGAATTGGCAGGTGGCAGTTGAATTATAGAGTCCTACTCTCTTGTTCGTGTCAGCAGCAAGCTATTCTTCTTTGTCTCAGAGACAAACTGCAGGCCCCAGGCCTATCAAAAACAGTGACATAGAACCATAAAGATCTCGGTGGAGGAAAAAGAAACAATGCTTCTTTTCCTTATGGAAGTGATTGCTGATCAAATCACCCTGTTTAAATACCAAGGCAAAACAACACAGAGGCAAAAACTTCTCTGCATCCTTAATCATTTGTGGGACTGTTTCTCTTCAACACTAGCCCTACATTTCTGCAGGATGTGGTACTTTTCTTTATTATTTTCCCTTTAAGTCAAACTCTGGTGCAGGGCCTCTCAGAGTTTAGTGTGCATACAAATCACCTTGAGATCTTGTTAATATACAGATTCTGAGTCAAGAAGCCTGGACTGGGGCCTGAGATGCTGCATTTCTGTCAAGCTCCCAGGTGATACTGTTGCTACTGGTCCACCACCATATTTTGATAGTCAAGGCTCCAGTATATTTCAAGCATGGCTGAGTCACTGCAATTGTTAGCATTACATGTTCACAAGCCAGTCACTCAGCAGTAGATTGAATTCCCAAATAGCTGTTTTGAGTCGGTATTAAAAGTAGAGATGGTGACTCTTTTTTCTAAAGTAAAAAGAATGTTACTGAGGATAATTGAATAAAATGAGGACATTTTCAATCAGTCATTTCCTTCGATTTATCATTATAGCTCATGAGCTTCAAAACGGAAAATGAATGATAATGAATATGAATCGAGTGTCACTTACCTGAACTTTTACTCTCCTGTAAAAACAAATGCAGATATTATACCCCAAGGGCACCTCAGAACTCTTCTCTGTAAACCTCACCTTTGCCAGACAGGGCCAAATATCAGAAGGGAAATTAGGTCAACATTTGAATGAGTTTTGTATATTTTTGAAATTTGATCCATTTTTATTCACTTTGGGCAATATAAAGGTCAAACTCTGCACTTGAAAAAATGCATTTTAATCATGATGACTTATCCCAGCCAGTCATCCTGGAAATGTATTCCAAGGTGCTCAGTCAATTTTTTCCTTTTGAACAACTAACCACGATTTTCAGAAAACAAAATGCATCTGGCTGATTAAGTCACTGAATCAGCCAGAAGCTTCTAACTTGTGTAACAGAGAATAGGAATGGTGATGAAAAGCCTCGGAACTGCTAAAGATCTGTGATGAATATGGCCTTTGTCATCTACAAGAAATAGCATAAGACCCAAGGTATCCCCCATGTGTGCAAGAATGAACTTAATGATTCAAATCCAAGATAACTTTCATGACCCACTTTCATGCTGTTTTTTCTTTTTCTTTTTTTTTTTCCCTTGAGATAGGGTCTCACTCTGTCGCCCAGGCTGGAGTGCAGTGGCAAGATCACAGCTCACTGTAGCCTGGCCCTCTTGGGCTCAGGCAATCTTCTCACCTCAGCCTTCTGAGTAGCTGGGGTCACAGGTGTGCGTTATTACACCCAGATAATTTTTTAAAATTATTTTTTGCAGAGACAGGGTCTCACTATGTTGTTCAGGTTGGTCTCAAACTCCTGGGCTCAAGCAATCCTCCCATCGTAGCTTCCCGAAGTGCTGCAATTACAAGCATAAGCCACTGTGTTTTGATCATCGTCATCGTATGTGGGATCAATTGTTCCTTTCTACTATTCTACATTTATAAGTTGAGTTGGTATACGCTTTCTGCCTTTGTCTGTAGATTGAAAGCTGCTTGCTTTCAATCTCATTTTGAGATTGCTCAGAGAGTCTGTCATAGAATCTTACATAAAGGCCCAGTCACTGTTTATTGAATAGAAAAGCTTATCCCAAAGATGATATTAAGAACAATATTTCCTGGTTTGGTTATAGAGGAAAATGACATTTGAGGTTAACTAAATATAAAACAAGATAAATCATAAACAATATTCTTTACATAAATTTCTGATTCTTCTTTATTTTGGAAAGATTTTTTTTTCCTTTTTTTTTGAGACAGTCTTGCTCTGTCACCCAGGCTGGAGTGCAGTGGTGCGATCTCAGCTCACTGCAACCTCCACCTCCCGGGTTCAAGCAATTCTCCTGCCTCAGCCTCTCGAGTGGCTGGGACTACACGCACACACCACCATGCCTGGCTAATTTTTGTAATTTTAGTAGAGACAGGGTTTCAACATATTGGTCAGGCTGGTCTCGAACTCCTGACCTCAGGTGATCCACACACCTCAGCCTCCCAAAGTGCTGGGATTACAGGCATGAGCCACCGTGCCTGGCCTGGAAAGATCTTGAGGAAACTTTAGGTCAGGATAAAGCACTGCCCAAACTCACCCGAAGTAATTGAGAAACCATTCAAAAGGAGGAGAGGGAGTTGTAGGATGAGGTTCTTCCTATGAAAGAAGAATAGCAGAGAGAAAACTTACAGTTTGTTTGGGGGCCTTGCGTACTTTAAAACTAGGCTGGTGGACTTGGAGAAAGCTGTACTGACGATGATTTCTGCGTATACAATTAGAAGAGATGGTGGCTTTACTTTTGATTTTCATTATCATGTTTATTCAAATGATAGAGACAATTATATAGTGAGAAAGGTAAAAACACCTATGACTTTGTTCCCTTGTTTTCCTTCAATACTGATCCAAATACAAGAGTCTCATTGTTAGCAATGTGAGCTCTGTTTAAAAGTCAAAATTAGTTCAATTATAAAAATTGCATGATGAGCATTGGATTTCAACATAGTACAGTAGGCTTTGTTTTAATCGAGAAGTAACATTAATCACGTGAGAGTATTTTAAACAAAAATGTTTGTGTAAGTTCTTACCTCCTCTTCTCTCATCTACTCTGCTATGTCAACCAATTCCCCACCTGCCCTCCTAACTTTGATTATGCCCTTTAGTCCTTTTACTCTTCCCTTCTCCTCTCCTCTCCCACTCCGTCCTTCTCCCTTGTTGTCAAATCATCTTTTTATTTCAGGAAGGACCTCAAGTCATGAAGTCAAGTTGGGATTACTTTACTGTAGAACTTTCCTTGGAGTCCCAATGTAGAGACATAAATTTTAATGACATTTAAGAGAGATTTAGATAAAGGTGATAATTAATGGAAGGAGCAGTACCAAATGCTATCAATTAAGTTTATTATCTTGAGCACTTAAAACTACTTCTTGTGTTTGCATTTGCAGAACATTGCAGAGAAGTGAAGCCAATATCCCTTCTCTTCTGTCGGTAGATTTGTTGCAGTTTATCAACACACACACACACACAGATAGAATCCAACAGTTCCAATAATGTGTTCCTCATTTGTTTATGTTGGATACACTCTTTGTTTTTCCTGTATCTGGGGACTAGCGTTTATATTTGTTCATTCTCAGGCTTTATTCCATTCCTAATGCCACTGACAATTTAATGAAGGATTAATCTGCTATATGCATAAAATTTATTTAATTCACTACTAAAAGAAAGCACTTAGCTTAATATAATTTTAAGTTAGTCTTTTGAATTAGAACACAGTTTAAAATTCTTTACTTTTCCTAATATTTTTCATAACTTTGGAGGTGTTTGACATGGATAGAGAAGACAAGTGTCATGAATAATTCAAAACTCCTAAAATATTCAAAACAAACAAACAAACATTCAAATGATCCACAGGCTAGATATCCTTAAAGAAAGTTACTTCTTAGTAAAGTAATACTTCAGTGCTATAAAATCCTTCCTTCTAGGGACATAAAAAGTTATTAAAAAACTAGGTCTACATTTTTAAGGTGTGAAGTTGGCATCCTAAGAATTGATTTTATTTTACACTGGATTATTAATGTAGCCTACTTTTATCTGAGACAGTGTTTCAGTATAAATTGACTAATGACATCATCATTAACTTGGTTTTTATTTAATCTTCTCAATATGTTAGTTTTTATAGGGTAAAGGCTATAGGACAGAAACTTGTTAGTGTCAGAATCCACTGATGTTCTTTTGCTGACAAAACATCGTAAATTTCTCTTGATATTGGGATAAACTGTGTTCCTCTTTATACTTTGTCTTTTCCCTCTCAGTCTGGAGAGGATAAACAGCTGTCATTACTACAGATTTATGATATTAGGCTTTATAAAACATGCCTTGGGAAAAAGCTCATTGAAAAGTCTCTGTGAAGCAGTAAAGTTTTGCTGTGATTCTTGAGTGTAAACCAAAAAACAAGATAGTTTACTACCAAGCTCAGTTGAAAGCCACTGCAGTTTTGTTGGTTCTCCCTTTCAATAATTCTGTAAAGCTCATATTCATATCAAAATTGAAAAACAAAGCTCATTAAGATCCTTACACGTATATTACCGTAGAGGTTGTGCTGAATAACTTATTTAGGTCACTGCCATATTTATTGCACCACTGAAAACCTGGCATTTGTAAATATTTCTTATTTTTATGGGGTGATTATAGGGTGCTATGCCTTACACAAAATTCTCTTACAAGATTTTTTCTATTCATTGGCTAATACGTAAAGTGTTTGGCATCCTTACTTTTGTTTCAAAAATCAAAAGATCAAAATAAAGTAAAAAGGGAACACAAGGACATTTCCAAGCTAATAATATACTCAAAATGTAGGTTGCTGTGCTCTTTTAATACCAAAGTTGACTAAATTCTCTTAAAACTGATGGGATCCCCAGTCTCTGAAGTGAAAGAACAAGCCCATCAAACAGTCTGAATTCACTCAAGTTAAAATTTGGTTAAAATATGAAGGATTACATACCATCTACTGCAAAACGCAGCCTGGGATTTCAATAACTACAAATTCAATCTAAGTCTTGACCTCATTTCAAAGACAAAATTTCTACGGTCATAGTCTTGAAACCTGAGTGGAGAGTTCAGAATAGCCAGCATAATAATAACGTTTTAGCAACTGAATATATTCTATGATATGGGCCAAGCATAGATCAGGCCAAAATTTATCTATCACATGTTCTATTTCTTTTAAAGAACTATATTTATGGGCATTGCTTATTTAAAATATCTTTCTTTTGCTGAGCTTGTAGTCATGGAATGTACTTTCCTTGTTGTTTCTATACCTCCTGATTATGTATTCATTTTTCATTTGTTCACCACATTTACTGTGAGGATGCCATGTGCTCGGCCCTTCTCAGCCTCAGTGTGAAGAGGAAGTGCCCAATCAGGATTTGAAGTGAAATCCAAAAGGGCCAAAACAAAAACAAAAAACACCTAACAGAAAGAGAATGCCTTGCACTAAAAACTGCATTCACATTTAAATTTTCACTGAATTGACACCACAGCTCCTCATATTTACCTTCTTCTCACCCTCCACATCCCCTTGGAGAAATGGTCCATTTTTCAAGTGCTTGCATTTTTAATAAGGCTGCTCAAAGATGAATAATAATAATTTTTAAAAATGCTGATGAAGAATCAAGTATCAATCAGTATTCCACAGGGAAACAGCCACTCAAATGGAGTAATTGAAGAGAGCTTAGTGAAGGAACTGTTTATGAAGGGGCTGGGCTCCAAGACATGAAAAGGAAAGGTGCAACTAACACTGGGAAGCAACACCAGGAAGCACATGGTAGAGGCCTGAAGAGGGAAGTGAGGGATAGAGGGTTACTGAGGTCTGGAGAGGCTAGAGCTATGTTTGAGAAGAGATGCCTGACAGAAAGCTTTGGCCTTGGCTAAAGGAACACAGCCATTGTCAATTGAACCCACAGCAAGGCAGAGAAGAAGCTCAAGAAATAAATACTTCTGTTCCTTGATATTCCTGCAGGCTTTCTTTCTTTTCTTTTCTTATTTATTTATTTATTTATTGAGATAGGGTCTCACTCTGTTGCCCAGGTTGTGGGTGCACTGGCTTGATCTTGGCTCACTGCATCCTCCACCTCCCAGGCTGAAGCAATCCTCCTACCTCAGCCTCCCAAGTAGCTGGGACTACAAGCATGCACCACTGTGCCCAGCTAATTTTTGTATATTTTTGTAAAGGTGGGGTTTTGCCATGTTGTCCAGGCTAGTCTCGAACTCCTGGACTCAAACAATCAGCCCACTTTGGCCTCCCCAAACTGTTGGGATTACAGGCGTGAGCCACTGCACCCAGTCACCTACAGGCTTTCAACTAACCAATGCCAACCAGAAGCCAGAGGGCAAGGGCACCCCATTAGTGCAGTCCATGGACATTAGTCTCCCAAGGTCCAGAGCAGAGTGGAGAAGAGGAAAGAATTGATCTGGAAGGGTAAAGGCTATCCAACACATATAAAAATAAAAATTCTTATCCACAATAGGCAAATCCATTGAGAAAGAAAGCAGATTAGTAGTTGCCATGGGATGGGGCAGGGGACAATGATCAGTGACTGCTAAATGGGTAGAGGGTTTCCTTTTGGGGTAATAAAAAAGTTCTGGAACTAGATAGCAGTGGTGGCTACACAACATTGTGAGTGTACTTAATGCCAGTGAATTGTACATGTTAAAATAATGGAAACAGTAAATTTTATGTTACCTGCATTTTACCACAATAAAAAATAATGATTCCTATACAACAATTTAGGGAAAAAAATGGTGAATCCTTCTGTCTCAGATGTAAGGGGCAATTATATTTAATGTTTGTCTCAAAAGTTGAAAATGAAAATCATTTACGTAGACAATTAAATCCAATGAATAAAATGCTGATTAAACTGACATAAACCTAACAACAATCCTGTTGACTTGATTAAAAACATTTGCAAATTTGTGCAAGCTTTATGCAAAGTTTATGTACACATTTTAAACACAGACATTTAGCTTAAGAAAATAGCTGTATTTTATAATATGTACCTTCTCTGCTTTTTCTTTGGTGGCAAACAAGTTTATATCACTGAAGTTTCTCTTAAGTCTTAGAATTCAGTAGCTGGTTCCAATGTGGGAATAGAGAAATTAAAAGTATTGGAGAACTGAGCTCCAATTTACATGAACTCAATTGCGGTTTAAAACAACTAAATAGAAGTACCGAAGGATAAGACTTTTTATGGCTCACATGAGGAAACGATTCCAAACCACTGTTTTCTCTAACAAGGAATTCCTTCAGTGTATTTTGGAAACAATTCTATAAATGTCAGTATGTTTTATGCTAATTCTTCATGTACAATGCATTAATTTTATAGGGACTTAAATCACTAGGGTTTATTATTCCTTTTACATTGTATGCTTCTTTGAGAAGAAACATGACTCCTTGATTTATCTTTATACAGTGCTTTAATTGTCTAATGGTATTGGGTTTTTAATAATGGGTCAGATTCCCTTTGAATCAAGTTTGATGATAATTTTTGAATGGCACCAAAACTCAGACCTCCCGTTTGGGTATGTATACCTTCCTAAGATTAGCGGTGTCCTCTTGATTGGGGGATGGTTATAAATAGCTTTTAAGGTGATTTCCAGGCCTAACATTCTATTATTGACTTATAACTGCACTTTAAAGGCTTAAACACACACAATCCCATTGAATCCTCAAGATACTTCCATTGGCAGGCAAGTATTTTCCTTGTTTTGTAGATGAGGAAACTAAGGCTTAGAGAGATTATGTTACTTTCTCAAGAGTAACTCAAGATTCACAGTTAGTTTTCATTCTAAATAGTTTCATTCTAAAACTATTCTAATAGTTTTCATTCTAAAACTATTACACCATCAAATCTGGAGTTATATCCTGAGCAGATGAATATGCTTTCTCTACTTGTATTTCAATGGAGATAAGCCTAATATATCTTAAAGTTTTCTTATAAATAAGCTTTATACTCTGGATCAAAGGATTAGTTTCATCTAATTTATTGCATTCATTTAAAGGAGACTAGTAAGTATGAGTTCAGTTTTGCCAGCCTATGTAAAGAAAAACAAACATTGACTTCAATGAATTATAAAAGCTACAATCCTCTAACAGTGTTTATATTAAAATGATTCATTGTTTGTTAATAAAGGCAAAAATAAGAATTAACCACTGCTTAGATTTTAAATATGTCCTTTAAATGTTATCTCATTTTCTCTTTTACAAAACATTCCTATTGTTTTCACTTGGAAAGATATTGTGAACACTTTCCTTTGACCATACATATTCTACTCACTTATATTTTATGATCATATAAACTTTATATTATCTCATTAAAAAATGTACTGTAATTTCCTTAGTCAGTTTTCTTTCGTCTTCTTTTTTTTCACAAAAATAAATTATCAAAATCTTTATGTGGTTTAGATAACTCCCTTATACTATAATCCTATTAAAACATTACTGGTGAGTTTTTATATTTTTAATATTTTTGAAAAAATTTGCCAAGCTTGTTTCCCAGAAATGCTATGAAAATTTATACATAAAAACAGTGCCTGAGATTTACCAATTGCCAATCCTCTTGCAGATATTTTCAAAACTGTATATTTTCTAATTTGATAGTAGAAATTGGTACCTTTTTTTTGGCCTGATTTGAGTGGCTGTGATAATGTACATTTTCCTTGTGTTTATATCTTTCCTAGTTTTGTATATATTATTAGTTTTATTTGTCTTTTGGACATACATTTATTTATCATTCTCTATGTCAATACATTTGGATTTATGTTTAGAAAAGTCTTTCCTACCTCAATAGTATATAAATATTTATCCAAATTTTCCTTTAGTTTTATGATTTTACTTTGATGTAAATGTAATTTTAATACAGCTGGAATATATCTGGGTGTATGTCATAAATATTTTTCATTTTTGTTTCTCTTTTTAAATACATTTAATAGATTGAAATGCAAGAATCCTTTATTTAAAAAGCTATATGCCCATGAACTTGAAAGGTCATATTTATTATATATTAAGCTCTTATATGTAAATGATTTAGTTTTCTTTAAAATATATTTTGTTATCTAATTGCAAAAGTTTTCTCACACTTTGCTTTTTAAGTTATTTTCTTGGAAACTTTGGCTATTATTTCCAGTGAGATTAAAGATTACTTTGACGAGTTTATTAAGTTTCAAGAAAGATCTTTTGGGATATTAATTGGAATGATCTTAAATACTGATTTGAGAAAAAGATTTTTAAGTTTAATTTTGTTTAATTTTTAACATCATTAAAAATGGGATGGGGCATTTTTCTATTGTATTTTCAAAATGGTTATTGTTAACACAAAAGAAAGCTCTTTATTTGTGTGTATATATGTTATAACAGGTTGCCTAACTGAACTCATTCTCAATGTAACTAACAGACATGGTTGAAACTGGCTCTTCTCTGTGTGGTTACTTTGAATTATTCCAGATCTAGCAATGGTAAGCTCCAACAGGGCTTTAGTTTGATAATCATCTGTACTAATTTAGTTATGTATTTGTTCACTCATTTATTCCTTACACAAATATTTATTTGCTTCTTTCTATACTCCCAGGACTGTATCTGACAGCAACAGAGGGCAACAGCCTAGGAAAACAATGTAATAACTAGCTAAAAATTTTACAATAGTTTTGATAGATTTTTAGTGGTTCCCAAGCTTTTGTGGGCATCAAAATCACTTAAGGAAATTGGTAAAAATGTCAACGTTCAGGCCCAGTTCTACTTCAACAAGCCTGGGCTCAGTGGTCTTTGTTAACTCTTCTGATAATTCTGAAACACAGCCAGTTTGAGAATGATTGCCTTAATCTCAGAAATAAACTACAGATGGATTAAAATAGGTTTCACTTATCCTAATAGGGATGATGTTTAATAATATTATTTATTGAGTACTTTTAGAAATGCTTTACGGAAAATAATTTAATTCTGTCAACCAAATTATATGATAGCTACATGATTGTTCCCATTTTACAGGTGACGGCCTGGAGTCTCAGCCAGATGAAGTAACACACCCGGGGCATTTGCCAAAAATATATCACAACAAGGATGGAAATCCAGGCCACTTGGTTGCATTTAGTCACTCTGCTATTTTATATTACTGCTATGCCTCTTCACTTATTTTTTTATATTAATGGGTTTTTAAAATTTAAATACATTCATTTTCACAAGAAGCTTTATATCGTTAGCAAAAATGGAAAACGTATAGGATTTACCAAAAATAGAGAGTGCTTGTAAACATAAATTCAACACACATGAAGCAATATTTCTTAATGCGAGCTTGATACTGTCACCTGGCTTTGAGCCCAGAGCCTCCTTTTGTTTGTTTGTTGTTTAAAGGAGATTAACAAGTGTTTTTAAAAGTTTCAGAGACACACTAAACTTAATCTTAGACATTTTTCTTGATTTAACTGCAAGATTTAAAAGAAAACTAGAAAAGGAGAAATGTAGCTCTATATCATTCAGGGAAATTTAACCATGAGCCTGTGCTGTCTGAAATTATATTTATCCTTTATACATGGACCATATATTGGGGAACAATGTATCAGTGAACCAACTAAAAAAACCACAAGCAAAATAAAAAATATAGTAAGTATGTGTCTAACATTGGGTCAAGGAACCACTATACAGGCATGAAAGCAATAAAATAAATCAGCACCATTGTCAATTTCTTTGATTACAAAAAATTTTAAATAGCATATACCTAAATAAAGAGATGGAGATAAGCAGACAACAAAATCAGAAGACAATTGCAAAATATGTAACAGACTAAATGTTAGCATCTTCTAATAGAATGTATGCATACAAATGTTAAAAATACAAAATAAATGGAGAAATTGAGCAAATCAAGAGTCAACAGTGATTTTTCTTTGGATCATGGCTGATTTATTTTTCTTTTGCTATATTTCTATATTTTCTAGCTTATTATCTGTTAGCACATACTGTTTTTTATATTCTGAAATGATTCTCTAATAAACATATTTAAGAGAGAGTAGAAATGTGAATGAATTTGTAAATAGAGACACAAAAAACAAAATTTATCACAGCAGGTGCTTATATAGAGATAAAATTAGTTCACCTATACTAACCAGAGAAACATGAATCTTATATATAAAGCCTGGTTTTAAAAAACCCATTAATACAATTTTGGCCTACATGAAAAATACGACAAATCCACCAGAAAGAAATGATATCCAAATTGATAAATCTCTCTTTCTCTCATGCTTTGTCTCCACCCCTACTCCCCGCATCCATCCCCATACACACTACAAACTCTTGCAGAATACCATTTCATTCACTAACAGAAATTTAACAGAGCTAAAGGTCTGGCACTGAAAGCTGAAAAAACACATGTATAAATCTCATTTGAGTGTCTTACACATCCTAAAAGATTGGTTAGGCAATAATCAATGTAACCTCACTTTTTAGGTGAGGATGTAGACTCAGCAACTTGACCTCTTTTTAGTGTTCTGTTTCTCAAACTAGCTGTGAACCTGGAATCACCTCCTAGAAGTACTTTGACAAAGCAGTCCAAGCCCTACCAATTAATTCAGCATCTTGGGCTGAGGCACTGGTAATTGATGTGTCTAAAAAATGTCTCACATAATTTGAATATAGAGCCAGATTTAAAGGTAGAAGAGCAAAATTTCAAAACATAGTTTTCTGACTTAAATTTCTGTGAGAATTTTAGTGGTCCTGCCCCCAGGAGGTATATTATTCAAATATGCCAGTCTTAAAGCATATTATTTTGTTATGGGCAGCTGAGATTTGGCATCTTTAAGATATTTCACTATGTCTGTAGTGATACAGATTTAAGAGCCTAATATGGTTTTGATTTGTGTCCCCACCCAAATCTCATGTCAAATCGTAATCCCCAGTGTTGGATGTGGAGCCTGGCGGAAGGCAATTGGATCATGGGGCCGGATTTCCCCCTTTGGTGCTTGCGATGATTAACACTGAGTGCCCACTTGTTCGGATTGAAGGATGCTGGGTGTGTCTGTGAGGATGTTGCCAAAGGAGATTAACATTTAAATCAGTGGCCTCGGAAAGACAGACCCACCTTCAATCTGGGTGGGCACAATCTAATCAGCTGCAGTGCTGCTAGAATAAAAGCAGGCAGAAGAATGTGGAAGGACTAGACTAGGTAAGTCTTCTTGCCTCCATCTTTCTCCCGTGCTGGATGCTTCCTGCCCTCCAACATCAGACTCCATGTTCTTCAGCTTTTGGACTGGACTTACGCCAGTGGTTTGCCAGGGGCTCTCGGGCCTTTGGCCACAGACTGAAGGCTGAACTACCAGCTTCCATACTTTTGAGGTTTTGAGACTCGGACTGGGTTCCTGGCTCCTCAGCTTTTAGACAGCCTATTGTGGGACTTCACCTGGTGATCGTGTGAGTCAATTCTAATAAACTCCCCTTCATATATTCTTTTATCCTATTCTGTCCCTTTAGAGAACCCTAATACAGTACCGTTTTTACAAATCTGGATGTTTTAAGATGCGTGGCACCTCCCCTCTCCTCTCTCTCTTCCTCCTGCTCCCGCCATGTAAGACATGCCTGCTTACCTTTCTCCTTCAGGCATGATTGTAAGTTTCTTGAGGCCTCCCCAGCCATGCTTCCTGTACAGCTTGCTGAACTTTGAGCCAATTAAAAGTATTTTTAAAATAAATTACCCAGTCTTATGTATTTATTTGTAGCAGTATGAGAATGGAGTATTATAGAGCCTATTTTTTTTATATAAATGTCTTAAGAAAAATATATTTATCTATAAAGCTAATAAAGGGGAAGTCTAGCATCTATACTTTATCTATGCATCAGGTCTAAAAAGCCAGCAAGGATATTCATTGTAATTTTTCTGTCCAGATTTGGAAAATCATAAATTTTGACAAATTTAAAAGTTTGGAAGCTGAACTACTTGCTAAAGTGTATTAAAACATGTTGGTTTAAAATACATTATGTATTTGACACTTGATTTGAAAACATTTATTATTTTAGAGCAAAAGTATCTAATATGATTGTTTACTATTTTGCCTTAGGATTAAATGTTCAAAAGTTTCAACAGATATCATATGTTAATTTTTAATAACTATATTAATAATGAGTTAATGACCACGTTTAATAATTAATATACTAAATTATACATTTAAGCAAGTTTCTTCTTTATACATTTACTGGACAAGTAATATTCACATTATTTAAACATATGTCTTGCCTGATTAAATTCATGATGCCTATTTCTAAGTCATTTGGAAGCTTTTTGTGAAAGAGTTCATGTTTGCCAATGGTGCTTCATTTCCTTAAATGTTTATGTTGTACCAATTAATTGGTCTCACAGGGTAGAGACCATAGAATTTATTATAGATGCTTGGAAGACTTTCATTTCATCAGCAAAATATTAAAGATGTAACAGATACCCCGTTTATGCTACTAAAAATGTTGAATATGTACTGGCAATTGAAATAGAATTCTATGTAATGAAATAAAAAGATTAGTTTAAAGTATTTCACGTAGTCAGAACTGGGTGAAAATCTTATTTCCATTTAAAAATTTAACAATATAAAATCGATGTATTATGAAATAGCTTTTTTTCTTTTCTTTCTATTAAAAAGCTAATCTCATATCAAAATTTCATAATGAATCACTATAATGATGTTAAACAATGGGGAAAGGATTCCTAGCATAAAGAGGCAGTTAAGTTTAATAAAAAAATACCTGGGTTCTGAGTTTAGCAAGATTCAGTTTCAAATCTCAGCTTAGGTCTTCAGTAAATAAGTAAATTTTAAGAAAGTTTCATAAAGAGTGTAGGCCCCAGTTCCTTAGTTATCAAATAGGTATAAAAAGACATACTTTATATATTTGTTGATATGCAAGAGACAGAAAATATAGAGCAACTGACACAGGATGAAAAACATTTTATTTCTTTCTTTAGTCTAACAAAATCCTGTAGAATTTAGATTGAATCTGATTATAGTCACATATCACCTTGCATTATATGTGACGTGTTTCTCATTTTTTTCTAGACATATTGAGAGCAGAGGTCATGTTTTAATATTTTTAGTGCATGCACAATAAAGATGATAGATGGAAAATACTGAGCAAATAGGTGAATATGCTTATTTATTTATGAAAAGGGTTCTCTTTGTATGCTTTATTAAGGACAATACAGTATAAATATTTCTTCAACTATAGAAAAAGCCTGAGCTTATAAGGGAACTGTAATATGAATTCTGATTTCAAATGGAGAGACTGGTTTGCATCTCTACATTCTTAGATTCTTAACTTTGGATACTGATTGCCCTGACCTGATTAGTCAAGAGTAGACTGTAGGAGAAACATGGTTGACTTGTGGCTTCCGGGACTCACTATTGTGTACGGGAGCCATTCTGTCATAGTAGACAGCAGGAGTCATTCTGTCATGGTAGACAGCAATGTGAGCCCAATTTCTCTCCCCTGTACCCACACCTTCTGCCATGCAACTTTGCAGTATCTTCTCACTGTGGATGGGATGCCACCTTTTTTCACTGGGTTTAACCACATGACTTGCTCTGGCTAATGGAACATTCATAGATAGGATGCAAGCAGAGGCTGGAAATGGGATTAAATTCAAGCTTTCTCCCTTGTGCCTCTGATACTGCCATGAAAATATGCTAGGGCTAGCTTGCTGAAGGATAAGAGGCATATAGAGCAGAGCAACCCCAGCTGCCCCAGGTGACAGCCGGGTGACATCCAGACATGTAAGTAAGCTCACCAGATCAGCACAGCCACCTAGTAAAAATTCCACTGTCCCCAGACATGTGAGCACAAATTAATGGCTGTTTGCCACTAATGTTTTGTGGCTCTTTGTTCTGTGACATTATTACAGCAATAGATAACTATTACAGATGTCCTTAAAAATTATTTTTAAAAGGTGCTGTTGTGAGCTAAGCAAATGCTTTAAAGCAATGTATTTTATGCCTGCTGTGTATTTTTTTTAAAAAAAGCTTATAAATAAATAGAATAATTCCAGATTTTAACTTATAGTTGTTTCAGTAGAAGTATAGAATCGTGACTATTGGGATGAACATGTATTCAATGTAAAGGGTTAATTATCTACACCTGGAAACTGAGTAAGCTTCTCCCTGGTGGCTAAATAATCTCATGGTAGTAAGATGACACTTTTTGTAAGAGCCAAATAAATATTTTTAAAGGATTAAGTCACATACAGTTGAGCTTATGGACACGAAACTCTTTAACAGATATTGATACCAAAAGCATTTTTTTCATATGGCTTTTGTAGCTTTAAGTGTCCTTTTCTAAAAATAGCAACAAATCAATCTATAAACATTTACATTCTCATTACTTCAAATCCCTCCATTTCCTACAAACTCCAAATCCTGACCATTTGCCTGAACTCCAGACAAATATATTTAACTGCCAGCTAGACATTTCCAACCAGAGGTCTGTCAGGCACCTCCAATTCAACACATCCACAGAGAAACCCACTATTTTTCACTGAAAACTGACATGTGGATTTCCTGTCTCTGTGAATGGCTCCACCCATCACATGCCAACACTGAAACCTCCATTGCAAAATTGTAACTGAGACACTGAAAAAGATCTGACCTAACCAACTCCATCTTACTTTTAACCTCCAAGCTGTCCTTGTTCATTCTTGGGTGTGGGCTGAACTGACTTCGGGAGGAACTTAGTGTATAGTTAAAAACAGAGATGATAACAGCCCTTCCCAACACAAACGCGCTTCTTGCCTGGGGACTAGACTGCCTTTGTAAGACTAACAAATTAGCCACAAGATTAGAAATTATGGTTTAGAAGTCATATAGCTGGAGACTACAAGATTCTGACCCTTCTTAAATTACTCCTGGGGATAACATGGCTATTGTAAAGCCTAAGATCAGGGCTTGAGATATTTTACAGACCCTGCACTTGATGGATCAGCTGGCACCACCCAGATGGATAAACTGGCTCATCTGATCTTGTGGACCCCACCTAGGAACTAACTCAGTGTAAGATAGCTTCACCTCCCTATGATTTCATCTCCGACACAACCATCAGCACTCCTGACTCACTGGCTGCCTCGCATCCACCAAGTTATCCCTAAAACTCCTATCCGTGAATGCTCAGAGAGACTGATTTGAGGAATAAAAAAACTCCATTCTCCCACACAGCCAGCTCTGCATGAATTACTCTTTCTCCATTACAATTCCGCTGTCTTGATAAATCGGCCCTGTCTAGGCAGAGAGCAAGGTGAACCCATTGGGTGGTTACAACACTTGAGTCTTCCTTCATTCTTCCTCTTCCCTCATACCCCTTTCCCCAAACCTTGAGGAAACTAAAGTGGTTCACACATTCCCAAAGAGTGGTCATTTTACAATTTGCTTGCCATGCAAGAACCATGTATTTTGTATGTATATGTATGTATGTACTTTTTTTTAGTAATCCAAACTGATTGCTAGAAAATCAAGCCATTCATTTTGTGTAACAATCTGGTTGGGGTTTCAACATAGCCCCAGAGTGCAAAAATGCAAGGCTCTCTTTTTCAATGATAATGCCAAAGCCATTGTTTCTTCATCCACAGGTGGTTTTGAGAACAGCCTTTCAGAGAACCCCAAGAAAGAGGAATTCTCATCTTCAATCAATCCCTTCAGAAATCAAGTTTTTCATTGCAAGGGTTAAGGGGAAGAAAGAGAGTTTAATGTTAAAACACACAAATAGTTATCTGGCATGCATGCCTTAAAGAAATTGTTAATGCCTAAATGCTCTATGCTTTTCAGTGGCCTGGTGCCTGAACTTAAACAGAACTTCAATAAAACTCATACAGAAAAAATAAATGGAATGGAATCTAAGGAGCTCAGCAATTATGTTAGAAATGTTTATCTAAGGAGAAAAAAACTAAACACCAATTTTTAAATCCTTTTTTATTATACAATGTAAAGGGACTGAAAGTTTATCTCTAGACTGCACTGGGCAAATGAAATGCATATGTGTTTGTGTTAGGGTTCTACAGAGAAACAGAACCGATAATATATACAAAGAGATTTGTTAAAGGAATTGGCTCAGTAGTAATGGTGGTCAAGAAGTCTCATGATCTGCCTTCTGCAGGCTGGAGAACCAAGAAAACCAATGGTGTAATTCAGTTTGAGTCTAAAGGCCTTTGAATTGGAAGGCTGGTGGTATAAGTCCCTGTCTGAGTCTGGATGTCCCAAAACTAGGAATACTGATGTCCAAGGGCAGGAGAAAATGAACATCTCAGCTCAAGGAGAGAGAATGAATTCACTTTTCTGCCTTTTTATTCTATTTAGACCCTCCATGGATTGAATGGTATACATCCACATTGGGGAGGGCTGTCTGCTTTACTCAGTTTGCCAATTCAAATGCTAATATCTTCCGGAAATAGCCTCAGAGACACACCAAGAAATATCGTTTTACCAGCATTCTGGGCATCCCTTAGCCTATTCAAGTTGACTCTTAAAATTAACCATCACAGTGTTGAATATATACTGTTTTTCCCAAATAATAGAAATGCCATGTAGCTTATTCAGTTCTGCTCTTGGTGTGAAAATCCTGAGTGCACAGTCTGTACTGCCTTGAAGAACCTAGGAGACTGAGCATATGAGGATCTTGATGGTGGCACACCTTCTCCAACACAGGTACCTTTCTGCACCTATTAGAGACTTTAACAAGCAATGAATGAAACTGCCATACTCAGTGTGACTGATTCACTTTGGGTTTATAGTGAGCAGCAAGTACTTAAGCAGGAACAACGCGATCTGATGCAACCAGGTGGGGTTTGTGTGTTAATGATAAGATGCTATGCCCACTACTGCGATGTGGGGTAGGGGGTCCAATTTTATTCTAATTTTTATTCTAAAGAAGAAAAAGTTTGCACCCACTCATCCTTGTTGCTCCATTATTCAGAAGCATAGAAGATTCAGAATTGAAGTAGTAAAAACCTGAAAGGGTCATAAAACCAGTAAAAGGAAGCTCAGTCCCCAGTAATAAATGACCTGAAGCAGCAATCATTTGGGCAGCTGATATCCCAAAAAGTAAGCTGTAGATTCTGTATCTAAAGCACTATGTGCACTCATCAAAGCAGAGACTGACCATTTCCTTAATGTGATGTTGCTCCTGTTCTAAATATAAGAAATCTCAAAGCATAAGATCAGAACAGTGAGTGTACACCAAAAATACCTTTAGCAAGCTTGGATAACACAGGGAGACCGAGAACCCAGGCAAGATCTAAATAAAAATAGAGATAGGAAGAGCTTAAACAATTGATTAATCAGACAACTGGAAATGGACATTAAAAATCATTATTAAATACTTATAATTTGATGAATATAATCATTTCTAATTAAAAATTGACTTCACAGAGGCATGAAGATTAAATGTCAATACAGTTGACCCTTAAACAACTGGGTTTTGAACTGCATGGGTCTACTTATACAGGGAATTTTTTCAATAAATACAATTGGCCCGCCATATAGGCAGGTTTCACATCTGCAACCAAACACAGGTCAAAAATACAGTACTCACAGGATATGAAACCCATGTATATGAAGAACAAACTTTTCATTTCAATGGGTTCTGCAAAGCTGACTGCTGGTCTTGAATATCCCGGATTTTGGTATCTGTAGGTGCTAGAACCAATTCCCCAAGGATACTGAAGGATGACTGTATTTGTAATTATTTAAATTAGTAATAATTTAACAATGTGTTTGGCATACAGTAAGTATCCAGGTAATACTAAATATTAGATACATAGTTTTTATTTCAAAGTAGGAATTTAGTGATTCTCAATGGATTCTTTGGCTGCTTAATAAAATCTTGAGTTTAATATGAGTTATTTTTCTAGGTAAACCAAAGAGGCACACATCAGTTATCTTTTGCTGAATAACAAATTACCCTAAAATTTAGTGGCTTAAAACAACAATATTTATTATCTCATAATTTCAGGTCAGGAATCTGGACACAGGTTAACTGGGGCCTCTGGCTCAGGGTCTCTTACAAGGCTGTAATCAAGATGTTGATGGGGCTGCTGTCATCTCCAGACCTGACTGAAGTCTGAAGAATCCACTTCCATGCTCACTCATACAATTGCTGACAGGATTCAATTCCCTGCTGGGTTGTGGGGCCAAGCACCTCCGTTCCTCACTGGCTGCTGGCTGCACACTGCCCTCCGTTCTTTGCCATGTGGGCCTCTCCATAGGGTGTTCATGGCATGACAGTTGGTTACATCAAAGCAGGCAAGAAGAGCCAGGCAGAACAAGTGCAACAAGATGGCAGTCAGAGTCTTTTGCGATCTAATCTTGGAAGTGACATCCCATCACTCTTGCTACATTCCATTCATTAGAAGGGAATCCCTAGTCTGGTCTATGCTCAGAGGAGGGAAATTACACAAGAATGTGAACATTAGGAGTCACGGATCATTGGGAGCCATCTTAGAAGTGGCCGACCACAGGGCAAGTTGAGAAAACACTCCACTGACAGATTGAAGTCCTCAGTTTCACCTCAAGGCCTATGACTATCTAGCTGTTCCATTTAAGCATGCCACTTGACAGAGCTATAGTGTTGTGGTCCACAGTGTGAGCTCCAGAATAGACTGCTTGGGTTTGCATTGGATTTCATGTAGTCAGCACGAATTGTCTGCATGGGAAAGTTACTAAATTTTCCTTATCTGTAGTTTCTCTACCTGTAAAGCTGTGGATAATTATGACATATAGTTCATATTTTGTTCATATGACTACCTGACTACCTGGGGATAGTAGTAATAGTACTACCTCTTTGTGTGCTTGTTGAGAGGATTAAACGAGATCATGGATGACAGTTCTTAGCACAGGCCTGGCCAGGAATCTTTCAACCCATGGTGTGTACCTACACTTTTTAATGTTT
The DNA here is from genome assembly GCF_000001405.40 of Homo sapiens. Taxonomy (NCBI): domain Eukaryota; kingdom Metazoa; phylum Chordata; class Mammalia; order Primates; family Hominidae; genus Homo; species Homo sapiens. Next base: position 221,018,114 of record NC_000002.12, read on the forward strand.
TCATTCTCCTCACTAGGGAGGGGGAGCCTCCAATTCCACTCCTGCTATGGGTACATTCCCCTTCATCTGCTCTTCCCCTGATTTCTATAAGGGGGGTTAATTGATCTATGGACGATCAGCAGCACAGCCTAAGGAGTCCCCAGTGTTCATGGCAGACAGCCTGTCTCAGTCTGGCTATCTGACCACCAGTGTTTCTGTGCCACCTGGCCAAGTGCTAATGAGAAAGTTGTATAGACGTTTGTTGCTTCACACAATAGGTAGAATAAAGGAGTTCACAGTTCCTCAAGAAGATTGAAAGGGACTCTGATATCTGGTGTGGACCAAATGCCAGCCAGGGAGCTCTGGCACCCTAGGGGTTATGCAAGGGAAGGCAGCTCTCAGAGCACAGAGGGGTGAGAGCTGTCTCTAAAGGCCTGGGCTGAATGGGAACATTTTGCAAAACTTGCTTAGAAACCCTGGTTCCTAAGCAATTGATTCCTGTTGGGGTCCCACTGGGAAAGATTGTTTCTGAACAGTCTGGATGGAAAGGAAATGGTGGCATTTTTAGAGAGAGAAAATAAACTTGCTCTGTTATTTAAACCCAAATACTAGGATAAATACTAGAATCTAGGGTCCTTTTAAAGTTGTTTCAAAGCTGCAGAAAGAAACACAATAAAAGTTGAATAAGGATTTATGTTATATAGTCATCCATGCAAGCAAGTAGACTGACTGGTAAATAAAGTATAGTGTGATTATTATAATTTAGGTCACAGACAGTATAAGCGTAGTGAATTTCCTGCATTAGAAAACTAAGCCTCTTGTATTAAGTGAAGCACACTGGACATTTAATATGGTTTTTACAACAAAAACTGAGCTCTATAAATGGAGGGTCCTGAAATGATGGTGTGCAGGGAGGGAGGGGGAGTATTCTAAGTTGAATTTCAGGGGAACATATTTTATGATTCCTTTTAAGTAACAACACCACCTTTCTCTCACATCTCCACCAACTCAAACTACCCCCATGAAGTCACCGACAAACTTTGGATTTAGAGACCTGGCATCATAGGTAGCAAAGACAGATGAGAACTGAATGACAGCCAACCCTAAAGAATTTTTTTTTTTTTTTTTTTTTTTGAGATGGAGTCTCACTCTGTCTCCCAGGCTGGGGTACAGTGGCGTGATCTCGGCTCACTGCAACATCCACTTCCTGGGCTCAGGAGATTCTCCTACCTCAGCCTTCCAAGTAGCTGGGACTACAGGCGCATGCCACCACACCTGGCTAATTTTTTATTTTTAGTAGAGACAGGGTTTCACCATAGTGGCCCAGCTGGTCTTGAACTCCGGACCTCAGGTGATCCACCTGCCTCGGCCTCCCAAAGTGCTGGGATTACAGGTGTGAGCCACTGCGCCTGGCCCATAAAGAAAACTTTTACCTGTGACCAGTTAAACAAACAAACTTGGATAAAGCAAAATAAATAAATAAATAAATGGAAGTCTTTTGAGAAAAAAGAGATATACTTTATATATTATATATTTCATATATATACACTTATATATACATATAAACATACAAAAATGCACATACATGCCAACATATACACATACACATATATGTTATATGTGTACACATACATACACACATACCACATATAGATATGATAACGCTCTGAAAGAATAATAAAAACGTGTATAGTGTTTTGATCTTAAGATTGAAAGACAGCAGGGCTTAGTATCATAACAGAGTAAGTAATAAACTGTGTTTATGGTGGTAGCAGACAATTACATCCTTTGACTACCTGAGCTTTTAAAATTCAGAGATTTACAATCTTCCAACAATTAAGTGGAAAACGTTACTGGGTAATTAAAATGGGTGTCTTTCAACAAGAATTCTTTCTCAGAAGGAAGGACTAAAATCCTGGGCGTTTTCAGAGAATCACGATTGTTCCAATTCCATGGACAAACATGTGACTTAAAAAGACATCCATGGAAGCAACCCTCTGAGGTGTTTTAAAGGTGGCAAATATGTCTGGCCCTGTATGACTACATGCTATGATTTACTCTGCTCTGCAGTGCTCCTGAGAATACCAATGAGTCCTGGAGCCCGATCTGGAGTCAGAGGGAATGATGGCTGGCTGGGGTCAGCAGGACAATTGTGGGAATGGGTGCGGTGGATGGTAGGAGTGCGGGCAGAGGGAGCGTGTTTTAGACCAGTTGGGAGTTTGACCCTTGAAACAGGGAATCAGAAGTACACGGCTTCCACTTTGAGTTTATGCCTTTAAATAACATGGGACTTCAGATGATTTAACTAACTTTGACAAACCTTTTCTCACATCCTTAATGGGGAATAATGAGGCCTAGCAGATTTCTTTTATGAGGATTAAACGAGATAATACATGTGAAACACTCCAGACGGTACACAGGACCGTTGAAGCCCTCTACAGAGAGTAGCCACTATTATCCTCACCCTTGCATTTTATATTTGTAAGTATTTTACGTTCTTTATGTATGGGCCCTAACAATGCCCAGGGATATTTTTAAAGGAAAATACTGGAGAGATTAACTTCATAATAAGCTGTAGATATTAAGTTGCACTTTAAGTGTAGCAGAGTGGTTAAAAACTTGGGCTAAAGTTTGAGAAGACTGAGATCAAGGGCCTGTTCTGAAAAACAGATACATCACCTTTAAAAACTTTTGAACTTCCCTAAGTCCTCTTTTGTTCATCTGTAAAATGAGAATAATAGTAAAAGTTCCTTACTTCTGGGATGACTGGGAAGCATAAATGCCTATGAAGTGCTTGGCATGGTGACTGATATATATATTTAGTCCTCAATAAATATTAGCTGCTAATAATATTAATACAAATAATTGCATATACTAAAAACCTAAAGAGTGTTTTCTAATTTTTTAAATAAAAACATTTCTCATTTTTGGTGGTGATCCTATACCAAATATATGAAGCAATAAAATAAAAATGAGCAAATAAATTAAAAAAAAACACAGAAAGGAAAACAATCTCATGTATTATCTGAAAATGATGAACATAAAGGTATAAAAGGGCCAGGCGTGGTGGCTCATGCCTGTAATCCCAGCACTTTGGGAGGCCGAGGTGGGCAGATCACCTGAAGTAGCGAGTTTGAGAGCAGCCTGGCCAATATGGTGCAACTCCATCTCTACTAAAAATACACACACACAAAAAAGTTAGCCAGGCGTGGTGGTGGGCGCCTGTAATCCCAGCTACTTGGGAGGCTGAGGCACGAGAATCAATCAAACCCAAGAGATGGAGGTTGCAATGAGCCAAGATCACACCACTGCACCCCATCCTGGGTGACAGAGAAAAACTCTGTCTCAATAAATAAGTAAATAAATGAATAAATAAATACGCATAAAGAACAAGAATAAACATCATTATAGCTAAACATCTGGTGAATGCAGAGAACAATTTTTAGATAAAAAATACTCTAATTTAAATTGGTTTAATTTGCCCATGCTCACAACTGCTGCCTTATATATGTCTAGTGAAAATATTTGTTTATATAATCAGTCATTTATGTATTAAATATTTTTGAGCATCAGCTAGTTCCTGTTCCCGAGGAGCCTGCTCCCTGATGGGTATGATAAACAATAAACAAACTGACAAATTACGCAAATTATTCTATATTAAAAATCCCAAGGAGTGCTGTGAAGGAGTATAGAGTGCAGTTAGCAGTAAAATCTAATTCAGACGGGGGGATTAGGGAGGGGTTCCCTAAGAAACTAACATCTAAGCTAGGACCTATAGGGTGGGCAAAAATTAGCTGGAGAATGAACATTCAAGGCAGAAGCAACTGGAAGCATGAAGCCTCCAATGTGGGAAGGATGAGGAGAAACCTCCAGGAAACAGACCAGCCTGCAGAGTTGTGAGCACCAGGAAAAAGTGCTAATGAAGCTACTAGAGTAGGGAGAATCCAGAACACATGGAGTCTGGCTGCCACGTCATGGGTCCTAGTCCTGAGCCTACAAGGAAAGAAAAGCCACCAGATGGGTTCCTAACAGGGGAAAATGAGAAGGGTTTTGCAGTTTAATAAAGTCATTTTGACTATTATGTGAAAAAAACGATCGGAGGAGAGCCGAAGTAGATATAAGGAAATTGATTCAAAAGCTACTGCAGAAGCCCATTTAAGAGACAATGGTGTTTGGGATGCTGGTGGCAGATGAGGAAAAAAGTTGATAGATCAAGAAATATTTGGTTTCCATTTGTTTGTGTCATCTATGATTTCTTTCAGCAGTGTTTTGTAGTTTTCTTTGTAGAGGTCTTTCACCTCCTTGGTTAGGTATATTCCTAAGTGGTTTTTTTTTTTTTTTTTTTGCAGCTATTGTAAAAGGGGTTGAGTTCTTGATTCCATTCTCAGCTTGGTCGCTGTTAGTGTAGAGAAAAGCTACTGATTTGTGTACATTAATTTTATATCTGGAAACTTTGCTGAATTCTTTTATCTAAGTTCTAGGGGCTTTCTGGGGGAATCCTTAGGGTTTTCTAGGTAAACAATCATATCATCAGCAAACAGTGACAGTTTGACTTTCTCTTTACCAATTTGGATGCCCTTTATTTTTTTATCTCGTCTGATTGCTCTGGCTAGGACTTCCAGTACTGTGTTGAAGAGGAGTGATGAGAGTGGACATCCTGTCTTGTTCCAATCCCCGGGGGAAATGCTTTGAGTTTTTCCTCATTCAGTATTATGCTGTGGGTTTGTCATAAATAGCTTTTATTCTATTGAGGTATGTCCCTTGTATACTGATTTTGCTGAGGGTTTTAATCATAAGGGATGCTGGATTTTGTTGAATGTTTTTTTCTGCATCTATAGAGATGATCATGTGATTGTTATTTTTAATTCTGTTTATGTGTGTATCACATTTATTGACTTGCATCTATTAAACCATCCCTGCATCCTTGGTATGAAACCCACTTGATCATGATGGATTATCTTTTTGATATGTTGTTGGATTCGGTTAGCTAGCATTGTGTTAAGGATTTTAGCATCTAGGTTCATCAGGGATATTGGTCTGTAGTTTTCTTTTTTGGTTATGTCCCTTCCTGGTTTTGGTATTAGGGTGATACTGGCTTCATATAATCATTCAGGGAGGGTCTCTCTTTCTCTGTCTTGTGGAATAGTGTCAGTAGGATTGGTACCAATTCTCCTTCGGATGTCTGGGAGAATTCTGCTGTGAATCTCTTTCGTCCTGGACTTTTTTTGTTGGTAAAATTTTAATTACCATTTCAAACTCACTGCTTGTTATTGGTCTGTTCAGGGTATCTTGTTCTTCCTAATTTAAACTAGGAGGATTGTATCTTTCCAGGAATTTATCTATCTCTTCTAGGTTTTCTAGTTTATTTGCATAAAGGTGTTCATAGTAGCCTTGAATGATCTTTTGTATTTCTGTGGTGTCAGTTATGATATCTCCTGTTTCATTTCTGATTGAGCTTATTTGGATTTTCTCTCTTATTTTCTTGGTTAACGTTGCAATGGTCTGTTGATTTTATTTATCCTTCCAAAAAGCCAGCTTTGTGTTTGTAACCAAACAACACCTGTTCCCCAATAACCTATGGAAATTAAAAAAAAGAAATTAGAGGTAATATTAAATATACAGTTAAATTTTATGTATATAAAATTTCTGTATTCCTAAAGAACAAATGGATATAAAAATATTGTCAACTAGCTTTACTTTGATTTTTGGGGTCTGTTGTTGTTAAAAGTTATTACTTTGTTTTGAAAAGATGACATGTCTTGTGGAAATTTTTAATACATACTGAAATTAGTTTTTTTAAAAAAGAAATATTTGGGAGACAGAATCCACAGGACCTGGCTATTGATAGACTCCATGCAAGATAGTGAGGAAAATATGTCAGGATAAGTAGGATAACCACAAGTCCTAGTAAGCAATTGGATAGATGAGGGTGCTCTTTGCTGATGTGGATACACAGAGGAAGTGCAGGGACATGGCAGGGAAAGTGGGAGGTGTAGCAGTGGTATTGGCGAAATAGGTTAAAATATTTTTAAAAATGCACAGCAAAGGTGAAATAAAACAATAAAATGAAAGATACAATAATTAAATAGAAGAGTTAGGAAAAGATCAAGAAAATATTAATTACTGAAGGCACCAAGGACTTTAAATGGGGATGACATCTATTAAGTGGTTCAGGCTTTCCAAAGAGACAATATTTGCCTAAAAGCAACCACAAGCTCCAGTGTTATGTTTAGAATTGCTGGGGAAGAATGCCACTGACCAAAGTAAGTAAAACTACTAGTATTTAGAATGCCCACTGTATGTCAGATACTGAACAAAGTATTTCTTATGTATTATCTAATACAATCCCCACAATCACCTCATGTGGTAGGTCTATGTTACCCGTGAGAAAAATGGAGGCTCAGAAAGGACTGGCCACTCAGCTGCTAAGTGGTAAATCAGGTGGTTCTGCCTCCACTGCTCAAGCACTTTCTCCTTTATTATGTTGCCTGTTATTGCAACATGTATCCTAAGGGACTTCTAGAGGTACCTATGCTACTATCTCCAATAAAATGTATGGGGATGATTAGCTGATATTTTTGCTTACCTGAAACAGTCCTTCATCTTTTGTCCGTAGCATCCTCATTTTGATGTGAGTAAATCCCTCTCCACCATGAGGGTGCAGCCCAGGGGGATTGCTGATAGATTGCCCTGTGTTTCCTATGACAAGGAGGTAGAGGGGCCAGTAGTTCAGCAAGGACCAGTGGAAATTCTTCCTGATTTAAGCTAGGAGGATTGCATCTTTCCAGGAATTTATCTATCTCTTCTAGGTTTTCTAGTTTACATGCATAAAGGTGTTCATAGTAGTCTTCAATGATCTTTTGTATTTCTGTGGGTTCTTCTTGGAAATGGAATGAGGAGCAGAGTGAAGCAAAGGCTGCCGAGGGAGAGTCTAACAAGACTCTCAGGCAGTTCTTGCTGCCTTGATTTTTGTGCTTCCAAATTTCTTCTTTGGGTTTCCCAGTTAAGCCCTTCAATTTTTTTTCAGTAATTTCCCTTTTGGCTTAGATTAGACAAACTTAGTCTTTCCTACTTTCAACCAAGTAATCCCCACTAAAACGTTAGACCCATTTCATTCTAAAGAATCAGGAGCTGTGTATAGGGGACACATTGCTCTTGAAGCTCCATCTGCAGCTATTTTGCTCTGGTGTGCTTTGTGAAGGAGGCGAGGGACAAGTTTGCAAACTCCTATGAGTGAGTGCATGAGCAAGGGTGTTGTCTGATAAATTTCTATAGGAGTGGTTAAGGGGCAGTGGCTAGCCTCCTTCTAACCTGCTTAATAAAGGGAGGGTTTCACAGAGAAAGTTGATTTTGAGCAGAGTTTGGAATAAAGTGGTGTATTTTTTTCACACTACTATAAAGAACTACCTGAGACTGGGTAATTTATGAGGAAAAGAAGTTTAAGTGACTCACAGTTCTGCAGGCTAAACAGGAAACATGGCTGAGAGGCCTCAGGAAATTTACAATCATGATAGAAAGTGAAAGGGAAGCAAGCATGTCTTACCATGGCAAAGCAGGTGGAGTGGGGGGAACTGCCACACACTTTCAAACCATCAGACCTCATGAGAACTCACTCACTATCATGGGAACAACATGGAGGAAGCCACCCCCATGATCCAATCACCTCCCACTATGTCCCTCCTCTGACGTGTGGGGATTACAATTCGAGATGATATTTGGGTGGGGATAGAGCCAAACCATATCAAGTGATTAAAACAAAAATTGCTGGTCAACAGGTAGGAAGTTGCTTTGTTAGCATAGAGTTATGAAATTTCTATGTCAGAGAGAAACTTTTACTGGATACACACAAAAGAAAATAGTTATTTGAATGTAATTATGTCTAATGAATATTAAGCTGGCAGAGTTTAAACCAGATGCTTCACAATAAAATGTTTTTTTTTTTTTTTTTTTTTTTGAGACGGAGTCTCGCTCTGTCGCCCAGGCTGGAGTGCAGTGGCGGGATCTCGGCTCACTGCAAGCTCCGCCTCCCGGGTTCACGCCATTCTCCTGCCTCAGCCTCCCAAGTAGCTGGGACTACAGGCGCCCGCCACTACGCCCAGCTAATTTTTTGTATTTTTAGTAGAGACGGGGTTTCACCGTTTTAGCCGGGATGGTCTCGATCTCCTGACCTCGTGATCCGCCCGCCTCGGCCTCCCAAAGTGCTGGGATTACAGGCGTGAGCCACCGCGCCCAGCCAAAATGTTTTATATGTTTGAATTTTTATCATAACCCATTGGCTTTTTGAGAAACATTTTCTTCTTGAAAAAAAGTTTGATTCTTCAAATACTTCAAACTCTTCTTTAATGAATTATGTCAACTTTAATCCGTGGAGCAATGCATTCTTCTGAGTGAAGACACAATCTTATTAGAAGGATCATTCCTGCAATTCCTAGGTTTTGAGATGACAAGTGATCATGTGGAATAGGCAACCATTGGAGAATTATCTGGGGAAGCAGAATGGGTGTTTCTAGGGTGACCAGAGAAGGGTAACAAACATAGACATGTGAGACTTGTACATGTTCAGAACCAGAAGTTTCCCTAAAAAATGTAAATTTAAGGGTGCACTTTGGGGACACTGTCTGAACTGCAGAAGGAGGCATAATGACCCAGGGAGACAGACACTGTGGGAATAGCTGACTTCCAACATCGGTGATAAAAAGGACTGAGATTCCTACTGAGAAATGGGCTCACACTGTTTTTAAGTTTAAAGGTGGGCACTGCCCTTTCTCCTTTCTACTCGTATCCTTCACTGCAATGGTCTGTTTGTGACATCTTTTTCCTTCAAGAGTGTCATTAAGGTAGACTTTTACCTATTTTCATTTTACAAAAGTATTTCAGAAAGTGAAAAGTGCAGTGTCCTTCCCCTATGTTAGGTCTTCTCTGAAGAGCCTGAAAAGTACATGTGAACTAGACATAAAACATCTGAAAACCTAGGCAATACCATTCAGGACATAGGCATGGGCAAGGACTTCATGTCTAAAACACCAAAAACAGTGGCAACAAAAGCCAAAATTGACAAATGGGATCTAATGAAACTAAAGAGCTTCTGCACAGCAAAAGAAACTACCATCAGAGTGAACAGGCAATCTACAGAATGGGAGAAAATTTTTGCAGTCTACTCATCTGACAAAGGGCTAATACCCAGAATCTACAAACAAACTTACAAGAAAAAAACAAACCACCCCATCAAAAAGTGGGCAAAGGATATGAACAGACACTTCTCAAAAGAAGACATTTACGCAGCCAAGAGACACATGAAAAAATGCTCATCATCACTGGCCATCAGAGAAATGCATATAAAAACCACAATGAGATATCATCTCACACCAGTTAGAATGGTGATCATTAAAAGGTCAGGAAACAACAGGTGCTGGAGAGGATGTGGAGAAATAGGAACACTTTTACACTGCTGGTGGGACTGTAAACTAGTTCAACCATTGTGGAAGACAGTGTGGCAATTCCTCAGGGATCTAGGACTAGAAATACCATTTGACCCAGCCATCCCATTACTGGGTATATACCCAAAGGAATATAAATCATGCTTCTATAAAGACACATACACATGTATGTTCATTGCGGCACTACTCACAATAGCAAAGACTTGGAGCCAACCCAAATGTCCAACAATGATAGACTGGATTAAGAAAATGTGGCACATATACACCATGGAATACTGTGCAGCCATAAAAAAGGATGAGTTCATGTCCTTTGTAGGGACATGGATGAAGCTGGAAACCATCATTCTCACCAAACTATCGCAAGGACAAAAAAACCAAACACCACGTGTTCTCACTCATAGGTGGGAATTGAACAATGAGAACACAGGAAGGGGAACATCACACACTGGGGCCTGTTGTGGGGTGGGGTAGGGAGGAGGGATAGCATTAGGAGATATACCTAATGTAAACGACAAGTTAATGGGTGCAGCTCACCAACATGGCACATGTATACATATGTAACAAACCTGCATGTTGTGCACATGTACCCTAGAACTTAAAGTATAAATATATATATATATATATATATATATATATATATATATATATTTAAAAAAAACGTTAAATTTGCCCTTTTGCCTGGTTCTGAGCACACTGTTGTAGGCATGATGGCAAACGTCTACTCTTTGGTATGGGTGGGCTAGTACCATGTATTGATTTTTGTGGTTTCAAGCAAAACATTCTACAAACAAGAATCCCAGGCTGGCACAAAACTGAGTAGCATAGTAGTCCATTTCACCACTCTCTGAGACCAGCTGCTTGTGGACCCCACAAGGACAAAGGCAAGACCAGTCCCACATATGTCAGGCCATTGGCAGAAGGCCTGGCAAGAACAGAAGTTTCGCATGGCTTCTATGGACATCCCTTACAATCCTGGGACCTGCACCATTGCTGAGAAACTAATATCAGCCAATTCCAATGACTCACCCTCTAATTCCTAATATGGCACCTTAACTTAGATAGACTAGCCACTATCTAACAGAAGGTAGAGTACCTTGCTGAGCCCTTTTGTCCAGGCTGAAGACAGCAGTGGGTCCTTTCTAAAGGAGCATCAGATCTCTGCATGTGCCAACCTCTGAGGAAACTCTGGCTCTATTTTGTCACAGATAAGGTCTGCATTCTGTAGAGCCAGACCTTCTGGCAATGGTCTGACATGTGTGGGTCTGGTCTTATCTTTACCTGTGTGGGGCCCACAAGAAGCTGGTCTCAGAGAGTGGTGGAATGCTCTACTGTGCTCCTCAGTTTTGTGCCTGTTTGAGACGGCTTGTAGAATGTTTTGCTTGGAACCACTAAGTCAATATATGGTGCTAGCTTGCCTAGAGCAAATGCATGGAACTGGAAACCAAGAGATAGAATTTCCATATGGCTTTTTAGGAAAGTGAGCAGAAAGACCTATGAGAGTCATGGGTCAGGCTAGTCTGACTGATCCCTGAGTAGGGATGTCAGATTTTGCAAATGCAAATAGAGGATATATAAGTATGTATGTAATACTTGGGAAATATACTAAAATTTTTCATTGTTTTTCTGAAATTCAAATTTAACTGGGTGCCTGTATCTTAGCTGGCAACTCTATCCCTGAGACAGGGGCTATAATGAAAGAGAAAGTGATTCCATAAAAGCCAGACTGAAGACAAACAGTTCAAACAGGAGCAAGACTTACTGTGGCAAAAAGTCCTCTTTATCAAGTACAGTGAGTGGCTGAAGCACATCTGACTCCAATAAATTTGTCCCATTAAGACCACATTCATTATGACCACCCTAGTTTCTTTGTCAGTAACCTTATCCTATTTTCCTTTTTCTTTTTCACCATCATCTTGCACCTTGCAGACAGAGTTGGCCAGGTTTATCCTGAGAGGTGCTGTTGAGTTGAAAAGGCTCACACATGAGGCATTCTTTCCTGTCTCCTCTTACCCCGGATATTAACATTCTATGTTTCCTAAACTTACTGTTAGTTCAATGCTGCCCCTCCAGGAAAAAGAATCTAAGAGTAAGTCACAGTTGCAGCACTCTGGGGGGAAAGAAAAGAAGATTGGAATAGTTGCCATGATTCCATCAAAACCCTGCCCAGAGATGGAAGGTGGGAAGGAGCAAAGAGAAAGTTTCCACTTCTGCCCTGCCCTGACTGTGTCAGGCAAAGGTAGTGAGCCTCTGCTCTGTGGCAGGCATGGTGTTTGGAGGGATAGCAAATCTTTGACAGAACAACAGGTTTTCTGCATTACTCACATGGAGTAACACAGTCCCTGTAGTTTACAGTTAGTCCCTCCTAAGAAACTTTACCCTCACCTCCAAAATGAAGGAGACAAAGGGTGAAAGGGACAAGACTGAGGATAAATATTAAAGTATGTTCAAGGCTAGAATTTATTCACTCAAGAAATGTGGCCGGGCATGGTGGCTTGCACCTGTAATCTCAGACCTTTGGGAGGCTGGGGCGGGTGGATCACCTGAGGTCAGGAGTTCGAGACCAGCCTGGCCAGCATGGTGAAACCCCATCTCTACTAAAATACAAAAAGTACCTGTGCGTAGTGGAAGGCACCTGTAATTTCAGCTAGTTGGAAGGCCGAGGCAAGAGAATCACTTGAACCCGGGAGGCAGAGGTTGCAGTGATCTGAGATCACACTACCGCACTCCGGACTGGCCAACAAGAGCAAAACTCCATCTCAAGAAAGAAAAAGAAGTGAGGAAATTTTACAGGGTCATTTTTTTTTTTTCCACTTAGGCAGTATATACACCCACCGCCCAGTACCTAGTACCTAGAAGATATTGAAGAGCCATGAAAAAGATTGAGGCAAGAAAAAATACATTTCTGGGCTCCAAGACATAAAGAAAAGCTTCAAAAAATTTTATTCAATGTTTTATAAAATATCTAAAAATGTACTTTATTTCAGTTATGTAACTTAACTCATAATTACATAAAAAGTTGAAATCAGAAGAATGAAATAATTTTTTTAAATGCTGAAAATGGTAATAGTTGAAATCCTTCCAAAAATGTTTCAGTAGAAGTTATGTTTAATATGGAATGCAAGTGTGTTAAGAAGAAAGGTATTTTTTTTAAGTTGTAGCACTTTATATATTTCATATTGATGTCCCAGGGTTTTAGTCATGCCTGCTCTTTAATTTTCTCAAATATGGGAATTAAGGCATATTTTTCCTTTTGCATTTTTATTATATATGGACTCTATGCCATCTGTAGTCCTTTGTTATTGTGAAGTTATTCACTGATAATTTCCATTTTATTTTTTAGAAGCATTTATATTCATCATAAATACATTAGGTCTGAAAGGTCTTTAATTAATGCTCTGGTTCAATCTCCTCATTGTACAGATGTGAAAATTGAGCTCCCAGTGATTAATTTGACTAAAACCACACACTTAATAAATGACAGAGATTAGTGTCAAAATTGGGTTTTCTTGTTGCACCTCCAGGGTTCATTTCTACCACAGAATACTAACTTTAAACTAAAACATTTCCCAAACATTTTCTCCTCTTTTGCAGAAGAAAAACATGTTCTTACATGTAAAAATGCCATTGGCTCATCTTATTAAAATACAGTAGCAATATTATTTGTATACTTTATTCTTCTACCCAGGTACACAATTAGCTGTCCCAACCAACCTAATGGAAAATTATCCATGATACAGTGAAGATAATCACACTGTTTACTTGCAAATCCTTCTCATTTTCATTTTAAGTGTTAAGTCATGCCAAATGAATTTGGACATGAACGCATTTATTACTTTGCAATTATTGGAAATTATAAAAGCAGATATTAAAATAAAAGTTCTTTTGGGGGTGACTTCGATACAGCGTATTAATTTTAATTACATCATTCATGATCATAATATGGTTTTATCGTTAGCTTTTGAATTTTCTTACACAAAAATCTACTTGTCCAAGAATTTCTGTAGAGTCTATAACCAGAGTGCTTCAGTGCTCTGAAAGGAGAGTGAAATTAGCACAATAATAGCTTTCTTCTCTTCATAAGAATATTTTAATGTAGATAAAATAAGAGCATATTAGAATCAGATTTATAATTATATAGCAGGTTTTTTTTTTTTTTAGTCTGAGCTTCAGGTAGGCCATTTCTGCTTAGAGTCCTTAAAATTTTTAAATATTCACTATGAATGTCTTATTAAAATATGTTCTACATCTTTTTAAAAGTCTTACAATAGAGCCATTTCCTTCCAGATTTTAATTTAAACTATTTTCATTGCTTTTTACTTGGGCTTATTTTACCTTTTCAGTTTCTTAAAAAATATTTCTTAGGCTTTGCATTTGTGTTCTTCTTTTACATTAATTCAATCAAATATCACATTACTATTTATAAAACATATATATTTATTTTAAGGATTCAAACTCTTTTTAGTTTTAAAATGCCATGATTTAGACTTGCGGTTGTTTTTTGTATACAAGAACAAATATGAAAACTGAATTTTAGAGAAATCTCTAATTCCTATGCTAGTGACATTTCAAATTCAAAGTAGTTTAAGAACACTATTAGATGAGGCCTTTGGTATAATTTTTGACAGATGGAGATGAGTAAGGAGAAGCCAGTTTTGGAGTCCTTCCATTAACTAGTCATGAAAGAAATGTCATCCTCTTATTCTTCATTTCAACTCCATTCCTTCAAACTTGCCTTTCATTTGGATTTTATTGTAAAATTCCCTCAAGTTCATCCTTAACCTAGCCCTTATCACCCCAGTTTGTGTTCTTTTGTTATTCAAAATGTCCAGGAAATTCCTTGTTAGCTTTGCTGGCATGCCTTCATGAGAACAAATGTGAATGCAAGAAGAAATTTTAGTTCCCCTGCTACGCAAAGATGTTTGGGGGATTAGCAAGCACCTTGGGAATGAGTAAAATGATTTGTGTCTGACCTGTATGTTGGAGAGTAATGACAACCAGTTTTCTCCTCCAATCATCGATTGATTAGGGATGGATCCTCAGTCAAAAGAACCAAGCCCATATACTTCTGCCTCTTCAGAAGATGTTTAAGAATTTCAGATTGTTTAAAAATAAACAATGATTTTTAAGAAGTCACCTGGGCCAAATCTCAGATTAGTTTTTATCTCCTCTTACTTTCATTTTTCTCTGTGTTCTAAAGCTGTTTTGTAGAAATATGTAAGTTACAGTATAACCTTTTAGAACAAATGCATTTTCTCTGACACATTCTCCTGCTAAATCCTGCATTCTCCCAGACCATGCGTTGTAAAGATAGGGAATGTCTTGACATGGGCAGCTTGCAGGGGCTTCCAAACTCTGCTCCACAAAGACCTAGGTATTCTGAATATTTCTTAGCATCTCCCCGGCGGCTCCAAGATGTAACATAGGGATAAGTGCATAAGACTCTGTGTGTGTGTGTGTGTTAGTGAGAGAAAGCGTGTCAAACATGGTTTTACTCAAGAGATTATTGGTATTACCAATTAGAGTTCCTTGTGTCAATTTATTTAAACCATAGTTCCATTTCTTTTTTTTTCTTTTTTTAGACAGTCTCACTATGTCACCCAGGCTGGAGTGCTGTGGTACTATCTCAGCTCACTGCAATCTCCACCTCTCAGGTTCAAGCGACTCTCATGCCTCAGTCTCCCGAGTAGCTGAGACTACAGGCACGTGCCACCATGCCTGGCTAATTTTTGTATTCTTAGTAGAGACAGTGTTCCACTATGTTGGACAGGCTGGTCTCGAACTCCTGACTTCAAGTAATCCTCCTTGGCCTCCCAAAGTGCTGAGATTACAGGTGTGAGGCACCATGCCTGGCCCTCACTTGATTTTTACCTTCAATTCATTCACCTACAAAGTAAGGGGGCTAAAAGAAGTGATCTCTAAACTCCTGCTAGTTCCAGCACTGTACAATTATATGAGAAGTTCAGTCATTCGCTCTTCTGAAATAGGAAATAGTCATGTGATCAGGTTTGTGGTTTTTTTTTTTTTTTTCTTTTTTTTTGAGACAGAGTCTCACTCTGTTGCCCAGGCTAGAGTACAATGGCGCAATCTCAACTCACTGCAACCACTGCCTCCCAGGTTCAAGTGATTCTCCTGCCTCAGTCTCCTGAGTAGCTGGGATTACAGGCATCTGCCACCATGCCCAGCTAATTTTTCTATTTTTAGTAGAGATGGGGTTTCACCATGTTGGCCAGGCTGGTCTCAAACTCCTGACCTCAGGTGATCTGCCCACCTTGGCCTCCCAAAGTGCTGGGATTACAGGCTTGAGCCACTGTGCCTAGCCCAGACTGCTATTATCTAAATGTGTAATCTTTATTAAGGTGTTTCTCAAATCTAGGACCAAGGTTCCTCATTTGTAGAATTGTTGTCTAGATGTAATGATTTGAAAAGTCTTTTTCAGCTCTCACAATTCTAAGATTACATGTTCTTTTTATACTATCATAAGTATATAGGGACACAAATTATAAAAGTAGGCTATTTGCAGCCTTTAATTGCCCTCTGTAAGCTAATAGGAAAATTTTAACTTTCCCATTCTTTCTTCTTCACCCTTCTAGAAAGTGATTAAATGTGTAACTAAGAAAGAGTGAGGGAGACCTCAGAAGGCTGTTAGGAGAAGATAAAGGGGTTTTTCTGGAAGCAGAACATTGGAGCAAGGTGCATCAGAAGACCTGTGGTGTATAGGACAGTATATCAGAGAAGAACAATCAAGATACTGAAAACATATTTCTGAGATTTATATATAAATGTCATGAGTTATTTTGAATGTGTTTCCTTGCACGAATATGTTCTTTGCATTGAGATATGTCTCCAGAACTTAAACTATAGTGTTCATAGCTTTGTGAGTGTTCTAGAAAGCAGTATTGTTTAATGAAGTAAAAATTACCTCAGAATCTGAAGTGTAAAACTAGTAAAACCATTAGGGGGTTTCCAAAGCTCACAACAATACCCCTTCTGCTATTCTGTGAACTGCTGCTACCCCCTGCCCACACAGATGACCGTGCCAGGCAGAATTTGCCTCCATGTCCATGAGGAGCTAAGCCATTACTCACTGAGTCTCAGCCTTCCTGTCACCTGTCTCTCTTGCTCTTGCCTTCCTGCCCTCTTTTTCTCTCCCTTTCCATAATCCATCTCTGCCACACTCTGCATATCTAATTCACTCGTCTTTCTGCCAAACAGCTTTTACTGGGTCCATTTGGATACAACTTTCTCACAGCTCCTGGGTTCATATACCCTTAGTAGCAGACATCAGCAAAGATCAACCAATTGTTTTCAATCCCAATTCCAAATTTACAGCAGAAAAAATTTGGCCAGCCCAGCTCTGTCCAGGCATCTACACCTGGTACTGGCCTCGGCCCGGCAATGTTATAGAAAAGCCTCCTCAACTGTGAAGCACCGAACAAACATAGGGCACTACTAGTATTCCTTAATTCTCTAAATCTATTGTTTCTAAAATGTTATCATCCTATGAACTTTCCATACACAGGTCGCAAAGATCTGGTGCTTCCACAACCCACCAATTTGCCACATCATTAAGAATTACACATAGCCCATTACCCCGCAAGCAAACAAATGCACACTCTGTAATGGGGAAAATCTGGGCACTGAACCATGGATTCTCTCACTGTGCCAGCCCCACTCCACTGACATGGATTATAAGACATTATTTACTCTGGGCTTCTGTCTCTGAAAGTCAGAATTCTCTAGTGGCCATAACACTTGTCATTGCCCATCCTCCCCATTGGGTGTCCTGAGTGTTCCCTGTCTCCAGGCATTTTGTCGGTAACAGTGTCAATAAAGCAGAGGCGGTTTCTGAACAATTTATGAATGCTAACTAATAATCCCTCCTCAAGACAGGTGACTGAAATGGGTCTCACTGCCACAGAGATAATTAAGGAATATTGCCTAAAAACAATGGAGTGTCACCTCACTTGTACAAGAAACTTGTCGTAGTCAGGGACTCTTATGATCTGAATTATGTCACCTTAAAATTCACATGTTGAAGCCCTAATCCACAATGTGACTAAATGTGGAGATAGGAGCTTTAGGGAGGCAACTAAGGTTAAATGAAGCCATGATGGTGGAGTCCTAATACAACAGGACTGGTGGTGTTGATAAGAAAAGGGAAGAGATCCCAGGGATTGGTGTGCACAGAGAAAAGGCCATTTGAGGACAAAGTAAGAAGGCAGCCTTTTGCAACCCAAGGTGAGAGGCATCTCTTGAAACCAACCCTGACACCACTTTGATCTTGTGCTTCTAGCCTCCAAAACTGTAATTAAATAAATTTCTGTTGTTTAAGCACCACCCCTCCCCAGCAGTATTTTGTTATGGCGGCCTGAGTAGACTACTACAGTAACCCTGTTGACACACACTTGAAAACAAAAAATGAATATCTGTCTGTGGCCCAGGCCACCTCCAGAGAAGATGATCAGTTTTTCTCCCCAGGTCAATTTCTCCAATGACATTAACATCTGATTTCCACTCAAGTGATGTGATCAGCTCTGCGCTGATCTGAACTGGTCACCAAGACAAGCAAAAATCCCGAATCGAACCCGCCACCGCTTGCTGTTTTTCAGTTGTCTAGACATGGTCATAAATAGTTGGATGACTGCTCACTATAAATTTTTAATGAGAGATTTTGAAATTAGAAAAGTAGAGAAGCAATTGGAATTTATGGCCTGGAGTTATAAAATAAGCAGGGACCCACCTGCAAAGCCAGCGCTGGGTTTCCATCAGCTTCCTCACACCAGTAGCTCTCTCGACTATGCAAGTCCAGAATGCCAGCCTCGTTTTTACTCCCCCGACTCCTCCTAGAAAAAATCCCACAGTATCTTTTTCCGATTCTTAGGTTATGGAATGAGAATTTTAAAATCACTCAGAAAGCATCACATATAAGTCAAATTAAATGATTTGGGGGTTTTCTGCTAGTCTAGCTAGGTAGTTCCTAAGCAGATTGGGTTAATGACCCCTTTGAAAATAAAAGGCAGAGACAGACATTCTCTCCAGATAATATCTATATATTGCAAAAAATTGGGGGAATATACAGGAATCTTGAAGTTTATTCAAGCACTTGTGGATGCCTGGTTGATATTCTTATAAGATTAACTGTGCCTCAGCTTCCTTCTCTCATTTGGATCTAGGTTTTCTAAGTTCTGTTCCTGTATAAATTTGGATTTTCAGAAAGCAATATACCTGGACAATGTTCTATTAAAATACACTCACTGAATTAGGCTATATTACTGTGCCCTCAGAAAGGATAAAAACATATTTACATCTATATGCAAAATGTGTATATGCATAAGTATGTGCTGTTGTTTTTCTTTTTTTCCCCAAAATTTTAGCAGAAGACATTGTACTTAATATGACCCAATGTGTCTTTTACATAAAGATCCTGGTGATGAAATGTTTTTTTCCCCTTGTTTCTTTTCACTGAGCTTCCTTCCACAGGCAATAAAAGCAATACAATTCAACATGTTTACCTTTTTTTCTTTGCTCCCAGAAATCTTACAGCTTAGTTTTATTGCTAACAGCAATAACCAACTTACTAAGAGTTTCTGGAAATCATCCTTTAATTTTAAGTTTATTTAATTATTTTTAACTAGTTTGACCCAAGGAAAATCTTTTTTGAGATAGGCAGGACACGAAGGATAAAAGGGAAAAAGTTAGCAGCCAGCAGATAACAATTGCCTTCAGCAGCAGGATAAGTGACAGATTTTAGTGGGAAAAAATATATATATAATTTCCAATCTTGACTCAGTAGAGTGAATGATACTCTCCTCTCAGTACAAAGATGATACTAAATGTTTCACCATCAATGGGATATTATTTTATTCTTTTAGCTAACAGGTACTGACAATAAAACTAGATGCCAAAAACTCTATGAGATGGAAATTGAGGTGGGGGAGTGTAAATGAAACAAGATAAAGCCCCTACCCTTAGGAGATGAGCCATTCATAACTTCAGGGAGAAGTGGTGATTACAGAGCAGAGTGAAAAGTACTGTGTGGAGTGTACACACAGAATATAACTTTTGTATGAGTTTTTTTTTTCAGTAGCTGAGTAGATATGCAACCCCTGTCTCCAACTCTTAACTGTACAATCAATCTTTCATTTTGTCGCAAAGTCAATTTTCCTAAAATTTTCACTTTCCCATTTAGTTTTCTTGATCAAAAAGTATAGTTTCAACTTTTCAATCTATAGGAAGAAATATAAATGGGCAAGAAAACATGAAAAGGGTTCAACTTCACAAAAATAGAAGAACCTCAGTTAAAAACTAGCTATCTTTTATTTTGCTAACAATTTTACAAAAAAAACCATGATGGAACATTGTCAAAATGTAGAGGAAAAAACACCATTATATATTGTCAATAGGGGACAAATTGTCAATATATTTCCAAATCCTTATGGAATCAAGGAACATATGGAATCCATATGTTGAATCAAATGACTTTTGATTCAACATTTTTACTTCTATAAATTTACTCTAAAGAAATAATTAGTTATATATGACATATATATATACACATTATTACATATATGTATATACATAAAAACAGCATTATTTATAACAAAAATTATCTAACAAACTATGGTACATAAAATTCCATAGCTCTTGAAAATGTTCAATATCATACAAAAACTTTAATAAAATTACTGACTATAAACAAAGCAGGTTATAAAACAGAATGTCTAGTAAAATTGTACATGTGTAAATGTGTATGTGTGGGTGGGTGGGTAGGTAGTTCATGGATAGATAGAAATACATAAAGACCTATGGATTCAAAAGTCTGAAGAATATAGATGGAAACACTGTCTCTAAAACAGTGTTTCTCAGCATGTGTCTTTAGGCCCAGTGGCATAATATATCTAAGATTTTGTTAAAATGCAGATTACAGTGTCCAAACCCAGCTTCTCAATCAGAGCATTGGGGATGGGGACAAAGGTTATATTTTAACAAGTCTCTCAGGTGATGATTATTATGTGGTAGAGAAGTGTACTCTACAATTAAAAGGGAATAATATTAATGCCTAGTTCCAGTAAAAATTGCTTTCTGATACAGGAGTCAGCCCAAAGGTGCTCCTTATGGCCAAAGTACAATTAGTGTAACAATATAAATAACAATAGCATTGAGTCTTAAAGCACATAATAAAACACCAATTGTCCATAAGACCATATTGATAAAGAATTGAATAATTTTTTCCTTACAAAATAATTCCAAACAATATATGTAGAGACAAAGAGAGGAATAGAAAAATTACTATTAAGCAAATACCACAGTAATTGTTGTAAATATGATCAACAATAGATGCTAACATTGATGGATAAAAGCTTGAGGGCAAAAAAAAAACAAAAAAGATATTTGCATTGTCTCAAAGTATCTATCTTCCTCAAGATATTTATTAATTACAGAGGAAAGATTTTAACTTTATGAAGAAATGTGGCAGATACTACCTTAGCCAAATAATCAAGGGTAATAGCACCAGGAAAAAGAAGTATTGATATTATGAAGTCCTTGATAAGATGCACCAGGAAGGAGACAACATTATTTCTGTGGCATTCTTGCCAAAAAACTTTAACCTCATTATAACATGAGAACATAACATAAAGAACAATGGAACCCACAATATAATCCTAGAAGAGAAAAAGAACAGTAGTGGGAAAACAGTTCCAATAAGGTACAATTTAATTAACATTACTGACCACGGTTCATTTCCTGTTTTTGATCATTGTACAATGGTTACATACATTATTAATATTAGTGGTAGCTGGGTGAGGAATATAAGCACAGCCCATACTCTTCTTTGAAGCTTTTCTGTAAAATTCATTTGAATTTTTTTTCATTGTTAAGCAGTCCCTTGACTCGGCATTTTTCAATTCTCACCAATATATTTGTAAATCACAGACATGGACAATCAAGAAGACACCAAAAACAAACTCTCCCCCTAATGACAGATTCTGAAGGGAATTCCCTCTAAATTGGGCTGCTGATGTTAAATCGAGAAACTCAGTTGATAGCCAACAAATAGCTTAGCGACTTAAAAGAGAGTAAACTAGTAGGACTGAAAGAACGACCTTTGACCATGATTCCCCATCATCAGCACCTGGCTCTGAAACTCAAAGTCTGTTTGAATCTGAAAGCTGGACAGCAGTATCTCCATGTAGAGGAGGCAGGGGCTGTTTAGTCTGGGCAGGCGTCTCCCTGGTCCTCCACTATCTGCCTGAAACACAGTCAGGCTTTGGCATGTGGAATGCTCCAGAGACCATAAGGTGCTTGGCTCCTGCCGCTCCAGAGCTGTGACTACACCTGCAGTTGTGCAATGCCCAACTCATCAGACTTTCAGGGCAGACCCCTCAGGACCCCGGGAACCAGCCTTTGTCAGGAGGCACCTCCCTGTTTTGTACCCGGCTGAGCCTAAGTAGAGGATTTCAGCAGTGAATATTGAAGCAGGAGAGAGAAGGAAAACTTGGCAAAGCCACCAACTCATGTGTGACCACGTGTGAGAGATCTCTGAGGATTTTTAGAAGTTATTGGAAATGTCTGGAAGGTATAATGGTACTGAATGAATGGCAAGTGCTGGTGTCTGTCTGTAGAATATGGTTTATTTCTGAGCTCCTGGCATATGGCAAAGGGCCAATACATGTTAGCTATTGTTTTTATTGTTATCTCATTTGTACCCTCTGGCTGGGGAAATCTGATCACACACTAGTTAAGCCAGGTCTAAGTTAATAAGAACTTCTTTCCTGATGGTGCTTGAGTTGGAGGCAGCAGTAAGGCAAACACAAACAGGGGAGTCCAAATCAGGGTGTTGGTTCTGGATCTGAATTAAGTTGGACCAACCTCTGCTCTTCCTGGAGTCTCCTTTTCTTCTATAAATGTCAAGGTGGGGTGGAATTGCCAAGGCTCCCTTTGTTAGCCAGAAGGTTCTTTAACTCCACATTTTTCAAATTCTTTCATTTCACTAATTCTTGGACATGATTATGCAAGCTCTTGATGCTCTGTTCAGTATCAATAGAATGTAGAAAGAACTCCTGTTAGAAACTCAACTCCTCAAACCTCTCTCCAGACCTGCTGAGTCAGAAGCTCCAGTTGGTTGTGATGCTGGCTCAGGTTTGAGAAGCACAACTCTAGGCTCTCCTCTCATTCTTCAGGGAAGACAAATGATGTCCTAAAAAGAGCTGTGACTTGCCTGAAAGTCTAGAAAATGGGTTCCTAATGGGGCAAGACCTGAATCCAGCTCTGCTCACTACTCGAAATGGTAACAATAACAGCTAACAGGGAAAAGGCCCTTCTTACATGGCAGGTGCTGGGCTAAATACTGAATCTGGATACTACGTTTAATACTAACAAAACCGTATCTGGTAAATATTGCTTGAATTTTCCTATTTAGATTAGGAAACTGAGGTTTACACAGAGCTGACAGATATGGAGCCTGAATTTGAGCTCGTTTAGTCATTCTGGAGCCCATGCTGAACCATTTCACAGCAATAGCTTCTTCGTGTCTTCTCCTTCTTCTCCTTCCCCTCCTCCAGTGCTGATTCTTACAGTGACTATACATATTCCAAGAGAAACACAAAACCAGGAGGAAAGAACAGACCCTCTTTGAAACACGAATTTTCCTTGCAGATGGAAGTAAAGATATGTTTTTCTATTAGAACAGACATTAATGAATTAGCAGGTAAAATGTACACAGAATTTTCAGGTAAAAATTGCCAGGTGCAGTAGCTTACACCCATAATCCCAGCACTTTGGGAGGCCAAGGTGGGAGGATTTCTTGAAGCCAGGATTCTGAGACCAGCCTAAGTAACATAGTGAGACTCCATCTCTACAAAAAATTGAAAAATTAGCTGGGCTTGGTGGCACATGCCTATAGTCCCAGTCACTTGGGAGGCTGAGACACAAGGATCGCTTGAGACCAGAGGTTTGAGGCTGCGGTGAGCTATGATTGCACCATTGCACTCCAGCCTGGGCGACAGAGGGAGACCCTGTCTCCCAAAAGAAAAAAAGGACAAAACACACAAGTTACAACTTTAAATAACATGTAGCATGAGGGTGGCTACTTCAGCTCACACAACATACATGGAGGGATAGGTCTTCAAACTTGTCCAAGTATGGAAATGCTACTCAGAAAAAAGTTTGAGAACATAGTACCATGTCACTTGAGGTTGCCTTCCATAATACCAACTGGTTGTTTGTGTAATCAAGTGGGGGACACTTAATGAAACCTGCTACATATTTGGTAAGTACCTGCCCTTTCATATTTAATTTGCTAGCAGAAAGTGCCACAATGCATGACATAAAGTGGAGGCTGAATAAATATCTGGTATTTCTTTTATTGAAAGCGCTCACATTTAGTTCACCTATTATCTTATCCTTTATCCGTAGCTACTCAAAGTACTGTCTTCAAACCAACAATATCAGTATTATGAGATCTTATAATAAGTGCAGAATCTGAGACACCCACCCCCTTCCTATTGGATCAAAATCTGCTTTTCAACAAATTTCAGGTGATTCATATGTGGATATTGCTTATCTCATCTACCTACTCCCAAAGTAAATACTCCAGTCTAGATCATTGGTTCTAAAAGTGTGGTCCCTGGACCAAAAGTATCCACATCACCTGGGAACCTGTTACAGGTGCAAATGCTTAGCCTTCATCTCAGATTAGTGAATCAGAAACTCCAGAGGTAGGGCCAGAAACCTGTGTGTAACAGCTCTTCCAGGCTGTTTTCAAACTTTGGTTTATGTTAAGAATCATTTGCAAGAGATTTTTAAAATCCTAATGCCCAAGCTTTGATTCATACTAAGAAAAAAATAATCCATAGACCAGTAGCTCTTACCTCTGGATCGTCTGAGAAGCCTTTAGAACACACCAATGTTTGAGCCCCACCATTCTGAGGTTTCAGTTATCAGAGCTGATCCCCAAGTATGGTATCTTCAAAAATCTCCCCAGCAGGATTATGTTATTACCTGTGGTTGCACCACTTCTAAAATCTCAATTAATGTATTCTACTGTCTGACAAGTTCCTCCTATAGTCCTGGCTCACTCTTTCTAGTACCCTCAACTCCAGCGATTTGGCCCCACTGGGACCTTAGATCCATTGATATCTGCCATTGGTGTTGACTATTCAGTAACCCCCTTCCCCTCTCCCCTGTGAGTCCTCACTTTCCTCCCTGCCTCGTTTAGATTCCACACACCATTATTATAAACACTGCCTTGATGGGCTCTTCCTCCTTCTGTACCTAGAAAAATCCTAACCCTGGTTAAATCCAGCTCCTCTCAGATTCTACAACTGCACTTGCACAGCTAAATTTCACAAGGGGAATCCACCAGGCATGTTGACCGGAGACGGGCCTCACTTTGTATTTATGATAGCAAATCTCGAGTGGACCCTCAGTATTGCCAGGCAGCCTGGCAGCATTCCCAAGTTGCTTCACTCCCCGTCTCCCATATGGACAGTTAATATCTTTCCTTCACCCCTGAAACCTCAAATCCCCCACCTCCACTCTGAACTCTCAGCCAGTGATGACCTAGCTTCTCATTTTACTGAGAAAACAGAAGCTATCTGAGAACATTCTTCTCTGCTTACCACCAAGCTTCCACATGGTCTGCATCTATGCCCTTGAAAGCCGCCTGCCTTCCTGTGATGGTGGGTGAATCAGCTGTGCTTCTTCTCTACCGGAAGTTTCCACTTGCTCCCGGCAGGCATCTCTTCCTATCCCCTCACTCAAGCACTTTGCTTTCGTCAATTTTCTCCCCTCTCTCTTCTCTACTAAATTATTGTTGTTTCCTTCTCCACTGGGTCATTATAATTGGTATACAAACGTGCTGTAATATTTTTACCTAAAAACCTTTCTCTCCGCCTACATTTTTTTTTTTTTTTGAGACAGTCTCGCTCTGTTGTCCAGGCTGGAGTGCAGCGGCGCGATCTCCACTCACTGCAACCTCCGCCTCCCAGGTTCAACCAATTCTCCTGTCTCAGCCTCTCAGGTAGCTGGGATTACAGGTGCACACCACCACACCTGGCTAATTTTTTGTGTTTTTAGTAGAGATGGGGTTTCGCCATGTTGGGCAGGCTGGCCTCAAACTCCTGACCTCAGGTTATCCAAACGCCTCAGCCTCCCGAAGTGCTGGAATTACAGGCATGAGCCACCGCGCCCAGCCTCCTCCCTCTTTCTTGTACATCTCCTGCATCATTTATTTGCTCTGCTATAAAACAAACGTGGAAGGCATTACCTTTTTTCGCTGTCCTGTCTCTCATTCTGTCTCAAAATCACTCATATGAAGCTTGGTCTCAACACCCTCCCTGATCTCTACTCCATTGAAATTCTGTTTTTCAAGGCCACGATTGACCCTTAAGTTGGCAAATTCAAAGGTCAGTTTTAAAGTCTGCATCTTTCTTGATTTCTGAACAGCATTTAGTAAAGCTGACTATTCTTTCCTTGAAACATTTTTTTCTTGGTATCTGAAAAACTAAAATGCTTTTATTTTTACTTTATTATCTTTCTCTTTCTCAGTTTTCTTTGCTGGATTCTCTTGTTTTCTAACTTCTAAATTTTGAAAGGTCCCAGGCATTAGACCTTCTCACATATCTTCTGTGGCTACCCTTATTCAATAGGTAATCATTTACTGCCATGGAGTTAGATACCATCAACTAACTTGATGATTTCCACATTTGTTTCTACAGACCCAGCCTGTTTCCTGAGCTTCAGACTCCATCTCTAAACACCTCTCTGTTGCATTGTGGCTGCTTAAAAGGCATCTCAAACCTAATATATTTGAAGCCAAATGCTTAGCCTTCCCCCAAGTATGTTCCTCCTGGTACTTTACAGCTTTGTTTATGGCCAGACCATTAGCCCAGATGCTCAGACAAAATCCGTGGAAACATCTTTGGCTCCTCTCTCTCTTACTCTCCAGAGAGAATCTAACAGTACCCACTGTGCATTCTAGTTTCAAAATATGTCCCAGTGTTTTTACCAGCTAGATTAATCTTCAAGCTCTGATTTGGCTCAAAACAGCCCCTTTACCCCATTCTTGCCTCATTCTGAGCAGTATAGACCTGGGCTTGGTATCAGTCCTGGCTTAACCACTTCCTAGGTGTTTGACCTAAAGCAAGGTATGTCACCTCTGGAGTCCAGTTTCCAGAATTCAAATATATGCATGTATGTATGTGTTGATATGTATGTATATGTGTACATGTGTACATATGCCTATATATATGCATGCATGCATGTATGTATGAACAATAGATAGATCTTAAATGTGACTCCTCACTACTTTACCACTCCCCTTTGTTCAATCCACCACCATCTTTTGCCTGGATAATTAACAAATGCCTCCAAATTTGTCTCCCTACTTCCTCTGTTGTCCACCCCCACTCCCATTTTCTGTTCTCTGCTAGCAGCCTGAGAGATCCTTTTAGAACACGAGTCACATCATGTCACGCACCTACTCAAATCCCTCCAGTCACTTCCCATCGTATCTGAAACAGCATCCTAAGTCCTCATGACAGTCTGCAAAGCCCTCCGTGATCTTGGTCCTGCTGGTCTTTCCGCTTACTCCCTCTTCTCCAGCCACACTGGCCTGTTTGATGTTTTACTAACTCATCAGGCTTGGCCCTCTCTTAGGGCTTTGCGATGGCTATTCCCTCTCTCTGGAATACTTTTCTATCACAGATCTGCCCTGCACAATTCCTCCCTTTATTCAAATCTTCTCTCAAATCTCAACTCCTCATAGAATCTTTCTCCGTCTACTAATAGAATTCTGGAGCCAGCATGTAACAGCTCGCAAGAAGCACTTGTAAGCTTCTGTTCCCATCTCTGTATTCAGTGATGTCACCTTAGTAGCTGAGATCAGCCACAGTGAGAATACACCGTGGAATCAGAAAATGCTACAGTCAGAGCTCATCCTACATTAATTAATTAATTAATTAATTAAGTTAGTTATTGAGAGGGAGTCTCACTCTGTCACCCAGGCTGGAGTGCAGTGGCGTGATCTCAGCTCACTGCAACCTCCGCCTCCCGGGTTCAAGAGATTCTCCTGCCTCAGCCTCCAGAGTAGCTGGGACTACAGGCACCCGCCACCACACCCAGCAAATTTTCGTATTTTTAGTAGAGACGGGGTTTCACCATGTTAGCCAGGATGGTCTCGATCTCCTGACCTTGTGATCCTCCCACCTTGGCCTCTCAAAGTGCTGGGATTACATGCATGAGCCACCGTGCCCAGCCTTTCCTCAGTTTTTATACTCCCAGGACAACATTAATTTTCTTTTTGTCCCAAAATTCAAATTTCCTTTCATGTCAATTACTACTGAGAATTCTCAAGGCCAGCTTCCTTGTCTCTCCAACATAAAGCTTATGAGCTATTCTACTTCTAATATTACCACATCACTTAGTTTTCTGACCTATCTCTTTGACAACTGAGTTCACACATTGGGCCCAGTCACAATCCTTTCTGGCAAAATTATTTCAATCTATGCTCTGATATATTCTTAGCCACAAGTTCATGCCTCCTGAAATAAAGAAAATGAACAAATGAACCTGTGAAGATATAGAAGCAAGGAGGAGTGGAGGAGGTGGAAATAGTCTATGAACTTGAAAAGGTTAGTCTGCTTAATTGTTTTTTAGTGGGGAGTGGGATCGGGTTTTATAACTAAACCAGATCTGTTCCCCTTCGTTTCCATCCTATGCCTCTCTTTTTCAACTTTCTGTGTCATCTATCCCCCTTTCTAAGAAAAGTCATTCTGTGGTAGAGAATCCATGTTTTAAAAGCCATTGACTTAAAACCGGTGCTGTCGGGCTGTTTCTGTTAATGGACTTAATGTGCACAGGAAAGAATGGAAAGGACACCTGCTCGATCCCCATGTTTCATTTCAGGGTCTCGTAGGCAATCAATACAAAGGACTAAGATGCATGAAGGTAAATAACAAAGCATTTTTTGGATTCCCTTGTATCATTTCAGCAGAGTGTATAATTGCTGAGGTTTTCTGAAATGGATGGCTATCTGAGAACAGCCACGTAGTCTTAGAAATTTTGATTGTCACAGAAGCTAAAATGCAGACAATGGCTCAAAGAAATAAATTATTTTATTCTATCTTCCTACTTTGTTCCCAAATGGTGACGTGTAAGAAATTAATCTATTGCATTTGGCATAATCTTATAAATATAAAGAGGAAATTTTTGCTAATTTTATTAAGAATAATTGAACAGGAAATACAAGGGATTAGTTTTCTCAAACTGAGCCATGTGACAACTAATAAATTGTACTGTCATTTCTTTCTCCAGCCTATAATCCCTCATATGTCGCGAATCGTCTCACAATTGAACAGGTGTTTTAATAATAGACTGGAATTTGCTTAAAAATATCTCCCTGAAATGTCCTCAAAAGGACATTAAAATCCCTCAAAAGGGACTTAAAGCTAAGACCCACATTATAAGAATATCAAGCTGGAAAGTTGCTGATCTCAAGGAGGCCTGTCTTTGGGTATAGGCAGAACAGGTGATAGCCAGAGGCTTGCTTGCAGGAGTGCTGAGAAAGCTCTCCTGGCCCCAAACCCTTCCCCACCTGGTTTGCTAAAGCTTCAAATTGAACAATTAGAGATTTTTCTAGGGCTTAATATGTGTAAATATTTCTAACCAAGATGAAATAGATTATTTTCATTCCTTGTGTATGTCTGTGTGTCTATGTATGTATCTATGTATGTATCCGAGTGTTTATACTTTGTGTGTGTGTAGGTATGTATATCCTTCCCTTTTCTAGAAAGAGTAGATTTCAGAAAACCAGATGCAGAGGCTGGGCATGGTGGCTCATGCCTGTAATCCTAGCACTTTGGGAGGCCGAAGTGGGCAGATTGCCTGAGATCAGGACTTTGAGACCAGCCTGGGCAACCTGGCAAAATCCCATTTCTACTAAAAATTCAAAAACTTAGCCAGATGTGGTGGTGCACGCCTGTAGTCCCAGCTACTTGAGAGGCTGAGGCAGGAGAATTGCTTGAACCCAGGAGGCAGAGGTTGCAGTGACCCAAGACCGTGCCACTGCTCTCCAGCCTGGGTGACAGAGGAAGACTCTGTCTCCATAAAACAAAACAAAAAAGAAAACCAGATGAAGAGAACTTGAGGATCTAGAAGTCTGCGTGTGTGTCTGTGTGTATGTGCTTGTATATGATTATGTGTATCTGTGTGTGTTTATGTATATGTGTATTCTGTGTATATGGTATATGAGTCTGTTGTGTCTGTGTGTCTTTATATGTATGTGTGTGTCTGTGTATGTGGTATATGAGTGTGTGTGTTTATGTATATGTATGTGTGTGTATGGTGTATGTGTGTGTGTCCGTGTATGCTCATGTTTGTGTATGCATGTGTCTCTGTGTGTTTATGTATGTGTATGTTTATCTATTTATATGTATATATGCATGCATATGTGTGTTTGTATGTGTGTGCGTAGTTCTATGTTTATGTATATGTGTGTGTGTGTGTTCATGTATATATGTATGTGTGTGTCTCTGTGGTCATGTATAAGTATGAGTGTGTCTGCGTGTGGCATAGGAGTGTGTCTGTATGTATGCCTGTATCATTTCCTTTTCTAGGAGCAACTTTTGATTTTAGGAAACCACATGAGAACACCTTTGTGACCCAGGCACTTTGATGCAAGAGAAGAAAAATAAACCTGTAAAAAGGGAGAAATGTTCACACTACAGGACTTCAGCAGGATAGGAAGGGGCTGTGCCCCAAATAGCTTCCCCCACTTCATTATTTTGCTCATATCAGCCCTGACAGTCGGTCTTTCAGACTCGTTAAATGGTGATTTCTAAGTTTCTATTTACAGACAGGAAACACCAAATAAAACAAAAAATTTTCTAATCAGTGACTATGCACAAATTCAGGAGGTTTCCTTAAAAATGTTTATTTTTATTCATTGTCATGTTATGAAACAGTCCTTTGCTGACTACCTTACCTAAAACAACACCCTCGCCACACACACTCCCTTCCCTCCATCCTGCTTCATTTTCCATTTATCACCTCTCAATATTGGGTTGTTTGACTGTATATTGGGAGTCTTTGCCCACAGAATGTGAGCTCAGTGAGGCAGCCACAGTGCCAGGAGGGGCACCATTGGCACATCTTGGCACCCTCAGAGTTCCAACTTTCCTACTCCTTCCCCAGGTTCCTGGCAAGGCCCAGAGCCCTTCATTTAGAGAAGCAGGCACAACTGAAGAGAGGAAGATGGTCCTGGCTGCCCATGGACCCTCTGACCTTGAACCCTCATAGCAGCTCCAGGGCAGTTATTCCAAGGGTCAGGGATTCCAAGAAGTTTTGCAGAGCGGGAGGAAGACAGAGCATGAGGACATCCTGGAAACTGCTTGCCCTTTGTGATCTAGAGGAGAAAGAGAGACTGAAGCATGGAATAACTTGTTTTATCATGGGCTCTGGGGTCAGGCTCTCTGGAATTTAATACTAACATTTATGTATTACAAGACTTTGGACAGGGTTCTTAACTTCTCTGTTCCTCAATTTTCTAATCTGTAAAATGATGTAAAAATCTGCAATATCAACAACAAAGTCCACATTTGTTTGTTCTTAAAGGTGTGTGTGTGTGTGTGTGTGTGTGTGTGTGTATATATGATGACGATTACAAGGCTTGGAACTTATAAGCACTCAACAAATAAGTTGTTAGTGTTGTTATTATTATTACCACTGCTCAAATGTGTACTTGTAATCCTACTGCCACTCTCATCACATCTCATAGTCTGCTTGGACCTGGACAGATAATTTATCAGCTTTTAAATTCAACTGATAAACTAGATTGAGGCTCTGTTGTGCATAAGGTACAGAGCTAAATGCTGTGGAAAAATTGAACATGAAGAAAACATTGCCTGACAACTATTTATGACCCAGCAGGGTTTGGAAGACATACAAAAACGCAAACCAAACCAAAGCAAAGGCACTATCTGATAAATATTGTAGGAGAGATATAAACAAAGGGTTATGGGCCCTCTGGAAGACAGAGCACTTTCAGCTGGAGGTTCATTTATAAGGGGAGAGGCCCAAATCAGGGGGGTGAAAGGAGATCAATGGGAAGAAGGGTGAGTGGAAAAAGACATTTCAGAGACAGTCACGAATCCGTTATACAGGAGAAGAGAGACAATGCTAAGAATAACTTGCTGTGTTTACAGCCAGGAAATCTAGGAGAGGGTTAACAGAAAATAATAACAATAATTATAAGAAAGCAAGAAAAGCTTTTTGGGGAAGAAAAATGATGCTTGTTCATCTTAGTGAACACTAGACCAACCACTTATGAGCACACTCTTAATTGAATTTCTGCCTTGGCCAAATTCTCCAGCATAAGACATGTAAGTATAGGATCATGCATCATAACCATCTCAGCTTCAATGTTCACTGGTCATTTTGGCACTGTTTTTTTCCCCCATTCTAATAATATCGCCTATAGAAACAGTCATCAGTGATTTTCTTCACTGTGAGAGCCAACCACGCTCTATGAATAAAAGAGCAAATTCCCCCATGTTTCTCCCTAGCCCAACTGAAAGTCATCAATAACCCCAGCAAACCCAAAGTAACAAGTTAGATGTTTTAAAGCCAGTCAAATAATGCTTGCCATAGATCACACCTGCTACTTAGTAACAGATGTTTGTGTGGCTGTGGTCTACTGGGGAAAAATTCACACTCAGTAGCCCTTGTACTTCCACTTCCAACTGTGTTGTAGCTATTGTTAGTATTTTGGCCCAGAATAGAAGACATATTGTAGAAATATCAGCTGGCTCCCATGTAAGACACTCAAGTTAATTTTTCTCTGAAGACTCTGCTCCTTTGTTCATCTGGACTAATTATTTTGTGTTTATCAAAACAAAAGGGCATATTGCAGAAAAGAGAAAAGGAATTACATTAATCTTCTGCACAAGGCTTTTGGGCCATGGTGAAGGAAAATTAGGGGCCTTGGCAGTACTCAGACCCTGTGTTCTAGCATCAAAGGATGTTAGCACTGGGGGTGAGTGTAGTTTAGGGAAATGCCCCTGAGAGCAATGTAAGTGCACCCTTAGAATGACCCTACACAGCAGATGCAGCTGAATGTGTGTTTCAGGCTACGGAATCCGGGAGTAGCCAACCAGAGAGTCATTCCCTGCCTGTGAGGAATATCTGAGACCTCCACCCATCCCATGGAACACAGGCCAAACAAGGGATTAAGGCTATGAGTTTTAGGGTACGTGGAGGTTTCCAGGTAGAGGTTGTTAAGAGGAAGGTGTTAAGTGAATTCTATGTAAACTGCATGCTATTTGCTAGCAGCTGCGGTTTTTCTGCCCAGCCTGGGCCATGCAGTGATGTTGTCCAGCCCACCACAACTGGACCATTTCTGTACGTTAGATAATTCTGTCCA
The DNA here is from genome assembly GCF_000001405.40 of Homo sapiens. Lineage (NCBI taxonomy): Eukaryota > Metazoa > Chordata > Mammalia > Primates > Hominidae > Homo > Homo sapiens. The sequence goes on from NC_000002.12 coordinate 221,050,949, forward strand.
GCCTGCCGCCAATGGACTCTCTCCCTTGTATGTAAGCCCCGAATAAAACCCCATGTCACCTTTGCTGGCTCTGGGTCTCATCTTTGGCTTCTTGAACCTGATGGCTTTCTATTGAGGTTAATAGGTGTTGGGCACAATGGTGCGGCCTAATCCCCACAATTTATGGATGGAAAATGGGATGAAATGGTGAAATGACTAGCACAAGTTTATTCAGTGCATTAAAGGGAGCACCAAGCGTAGAATCCGGGTTTCTTGCACTCAGGAATCTTAGCACCAAAAAGAAGAAGAGAAAAACTTGGAGGAGAGGGAAGAAGAAGGGAGCCCGTGACACGGAAAGCTCTGTGCTTTGGCACAATCATTTCCAGGTGCTGAGCCCAGGTGTGGCCGAGAGAATGGTGACCCCAGACCACCAGCGGTCTGAGGCCACGTCCGCATGTGCTGGGCCAGGGAACCCCACCAGAATCCTCAGGCAGATGTTTTCTCTTTATATGGAGCAGTGAATGTAGGTTAGGAAAAGTGGCTGGACAATTTAACAGAGCAATTTTTCCACCATCTTTTAAAACAATCCATGTCCTTCCTAAGCTTGTGTTTCTAAGTGCAGGCTGCTGAGGGCCCCCTTCACTCTCTGCAGTTACACTGTATTTTTAAAAATTGAGGTAGCAAATTGGAGGTTCCTGAAGTATCTGTTAAGAACCTTCACCATTCCTGAATTAAATGGATCTGAGAGAAGTCAAGTCAGCGTTCTTTGCCCTTCTCCCTTAGGAGATTAATGCAGGGGCACATGCCTGTCTGTGCAACCAGCATTGATTCTTTATTCTTATTCTCCCACCTCTCTATCCCACCTCTTCCCTTCCCTGACCTGTTGAATGTAGCTTCTAGGGCTTCACCTTTTCCTCTGAAGGAGAGGGTTATTTATGTTTTATATATAAAAAAAGTTTGGATATATTTCAGGTCCAAAATAATAATAATGTAGTAGCCGGGGAAGGGGTGGGGAAAAGGAAGACAAGAAATCTAAACATAAACTCGCCCTGCATCCCAATTTTTTCTCCACGACCTACTCATTAACCTTCAAATGATCATGGGCAAATACAAGCGACGTGCAAAGGTATTGTTAATCTTCAGTGCACGTGCAGGCAACTTAATAGAACACAGCTGCTAACTATATCAGTGTCTGTAAAGACCAATAAGACCTAACTCTTTAGGTATTTGGGGGTTTGGCTATAACCACGGTCTCTTGTTATATTGCTATTGAGGAAGACAGAAGTTGTTTCTTCTTTCAGATTAATGTCTCTTAATTCCTAGTCTATTTCCCTGTAATGCAGTAGATGTTCTCAAGGATTCTAAAGACATTAACCTACCTTAACATCTCCTCTTGTTATAAAAATGAAGCTGCCTGTATCGTGACAATGATAATCTTTTGTTTTCAGGGAGAGCTGAGTAATTCACTTGGATGTGGATTTTAGTTATGTTAAACAAGAAAACCAGACTAGCTGCTTAATTCAACATCAAAAAAAGAAAAAACCCATAATAAAACTGGCTTCTTCCCCCTTAGTGAAAGCAAATTTCCAATTTTATTCCTGTGATTGTTCTAGCTGGTCCACTTGATTACTTTCAGCGACAACAGAAGAAGCAAAGTGTAGGTTTGCAGAATTGATGAGCCTTCCTAATTAAAGATTAAATCAGCCTATTATTCTATTCAAGGTGTAAGGGTTTTATGTGCTTTTTCTTTTCTATATATTTAAGTCAGAATTCAGTGTCATTTTTGAGCTCTCTCAAATTATTTATCAGGGTTGTATGCCCTTCAAATGTCAACATCCCTTGGGGCGAATTAAAGATGGCCACCAAATCTTTGTCTCTCTCTTCATGGGAAGAGAAGTCCATCTCTCTATCCTTGAATCTGGGTTGACCTTGTGACTTGCTTTGACCAATAGAATGAGGTATTTTCAATGTTGTTTCTGGAAATAGCCTTAGCCAGATCCAGGAGTTCATGAACTGTCCTTTCTTCCTTCTATGTTACCACAGTCAACAGTTTCTAGTTATTCTGCTATTACATTACTTGAGTCTTCTTTTCCCTAACTTCCCAAAACAATTTTGTCACTGCCTTCCTACCCTCACAATCTCCTTGAGGGCCTTCTAGCTCCCTCCTGCAAGCGGTTCCAAACTCAAGGCAGCCTTTCTGTTTTGTCATGGCAGCAACACACTACTAATGCCAATTCTGTTTCATTTATTTACTACTGTGGAATGAACTACTCCAAAGCTTAGGGGCTTAAAACATGAGTGTGTTTATTATCTCTTACAAATCATGGGTTAACTAGTTTCTGCTGGGCGGTTTTTCGGCTCCATGTAATTTTCTGTGGGAGCTTGATTGGCCTGGAAACTCCAAGATTCACGCCCTCTCCCCCACCCCACTCAGTCCCCATAGCTGGCAGGTGATGCTGGTTGTCAGTCAGGAACTCAACTGGGACTGTCTAACAGGGCCATATGTATGTGGCCTCTTGATGCAGCTTGGGATTCATCCAGCCAAGAGGAAGGTTCCAACAGGAAGCATCCCAAGAGTAAGTGTTCTAAGAGGGAGAAAATGGAAAACTCCAGTGCCCTTAATAAGCTAGCCATGCTGGGAGTATAAAAACTGAGGAAAATAGGGAGGTTGTAAGAAAAAATAAGGAAATGAACAAAAAGTTTATAATATCACTGAAAGCACTTTGCAAACTTAAACTTTTCAAGTACAGAAATTATGTTCAGTGTTGACTTATTTATTCAATAAACAAATACGAGCTAACGGATGTGCTCTTTGAGATAGGGTGGTATGCTCTCTGGAAAAAAAAGTAGAAGGAAATCTGATTTGCAGCAATTTCTGATTCCATGGTTTCAGCTACTGACGTGACATCACTGAACACAGAGATGGGAACAGAAGCTCACAAGTGCTTCTTGCGAGCTGGTACATACTGGCTCCAGAATTCTATTAGTAGAAAGAGAAGGATTCTACAAGGAGGAAGAATTTGAAAGAAGGTTTGAATAAAGAGAGGAATTGTGCATATATATATATATATATATATATATATATATATATATATATATTCCAGAGAGAGGGAATAGCCATTGCACAGTCCTGAGAGGGCCATGCCTGCCGAGTTAGAGGAACGTAAAAGAGGCCAGCATACCACATCATCCCTTTGGCCACATTCTTTAGGCTAAGGCATAAGCATCACAGTTCCAGGGGAAGGAACTAAACTCGGCACTTAGTGAAGAATTTGTGGGCCCCTTTAATCCTCAACCTTCAAATATTGCTTTCCTCTGGAGTGGTATTCTGTAGTTCACCAAACCCTTTCTTTCTCCTCTCTTTTTCCCTTCCTTTATTTCATGCTCTGTCTTTTTAGATTAGCAATCCAGACACTTGCAGGTTCTTCTAGTATCTAGATATATAATCATCACTAACTTTCTAAATATAAGATCACACTTAAAAATGTAGGGTATTAATCAAACAACACTACCATGGTGATTGCTGAAGCTAGTGTCTCTACCTTTGTACATATTATGTTTTCCATGGTGAAAAGTAAGAGAAGAGGGTAAATATTAGACGCTGAGATGTACCCTTAAACAATAATCTTGTAGCACCTAGCTGACTTGCAACACTATTAGCTGCTTCATAACTTTTTTAAAAAACGTTTTCAAAATTCTAGAATACACATAATTTAGTCATGGTCACAGGGAACCTAATTAAATGCATGGATTTACCTGATTTTGACGATATAGAAGGAGAACACAGTTCTTAAAATATATAATTGTCAAAACCTTAGGAAGCATAGCTGTGCAATTACAGATAGAAACAGAAAAATACTTGAGGTAACAGAAATGTACTCGATGAAGGTTTTATTATAAAGGCTAATCTTTGAGCTACTACACATATTGAGACTTAAAATACCCAGCATAATATGCAAGATCTGATATGTTTTATCTCTGTAACCTGCTTAAGAATACTGCATGGGATGCCGTAAGCACCACGATGGCATTATCTGTTATTATCAGCAATGGCAGCAACAAGAAATGGCCTGGCTGACACTGGCCTGTGTGGTTCAGTATAGGACCCTATTTTTTGAGTGCAGTCATGTAACAACAGAAGGCACAGAACAAGGACAGTGACCATAAAAGGCCCAGCCTCAAACAAGGACACATATATCCCTATGAGTTTCACCCAAGTCCCAGGAACAAAGTCTTGGTAGGTTGTTATTCCCTGCTGTGAAGTCTACTTGCCACTTTTAATATGTTTAACTCACAAGCTTATTAAGTCAACAGAAGAATTGACCAGAAAAAAAAGAAAAAAAAAAAGCATAGTCATATTGAGAGTCACTGGCCTGCGTCTCCAAAGAGCCTGTGTCTTCAGGTCTCTTTTCGCACCATAAAGTTGCCATTGCCCTTGGATATTTTTCTATTTTGAGTTTATAATCCTATATGGTGAGTTGATGGCAAACTGGAACCTAGAAAATTGCAGTTTTCTTTTATGTATTTGTTTGTTTCTCTCCTCTATTAGAATGCAAGCTTTCTGAGGTCAGAGCCAATGTCTGTCTTCCTCTCCATTGTACCTCCAGTGTCTAGAACAGTGCTTGGCATGTTTGCTGAGTGATTAGATGCTGAATGACTGAGTTTACTAATGTTCTGAGTTCAAAGAACCTCTTTGGGTAATGTTAAGAATCACCTCCCAAGATGGATGGATATCATCTTTATTTGTTCACCGTCTGGGTTTCCAAAATTGATGGTAGACATCATCTTACACCGTGTTACTTGAATAGGGACCATTTCTGTTTGGATAGAGCTCACCTCACAAATAATCAAGTGGCATGTCATCACTTCAATGGTTTTTAATCTATTCTGGCATGAACTTTACATATTTTGCAAGAAAGTTTTATTTTATTTTAAGAGAACTCTACTCAAAAACATTTTGACTTGAAGTTTAGTAAAGGTTTTATATTAGTTAATATCTAGTATGTACCCAAAACTTTGTCATGAAATATAGACATATGCATTTATATTTATGTTTATATATGTAAACAGTTATATACTGCACTAATATACATGTTCATGTGTATATATATATATATATATATATATATATATACACACACACACATTTAACACTATTTTATCCTTCTACCTACATTACCCCAAGAAATATTGTTTTTAAAGTGATTAATTTACATCTGGAGTGAGACACATAAATAACATTTGAAAATCTATCAAAAATTCAAAGCATGGCACAGCCTTTTAAAAACACCCTAGCAATAAAGTTTTATAAAACACAGCCATTAGCATCATTTTGATTTGTTTATAGCTATTAACTCTAATTACTGGTGTATTAGTCCATTTTCACATGCTGATAAAGACATGCCCGAGACTGGGGAGAAAAAGAGGTTCAACTGGACTTACAGTTCCACATGGCTGAGGAGGCCTCAGGATCATGGCAGGAGGTGAAAGGCACTTCTTGCATGGTGGTGTCAAGAGAAAATGAGGAAGAAGCAAAAGTGGAAATCCCTGATAAACCCATCAGATCTCGTGAGACTTATTCACTGTAATGAGAATAGCACAGGAAAGACTGGCACCTAGAATTTAATTTCCTCCCTCTGCGTCCCTCCCACACCATGTGGGAATTCTGGGAGATATAATTCAAGTTGAGATTTGGGTGGGAACACAGCCAAACCATATCATTCCGCCCTGGCCCCTCCAAATCTCATGTTCTCGCATTTCAAAACCAATTATGCCTTCCCAACTGTCCCTCAAAGTCTTAACTCATTTCAGCATTAACCCAAAGGTCCACAATCCAAAGTCTCATTTGAGACAAGGCAAGTCCATTTTGCCTATGAGCCTGTAAAATAAAAAACAAGCTAGTTACTTCCTAGATACAGTGGGGGTACAGGTATTGGGTAAATACAGCCATTCCAAATGAGAGAAATTGGTCAAAACAAAGGAGTTACAGGGCCCATGCAAGTCTAAAATCCAGTGGGGCGGTCAAATCTTAAAGCTCCAAAATGATCTCCTTTGACTCCTGGTGTCACATTTAGGTCACACTGATGCAAGAGGTGGGTTCCAATGGTCTTGGGCAGAGTCCCCAGTAGGGACTCTGTGTGGGGGCTCTGACCCCACATTTCCCTTCTGCACTGCCCTAGCAAAGGTTCTCCATGAAGGCCATGCCCCTGCAGCAAACTTTTGCCTGGGCATCCAGGCATTTCCATACATCTTCTGAAATCCAGGCAGAGGTTCCCAAACCTCAATTCTTGACTTCTGTGCACTGGCAGGCTCAACACCACCTTGGAAGCTGCCAAGGCTTGGGTCTTCCACCTTCTGAAGCCACAGCCTGAGCTGAATTGTCCCCTTTCAGCCATGACTGGAGTGACTGGGACACAAGGCACCAAGTCCCTAGGCTTCATACCGCACAGAGACCCTGGGCCCGGTCCACAAAACCACTTTTTCCTCTGGGGCCTCCTGGCCTGTGATGGGAGGGGCTGCCGTGAAGGTCTCAGGCATGCCCTGGAAACATTTTCCCCATGCTCTTGGGAATTAACATTAGGCTCCTTGCTGCTTATGCAAATTTCTGCAGCTGGCTTGAATTTCTCCTCAGAAAATCAGTTTTTCTTTTCTACTGCATCATCAGGCTGCAAGGTTTCTGAACTTTTATGTTCTGTTTCCCTTTTAAAATGGAATGATTTTTAACAGCACCCACATCACTTCTTGAATGCTTTGCTGCTTAGATATTTCTTCTTCCACCAGATACCTTAAGTCATCTCTCTCAAGTTCAAAGTTCCACAAATCTCTAGGGAAGGGGCAAAATGCCACCAGTCTATTGGCTAAAACATAACAAGAGTCACCTTTGCTCCAGTTCCCAATAAGTTCCTCATTTCCATCTGAGACCACCTCAACCTGGACCTTATTGTTCGTATCACTATCAGCATTTTTGTCAAAGCCATTCTCCTAGTCTCTAGGAGGCTCCAAACTTTTCCACATTTTTCTGTCTTCTTCTGAGCCCTCCAAACTGTTCCAACCTCTGCCTGATACCCAGTTCCAAAGTCATTTCCACACTTTTGGGTATCTTTTTAAGCAATGCCCCACTCCACTGGTACCAGTTTATTGTATTAGTCTGTTTTCAAGCTGCTGATAAAGACATACCCTAGACTGGGAAGCAAAAGAGGTTTAATTGGTCTTACAGTTCCACGTGGCTGAGGAGGCCTCAGAATTGTAGCAGAAGGTGAAAGGCATGTCTTACACGGTGGTGGCAAGAGAAAATGAGGAAGAAGCCATAGCGGAAACCCCTGATAAACCCATAAGATCTCATAAGACTCATTCACTATAATGAGAATAGCATGAGAAAGACCAGCCCCCACGATTCAATTACTCCCCTGAGTCCCTCCCACAACACGTGGGAATTCTGGGAGATACAATTCAAGTTGAGATTTGGGTGGGAACACAGCCAAACATACCAACTGGTAATATACTATAGCAGTTTACAGTTTGAAAAGTACTTTCACAAAGTCATTGCCTTGTTGGTCTTCACTGTAACTTCATATCTAATGTATTGTTTCTGTTCCAATAAAACCACGTTTATGGTATTATTTCTGTTATTTGTACAAAAAACAACAAGAATTGGGAATTTTAATTTTTTCAATGAATTATTCAGCATTCTTGCATATTTAAATGTCGGAGGTGCCCTAATTACCTGTAAAGCCCTTTTAAAATTTTTGATTATTTTTTGCATTTATTTATTCATTTTAAATTTTAATTTATTTTAGATTCAGGGGGGTACATTTGCATATTTGTTACATGGGTATATTGCATACTGGTAGAGATTGGGCTTCTTATGTACCCATTACCCAAATAGTAAACATTGTACCTAATGGGTAATTCTTTAACCCTCATCCTCCTCCCACTCTACTCCCTTTTGGAGTCCCTAGTGTCTATTATTTCCATCTGTATGTCTATATGTACCCAGCGTTTAGCTCCTACTTATGAGTGAGAACATTTGGTATTTGATTTTTTGTTTCTGAGTTAGTCCACTTAGGATAATGGCCTTCAGCTACATCCATATTGCTGCAAGGACATAATTCCATTATTTTTTATGACTGTGTAGTATTCCATGATATGTATATCACATTTTCTTTATTAAGTCAACTACTGGTGTGCAGTTAGGTTGGAATCATGACTTTGCTATTGTAAGTAGTGCTGTGATGAACATATGAGTGTAGGTGCCTTTTTATATAATGATTTCTCTTCCTTTGTGTAGACACTCAGTAGTGAAATTTCTGGGTCAAATGCTAGTTTTATTTTTAGTTTTTTAAGAAATCTCCACACCGTTTTTCATAGAGGTTGAACTAATTTACATTCCCACCAACAGTTGTATAAGCATTCCCTTTTCTTCACATTCACACCAACATCTGTTGTTTTTTGACTTTTTAATAATAGCCATTCTGAGTGGTGTGAGATGATATCTCATTGCGGTTTTCATTTGCATTTCTCTGATGATTAGTGATGTTGAACATTTGTTCATATATTTGTTGGCTGCTTGTAGTTCTTCTTTTGAGAAATATCTCTTCACGTCCTTTGCCCAGTTTTTAATTGAGGTTGTTTGGTTTTTTCTTGTTGAGTTGTTTGAGTTCCTTGTAGATTCTAGATACTAGTCCTTTGTCAGAGGCATAATTTGCAAATGTCTTCTCCTATTCAGTAGATTATTTGTTTACTCTGTTGATTGTTTCTTCTGTGCAGAAGCTTTTAAGTCTCATTTATCTATTTTTGTTTTTGTTGCATTTACTTTTGGAATCTTTATCATAAACTATTTGCCTAGGCCAATGTCCAGAAGAGATTTTCCTGGATTTTCTGCTCAGAGGTGTATAGTTTCAGGTCGTATGTTTAAATTTTTAATCCATCTTGAGTTGATTTCTGTATGTGATGAGAGAGACAGGGGTCCAGTTTTATTCTTCTGCATGTGGCTAGTTTTCCCAGCACCATTTATTGAATAGGGAGTCATTTCCCCCGTTGTTTATTTTTGTTGGCTTTATTGAAGATCAGTTGGTTGTAGGTTTGCCACTTTACTTCTGAGTCCTCTATTCTGTTCCCACTGATCTATGTGTCTATTTTTGTATCAGTATCATGCTATTATAGTTGGTCTAGCTTGTAGTATAATTTGAAGTGAGGCAATGTGATGTCTCTGGGTTTGTTCTTTTTGCTTATGACTACTTTAGCTGTTCGGGATCTTTTTTGGTTCATCTGAACTTCAGGATTGTTCTTTCTAATTCTGTGAAAAATGACGGTGGTAATTTAATAGGGATTGTGTTGAATCTGTAGATTGCTTTGAAAGCTCCTTTTTTAAAAGCATTATTTGTGCATGTTACCAGACCCTCCATGTGTCAAGAGAGATTTAATCTTCCTGGAGGTTACTGCCATTTGGAGGCAAATGCCAGGTGGACTAAACAGAGTTAAATACTATTGACTGACTAGACTATAGAAGAATGAAGAACTCCTATGACTCAGTTTTCTTTTTCATTCTGAACAAGTTTTTAATCATTTCACCCCTCTAGAATTCACATCTGTTCAAGACATAATGCTGTGGGTCAGCCTGGGCTCTGTCAAAATGAAGGCAGTATTACCAAATCCCAAATTACAGTATGTTTTACTAACCAGTTTTATAGACTAGACATTTCACTCAGGCAGAAAGGAATTCCCACTGCACTTGAGGGGTAGCAGAGCCTTGAGAACAGGCTACTGGTTCTGCTTGGCTCTGTCCAGGCATACCAAAGACAAAGAGGCAGAATAAATTTGGTGAAAGATGAAATTATGAAACAAGCCCAGCTTCTCAGCTTCTTGATTTTAATTCACTTTTATTTGTGAATGTGACGATCTTTTACTATGTTGTAGCAAAGAGTTCAGATCTAAAGATAAAACTTCTTCAAGACAAAAAACCAGTGTCCTGACTGCAAAAGAGAGGGAGAATCTGCTTCCAGCTACTAAACAAAAGAGAGGAAGTCCCAGTTCTGTTTTATTAAAAGACTTTTTATCCACAAAATACTGCAGAATTAATATAAATGGTCTATGCAATTTAATGTATCTTTTTTCTCTGGCTTTACTTAGAAAAATCACAGCAAAATATGCATTTTTTAAGTTAACTCTGTCAACCTAGTCATAATTCCAGGCAAAATTGTACATCAGTAAGTGATGCTAAAGGAAATTAAAAGGAGACGCAAGACTAACAATATGACATCAAAATGCAGGGCCTTTTAAACACGTTTGTTCATGCATTTAAAAAAATGCCAGTAGCATTTAGGTGTATTTAGGTTTGTGCTTAATAAGGGTCCCAGAATGATGGCCCGAGATCTTTTCCTGCTATTATTTTGTTTGCTCGTTGATCTATTTCTTGATAAATCTGGTCAGCAGTTACTGCATGTCTAGTACATACCAGGTACTATTCTAGGCACAGAGGATGCAGCAGAGAATATGAGAGAAAAATTCTCCTACCTTCCTACTAAGACAGACAATTAGTAAGTAAACAAACATATGTGACATCATTTCAGGTAGAAAAAAGTGCTAAGAAGAAACATAAAGCAAGAGTAAGAGTATAGGAAGTTAGTAAAGTGGGATGCTGTTCTAGGTCTGGTCAGGAAAGGTGTCTGAGCAGGTAGCATTTGAACAAAGGGCACAGACTCAGTCTATTTGCTGGAAAACACTACAGAATGTCATGGATGGGTCAGTGAATGGACACGACACACTGATATTGACACCCAGTCCCCAGGACTGTTTTTCTTAGTCACCAGGGCCTCCCTAGGTACTTGCCCTGGGAAAAAGGCTTCACGATGAGAGAAGAAAATTTAAAATGCAAAAACTCAAAACGGGCAGCAAATAGGATGCAGTGGATGAGTCTGCCCTGGGGTACTTGCACTCCACAGATTGTCCTCTAGGTCAGCTGCTCAGGGACTCATTGTGTCAGAGCACTTGGGACGTGAGCTACAAAAAAAAAAAAAAAAGAAAAAAGAAAAAAAAAAGCTATAGTATCCATGTCCCCCAAAATTTCTCTTTCACATCCAAGACTAGTAAGAGAAAACAACACTTGTGTGGTGTAAGGACATTTTATTTGACTTTATGGTGGTATGTGAAATAACAATCTCACACCTTCAGAAGCATCAAAGAATATCATCAGAGTGACATGGTTTGGAAACACATTTGGTCTCTCAGTCACCTTCTTTACCTCTTCGTCTGTTAACAGAACCTCTTCCTCTTCTGGGGAACTCATTCCATGTGGGTCAGGTAGAGCTAAACCCACTTCCTGTCACAGCAGCGATTTTTTGACCCAATCAGAGTATACATCCCTCAAACAAAGTAATCAGTGAGGGATGGGCAGGTGATACAAACCAGACTCATTACAACTCTCAGTAGAATGTTTCTTTAGGCGCTGGTAGAAAAATCTTTTTTTCTCAGACTCAAAAAGCTGAAAAGATGTGAGTGTGCCGCTGTCAATCATCATTCATGTTCACCACTGAAGAGAAAGTGTTAAAGTTAGAAGAAAGAGACGGAATCCCTATGACAACATTTGTGAATCCCTAGATCCAGCTAGATCCGAAGACACATCAACTCACAGATGTACCAGGTTCATGAATCAATACATGCCTGGTTTTGCTTAAACAAGTTTGAGTTGGACTACTGTCATGAGCAATTTAAAAAGACTCAAATAATGAGAACCATGGATCCACAGAGGAAATATGAGCAATGACAGGGAATATACCAGGGGTATCATGTACTGCCAAAAGTCAACAAAGTGTGCCGAGCTGGAGAGCAGAGGAAATGCTATAAGGAAGACGAGAGTCATGGTTGTCAATAGTTACATGTAAGATGCCCAGGGAAGTCATGCAATGGAAGAAAAGAAATGGTGAGTGGTATTCCAGGTATTCTGCCAAGGGTCCATCCTAAAAAGTTGCTGTTATTTTACTATTCCTATTAGATTGTACCTAGGCAGATTGATGTAACCTAGGCAATTAGATTTTATTATTATTTCATAAAAACACTTTATTTGATAGTTTTTATTTATTTACATTTTATTTAACACTTTATTTAACATTTATATAAATACTTTATTTAACACTTTTGGAGCAGGCCAGCAGTAAGTCCTGAGGTATGACTTTAATTCAGCACATATTTAACAAATGCCAATTTTGTGCTAGGCCTATATGAGGTAGACATTGAAAAGAGAAGGATAAGATTATTGGCTTCAATATCACACTCCTTTTAACAAACTTATAAAGGTGAAATTTGAGTACTGGGAGATTTCTTTTCAGGGAATAGGACAACAAAAACAAAATGCTTCCTGAAGCATGAATATAAAAGCAATGAGGTAACTGATTAATTTTGACCTACTTGTGTAAATGTGTGTGTTTTGAGGGTGGAATTAAGTATTTTTTAGAGCAGTTTTAGGTTCACAGCAAAATTGAAAGGAAGATTTCCCCTGCCCCCAACACATGCACAGCCTCCACCACTATCAACATTCCCCACTAGAGTGGTACATTTGTACAATCCACGAACCTACATTGATGAATTGTTATCACGCGAAGTCCATAATTTACATTCAGGTTCAGTCTTGGTGTTGTACATTCTATGGGTTTAGACAGACATATAATGGCATGTATTCATCGTTATAGTATCACACATGGTAGTTTCACTGCCCTAAAAATCTTCTGTGTAAATGTGTGTTGTGTAGAATTTTTAGCACAGGCCAGAGGCACCAGCCGTTCATCCCCCTTACTCTAGATGCTGCCCGGCATCAGTTCCCATCCACTGATGGCAGGTGCAAGGCAGGTGGCTCCCCATAATGGTGGGTGCAAGGCAGAGCAGTCCTGAGGCTCTTTCCTTGATAAAGAGATGCCCTCTTTCTAAAATGGCTTATATTGAAAGACTTGCTAAACACAAGAACATTAGCAATAATAAGTGTGCTTTACATGATGACACATGAATATCACAATGAGGAATAGCATAAATCAAGGAGACACCCTTTAAACATGTCCCCCACCACCACCACCCTATGAATCTTTTCCTTCCCCTTGCCTCCAGGTTGGTTAGAGCTACTGCCCTTCATTAAGTATGGGGGGATTTGAGGTAGAAAGCATATGTCTTAGTCCATTTTGCATTGCTATAGCAAACACCACAGACTGGGTAAAATCAATTTATTTCTCACCATTCTAGAGGATAGGAAGTCTGATATCAAGGGGCTGCCATGTGGCAGCAGGCTTTATGCCACATCATCCAATGGTGGAAGGTGGAAGGGCAAGACAGCATGAGACAGCAAGAGTGGAACTTGCAGCCTCAGGTCCTTTCATAATTGGCATTAATCCATTCATGAGGGTGGAGTCCTCATGACTTAAACACCTCCATTAGGCCCCACCTCCCAACACTGTTGCATTTGGGATTAAATTTCTAACATATGAACTTCGGGAGAAATATTCAGATCATAGGAGTGTACCTTACAAGGTTTATAAAACAAAGGGCAAAGGAAAAGTTAAAAAAATTGAATGGGAAAGATGTGGCAATTCCTTTGGGAATGAAATTGTGACTATTCTGAAGGAAATCTCTGATGTTAAGAGGTTAATTCCATGAGATGAGCTATCACATATAAAGGGAAACAGAATTCCTACAAAAGAGGTATGAATAACCCATATGCATCTGGGCTTGACTTGTGTGATTATTTTGCTCTCTCTCCCTTCCCTTCACAATCTTGCATCTTCCACAATGTATTGCAACACTCACTAGAAATCATCTTGCCACTCCTATTGCAACCAGGAACATGGCACCTGGAGCAGCTTTGGACATGCGACCTGACACCTCTGAAACAGGAGGAGGGCTACCTCTTCTCTAATCTCTGCAAAATATGAACAAGGAAAAGGTCTAAATGTCATTGAGTTCTCTTGCAAAAGGACAAAGAGCAGAGTTTCTCAGAATTTCCTACAGGGCATGAACGTAGTTAATTTAAACACATTCAAATTAACAGACTGTGCTGACTGAAGGGTGAATTTCTCTCTGTTTTGGATAAAAACTAATTTAAATGTGGTGGTACCAGACAGCGAGCACATTCCTACAATGAAGTAAACAAATGTTATTGCCTTCACTTAGGAAGTCTTGCCCAATTAGGTTGATTATAATGATGACAGAGATGTATCCTGAATGCACAAGAAAGTAGTAATGCACAGATTTGTTATGTAATATTTATAGACTCTGTGGTAAAACTTCAGATGAATTAAAATATACAGTCTTGTATTTCCACGGATGAAGGGAATGGGATCCACATGTTTGCTAAAAGTAAAAGGCACAGCCAACAAATTCTCTGACATTTACATTGATAAGACTTTCTCTGAGAATTTGTAAACTCCTGATGTAAACTGCTATTTTAAACAACAGAGAAGCAGCTTGTCTCTGTCACCTGTAAGTTTAACCCCAAATTACAATTTGGTCTTTGCTTGACTTTAGAAACTGTCTCTATCATTCTCTCTTAAATGAATTGACTTAGGAAAGTATGTACTTTATGAAAATAATATGTTAGATTATATTCAGTCAGATTATTTTATTAGTGTACCCAAAGTGTTACTGGTAAGCTGATTTACTCAGATATTGCTATGATGAAATATGGACTTTACCCTGTTTCTGTGACTTTGTGTGGGGGTTATTAACAAGGAAAGCACAATCTTTAAAATCGCTACTTATTTTAACAATAGAATCTATATCATGACTTGATGAGCAAGTACAACATAGTAGAAGAGCAATGGTTTTGTATAGTAAAATGTTGGATGAAGAATTGAACCTCCCTGGACCCCAGTTTCCTCATGTAAAATGATAGAGTTGTTCTATGTTATCTCAAAGGTTTTTTTCTGCCCTAAACCGTCTGTGATCTCTGATTACTAACACATTGGTACTATGTGTGGTAGCCAGGTTGGAAGGACACAACCTAGGAAGGCCAATCTGTGATACACACTCAATTCAGTATGACAGTCATTTGTAGTTATTTGAAAACAAAAATAAGACACTCATCAAGAACAGGGATACAGTCAAGACTGAAGGAGGGTAAATTAAACAAAATTAAGAAAGACATATATATTTATTTAAAATAATATATATTCAATATTTCTTTAAAATAAATATTGCAACTTCTTTTGTATAATATGTCTTAGGGGAGACGGTTAATTGTTTAGGAAAATACCTCAGTAGGCCTCTTTAGGTATAAAAACTGAAACTGCTTGTGGACAGAAGAGTCAAGGGGGCCTCCATTCCAAACCCATGCCTGTCCCTCTACACAATCTAAAAATGCAAGAAAGTAACCAGCACAAAGCACCACTTTAATAGCATTTGGCTCAGTATCAAGCTCTTCTTTGCTGATGGCTGCACTCATTGATTTGTTGTCTTACATTCATGCATTTCTAACCTGTGGCTATGTCACTAACAGACTGTATAGTAACCATACAATGATCTTGGTATCAATACAATTTGTTTGATCATTTCTTTATTCATTCAATCACCATCTACAAATTGCCCAGTCACTGGGAATATAATGATGATTGTATATAAACTGTGTACTAGTAATGTTCAAAGTCTAGTACACTGGTTCTCAAATTTTAAATGCACACAAATTGCTGGAGAACTTGATAAACCATAAATTTCTGGAGACCTTCCCTAAGGATTTTGATTAAGCAGGGAGGGTAGGAGCCAAGAAAAAATATATTTTTATCGGGCTTTTCAGGTGACTCTCCTACAGGTAATATGAAATTATCATTTTGAGAAATTCTGAACTAGTGTATGTTCTCCCTTCTCCCTTACTGAAATCCACCAGCTTTCCTGGTTTCCAATCCTTTCCAAGGCTTACCTTCCATGCTATCTGCATTTATTCTGCCCAGGATCTTGCCAGCTCTGCCACTTGACTTGTGTGTACATCCCTTAAGCTGCCACAGATTGAGCCTGAGCATTACCATAAAAAGACACAAAGAGTAAATACCACGTGGGTTTGGTTATGCACGGAAATGAAATGGATTACAGAACTTTTTTGAGATATATGCAACTAAACTTGCGACTCATCCCAGCAAACAGTGAAGTAGAGACTGGGTAGCAATCTGATGATTTGATCAGTGTCAGCAGTTTACCTATGTAAAATAAATCCTAATGTGTTACAGACACATTTTAGACTTGAACAGGCCTTTACAAAAATACAAGCACGTCTAATTGCTATCATTTGCTGTAGTCACTTTGCATATAAAGACACAACTAGTGTTTGATTAGGGGCCACTGCTCCATGATGATATATATCATATAGATAACAGAGAGATAATATAAACTCTATTATCTAAAAAAGCTATTATACCTAGAGGTTTCATGAAACAAAAAGAAATTTTAAAAAGATAT
Source organism: Homo sapiens (assembly GCF_000001405.40). Taxonomy (NCBI): domain Eukaryota; kingdom Metazoa; phylum Chordata; class Mammalia; order Primates; family Hominidae; genus Homo; species Homo sapiens. The sequence goes on from NC_000002.12 coordinate 221,067,350, forward strand.
TTAATTAGCAAAGCTAGGCAAAGATGAGCTAATCAGGTTAAGCAGATTGATGCCAGGTTTTGAATTAAATAATGAAACTATTTAGTCCACATATCCACAAGTCTGTATTGAGCACTTTTGCAGAGGATTCATGTGTGCATGTATCTAAATAAACTATCACGTGGATAGGAAAGCACAGCTGGAAAATAAATCAGAAAAAATTCTGGTATTTGGGTATTGTGTTTGATTCATTCCTTTCCACAATTGTAAAACGCACATGAGAGTAAAATTTATGATCTCCATGCAATAGAAAAGCATAATCTTAAGTTAGGGAAATGATGGGACCAACTGCTGGTTTCTAAAATGTGGTGAGAATGTGTATTTAAAGAGGACCCTATCAGGCCTTTATTCTATAAAATAGCTAGACAAATAAATCTGAGGCATCTGAGGGTAATGGCATCTCGAGAGATAATGGATATTCAGTCTGGGAGATGGGAAGGAGATAGAACCTTGGCTGGGGTATGCTAAAAAAAAAAAAAAAAATAGACTAGCTGTTAAACTGCTGGATAGACTAGTCCCTATAAATTTTCAAAAGAGTGCCCTGGGTTTTATCCAGAAGGCTATCGTGAATGAGATACACACTGCTAAAACTCTCCACAGTCCTTCAGAAATTTTAGGACAGGTTCATGCGACACACACCTCATCCCTGGGGCCAATCACCCACAGTTCTTGGCAAAACACAATCTTCAATAATCTTAGAGACAACCCATGAAAAAGATGAAAAAATATTCAATTTTAATTCAATAATGAGGTAGATTCCTAATCTTGTCTACTATCAAATATTTTCCAAATGTTGTAAGAAAAATTAGTTGTAACCCCTATTAGCATTTTTGTTTGTTTGTAGTTGTTTTGGGAAGCCAAGAACTGAACCCATATGTGATGGTGAACTTAATCAAGAAATGTATGTGTTCTGACTGCTCCACCAACTGGTCATTTCCTAATCTCTCTCCCTTTCATCAGGCCTCCCTATTTTCTGAGAAACAACAATATTAAAATTAGGTTAATCAGTCATCCTACAATATCCTGTAAAAGTTCAAGTGAAAGGAAGAGTTGCATGCCTCTCAGTTTAAATTAAAAGCTAGAAATGGTTAAGCTTAGTGAGGAAGACATGTGAAAAGCTAGGCCTCTTGCACCAAGTAGCCAAGTTGTGAATGCAAAGGAAAAGTTAGTTAAGGAAATTAAAATTGCTCCTATTTGAGCATACACAGGATAAGAAAGCAAAATAGCCTTATTGCTGATATGAAGAATGTTTTAGTGGTCTGGATAAAAGATCAAACCAGCCATAACCCTCCGTTAAGCAAAAGCCTAGTTCAGAGCAAGGCCCTAATTCTCTGCCATTCTATGAAGGCTGAGAGTGGTGAGGAAGCTGAAGAAGAAAACTTGGAAACTAACAGAGGTTGAGTTTGTGAGGTCTCTGTGACATAGGAGTTATAGAAATAAGCTGTCTCCGTACCATAAAAGTGCAAGGTGAAGCAGCAAGTGCTGATGTAGAAGCTCTAAAAAGTTATCTAGAAAATCTAGCTAAGATCATTCACAAATGTGGCTACACTAAACAATAGCTTTTCAAAGTAGACACAACACCCTTATATTGGAAAGAGATATCATCCAGGACTTTCATAGCTTGAGAAGACAAGTCAATGACTGTCGTCAAAGCTTCAAAGAACAGGCTGATTTTATGTTAGGGGTTAATGCATTTGATGGCTTTAAGTTGAAGCCAATGCTCATTTACCACTTCAAAAATTTCAGGGCTATTAAGAATTGTGCTAAATATACTCTACCTGTGTTTTATAAATTCAACAACAAAGCCTGGATGCACATTTGTTTACAGCATGGTGTACTAAATATTTTAAGCCCACAGTTGTGACCTACTGATCAGAAAAAAATGTTTCTTTTAAAATATTACTACTCATTGACAATCCACCTGGTTACCCAAGAGCTCTGACAGCAATGTACAAGGAGATTAATGTTGTTTTCATGCCTGCTAATATAATATTTATTCTACAGCCCATGGATCAAGGAATAATGTTAACTTTCAAGTCAATACTAAGACATACACTTCATAAGGCTAAAACTGCCACAGATGCTGATTCCTGTGATGGATTTGGTCCAAGTAAATTGAAAACCTTCTGGAAAGGGTCCACCATTCTAGATGCCAATATGGACATTCATGATACATGGGAGGAGGTCAAAATATCAACATTAATAGGAGCTTGGAAGAAGTTGATTCCAGCCCTCATGGATCACTTTGAGGGGTTCAAGATTTCAGTGGAGGAAGTCACTGGCAATGTGGTAGAAATAGCAAGAGAACTAGAATTAGACGTGGAGCCTGAAGATGCAACTGAATTGCTGCAATCTTATGATGAAACTTTAATCAATGAGAATTCACTTTTCATGGATAAGCAAAATGGTTTTTTGAGATGGAAACTACTTCAGGTGAAGATTCTGTGAACATTGTTGAAATGACAAGAAAGGATTTAGAATATTATATAAACTTAATTGATAAAGCAGTGGCAGGGTTTGAGAGGATTAACTCTAGTTTTGAAAAATGTTCTACTGTAGATAAAATGCTAACAATTAGCATCGCAATCTACAGAAAAATCTTTGGTGAAAGAAAAAGTCAATAGATGCAGCAAACTTTATGTTGTCTTATTTTAAGAAAATTCTATAGTCATGCTAACCTTCAGTAAACACCATCTTGATTGGTCAGCAATCATCAACATTGAGACAAGACCCTCTACCAGCCAAAAGATTATGACTTGCTGAAGGGCCGTGTAATGATAGAATGTTTTAGCAATGAAATATTTTTAAAGTAAGGTATATACATTTTTAGACACAATGCTATTGCACACTTATTAGACTCCAGTATAGTGTAAACATAACTTTTATGTGCATTGGGAAACTGGAAACATTATGTGACTCACTTTGTTGCAATATTTGCTTTATTGCTGTGACCTGGAACCCAACCTGCAATATCTCCAAGTTATGCCTGCATTTCTTAATCTCTTGATTATGGAATGGCCTTGTGACTTGCTTTGTCTCAAAAGAATATGGTTGAAATGACAGTGTGATGACCTTATGCCTTATGATATCCTGCAGCCTTCCCTTCTTCCTCTTGGATTCCTGACTGCTGTTAGATTAAGTCGTAGTCAGTTCTTAAGAAATGAGAAACAAAATCAAGGCAATCTCAACTGCCCCAGCCAATGTCTTCCTAGACAGGCCTACAGGAAGGTGACCTGCAGAGATGTGAGAGAGCCCAGTCAAGATCAGCAGAGACTCTAGCTGACTTGTAGCCCATCACAAACACATAAGCAATCGTAGTGTCTTAGTACATTTTCATGCTGTTATGAAGAAATACCTGAGACTGGGTAATTTATAAAGGAAAGAGGTTTAATTGACTCACAGTTCTGCATGTTTGGAAAGGCCTCAGGAAACATAAAAGCATAGCAGAAGGGGAATCAAACATGTCCTTCTTCACATTGCAAAAGGAAGGAGAAGTGCATAGTGTAGGGCAGAAACCAGCAGAGCTCATGAGAACTCACTCACTTGAATGGCATGGGGGAACCACCCCAATGATCTAATCACCTCCCATGAGTTCCTTCCCCCCTCCCCCAACAGGTGGGGATTACAAGTTAGACCATAATTCACGATGAGATTTGTGTGGGGGAACAGAGCCAGACAACATCACTCTGCCCCTGGTCGCTCCCAAATCTCATCTTTCTCACATTTGAGAGCACAATTATGCCTTCCCAACATTCCACAAAGTCTTAACTCATTTCATCATTAACCCAGAAGTCCAAATCCATAGCCTCATCTGAGATGAGGCAAGGCCCTTCCACCTATCACCCTGTAAAATCAAAAGTAAGTTAGTTACTTCCAAGATATAATGGGAGTACAGGCATTGGACAAATGCACCCATTTCAAATGAGAGAAATTGGCCCAAAAAAAGGGGCTACAGGTCCCATTCAAGTCTGAAATCCAATAGGGCAGTCATTAAACCTTAAAGATACAAAAGATCTCCTTTGACTCCATGTCTCACATCCAGGTCATGCTGATGCAAGGGGTGGGCTCTCTTGGCCTTGGGCAGCTCTACCCCTGTGGCTTTGCAGGGGATAGCCTCCCTCCCAGCTTCCTTCACAAGCTGGTGTTGAGTGTCTACGGCTTTTCCGGGTGCATAACACAAGCACCTGGTGGATCTACCATTCTGGGACCTGGAGGATAGTGGCCACCTTCTTAAAGCTCCACTAGGCAGTGTACCAGTGGAGACTCTGTGTGGGACCTCCAACCCTACACTTCCCTTCCACACTGCCCTAGCAGAGGTCTGGCATGAGGGCTCTGCCCCGCAGCAGACTTCTGCCTGGACATCGAAGCATTTCCATACATCCTCTGAAATCTAGGTGGAGGTTTCCAAACCTCAATCGTTGTCCTCTGCACACCTGCAGGACTACATGGAAGCTGCCAAGACTTGCATGCTCTGAAGCAATGGCCTGAGCTGTACCTTGGCCTCTTTTAGCCATGACTGGAGTGGCTGGGACAGAGGGCACCAAGTCCCAAAGGTGCACACAGCAGAGGGGCCCTGGACCTGGCCCAGGAAACCATTTTTCCCTCCTAGGCCTCTGGGCCTATGATGAGAGGGGCTGTCACAAAGATATCTGACATGCCCTGGAGATGTTTTTTCCCATTGTCTTAGCTATTAACATTTGGCTCCTTGTTACTTATGCACATTTTTGCAGCAATTTCTCCCCAGAAAATGGATTTTTCTTTTCTACTGCATCATAAAAAGACAAATTTTCCAAACTTTTAGGCTCCGTCACCTCTTGAATGCTTTGCTGCTTAGTAATTTCTTCTGCCAGATACCCTAAATAATCTATTTCAAGTTCAAAATTCTACAGATCTCCAGGGTAGGGACAAAAAGCTGCCAGTCTCTTTGCTAACACATAGCCAGAGTTACCTTTATTCCAGTTCCCAACAAATTTCTAATCTACATCTGAGACCACCTCAGCCTGGACTACATTGTCCATATCACTAACAACATTTTGGTCAAAGCCATTCAACAAGTCTCTAGGAAGTTCCAAACTTTCCCACATCTTTCTGTCTTCTACTGAGTCCTCCAAACTGTTCCAACCTCTGCCTGTTACCTAGTTCCAAAGTTGCTTCCATATTTTCAGCTATCCCTATAGCAGCACCCAATTCTTTGTGGTACCAATTTACTGTATTAGTCTATTCTCATGCAGCTATGAAGAAATACCTGAGACTGGGTAATTTATAAAGGAAAGAGGTTTAATTGACTCACAGTTCCGCATGGTTGGAAAGGCCTCAGGAAACTTACAATCTGGTGGAAGGGGAATCAAACATGTCCTTTTTCACATGACAGCAGGAGAGAGCAGTGCAGAGCAAAGTGGGGAAAAGCCCCTTATAAAACCATCAGATCTCATGAGAACTTATTTACTATCATAAGAACAGCATAGGGGAACTGCCCCCATGATCTAATCACCTCCCACGAGTCCCCTCCCCTAACACATGAGTATTACAATTCAGATTACAATTCAAGATGAGATTTGGGTGGGAACACAGAGCCAGACCATATCACCTAGTCTACTCTAAAAGAATCACCCAGCTGACTCAAAAACTCATAAGCAGTGATAAACACTTGTGTTATGCCATAAAGTTTTAGGTATTTTGTTAGGCAACAGCTCATTGATATTGTTGCTTATATTAAAAAATCAGGAAGTGAATGGAAGGAAACAAAGATATGATTTTCTCTTTTCAAGAGGAAAAAATTTCTATGCTGTGTTTTCAGACTACCTATTATATTTGATGAGGGCCAGTGCTTATGTTCTGTTAGCTTTGGATATGAGAAATAACCATGACAAAAATGACAATAGCATTGAGAAATGACAAGCTAAGAATTCCAAAGAAACGTGGGTGGAGCTTATACAGATGGGAGAAACTTTTGCATGCCTAGTGATATTTTGTAAAAGGATTTTCAAATCTGTACTATACATTCGGGCTATGCATCTTATTATGCTATACATTTCATTAGGCTATAGGCTTCATTAGGCACTTGAATCAAGAATCTCATTACATACTCCAGACACACATCTCATTATGCCATGCATCTCATTAAGCTCCCAGCCAGGAACAGATGTAAAATAGACAAATTTCAGCGAGGCTTTGATTCCAGCCCACATGGCATTCTCATCAACAACCAAGCAAGGGTGGACCAACAATTGGGTGATTTTTGAATGACACTTGACAAAGAGGAACCAGCTCAATCAGGCACTATTAAATAACAGGAGAAAAAAATAACTTGGTGTTACATTCCACTTTGCTGTCCACTCTGGGAATGTGTTTCTACTGTCAATCAGGAATCATCTATCAGTAAAAAGCCGGAGATGGGGTAGAAGAGGGCATGTGTCTGTAACACTGCAATCATCTGTCATGAGGCAGGCACTCAACAAAGGGTAACATCAATGTCACCTTGGTTTTGGCTTCAACACAATTGTATCTGTTCTGTGTCCCTAGCTGTAATTCATTGTTTGGCATCTTCAAGGATAGGTTCCCTGATGACGTTCCTGGTTAAGTAGTACTTTGGTCACAAATGATAAAAACCCAACTGACTAATTTAAGACTAGCATGTACTGAGGAGCCCAGAGGTGTGGCAGATTTCAAACCTGACTTTATGCAAAGGCTGAAACATCCGTAAGATACATGTCTCCTTATCTTTCAGTTCTCCTTTGCTTTGTGTTGGCTTGATTCTTACACATGTTTTCCCCATGAGATGGTTTCAGGAGGCTGCAAGCTTCCATCATCCTCACAGATATCAGTTCCAGTGAAAGATAGTGTCTTCTAGGAAGAGATAATCAAATCCCAGGGGATGACTCTCACTGGTTAATTGTGGGTAAAATAATTGTTCAGCCACTAATTTCTTTGTGTCACAGGGATGGAGTAACCTGAGTTCCCAGCTTTGCGTTGTATGCCTTCCCTAAATGTAGTCATGGATTAGAACTGAAAGGAGGGCTGGACAAACAGAGAATGCTCAGTAGACAAAAAGAGGGCTGGACATACAGAGAATGTTCAGTAGACAAAAATACCACATCTACTATGCCCGCTCCATCCTGAGAATACTCAGGTCTCGTGCAATACATGTGCAGTCTGAGAACCCGGGGCTTCTTTCCTTGGTCACCAAGAAAATATTTGTCACTAATATTCAAATAAGTGATGTATTTTAAGCAATTAGGGGGCTATATAAGTGCCTTGGATGTTTCTGGGGCTCTTATGATGACACCAAATGTAAATATTGTCATTCTGTGGAAACTAGACTAGACAGTAAACCACCAACAGATAGTCTAATTTCCATGTGCCAGCAAGTATTTTATTTTGAACGGCTAAAATATTTCATCTTACCACTTCCTTATGCTTGAATATCTTTAGAAAGGGTTAAATTAGGGAACATAAAAAACACAAAAAAAAACAGAGGAAAGATAATTGATTTAATTTCACACTCAGGTTCAAATGTTAAGTTGAATGCCTTCTTGAGAGTAAGTTTGGGTAGGAAAAGTAAAGGAGAGTCCTCAAGAGTATCAGATATTTAATGGTAAAGGTAGAAGGGCAGGTAAGAAGACGTGGAATAAAATGGAAGAAGCATGGAGAAGGTCAGACAGAACTGAAGGAAAATTCCTCAACTTTATGGTTTGCCTAGGGCTGTCCCCAGGTAGCACTCTGCAACTCTGAATAAGTAAACATTTTCTCTAATCCGAAAGGATAGTAGTTTTGTTAGATAGGACTATAAAATGATGTCTAACCAGAACCAGTTATTAAATATTTTCACTGGACTTTTCTAGACAGTATTACTCTGAAAAGAGTGGGTATCAATGCAGTCTTGACCTTCTGGGTCCTTGTGAAGTTCTTTGCCTGTGAAAATATTACAGTTTAAACATTCCCTCCACATTCCTTTGACATGAAGTGCTGTATCCACTGATTGCCCAGAGTAGACAAAGTGGTTTCCTTTTCTAGCTTCGTGGGGTTTTTTTCTTTTCTTTAGAAGATCATTTGGCAGGAAGATGTTAAAGTGGAAGAGAGGTTGGAGTAACTGTTATGGGTCAAATTCTAACTTCATGTCGTCATGGGCTCCCTCTGGTACCAAGATTCACTGAAAACAAAGGCATGAACTACTTCTAATCTGCAGTCGATTTTTTTTACCCTAAGAACACCCTAGAATAGAGGAATTCAATACATTCATGGCCACAGAAGCAATAAACTTCCACATACTTAAAAAAACTCTCATCAAGTCTTATTTATTAATAAATAATAAGCACAAGGACTAATGAAGTACAAATGATAAAAATTTTAAAATGATCGTTCTTTTCCTTTTGTTTGGTATGATTTGTCCTTGAGCTTTTTTGGTTTTACTCTTTCAATTAAAATGCTTGGGTTCTCATCACACCATTCCTGAATGCAAATATCAGTTGGTTTAGTATTTAGCTTCCTAGCTCTTTCTTGGCTCTTGGAAACATACCCTTATTCTCTGGTCCATTCTTCACCTACAGATGATTAAGAAAGATAATTTTTATGTAGTTAAAAAAATAGGACACATGCTCCTTATAGACATTCTACTACAGATTCAGAACCAGAAGCAAGCTATTCTCCCATTTTGTCTTGTAAGTGCAATTTTGAAAACATAGACTGAGTTGTAATTACAGGATTAAGGGTAAAAGTCAACTTGTTTGTCTGAGAGATTTGTTCCCCCAATTGTCCTGAATACAAGGACATGAAATCCTGAAAGTCTATGCATGGCATATCACCTCCTTACTTTCAAGTTTCTGGACAATTGGGTAGATGGGCTTTGCAATGGATGTTCATGATTGTAACAAGACAGCCCACGATTCCATTTCCAAATAAGGCATAGGAGACAATTCTTTTGTTTTTCTCCTGCCATCTTCTTTATGCAGGAAAAAAGAGTAAAGGATAAAATTAACAATTATGCAGCCAGTAAATTTCAAGGCAATAGTGAGAAACAAAAGGGTCTTATCTGATTGTCCATCTCATGCCTTTCAGGAGAACCTATTAGCTTGGAACACAGTCACCTGATGGTATATGTGGCACACACACACACACACACACACACACACACACACACACACACACAAATATAATAGAGACTCTGGATTTGGAGTCCTAGACCTATGCAATATCTTCACTCTTCAAAACAGTCCCAGGATGGCACTTTCCTGTCTCCATTTTGTTGTGAATCCCTTGGATTTTATATTACATAAACTATAAATAATATTTAGACAATTAAAGCTAAAAGGATTTCTTCACTTGGTTAAGGTGGTAGCATATGTAGGCATTAAAAAAAAGGCATTCTGACCTTTAGGTGAACAGTAGAACTTAAAATGCTATTGCTAGAATGTGGCATGGGGAAAGCGTGATTTAAATGTAAATCTTTTATCTCTAAAGCCATAAAAGACTATGCCTTGGAGGTATGAGAAAATACAAGCTCTAACGTGGAGCGTATAAAAAAAATGAAAACATTTAGCACAGCACCAAATCTGCTTTTCTGAACTGCATTTTTGCTCACAAAATACGTAGAGTAGATGGAATTTTATTTATGTTTAAAATGAGCTGTTCTTTAACTGTTTAGTCTCTGGTTCCTTGGCCTGGTTCTCGAACTCAAGACATCAGTGCACCCTGTGAATGTGCCTTTCTCCTTCTCTTAACCTCCAAGCTCCTGAGGTGCCTTTCAGCCTGTCCCATGGATGTCCCCATGGGTGGACCTGCCCCCTGAAAGCTCTCCAGTCTGTCTCTCACCTCTGGGAGCTGCAGAGATAGCCAGGAAGGATGGTGTCAATGTTGAAGGTCATATCTCTATTTTCACATTCCTTGACTTGCCCTATACCTTTGAGAGAAAAGAAATAAAATCCTGCAATTATTTGGACCAAGCCTTAGGTAGGACTGGGCTTGTGACAGGTTTTGTATATGGGCCACAGATTGGACACAGTTGGAACTGAGACTCTTGCCCAGATTTCACTCGCTATTTTCCATATGGCTTTGTTGGTGCTGATCATACCTTTTCCAGGACCAAATGCGCCCTCCCCTTTAGGAGCATCCTGCCGGTTCCTCATGTTTTCACCACCTGCTGGCTTATCTATGTTTGGCACCAGTTTCCCAAGCTTTTCTCCTGCTACCATGTGTGGACCAGGCAGAAGTCTTTTCTCCCTGCTCCTACAAGAAACCAAGGTCTTATGCAGCTCTGAGTCTGGTATTTGCTTCCCTTGGGGTCAAGTCCTCTGGGAGCTCTTTGATTTAAAAATCCTGTCTTTTGCATTCCCTACATGGGCATGTAACACTTAATAAGTTTGTTTAGTGAATGAATGAATCAATGTATTTCCCATGCTTTTGAATTTTAGATGTATTTCTTTAACCCTTTACATAATCTGAAGTAGGCATGAACTTTCAAATCATTTCCTGCTTCCTCTGCCTGGAATCCTCTTCTATCCTACACCACCTTCTAATCACAGCCACATCACAGATTAGAAGTGGTTCCCTCTTGTAAACTCCTGCCACACCAGTGTGTTCCTTCTTAGCCCTAATTCAATTTATTAAATGATGATGTCTGCAATTTAACGTGTGTTGTTCTTTCACCTGTATGGTGAGGCCATGAGAACTAAAGATCATATCGTATTCTTCACTGTATTTACACCACGAAAACAATGCTTGATGTATAAAAGATATAATATTATTTTTATTAGATGAAAAATGAAGAATCAATAATTGATTTTCAAGGTACATATATGTTTGATTGTTTCCTAGTTTGCCTAATATATCTTTAGTTATTCCTTCAAAATCTTTTGAAATTTTTCCCCAAATCTCTGCCACTGGCTCTGACTGTCTTTCCCTGCTCTTTGTGCCTCAAGTTCTAACCCTTTATTTGGTTGCTATGCCCTGGCTTTCACACAAATAGATTCCAGGCAACCTCAATATATTCCCCACGTATATTCTTCTCCACTCATAAAATTTTCTCCTGAATTCTATCTTCTTCGTGAAAATGAAACATAGCCCAGAAGTTTTTTTTTCCTAAGTATATACAATAACATAAATGCCAATTAGTTATCACTTTATGTTTAAGACTATTAACCCTTTGAGGTAGCCACTGCTATCCATTGGGCAGTTAAGGAAACTCATATGCAGCAGAGCCACCACTGATTCACTCTGCACTGTACCAACAAGTGCACTGTACCAAGGATGCTTAAGTCCAGTCATGGATGACCAGCCAAGGATGCTTAGGTCAGATGGCTACCACTTTCAGCAATTTGTACCAACAGCTGTAAAAATGTCTATGTCTAATTACCCAATAATCCTCCTTTCAGGAATCTAGCCTAAGAAGATCATCATAAACTGAAATAAAATTTCACATATGAAAAAATTCTCCACTGTGCTGGATTAGGTCCCAGGCAACACTATTCACAATAGTGAAAAACATGGAATCAACCTAAATGCTTATAAGTGGCAGACTGTATAAAGGAAATGTGGTACATATATACCATGGAGTACTATGCAGCCATTTAAAAGAACAAGATCTTATTTTCTGGAGGAATAGATGCAGCTGGAGGCCATTATCCTTAGCAAACTTACTCAGGAATGGGAAATTAAGTACTGCATGTTTTCACTTATAAGTGGGAGCTGGATGATGAGAACCAATGGGCACAAAGTGGGGGAACAACAGACACTGGTGCCCATCAAAGAGTGGAGGATGGGAGGTGGGAGAGGATGAGAAAAAAATAACTAATGGGTACTAGGCTTAGTACCTGGGTGACACAACACCCATGACACAAGTTTACCTATATGACAAACCTGCATATGTACCCCTGAACTTAAAATAAAAGTTAAAGATAAAATAAAATTTTAAAATAACAGAAAAAAGAATTCGGAAATAAACTAGAGATTAAATAAAGATATTATAGCAATATTACATTTCCAAATGTTGAAAACTGTGCTGGTGTTATGTAAGAGAAAAGTCTTGCTTTTAGGACATATGCATTTAAGTGTTAAGGAGTAAAGGGACAATTTAGTCTCAACTAGTTTAGGAAAAAAAAATCGTGTGTGTGTGTGTGTGCGCGCGCGCGTATGCATAAGAGAGAAAGAAAAGGAGAGAAAAAGAGGATAATCAAGCAAATGAGTAAAAATATAAATGATTTGTAAATTTGAGTAAAAGTTATATGGGAGTTTCCTGTAATAAACTCACATCTTCTGAAAGCTTGAAACTATATCAAAATTAAAAAGTAACAAAACATACTCTTTTTTGTTATTTATAAAAGTAGGAATAAAATGAAAACCACTCACATGTTAAAAATAGAAAAAAGGCTAATTAAATTATGATATATCTACATGATGGAAAATAAAGAAGCCATTAAAATTATTTACAAAAATAATTATTAAGGAAATGGAAGGATGCTTAATTTACAGCATAAAAAGAGTTGAATAAAAATGGCAAATATGCAATGTTAGTGATCCAAAAACAATAGAAATTGTTGATGGGATTATGGGTGAGTTTTATTTATTGTTAGTTTGTTTTTATTACTGTTCCTTATTTTTGCATATTTAAAATCCTAAGAATGTATTAACTATATAAAATTTTCAATATTTAGTCTTTTTTCCCGATTATTTGTTAAATAATAAAAAATAATTGTGGGCTGGGCACGGTGGCTCATACCTGTAATCTCAGTACTTTGGGAGGCTGAGGCAGGTGAATCACCAGAGGTCAGGAGTTTGAGACCAGCCTCACCAACGTGGTGAAACCCTGTCTCTACTAAAAACACAAAAATTATCTGGGCATGGTGGCATGAGCCTGTAGTCCCAGCTACTAGGGAGGCTGAGGCAGGAGAATCCCTTGAATGTGGGAGGCGGAGGTTGCAGTGAGCCAAGATCGTGTCACTGCACTCCAGCCTGGTGACAGAGTGAGACTCTGTCTGAAATAATAATAATAGTAATAATAATAATAATGATAATTGTGCACCTTGTCCCATGAAATATTTCTCTAGAAGGGTGAGATCAGGTCCCGATGATGTAATACAATCCTATGTCAGGATGTGTCAATCAGCTTTTCAGATACGTTTCCACGCCCATGCTTTCCACTCTCATTGTAAACTTCCAGTGTGGGAAAGCACCATTTTGCTATCATGTTCTAATAGCTCAGAGTTGAATGCAGGAAGCTGCTTCTTGATAATGGAGGTGTTTTCCTTTCTGAGCCCTTGGCAGCATATTGAACATGGAGGCTTGGAGGCCAGGAAAACCTGAGTTTGGAAACTGACTCTTAACTAACCCTATGACCTTGAGGAAATTTCTAAAACTCTCCAACCTTCAGTTTTCTCACTCCTAATTTTGGAATGTTAGTACTTACCTTGTAGTGTAGCTGTAAAAATTAAATGGCAACAAGCATGTCTGAGTGGTGCCCAGAGCCCCTCTAACATGTCAGCCATGGGTGTCACTATTGACATCATCTTGATTTTGTACATCCTGAGATGCCAACAGGGAATGCACTTGTAATTCCCTCTAACTGATGAGGAAGAAATTAAAGCCTCAAGAGCTGCATACACATCCTATGTTTTGATTCTTAGTTTTTGGTCGTTAAAGACAGCACAAAGGAGGGCAAATACGAATTATCATATTGATAACCTTGAGGTTTCAACAAGTCATATGCATTCTTGAAATTCAAAACCACTCACCTAACTCTAAAGGAAGAGTGCTTCTATGCCTTTCTGATAAGTCAGGCCATAAAAAAAAAATCCACAAAACCAACAAAGGTCTCTCTTTATTTCCAATAATGCCGCTCATAGAGGTGTTACTTACTAACAATCTCCTCCTTTCATACTTTCAAGTTTTCATGGCACACAATTGCTTTCTCCAGAAGATTACACTTGAGTCTACCAAGTTTCCTGGCCAAAGCAGCACATCCCTCCTGCTGAATAAACTGAGATGTGGCAGACAGGGGCCACAGGGAAGTGAGCAGAGGCTGAAGACCCCTTTCTCAACACCCCACCCGGCCAGCAGCATCATGCTGCTTCTCCTCCAAGGTCACCTGGTTGAGACTGAAAGAATCTGGAAAAGGTAAGAATTTAAAGACCAAAAATGTAAAAATTGCAAGACCTTTGACTTATTTCCATTTCTCTCTGCAACAGAATACAATCAATTTGTAATGTTTCTTAAAGAAGAAATAGTGTAACCATTTGGCTTGCAGAAAAGTGCAAGAAATATTTAGGTTCCTAAGGAAGACGAGGTCCCTTCTTAGTTCTTTGTTTTTGTTTTTTTTTGTTTGTTTGTTTTTTGTTTCTTTTTTGTTCTTGTTTTTTTGAGAAGGTGTCTCACTCTGTTGCCCAGGCTGGAGTACAGTGGCATGATCTCGGCTCACTGCAACTTCCACCTCCTGGATGCAAGCAATTCTCCTGCCTCAGCCTCCTGAGTAGCTGGGATTACAGGAACCAACCACCACATCCAGCTAATTTTTGTATTTTTAGTAGTGATGGGGTTTCACCATGTTGGCCAGGCTGGTCTCGAACTCCTAACCTCAGGTGATTCACCCGCCTCGGCCTCCCAAAGTGCTGGGATTACAGGTGTGAGCCACCGCACCCGGCCCTAGTTTTTGTTGTTGTTGTTGTTGTTGTTTATTTGTTTGTTTGAGGCAGAGTCTCACTCTGTCATCCAGGCTGGAGTGCACTGGGGCAATCTCGGCCCACTGCAACCTCTGCCTCCTGGGTTCAAGCAATTCTTGTGTCTCAGCCTCCCAAGTAGCTGGGATTTCAGGCACCCACCACCATGCCCAGCTAATTTTTGTATTTTTTGTAAAGATAAGGTTTCACCATGTTGGGCAGGCTGGTCTCAAACTCCTGACCTCAAGTGATCCACCTGCCTCAGCCTCCTAAAGTGCTGGGATTACAGGCGGGAGCCACCATGCCCACCCTCTTATTGCCATCTACTGATAAGAAACCATCTTTTGTAAAATTTCCATGAAGTAGAACACTCTAGCGCGGATTCATCCAAAATTGTGTCTGGAAATCAAATCATTCTGTGATAGAAGCAGAGTGGCCGAATAGCACCAGTGGTCAGGACTGTGATAAGAATGGGGTTCGTGAATACAGATCATAATCCCAGCTTCCAGGGCCTTTCTGCCTCACCAGAAACTCTGTTTTTCCTGGCATCTCAGGTTCACTCTGCAAGTTACTAGTTCCCGTCCTCTTATAGAGCTCAGCTGACAGTCTATAAATTCCCCATAAATATTAGCTAACAGTAATGATGTGCTCTGCTTCTCCCCAAGGGCATTTGCATCTAAGAATAAATAAGCTTTCATGTTCAAGAAAATGAAGCTGTAATGATAGAATAATCAGCACTGAGTCTGAGAATTAATATTATGTTTATTCATTCCACAAACTTTATTCTAGGTATTTACATAGGCTCCAAATCTCAAAGAACTATAGCATAGTGAGAGAAAGCTTATGCTCTAGTCAGAAAGTATTTTACCTAGTGATAAAATATCCTATAACCATCTTTAGTAGATATTTGCAGGGTTACACAGAAGAAGTTACCTGAGACGGGGAAATCAGCAATGCTTAAGGGTTATCGGCTGGCGCGTTGGCTCACACCTATAATTCCAGCACTTTGAGAGGACGAGGTGGGTGGATCACCTGAGGTCAGGAGTTCAAGACCAGCTTGACCAATATGTGAAACCCTGTCTCTACTAAAAACACAAAAATTAGCAGGGCGTGGTGGCATGTGCTTGTAGTCCCAGCTACTTGGGAGGCTGAGATAGGAGAATTGCTTGAACCCAGGAGGTGGAGGTTTCGGTGAGCCAAGATCATGCCACTGCACTCTAGCCTGGCCTACAGAGGGAGACTCAGTCTCAAAAAAAAAAAAAAAAAAAAAAAATCACAGGGCACTGTCACATAGGGAGCATTGTCAATTGCACATCTCCTGTGAGCATTATTAGGGGCCTGCATCAGGTGTTATGTTCGTTTCACAGGTGATTATACAGGAGCACAGAGTGGGTTATTGGCTTAGCCAAAGCAAAACAACCAGTCATGACGGAGCCACCATTGACACAAATCCGTGCCACTTCTAACTACTCAGTCAGGGCCCATTTTCCCGGACATATTGTGTGTTCAGCCCACCCTCTTCTAAACTCTGATAAGTGTATATACACTCATGATGGGATTCAGACTTCTTGGGAACAGGAACAATCAGTTTGGTTTAAGTGACTCAAAAGTTTCAGGAAAAATCTAAATAGAATCATTGTAATATGGACTAAGGCTTCTTTTATTTTTCTTCGGTAAAACAATGGGAAGTGGTAGTCAAAGAAGGAACACTGCATGCTTTAACTCTCCAACCCAACCCTTGTTCTGGAAAAAAAAAAAAAAAAAAACACTCTGACTTCCTGGAAAATAAGTGATATATTAGCCATACTTATAAATATAAATCAAAATGAAAATAAAAATAATATTGTTTTATTATTTCTATTTTAAAGAAAAAATTAGGTGAGGTCTAATTTTACCAAAACCCATGAAGCAAGATCATGAAGATACCTTCATTCTTTAAATTCTGCAAGAGTCCATTTATTTAGTCCTTTAACACTCTTGAAGCCTACTGTGTCCAGGTACAGGCACAGGCCACCAGGGTTAGAAAGATTCATGCCATAAAGTTCTTGCGTTCGAATAACTCAAATCCTGATGGCAGAGCATCCAGGAAAAAGTGAAACTCAAGTTCAGTGTAGTTAAGTTCTGTCAGGGAACATGGTGGTGAGTAGTCACCTGATCTAGACCTGGACGCATGGATCAAAGTGGACCACCCAGGCAAGGAGGTGAAGCTGACACATGTGTAGCTGGTAGTCAGATGCAGAGAGAGCAAAGAGCTGCTGGGTACAGGAGCTGCAAAGAATTGAGGGGAGGCATTAGGAGGGACAAAGCAGGACAGGAAACTGAGGCCAGTAACAAAAAGTTGCAACATCTGAACTTTGTGTTGAGATCCATGAGGAGCCACTGAAAAGTTGAAAAGAGACATGCAGCATATCAGATTTTCAGGGTTTTTGTTTTGTTTTGTTTTGTTTTTTGGGACAGACTCTCGCTCTGTCACCCAAGCTGAAGTGCAGTGGCGCTATCTTGTCTCACTGCAACCTCTGCCTCCCAGGTTCGAGTCATTCTCCTTCCTCAGCCTCACAAGTAGCTCTGGGATTACAGGTGCCCACCACCATGCCCAACTAATTTTTTGTATTTTTAGTTGAGACAGCGTTTCACCATGTTGATCAGGCTGGTCTCAAACTCCTGACCTCAAGTGATCTGCCCACCTCGGCCTCCCAAAGTGCTGAGATTACAGGTGTGAGCCACTTTGCCCGGCCCAGGTTTTCACTTTAGACAGATTACACAGCAGAGTTAGGGAGGTAAACAAACAACGACACAGCTGATTGTAGTGGGAAGTGTTACCACACCCCTTTCTGTGGGTAGAACCTGCAAAAGAAAAAGAGACAGTTCTACCTAGATAGAATCAGACCCTGCTATTAAGAAAATTGGTATGACTCAACCTAGATTGAACTAAAATTTACCTTCTCACTGTTGCAAAATTTAAAAAGTATTTCAAGTGAGAAAATACTGTGCAAACAAGATTGCTGCGAGATTGTTTTTAAAGAACAAACTCTTTTCCTGGTTTTGTTGAACAAGTAGAGTAT
This sequence comes from Homo sapiens, assembly GCF_000001405.40. Lineage (NCBI taxonomy): Eukaryota > Metazoa > Chordata > Mammalia > Primates > Hominidae > Homo > Homo sapiens. Next base: position 221,085,093 of record NC_000002.12, read on the forward strand.
TCATTTACGTATCAAAAATGTCCTCGGATAATTACAAATGAGTATTACTTATTCATTAAAGCAGACTTGACAGTTCAGTGATCTTAAAAGTATAAAAGTGCATTTTTTTTTAAAAAAAAAGAACATTTCAGTAATTTAGACTGGCTTCTCTCCAATTTGAGGATTTACTCTATCAGCTTTAACTGATTTATTCACAACGTTAGCAAGCAATTTTGGAATTGTGTAATCAAAATCTAAATGGATCTTAATAGCCCCAAAGAATGAATGTGTCTGCTACAATGTGAGCAATTTATTCCTTTCACACCAGTAGATTATGGTTCAATGATTGTGAAATTCCAGATTATTTGTAGGAAAAACATTATATGAACAAAGTCATCTTTTAGATTTGCCTTTTTTGTTGGATTTTGTTTATTTTTGTTGGGTCTCCTCCATCAATAGTAAGACATTCATTTTTCAAATATTGGGCATGACTGTGTGCCAGACCCTGCTATTCATTGCAGGGACCTGGATGCGGAGGGCTTGGCTTCTGCTTTTAAAGGGATCACCATCTGGTGAGGGATACCAGCATATAAACAAACCACTATTGAATGATGCAATCAATACCTTAATAGGAGCTTACTTCAGGAGTTATGGGAACATAAAAGAGCAAGAACTTGACTGTCCAGAGAGTTTAGGGAAGGTTTCTCTGAGCAGAAGTTTCCTTTGAGGTGATTTGAACAGCCTGATGAAAAGATGTAGCAGATAAAAGGCATTTCAGGGAAAATAAGTGAGACCATGGAATAATGCTGGATGCATTACAGAAAGTATGATTAGTTGAGACTGGACAAAGATGTCTTATGTAGACAAGATATGGGGGGAAAGAATAAGAATGTAGGTGAAACACCTTACAAGGGGCTTCACATTTCATAGTAGGGATCTTGAAGGCAGCTTTTAAAGCATCTATATATGAATTTTATGCAGGCCACTAATTTCTCTATTCTTGGTGTGTTGTCTGTTTCTGTCCCCATCATTCCCAGAGGTGTTAACATCCTTATCAAATGACAGCAGTGATAGATTCTGGAATATCCTGGAGTGAAGCCTGGTGTCTGCCCTCACATAACTTACAATATTATCAAATTGTGCTCAGCATATTTATATTTCAGTCCCCCAGTGTGCCCACTCAGATAAGATGAATTAAAACTTTTTTTTGTTTGTCTTTGTAGAGCTGAGGTCTTACTACGTTGCCCAGAAGTTGGAGACCAATCTAGGCAACATACTGAGACCGTATCTGTACAAAACATAAAGCAAATTACCTGAGTGTATTTGTCTGTTCTTGTACTGCTATAAAGAACTGCCTGAGACTGGATAATTTAGAGAGGAAAGAAGTTGAATTGATTCACCATTCCACATGGCTGGGGAGGCCTCAGGAAACTTACAATCATGGCAGAAGGAGAAGCGGATACATTTTACATGGTGGCAGGAGAGAAGCATGTGAAGGAGGAACTGTCAAACACTTATGAAACCATCAGATCTCATGAGGTCTCACTATCAGGAGAACAGCATGGGGAAACTGCCCCCATGATCCAATCACCTCCTACCAGGTCCCTCCTTTGACACCATCTCGTGGACCTGGCTCACGAAACCATTTTTCCCTCCTAGGTCTCTGGGCCTGTAATAGGAGGGGCTGCTGTGAAGGCCTCTGACATGTCCTGGAGACATTTTCCCCATTGTCTTGGCTGTTAACATTCAGCTCCTCATAACTTCAATTCCTTTCCAGAAAATGGGTTTTTCTTTTCTACCACATGGTCAGGCTACAAATTTTCCAAACCTTTATGCTCCGCTTCCCTTTTAAACATAACTTTCAATTTCAGATCATTTCTTTCAAGTTCAAAGTTTCACAGATCTCCAGGGCAGGGGCAAAATGCCACCAGCCTCTTTGCTAAAGCATAGCAAGAGTGACGTTTGCTCCAGTTCCCAATAAGTTCTTCATCTTCATCTGAGATCACCTCAGCCTGGAATTCATTATTGTTATCACTATCAGCATTTTGGTTAAAACCATTCAGTAAGTCTCCAGGAAGTTTCAAACTTTCTCACATCTTTCTGTCTTCTTCTGAGCCCTCCAAACTATTGCAACCTCTGCCCATTACCCAATTCCAAAGTCACTTCCATATTTTCTGGTATCTTTATAGCAGTGCCCCAAGCTCCTGGTACCAATTTTCTGTATTAGTCCATTCTCACACTGCTATAAAGAACTGCATGAGACTGGGTAATTTAGAAAGCAAAGAGGTTGATTTGACTCACAGTTCCAAATAGCTGGGGAAGCCTCAGGAAACTTACAATCATGGCAGAAGGGAAACTGTCAAACACTTATAAAACCATCAGATCTCATGAGAACTCACTCATTATCAGGAAAACATCATGGGGGAACCACCCCCATGATCCAGTCACCTCCCACCAGTTCCTTTCCACAACATGTGGAAATTATAGGGATTACAATTCTAAATGAAATTTGGGTGGGGACCCAGAGCCAGACCATATCATTGAGTGGTGGCATGTACCTGTAGTCCCAGCTACTCAGGAGGCTGAATTAGGAGGATCACTTGAGCCCGGGAGGTTAAGGCTGCAGTGAGCCATGATTGTGCCAGCACACTGCAGCCTGGGTGACAGAGTGAGACCCTGTCTCAAGAAAAAAAAAAAAAGAAAAAGCAACTGAGATTTAATACCAATAATTTTGATCACAAAAAATGAACATAGATAATTATAAATATGAGAAAATGAGGTGGGAAATGATATTCAAAATTGCACATATGTGTGTATGTGTGTGCCTGTGTATATGTGTGCATGCATATGAACGTATGTACGCACATGTGCGTGCATATGAACGTATGTACGCACATGTGCGTGCATATGAACGTATGTATGCACATGTGTTTGCATATGTGTGTTTACTTTGTTTTGCACCCAACTATTTAAGCAGAAGTAGGCTTTTTAAGATGTGCTATCTTTGGAGTAAGTTATTAACTACAAATATGCAAGGAAAAGCAGTATCAAAGTTGATTTAAATATTAAGAACAAAAATAACATGGGAAGACCCAGAGAAAAATTTTTATGTTATAATTCTAAGAATGTGGAAGAATTCAGGCTGATGCAAGAGCTGTTTTCTGGCCATCTTATAAAGATATTTGAATCTTCTCTGTGAATAAAGAGAGAGGGAGAGAGAAAACAGAGAAGAGAGCCTAGTGTGACATATCTGGGGTGGGATTTCTGCCCCTGAGGCTGTGTTTCCAGTTGTGGGATAAAAGAAGCCCCTGATATATTATGGGAGATAGTAGATTATAAATTTAGCCAGAGAAAGAAAACCTTCTTAGAAAAGCCAAGCCCTTCTCCTGCAGGTTGGAGAAAATTGGCAGAGCAGACCTAACTGAAGAAGAGACTGAAAGAGTTCCCAGTTTTTCTGTGGCCACAGAACAATATGAAAAAGGAGGCAAAAGCTTTCTGTGCCCCCAAGAGCAATACAGAGAAATCTGGAAGACCATAGACTCGTTGAGGCTCATGGTGGGGCAAGAAGGAAGCAGTGTGAGAACCCATCGCAGGTGGCCACAGCAGGAGGGCACAGTGACAGCTGAGGCAACATAAGTAGGGAGTGATGACACAGGACTGGTCACTGCTCAGAGAGGCCATTGTGTTGAAAGATGCACACAGACCAATGCAAGCCTGCCCCAAATCAGAAGGACTAGGAGAGAAGGGATACTGAATTGACTGAGGAGCTGCCCAAAAGTGCACTCACTTTTAAACCAGAAGTGATTGAATTACCTTGATTTGCTAAAACTCTTATCTGCCACCAGTAGAAATGGGATCTTATGAGCTGAGTTGACCTCAGTAATGTAGAAATAAAGTAAGTTTTATTTTGCACACCTGAGCTCATCACTGCCCAACTTATCTCCACATTACCTGTGTATCATCTTAAAAGAGGCAAGTGGGACACCAAATATTGTCTCCTCTAAACTAAGTGAAGTATCAAGAGGCTTAGTTGGTAGGAGTAAAATCAGCGCAGACAGCTATGCATTGGCATAGCAGGAAATGAATGAGTCCATTCTAGAATCATTCCAACAAGCTTGAGTTCATTGACCTTTTCCTGTAATTCTTTTCAAACTGGGTTAGCATCAGACTCTACTTTCAATGAATTATGTTTTATGATAATGTATCCAAAGGAAAAATGACATTACCAACAAACAGGATCATGGGCATGGAGGACATTTTTAACAGCTGTAAGAAACAGTTACTGTCTCTCTTAACACTGACTTATACCAATGATGCTATTGAAGGTTGAAGTTCTACTTGATGGTCCGGTCATAGAAATCCTCTCTGTCTAGGGTGGAAACATAAAGTAAGAGGCCTTAAACCTCTCGGCTTCAGCTGATCCCCCTCCAATCCTGCCTTCCTGATAGGATGAAGACATTTAGGGACTAGAGAAAATAGCCAATTGATTCCACATGTTGCCTCAGGGGCTGTGGGTAGAACAAGGTTATTTCATCCCATCTATCTGAAGAGTCCTCCAGAGATCTAATTTCCTAATGGCCACATCCATGGTCCCTCCCATTATGAGACATAAAACACTTTTGAAAAGGGTATGGAGGAGACCAGTCCTGTCTTAAAAGACAAGCAAAATGTACAGTGATTTTGGAGGTCTGTTCACATCACACCTTTTATAATAAGCCCAGATATCAACAAACACCCTTTTGTATGGCACAAACTAACCTTGCTGCTCAAGGCCAAATGTGCCACACAGAAAAATTCATTCCCACACTTTAAATATCTAAGGTGTAAACCAATTGCCAGGGGAAAAAAAGGTGTCACGAAACCTTCCATTACTCTTAACCAGAAAGCAACCAGGCCAAGTGGTCAACTATAGAAAGATTTTTTTTTTTTAATGTTTTCAATGCAGTCATTGTGTTTAACTGGAGAAAACAAAATTGATATGTACAAGTCAGGACCTAGAAACAAGTGTGTAATTACTAATTATACACTTAGGGGTTTATTCTCCCCTAGATACAGATGCCCAACTCCCACCAAAATTAATCTGAGTCGCATTCAAGTGTGGAGGGGAGAAGGGCTTCATGGCTGCTCCGCAGAAGTAATGAAATTCCCTTATAAGCCCGTGTTGCCTCATAATAATACTCCAATATTGAACCTCAAGTTTGTTAAGTAGCAAAGACTCAATACAACTATTCACTGTGAAGCTTTCCAGAGAAAAGACCCCACTGTGTATTGAATATTTCAGTATTTTCTCAGAAATGATTAGCTTTTTAATTAAGTAAGGGGAGGAAAATTCCTTTCATGATTATTCAGGTAAGGAGTGGAGTCAGAAAATGAGTAGAAACAGAATTTTACCAAATCCTTAATTTGGTCCTTTACTTTTCAACCACATAGAATCAAATCTTTCTTAATGAAGAAAATAATGAAATAATATACTGGGAAGTGTATGAGGTGAAGAAATTGTTGCATGCTATTTACAATGGAGACTTGGAGAGTAGAAACAATGTAAAAAAGAGAATAATGCTGTGTTTTTTTACATTTACATTTTATTGGTAGATTACTCTTTTGGCCTATTGGAGCCTCTTAAAGAAAGGAACACGTTCTTGCATCAATGTTCATCAAGGATATTGGTCTAAAATTCTGTTTTTTTTGTTGTGTCTCTGCCAGGCTTTGGTATCAGGATGATGCTGGCCTCATAAAATGAGTTAGGTAGGATTCCCTCTTTTTCTATTGATTGGAATAGTTTCAGAAGGAATGGTACCAGCTCCTCTTGGTACCTCTGGTAGAATTCAGCTGTGAATCAGTCTGGTCCTGGACTTTTTTTGCTGGTAAGCTATTAATTATTGCCTCAATTTCAGAGCCTGTTATTGGTCTACTCAGGGATTCAACTTCTTCCTGGTTTAGTCTTGGGAGGGTGTATGTGTCCAGGAATTTATCCATTTCTTCTAGACTTTCTAGTTTATTTGTGCAGAGGTGTTTATAGTATTCTCTGATGGTAGTTTGTATTTCTGTGGGATCAGTGGTGATATTCCTTTATCATTTTTTATTGTGTCTATTTGATTCTTCTCTCTTTTCTTCTTTATTAGACCTGCTAGCAGTCTATCAATTTTGTTGATCTTTTCAAAAAACCAGATCCTGGATTCATTGATTTTTTGAAGGATTTTTTTGTGTCTCTATCTCCTTCAGTTCTGCTCTGATCTTAGTTATTTCTTGCCTTCTGCTAGCTTGTTCTTGCTTCTCTACTTCTTTTAATTGTGATGTTAGGGTTTCAATTTTAGATCTTTCCTGCTTTCCCTTGTGGGCATTTAGTGCTATATTTCCCTCTACACACTGCTTTAAATGTGTCCCAGAGATTCTGGTATATTGTGTCTTTGTTCTCATTGTGGCACATAAGCACCATGGAATACTATGCAGCCATAAAAAAGGATGAGTTCATGTCCTTTGTAGGTACATGGATGAAGCTGGAAACCGTCATTCTCACCAAACTATCGCAAGGACAAAAAACCAAACACCGCATGTTCTCACTCATAGGTGGGAAATGAACAATGAGAACACTTGGGCACAGGAAGGGGAACATCACACACTGGGGCCTGTCGTGGGGTGGGGGGAGTGGGGAGGGATAGCATTAGGAGATATACCTAATGTAAATGACGAGTTAATGGGTGCAGCACATCAATATGGCACATGTATACATATGTAACAAACCTGCACGTTATGCACATGTACCCTAGAACTTAAAGTATGATTAAAAACAACAAAAAAAGAAACGAGCATGTTCTAATAACACATTCTCAATGTTTGCTTACAAACATTTTTCTGTGTCAAACTTTTCCATTCACTGCAAGAAAGTAGTTTATAATGCATTCTAAAGAAGGCATGCTTACTTTTGCCTTTTATTTTTTCTTTTGCTTTATTGATGTACACACTCTAAAAATTACCTTGGCTATCATGATTAAGCAAACTGCTGTTTAATTTTTTCTAATGTTTTACATATTCTTTATTAAATTTTCTTATTTTTATGGATTTAGGGGTACAAGTGGAGTTTTGTTACCTGGGTGTATTGCATAGTAGTAAAATCTGGGCTTTCAGTGTACTCATCACCCAAATAGTGTACACTGTACCCAGTAGGTGGTATTTCATCCATCACCTCCTCAGCCTTCCCATGATTTGGAGTCTCCAGTGTCTATTATTCCACTCTGTATGTCTGTGTGTGCCTATTGTTTAGCTCCCATGTATAAGTGAGAACACGTGGTTTTTTGCTTTCTGCTTGAGTCATTTCACTAAGGAAAGTGGTCTCCTGTTCTATCCATGTTGCTACAAAATAAATGATTTTATTCCTTTATATGGCTGAGCAGTATTCCATTATTGTGTGTGTGTGTGTGTGTGTATACGTACACACGACATTTTTTAATCCAATCGCCCATTGATGGACACATAGGTTGATTCCATGACTTCGCTATTGTGAATAGTGCTGCAAAAAATACACGTTCAGGTGTCTTTTTTATATAATGTTTTATTTGGGGTAGATACCCGGTGGTGGGATTGCTGGATCAAATGGTAGTTTTATTTTTAGTTCTTTGAGAAAGTCTCTATACTGTTTTTCATAGAGGCTGCACTAATTTAAGTTCCCACCAACAATGTTTAAGTGTTCCCTTTTCTTCACATCCTCACTAATATCTATTGTTTTTTGACTTTTTAATAATAGCTATTCTGACTGGCATAAGACGGTATCATTGCGGTTTTAATTTGCATTTCTCTGATTAGTGATGTTGAGTTGATGATGATTAGTGAGTTAATTTTTTTTCTTAGGTTTTTTGGCCACTTGTATGTCTTCTTTGGAAAAATCTCTGTTAATGTCCTTTGTCCACTATTTAATGGGGTTATTTGTGTTTCTGTTATTGAGTTGAGTTCCTTTTAGATTCTGGATACTAGAACTTTGTCAGATGCATCGTTTGCAAATATTTTCACCCATTCTGCAAATTTTCTACTCTGTTGATTATTTATTTTAATAGAAACTTGAATTGCCACTCACTGTACTTAAGCATATTTAAGGTAATTATTTTTTGCTTTTAGATTAATACTCATTGGGGAGAAATTGGAAAATACATAGAAAAATAAACCTGAGTCTTAAACTCTTCCACTCAGATTATCAGTGTTAATATTTTCTATCTTCAACTATTTTTTATACTTTTATTTTTACAAAATTCAGGTGCTGAATCTATAGAGTTTTGTATGGTAATTTTGGACATTAAATAGGCACTTTTATTATGTGATATAATCTGTTAAAGCATTATTCTAATTAATCTGATTATTGAAACATTAATTTATTTCACTAGCTGGGTCATTTGGGTTGTATTTCTCCTTTTCTTTTGTGCTGGAAATGGGGTGGAATCTATATTCTTGTATTTCAATCTGTCTCCATAAAACAACTTTATATTTCTAAAAGTGAAATTCCCTAGCAGGTTGTTTTTGTAGGTTCTTCTTTTCTTTTCTTTTTTTTTAAAAAAGCAATGCAGGTCCATAATGAGATATTTAGTGAGAAGCAGGAATACGTCGAAAAGTCCGTTTCCTTCCCACCCTTGGGCTCCCAGTTCATTCCCAGAGACAACTCTGTTTCCAGGTTCTTACATGTATTTTCAGAAAAATGATGACATGAAGCTTTACTTTAAAGACTTTTTGTAGATTTGTACCAATTTCTTTAGCTCGTTTTTTGTCATCAGCAGTACCAAGAATGAGGTACAGGTGGATGCAGAATTTAATGGTAATGGTACCTATTGTTTCCGCCGACCACACATAGATACTTTCATTTTCCAGTTCATTTGGCACTGCTCAGTTGCAGCACTGCAGACCTTGTACGGCTGATGGCCATAAAGACAATGAGGCCAATTCTCAAGAAGCGGAACTAAGCAGAAGACAGAGCATTACACTGGCTTCACCTGAACCCCCAAACCAGGGGTGGTGTCAAGCCACTAAAGCCAGCAAACCCACTTTACTTTTTAAAAACTGATTTGAGTTTTGGCTTTGTCTCTTATAACTGGAAGAAACACAGTAAGAGGCGACCTTTTTGTGTGTAACAACAACGTGCCAGCAGCAAAAGGGAGATCCCAGACATCATCCCTGATGAATGCCAGGAGAAAATGCAGCTAGAGGGATGCTTTCAGAAGCCCTGCCCCTGTGAAATAATATACAGTGCTTAGCAGTGACTTGGAAACTGAAGCAACGTATGGTGCAAACATTATGCTGTGCACTATGTGTGTATGGATATTTGTGTACCCTGGAAAGCAGAGAAGCTCTAGTAAATACCCTACCTGATACAACCTCCAGGGTGAAACTGTTCAGCATGTATCCATTCAACTTGGCTCCATCTGGCTTCTTATTTTCATATAATTTTTTGTTTTGATTTTATTTATTGATTGATTGATTTTTTTTGAGACAGAGTCTCGCTCTGTTACCCAGGCTGGAGTGCAATGGCGCGATCTTGGCTCACTGCAACCTCCGACTCCCGGGCTCAAGCGATTCTCCTGCCTCAGCCTCCCAAGTAGCTGGGACTACAGGTGCCCGCCACCATGCCCGGCTAATTTTTTGTATATTTAGTAGAGACAGGGTTTCACCATGTTAGCCAGGATGGTCTTGATCTCCTGACCTCGTGATCCACCTGCCTCGGCCTCCCAAAGTGCTGGGATTACAGGAGTGAGCCACTGCACCGGCCTGTTTTGATTTTAATTTAGCTGAATTTGGGAGATAAGATGGAGCAACTATTTTGCAATATTGAGCTCCAGAAACATTTAAATAGAATTTAAGCACAGCCTGCCTTACCAAGTGGGAAGTATCCATCTCTATTGGTCCTTTCTTGAAATTTGAAGTTGGAGGGCCCAGGACCAATCTAACACTCATTCATCTGAGGGTGAGATCTGCAGTGCTCATTCTAGGACTTTGCTAGGGCAGGCTAGTGGGGAGAATCAACTCAGCTAACGAAGACTTAACATATACAAACATGCTTACACACTCAAGTACACACCTACATACATGTACTCATATACACATGCGCACAAATGCTCATACATTCACATTTACAAATATGCCAGCCTTGATAAATCAATAAGCCATTAGAGTGATAACAAGTGGTCACTGTGGGAGAGAAAGAAAGAACTGGAACCCACCCATAAGCTTCCAATGTTGCATTTGAACTTGAGTTTATACTATCAAAGAAGGAAAATATGCTAGCATTTTGTCATCCCCTGACAATCATTATTTGTAACAAATCCACAAGTAATTTAGAGTCATTAATGCTCAGAAACCCATAATCTATTTGCTCTATTTAGTTGAGCTATTGAGTGAGGTCTAAAAATGCCCTCACCCTCCCACATTTCTGCTTTCTGTCTTCTTGATATGAATTGTAGGAGCAAAGTAAACAGAGGGCTCTGTTAGAATTTCCTTTTTCACAAATGAGCCATAAAATTGTCCATTAATCAGTCCTGGCTCCCAGGGACCAGTTTGCATTGTGGAGGTTTCCTTTTCCTTTTCTGATCCCCGTTTTGTTGAAGAGATTACTCAAAAGAAAAAAGAAATCACACAGCAATAAGCCCCAGAGAATAGGCTTAAGAAAGCCAGCTTTTTTTCTTCTTCTTCTTATAAGCTGGCTTTGGCTGGAGTCAAATTCTCATCATTCGGCACCATTAAAAACTGTAACATTTACTCTGTTGGCTTTAGAAATCTTTTAAAATATAAAATATTCCTTCTTTTCTTCCCAGAGGGCATGGTGTTCCCATCTACTCAAACAAGTCCTTGATGTAAGTCCTTTAGCACCACATAAAGACATCCTCAGGATCTCTGAGACCAGCTTCCATGGGCACAGAAGTCAGGAAATACTGGAAAAATATACTCCGAGTTTGGCATTTCAGGCCTCCCCTCATGTAATTCCTATACAAGGTGTCATTTCTGACAGTTTTCGCATTTATCTTGAGGGTGTTTCTTTTAAAAGATGGAAGGAGAAAATATACATCAAGCTTTGAGCTGTCTGACAGGAGAGAGGTCCTGGGCTGCCCACCTTTCAGGCTGAAGCCTTCTCCTTGGGTGGCTGTTGCCTAGGACCAGCCCACCTACCTTCATTTTTCCCATGAAGTAGATTTCATACCTGCAGGAAGATTCCCCACAAATACATACACGGCACCAGCATCATCAATACATAGGCGATTTTTAAATATATATAGTAAGATGTATATAGTATATATTTTAAAATATATATAGTAGTCATATATATATATATATATAGTAATCATATGTAAGTGTAGTAATAAAAGAGACAGCAAAAATTGGCTTTAATGGAATCGTAACCAAAGCACGGTCTGTGTTTAGTTTGGGACTGCCGGTCTCGTTGAACCCCTACTTTTCCTCCGTCTAGTTCTCCCTTTGTATTTTGCCCTTTATTTACATTCAGCGTAAAACTTCCATAAACTCTCTTAAGGGATTTGTTTATTTTTTCTTTACCTTTTTTAAAAAAAAAAAAAAAAAGAAAAGAAATGCTAAACTGTTTGTCTAACCTGGGGAGTTTGGCAGGGAAACGAAATAGCCAGTAAAGGTTTTTATTTCTAGAGGAGAGTCACCCTGAGGTTAACTTGGAAGCTAAACAGTTTTAAAAGTTTATCTGACAAAAGTAAAAGTGAAATGTTTTTGTGTCGAGTCCCCTGTGTGAAATATAGCTATTTCTCCTAGCAAAACCCCATTCTTGATATGTGAGATGGCATCTACATTTTTAAATAAGCTAAGCGTGACTAACCAGGAATTCCTCTTTCTCAGTCACGAACGTTGTTTAATTATCACCCTCAGTAAATTAAATGCATCGGTCTGAATTGATTAATTGTCCCAGAAATCTTCTGAAGAAGTAGATGGGCTTCATAATCATTCTATTTCTTGAGAGCTCCTCCAATAACATTGCACTTATGCACATAAAATTTTGGGATGCCTGGACTTGTATTTGATGTGACTCACTCACACCTAGAAAACCATTTCTCTCATTCAGAGACTGCAGAAGTGTGAGTTCCTTGAATCACTGATTTGATTAGCACAAACATGTTGGATTTTGCGAACATACCTTAAGACTTTATTAGCCTACCTTATTTTATATGTCCTACAGGCTTTGGCAGTTTTGCACATTTAATTGAAATGCATTGGCATCTATAAAAAAGAACTTGCTTAAATCAAAAAGGAATTACTCATAATCTCTCTAATATTAACATTTGGACGTTTGACAGTACCTGCTGCATTCCACGGTGTTGCATTTATGCAGCTCAGATCTGAGGTCTCGTCTGACTTGGTATTTGTTTCAGTCAAGCTGTGTGAAATCTCTTGGCTTTCGTGCATATAGACAGGAAGGTCTGCAGGGGTGTTGGGGGGCAAAATACTGTGGCCAGAGTGGTAGCCAAAAGAGACCTTCATTATGCATATTTCCACTGGTGCCCATGTCACCCAGGAAAACCACCCTGGAAAGGGAGTAAATGAAAGGCCTGCTCCACCGACAAGGGGGCTGCCTCTAGAAGAGAACCTGCCAAGTCAGCTCCCTCCATCTGTGCAGGCCCCACTGACTCATGTGGCTTCCTAAGTCACTTAACCCTGACTCACCTCTGGGCTAGCCAACTACTGCTGAGATCCTCTGCAAGGCAAATCACATTATCCTTTTTTGAAACAAATGATGCATTTTAGGACTAACACATGCAGGCCCTGGCCTCATTCTCTGGCATGATATTGGAAACCAAAAATGATTCCTGTTAGGACAAGGTAGCCTACTAAAAGTAGGTGAAAATCTCAGATAATCCACATTCCCCATGTAGCCATTCTACTAATTCTTTCCTTATCGACCTTCACAGGACAGAATAGGTTGTTCTTGGATAGGGACGCAGGGTTGCAAACATACTCATACTTCCCTCAGATGTGCAGAGGAAATGTGTTGCCTTCATTTCTCTGCTGATGTACTCATCTTTGTCACAAACCCATCCAAATGCTTGTCGAGATATTGAGAAGAACACCCTATGTAGAGTGCAAGTCAGCAATTTAAACTGTTTCCTTAGGGACCAGGATCAGTTTTTCAAGTTTCTTTTCGTTCCCCCAGCGCCTCTTAAAGATGGGGTTTGTGGGTTTAGGGAAGGAAGCTGTCTATCACCTTACGGAGTGGAGACTGATGACGGGAGATGGCTGAAAAACTTATGGTCTGCTCCTCTGAGGCAAGGTTCTGAAGGTCATCCACTCCCTGTCCTTGGTGAATGGGTTATTGTTATTGCTATAGTTATTGAGTATAACACCAGTTGAGCTAGTGCATTATAACCCTAACCATTACAATGCAAGACTTTCAAAAACTTAACTACACAAGAAGTGACTATCAACTATTAAAAATATTCCACTAAACTCACACCATCACTTCTCCAATCCAAGTTTCCCTTGGCCAGATACTAACATTGACTACTGACACTTCAATGACATCGGATAGGAGAGGAAGTTGTTAATATACCTTACTCTTGCAAATACATTGCTAGGGCTCATTCTAGGTCTTGCAGCTCAAGAGTCATTAACGTTTTCATAAATTAAGCTCTAGGTGGAATCTGAAAAGTAAATCCTTACAGACACCATTAAACATAGTATTATCCAAATCTAAAATGAGAAAATATTTATAATAAAGTGAAAATGATATCATACAGAATCTCCATTTCACAAATGTACATACAGGAACACAGGTACACACACACACGTGTATATATACAAAAAAATGTCAGAAAGAAAAGTCCCAAATGTTAATAAAGATTATTTCATAACAGCCCAGTTACTAGATGATTTTTATTTTTCTACTGTGTACTTTCTTGTTTTATACATTCTCTTTTGCTATTGTGTATTTATTTTACATCCAGGAAAAATAAAAACCTTGTTTTTAAAGGTAAACTTTTATTTTAAAAATTTCTAATTAAATGGCTATATAAGTTCATTTTATAAGCATGAAGACAATGGTGATATGTTCATAAAGATTTAACAGAAGTTTTCAACTTTTTTTCTCAAAGAAGATTAACATATTTTTTTTCCTACATAACTCCCAAACTTAAAAAAAAACAAATTTATTTTTGAGATGGAGTCTCACTCTGTCACCCAGGCTGGAGTACAGTGGCGTGATCTCGGCTCACTGCAACCTCCGCCTCCCAGGTTCAAGCAATTCTCACGCCTCAGCCTCCCGTGTAGCTGTGATTAATGGCACGTGCCACCATGCCCAGCTAACTTTTGTATTTGTTTTTAGTAGAGTCAGGGTTTCACTATGTTGGCCAGGCTGATCTTGAACTCCTGACCTCGGGTGATTCACTCACTTTGGCCTCCCAAAGCATTGGGTACATGCGTGAGCCACCATGCCCGGCCAAAAAATCCAATTTACTTTGAGACAATAGCTTTAATTATTTTTAATCACTTGAAAAAATACTCAAAAAACAGAGAGCTGCAAGATTCTCGCCTCTATGAGCAAAGTGAGACAACCAACTTGATTTGCCAGAATTCCTGCCAAAAGCAAGAAAACGTGATTATGCATTGAGTTAAATCAGGCATAATGATATTATTAGGGTTTTTTAAATGTTGAAAATCTCTTGCAGATTTTCCTTTCCACCTTTACAGAGAACTTTAAATTTGGTGGTACCCCCGAAAATGACTGTGAAAAACTGTTCAATGAAAAAGCAGAATAGAAAATTGTGATTGCACCTCAATTTCTTTTTTTTTTTAAGTTTTAGGGTACATGTGCATAACGTGCAGGTTAGTTACATATGTATACATGTGCCATGTTGGTGTGCTGCACCCATTAACTTGTCATTTAACATTAGGTATATCTCCTAATGCTATCCCTCCCCCCTCCCCCCATCCCACAACAGGCCCGGGTGTGTGATGTTCCCCTTCCTGTGTCCATGTGTTCTCATTGTTCAATTCCCACCTATGTGTGAGAACATGCGGTGTTTGGTTTTTTCTCCTTGTGATAGTTTGCTGAGAATGATGGTTTCCAGCTTCATCCATGTCCCTACAAAGGACATGAACTCATCATTTTTTATGGCTGCATAGTATTCCATGATTGCACCTCAATTTCTATTATCAATTTGGAATGCATTTGGCTGGCCGTGGGGAACAGAAAACCCACTAAGCAGAACTGAGCACAAGCTCACAGGCATGTAGGTTTGTGTACTAACTCACTTAATCCTCACCACAGCCCCAGGAGCATGTAGAATTATCACTGACGGCGAAAAGGAGGAACACAGAGGTTAAGAACCACATCCAAAGATACATGGCTGTTAGATGGCAGATCTGGGATTCGAACCCAGCCTTTGGACTCCAGGGTCTGACCCTTCTTTACCTCCGATGTTCTGTTTACAGAAAAGGGAGGGACTTCCCATAATATCCAGAAACAGATTCTTTATTATCTGGGTCTCTTCAATGGTTCTTGTACACTGGGAATTTGTGGGAAGCATCAGAAAACCAGAAGTCAGTGTGTTTGCATTTTTTTTTTAATTTAAAATGGGAGCCACTTGGGAGTTTTGCTAATGCAGCACTTTTTCCACCTTTCTGTCTGCAGCAAGGTTGAAAAGCCTTCTTCCTCACAGGAAATAACCCGCAAATGAAATCACGAGACACAGTTGCTCTCCTTGGTGAGCTGTTGGAAGGGCGGACGATTCCTGGTCCATCCATTACCATGTAAATAATTAAACACCCAGAGCCCGCAGCCCAGGGTGGGCAGTCTGTGGCAGCAATTTGCTTTAAATATTGGTGAGCCTAAACTCGGTCAGTCATTAGCTCCTCCTAGTGGCTTTTTGGGCCTTCAATCAGGAGGCAGCTGAGGTGCTGCTGACTTTGAGGAACAAAATCCCTGATTGATGAGTAGCCTGAAGTTTCTTCCGAAGTGACAAGACCGTTCGTCACCTCTCAAGCCACAGGACTTGATTCCTCAGGGAAAGCTGCCCCGGCTCTAAGTACAAAATCTGATTTGGTCAACAAACTACTTTTACACAACCAGGGCAAAGCATGTTATCATCTATGCACGTGGCATTTATGATAACAATCAACACTGTGTGTGTAATTCTGTCCAAAAATAGAGTCCAGGCCGGGTGCGGTGGCTCACGCCTGTAATCCCACCACTTTGAGAGGCTGAGATGGGCGGATCACTTGAAGTCAGGAGTTGGAGACCAGCCTGGCCAACATGGTGAAACTCCGTCTCCACTAAAAATATAAAAATTACCCAGGTGTTGTGGTGCACGCCTGTAATCCATGCTACTTGGGAGGCTGAGGCAGGAGAATTGCTTGAACCCGGGAGTCAGAGTTTCAGTGAGCTGAGATGGCTCCACTGCACTTCAGCCTGTGCACCAAGGGTGAAACTCCGTCTCAAAAAAAATAAATAAAAATAGAGTCCAACCACAACTATTTTCTCTGTTAAAGATGAGTAGATACATGGATAACAAAAAAGACAATGCATTGAGAACTTAAATTTGGCTTTTAATTATGCTCTGCTCTTGCGTGTGAATAAAGTCACATCTGCCAAACTAAAGTCTAATGATTTCAAATAAAGCAACAAGGCCACACCTGAAGAGAAAAAGAAAACGTGGGGAAAAGGCCAAGAAGCTGTCCAGCTTCCCCATCCTGCCCTACTACTCAAGTGCTCCATGGAAACGACTTCAGCAGTGTTAATCAGCAGATCTCTTTCAGACTGATGCCACGTGTCACCATTCCCCAGACCTTTGATGGATTAGGTGAAGTTCAGTGTTTCAGTCTCAAAGGATATCTTGACAATAAAACTAAATAGAAGGAGCTGAGATGTCAACAGAGTCCCAAGTGTAGAGTAGGCATCATTCATAACTTAGAAGGACATTCGCTCTTGGACAAACCCAAATTAGAATAATCTACCTATAAGCTGGGTGCAGTGGCTCACACCTGTAATACCAGCATCTCCGGAAGCTGAGGTGGGAGGATCACTTGAGGCCAGGAGTCTGAGAATAATCTACTCATAGATAGATAATCCAGAATAGTGACACAAAGGCAAATGCAAATCACATTGAGAAAAAAATTCAGGTATCTACATTGCAAGTATAATCAAATAGGAAAAGTTCCAGCTCTCAATTTTGCTGCTGTAACTATGATCCCATAGTTTGATACATGATCCATAATCTACTCAACACTGAGTAAATATACTATGAATTTTATTATTTATGCCAGTAGGCATTAAAATTCCATCTTTTTTTTACCCTGCCAGCATTGATTACAACACAAGGACACACACATACATACACACACTCTACTATGGAGCAGCTTTAGAGCTTTAAGAATAATTTGGGCTGCCTTGGAATACCAGAAGCCCTAGAAAACCAGCAACTACACTGGAAGATCTTGAATAACACGGGTGGTTGTCTAGAAAAAGCTACAGGCTCTGAAGTCAGGAATAAATCTAGGTTAGTATCTTGACTCTACCCTTCAGCAATGTTTCCCCTTAAGCATATCTGATGACATCTGTAAGCTCTAGTCTAAAAGAGTGCCACTAATACCTAATTCACAAATCTGCCCATGAGAATGGAATGATCCCATATATAAACTGCTTAACAGTGACTGGCACAAAGCAAGCTCCTCAAAATACTTAGTTTCCTGCTATTTTCCTCTCCTTGACAAGTGCTTCTTCTGGTGAATCTCCAGGGGGTTAAGTGAGCATGGATACACTCCTGAGAATTTCAAAATCCTTGGGATTTTTTTTTTTCCTCCTGACAGTCAGTACTGTTGGCTGGTTTGGAACCTCCTAGTGAATTTTCTTTTTCTCAAATCTTGGAGTATTTTTGGAGTTTATAGATCAGTGTCCTCCCAAAATGGCTCAGCCTGACCTACCCCCAGCCTGTCTCCAACACTCAGACTGTGTTTTCTTGAAACGTGCGATGCTTTCCTGTTCCAACTACATGTTCCTATTCAATCATCCATTCATTCAACAAGTATTTACCATATGCCAATCCTGTACTGGGATACAAGGTGACTAAGACAGGCTTGGTTCCACCTTCAAGGAGATCATGTTCTTGCAGAGGACACAGATGAAAAGTAAGAGGGCACATAAATGCTTTAATTATAACTGATACCGTGGCAAGTGCTGCGATGGGGGCTCTAGCAGAGAACAGAAGTTTAAGTATCGGGGCAGTGGTTACCACCTGACATAGGGCATCAAGGAACCCTCCTTGAGGAGGGATGAGTTAGGCAGAGGTGAGCTGCATAGGGAGTGAGAGACCTCAGGCAGGAGGAACCCAGAGAGGTTGTTCAGGAGGACCTCTGAAATAAAAACTATTGGCAACAGGGCACTTTGTCTCCCTCCCCTCCCCTTCCCTTCCCTTTCTTTCCTTTCTTTCTTTCACTTTCCTTTTGAGGCAGAGTTTCACTGGCAGTCAGGCTAGAGTACAGTGGTGTGATCTCAGCTCACTGCAACTTCCACCTCCCAGGTTCAAGTCATTCTCCTGTCTCAGCCTCCCAAGCAGCTGGGATTACAGGCACCCACCACCATGCCCGGCTAATTTTTGTATTTTTAATAGAGATGGTGGGGGGGGGGTGGGGTTCACCATGTTGGCCAGGCTGGTCTGGAACGCCTGACCATATTCTTGTTTCTAGATTCAACTCCATTCTTACAATCCTGAACTCCTAGCTGAGGATTTAATTGCATATATAATCTTAGATCTCTGTGACTTCCACCTTATTTATTTATTTATCTATTCATTTTAAATTTTCTGTCTATATGTCAAGAGGTCTACTTAATAAACTAGATTCCTTTCCTTTTAACTGAAAAAAATTAGAGAGGAGTGCTGCCTGGAGCCCTGCCTCCTTGGCGTTGTGCTCTACTTTTTTATCTACACAGGATTTGTGTCAATTTGTTGGTCTTACAAATGCTCCTATTGTGGGGAGGAAACCATGGGCTGAACACAAGGGCTGCCTGACTTCCCAGTTTCACTCCAGGAGGCCCACGTCACACCAGCTTCTTCTTGATGCTGTAGACACAGTCACAAGGTGTCCACATGTGTCTTCCTCACACCCATCCGCTGGGAAACAGGACTCTCCTTCCTGCTCTGCAGGGTGGAAAATAGGACCCCAGGCAGTCGCTCCCTTGGAGATGGGTCCCACACTCCATGAAGCTCAGCATGGGCATAAGAGCTGTCTGGCTGCGGTGGCTGCCTGTTTTCAGCAGGGGTCTTCAGCCAGCATTTTCTCCAGGAGGGTAGCACTGAGCTTTCTTCCAGCTGATGGCTCTGGAAGGCACCACAAGTTCTTTTTGGCGCATTTTCCACTTTCCTCCTCTCCTCCCACTCCCCTCTCTCTCTCCTCACCCCACACAGATCCTGTGCTGATTGACTGCCATCGCCAGGCTTCTGTACCAGGCAATCAATCAAAAGAGACCTTCCCACGCGGAACAGCCGCCGCCCCTCCACCAGACTGCTGCCTCTGACATTTCCTGCGTGCCTGGACTGAGCCTGTTTGGAAGGCTCCAGCCCCCTCCTATCAGTCTGGGCACTCAGGGCTCTGGCAGCAGCTGCCGCTCTGAATGTTGACACCCTGCCACGTCAACACTGGCCGGGCCGATGTTCCTTCACACTCATCTGCTGAGCCCAAACTTCCCCTGCTGGCGGGCTCTCCCTGTTTGAATGGGCTCCCAGTCAGAAAGGGCTCCCTGAAGCCTTAGCTCCTTGAAGCTCGCCCCTTGCAGCCTTCCGGCTAGAGGATGTGGCTGTTGGATCAGCTCAGTGATCCTTGGTTCACAAAAAAAGAAATTCAGTTCAATGTGGCCTTTCCCAAACCCCCTCAAACAGCGTTCTGTGCAGATTGAGCCTGCTGGCCTTGGCATTGTCCTTCCGACTTGATTTTTCAGACTATCTTTCCTCTTGTCTGTGAGAATACCATGGGGCTCAAGGACCTGAAGGAATTGGTGCATGTATTTCATTTGAACTTTGCTGAAGCTTTTTTATTTTAAGCCAAGTGCTTCCTCTGCTGTCTAGAAAAAAAAAAAAAAAAAAAGAAAGAAAAGAATCCTTCTCTTGCCGTCTTTTTTGCCCACACAGATAGCCGCTTCTCATTTTTCTGGTTCCAACTTTCAGGTAGTTGTATACTAATTGCAACTAATTCTTGAATGTAGACTAATTAGGAAATACAGAAAACTACAATAAGGTAAATTTTAAAAACCTCCTTAGGCCGGGCGCGGTGGCTCATGCCTGTAATCCCAGCATGTTGGGAGGCCGAGAAGGATCACTTGGGGTCAGGAGTTCGAGAACAGCTGGCCAATATGGTGAAACCCCGTCTCTACTAAAAATACAAAAATTACCTGGGCGTGGTGGCGGGCGCCTATGATCCCGGCCACTCAGGAGGCTGAGGCAGGAGAATTGCTTGAATCCGGGAGGCGGAGGTTGCAGTGAGCCGAGATCACACCCCTGCACTCCAGCCTGGATGACAGAGACAGACTCCATCTCAAAAAATACATAAATAAATTAAAAAAAAAAAGAAAAATCCTTCCTATCTAAGGAGCAAGAGATAATAATGATTAACATGACAGGATATATCCTTACAGTTTAGTTCTCTGCATTATACATGCAAAGAATAAACACACATGGATGACTTTTCTATGTACAATAAAAGCACCATCACTTGACACATCTCAGAACCATTTCTGATTTAATGTTTTATGAATCTTAAAGGCAGGATTACTCTTTGACCCACCAATTTCCCCCTAGAATGGAAAAGTACATCAAAGTGTATGTACTAGGTTGTTCATCACCACCATTATCATATTAGCTCCAAATTAGGGACAATTTAAATTCCCAGCAATAAGAGATTGGTTAAATAGATTGTGGGATAACTGTGCAATGTAATACTAGGAGAATATAAAAAATGGTGACATACATATATACATAAATATATATACACAAACATGGGCATGGAACACTACTAATAAAAAGATCATAAATTAGTATGCATAATACTTTACATGTATGCATCTATCTCACTTTGGAAGATGATATCCAAAATATTAATAATATTTATCTCTGGCCGGGTGTTTTGTGAGTAATATATGACTTTAGATTGTCTGATTATGTTAGAATTCTTGTAATGAACTCTTATGCTTGCGTTAAAAAAGTTAATAGGAGAAAATATAGTAGAGATGATTTTTCCATATCATTGTTTTTCTCAAAAATGACTGTTAATGGTTCGCTACCACCATGTGTTTATTCATTTCCCTATCTCAACTGCCTTATTGTATACTGAGGATGGGAGTGGGAGGGAATGAGGCTTAGAGACAAGAAGTACCTGACTAATTAGGAACAAGCCTGGGCTAGAATCCAAGCCTCTGTTTCAAAGGTCTAAATCCTATGCTGCTTTCCAGTTGTTATAGATCTAGGAGTCACTGATATATCCTACAAGTATGCTGTGTGTATGTGTGCGTGTGTGTATGTAACACATATACACACAATATTTTCATATTATTTTTAAAGGGAGTTGAAGTTGGCGCATAAAATGGTTATACTTTTCCAGTTCCCTATTGGCTTCCCTTTGAACTTGGAAACCATTTCCTACTTGAACCTCATCTCAATTTTCTCTACACCAGTTGTTCTCCAACTGAGGTCCCTGATTGGCAGCAGCAAAATCACATGGGAACTTGTGAGAAATGCAAATTCTGGGGCCTCACCCTAGCCCTGTGAAATCAGAAACACTGGAGAGCGGCCCACCACATGTGTTTCAATAAGTCCTCCAGGTGATTCGGATGCTCAATTAAGTTTGAGACGCTCTGCTCCACGTAAACCAAAGCAGCAATGACGGCAGGCAAAACCAGCACAAAACAAAAACGAACAGAAAAACTACAGTGGTCTGTGTTTCTTATTACTTTCCTTCCTCAAGTTGCCGTCCCTTCTGCCTCCTCTACCCCTAAATCAACCTAGAAAAATGTGAAGAATGTGGATTCCAAGGTCAGAATGCCCGGGCTTAAATCTGAATTTCATCCCATATTAGCTGCATCACCTTAAATGAATTATTTAGCATCTTTGTGTCCATTTCCTCATCTATAAAATGAGGTGAAAATCACAGTACATACCTCCTGGCACTACTGTATTAGTGTGTTCTCATGATGCTATAAAGAACTGCATGAGACTGGATAATTTATAAAGGAAAGGTTTAATTGATTCACAGTTCTACAGGACTGGGGAAGCCTCAGGAAACTTAGTCACTGAAGAAGGGGAAGCAAACATGTCCTTCTTCATATGACGGCAGGAAGAATTGCCAAGCAAAGGGTGAAAAGCTCCTTATAAAACCATCAGATCTTGTGATAACCCACTCATGATCATGGGAACAGCAGCATAGGGGAAACCACCCCCATGATTCAATTACCTCCCACCAGGTCCCTCCTATGACAGGTGGGGATTATGGGAACTAGAATTCAAGGTTGGAGTTGGGTGGGGACACAGCCAAATCATAACAACTACTAAACATACAGATTTGAGTGTCTAGCTATGCTAAGTATATAAAGGTGTGTGTAAATTATCTTTATTTTGGCTCTGCCCCATCAGAAGCACTACCTGCTCCTAGTGTCCCCATCCCCATTCACACTTACAGGTTCTGCGTTTAGTGTCCCAGGTTTTCTAGGTTGGTAAGAATCTTCTTATATTACATGTGTATTAATGGATTGCTAGTAGTTGTGGGTTGAATGGAAAGATTTTCAATTTCTAACCCCCAATCCCTGTGAATGTGACCTTATCAAAATTATTGCCTTTGTAGATATAATCAAGTTAAGGTGATATTATACTGCATTATGGAGGCCCTAGTCCAACAGGTGATGTCCTTCTATAATGAGGGAAGCTTACACAGACACACACAAGAAGGCCATGTGAAGCAGAGGCTACGCTGCCAGAAGCCAAGGACAGTCAGGACTCTCAGTAACCACTAAAAGATAGGAAGAGGTGAGGAAGGATCTCTCTCCAGAGACTTCAGAGAGAGCACAGCCTTGCCAACACGTTGACTGTGGACTTCTGGCCTCCAGAACTATGAGGCAATACATTTCTGTCATTTTAAGTCACTCAGTTTATGGCAATTTGTTATAGCAAACCCAGGAAACTAATATGTAAGTAACTTGATATAGGAGTCCTATAGCTCACTGTATTAGTTCGTTATTGCATTGTTCTAAAGAACTACCTAAGACTGGTTAATTTATACAGAAAAGAGGCTTAATTGACTCACAGTTTCACAGGATATACAGAAAACATGGCTGGGGAGGACTCAAGAAACTTACCATCATGGCAGAAGGGAAGGAGAAGCAGGTACATCTTACTATGGTTAGAGCAGGAGGAAGAGAGCAAAGGGGAAGGTGCTACATGGTTTTAAGCAACCAGATCTCATGAGCAACCACATCTCATAAGAACTCACTCACTATCACAAGAACAGCAAATTCGCCCCCATGATCTAATCACCTCTCACCAGGCTCCTACCCCAACATTCGGGATTACAATTTGACATGAGATTTGGGTGGAGACGCAGATCCAAACTACACCACTACTTAACCTGGAAGACATGCTTTCAGTATTTTCAGCAATATGGAGAACAGTCGTGGTGAGCCCTAAACTTGAAGTCAAAAGACCAATATCCAAATTTTAGCTCTAATACTTCCTAGACTTATAAATTTTTGTAGATTTCTAAACTCTCTGAACTTAATCTTCTCACATGTAAGATCGCCAGATAAAATGCAGAGCACAGAGTTAAATATGAATTTCAGATAAACAGCAAGTAATTTTTAGGATAATTATGTCTCACACAAGTATGTACTTTAAGACATAAAAATGTGTTTATCTATGGGAAACATAGTATTAACTAGAAATCCTGCATTTTTATTTGCTAAATCCGGAAACCCCACTCAACATGAAAATATAGTTGATAATATCTGATTTGCACTCCTATTGCACAAATTAAAGGGAAAATTACATGTGAAAATGCTTGCTATGCTTTAAGTGTTCAATAAATGTATATAATGATAAATCTGCAGAAATGGATGATCTTTGAGAGACTCAAATAGAGAACATAAGCTATTTCATAGAGGAGCCCTCAGATACTACCATATGAATTTTCATAAGCGTGATTTACTGGATTTAATTAGAAGAGGAATGTTATAGGTAGCTAGAGGTGACAGCATGGGTAGCAGCTATACATATATTTATATGCAAATGTATAATATTATACACACATAATATATGTTTATTATACATTACATCTATTTATTTATTTATTTGACAGTAAAGTATGTGAAAAAACAATTATTAAAAAGCAGACACAAATACTCTGAAGAAACCAGTTTGGAGTCAGGTAGTATAGGGGGAAGCAACGTTATACAGCAAGAACTCCCAAGTACATCATGGTTTCATCAATCATGGTATGGTGATTAATGACAATAATTACAATTCTGTGTCATTGGATAAAAATTAACTTGTATCTGTTATATTCTCTTTGTGGCAGGGCTGTGTGTGGCATTTCAGAAATATCTCTCCCCCAAACAAAAGTCTAAATAAGCTTAGGCATTAAAAGAATAATCTTCAGTCATCTAGACATTTCACTCCTCAGCAGATGAAACATTTGCATATTTTAAGAGTGGTCCTCTCTGAAGGTTAATAAAATATTGCAAGTTTTCAGCATTTCAGACAGTTGGGAAGCTCCTCAACTGGCAAGTGAAAGGTGGTTATTTGTTTTGCCTCCACAAATAACTGGTCTGTGAAAAGAGCTTTTAGGTTACTAATTTCAAGTCAAAACAAAATTACTGAGTAATTCATTAACTAATACTTAGTGAAAAAAAGTGAGAACAATATAATATAAGGAAGAAAAGTCTCTTGAATATAAGTCTAATGGAGTCATATTTTTCCTACCTCTAAATGCCAGAATTCCATTCTAAATGTGGTGCCAATTTTTATGAACCTCATATTTGCAGACCCCTTCAATAGTTTCAACCATTGAATAAAAATGATATGGAAACTATGGTATCTTAAGAGCTTAGAAGAACGGAACATATGCATCCATAACCCTACTCATAATGGAATTTTATACTTGAATCCTGCATTTTCCAAACTTAATTGACAGCAGAAATATTTTCTTTTTATTTCAATGGATTCGTATTAATATTCAGTGGAACACATTTTAGGAAACACAAGTCACAAGGCGGCTGCCACTATTGTCTAACCATTGACCAACTTTTCAGTATTATCTATTGTCTCTGCTACGTAAACATCTTGAACTTGAACTGTATTGGAATACTTACTATTAAGTTTTCTGAAGCAATAGGTCTTCAAAGTGAGGTATGCATAAGCCAAGGATTGCATAAGAATTTATTGCGGTATTAAATAAAATCAGATTTTCTGTTCCTATTTATCTAAAAAATAAAATAAATTCTACAAATATCTAATATGCAGATTGACACTAGTACATGCATATAGCTTGTCAATGATGTGTGCATCATGAGGGCCAATACTCAAAGTATTTTTTTCTGAAAAGGGCATGCAATTAAAAGTAGATAGACCATTGTTCTAAAGACCCAAGCCTCTTTTTTGTTCATGCCTTTCTCGTTCTTCTAAAGTCTTTCCCTAGTTCTCTCAACACAGGGCAGAGCTAGTGGATGTCAATGCTGTTTCCGTTGCCTTTTTTTGTTTATTTGTAAATCTAGTCCACTAAACCATAACTTCCTTAAAAGACCTTTTAATCCCCTTGAACTATTACAGTATTAGGTGTTCAATAAGGTTTGTTGAATAAATGAACAAGTGAACAAATAAGCGGCCAAACTTAGATGGTTAGTCTGAATCCCACATAAAGACAGCCTGAAATAGCAAATCACCTTTCTGCAATTTAGATCTCTTCTGCCAAATTCATGTCTTATCCAGTCAAATGTTCTCTACATTTCATTTGTCCAGTTTGTTTTCCAGAGATGATAGCTAGGCAATTCTCTTTGTAATGATTTCTATCTGTAAGACTTAGATAGATGAGAACACAGAAGATAATCACAGCTAGAAATCATAAGCTATGGGAACATGCAAAAATCGTAATTCTTTATTGAGGAAAAGGTAATTAAGTGACAGATGCCTTGCCCTAATTATAACACTCTGTCAATTACTTGGCCCCATTTATCAAGATCTCCAACTTCTCCAGATCATTTTGCTGCTCAAATTAGTATGTGCAGGGATATTTTTTTTATTCCCTTCATTAGACTAATGTGATTCTCCCCTTGGAAGTTCAGAAATGATAGTTGAGTCTGGTTTCACCACATAATACTTCTCAGAGCTCTTTCCCATGTCATGAAAGCCCTTGAGGCATCCCTTAAGATTATGTGTATCTGTATAGAACTGAATTTTTCCATGGATACTTTAATTATGTTGAGCCAAAAAATATTAAATAAAGATCATATCCAAGTGTTCGAAATAAAGACTGAAAAAAAAGAAAGGTCTGCTGGAGAGATTTGTGTTAGAGGACAGATTCACTACCAACCAGACCTACTGAGTAATGAAAAATAAAAAGCACGGCCCACATTGGTTTAGGTCTTTCAAAACAGGATACACAAGTCTAGAAGTGTTTATCTTTAAATTTGCCTGTAGGAAAAAGTAAATGAGTTTTCAAGGTCCTTTCAAACTCCTCAGCGATGAGAACACTGGCTATGCGTGAAGACTACTAAGGACACAGAAGATGCATAGTGGTGATTTATACATTTGTTTGCATTTTATATTGCGCTATGGAGTAAAGAGAGGAGGGCTAGTTCTGTCTTGAATTATGACTTAGGGAAGGCATTGAGTTGTGGGTTGGTGAAATCACCCCTAGAATACCACAGTCAAGTTGGGGCATCACAGCTCCAGAAAGAAGTCAGTAGATAAATTGGAGGCAGTTCAGAGACAAGCAAAGAGAATGATAAACGTATTGGAAGACATGATTTATGTGGCAAGATAGATGCAGCAGACAATACATTCACAAGTGTGCTTGCCAGAGTGATGACTAAGGTGATAACATGATAATACTTGAAAAACATGGACAACCAATGAGCAGGAAGAGGACTGGAGTTCGAGGGGCTCATCACTTGAAGAGATAAATAATGAAGGTTTTCAAGGATGGGAAAGGAAAGGCCAGTGAATATCAGGAAAAAACTATGCTCACAAAGATCTTAATTAAACTGATTGGGCTTTTTCAAAAATCGATATTACATGATTGTTCTTAGATTTTTGTGATGTGCTAGAGAAACAAGGAAAGACATAGAGCCCCTGGGTTATAAGTGGAGGGTAAACCTACAATTACTATGTCTTCTCAGACCATAGGGTCTTTGCAGGGAACCTGCCCAGCAAAGAAGGACTAACCAGGATTACTTCTTGTAATTATGTTGTTGGTGCCAAATTTTCCATAAACGACTAGGGATCCAGCACATAAAAACATCTGACACTTTTATATAACACTCTTACAGGTATATAAAACAGTAGACATAAATATTTGAAGAAATATAAGGGATAAAGTGTCAGAATTCATAACTCTTTTTAAGGTTGCTTGTTCCATAAAAATACGTTTGAATCTCTAGACCTCAATTTCTTCTTCTGTAAAATAAGTGCCTGAGATAAGATAATCTATAATTTCTTATTTAATTAGAAAAGGATACAACATAATGTTTCTAAGGCGCTCATCTTCTTTCAATAAGTACTAACGTTCAAAATGTACTGTAACCACATATTTCTTTCACTCTTCCAGATATCCTTATAATCCAGGGATCAGCAAACTTTTTGTAAAGGGCTAGAAAGTAAATATGTTAGGCTGTGCGTGCCATATGGTCTCTGTAATTCTCAATTCTGCTGTTTTAATGAGAAATCAACCATAGACAATGCATAAATGGATAGGTGTGGCTGCACTCCAATTGAACTTTATTTATGGATACATATGTGAATTTTATATAATTATCATGGATTATGAAAATTGCTTTTCTTTTGATATTTTCCCTAACCATTTAAAACTGTATAACCATATTTTTAGCTCAAGAGTACCACAAAAACAAGCAGTGGGCTAACCTAATCAAATTGCTAAGTAGTGTTTTTCATTTTATTTCCGATCAGCATTATTTATTACAGAGCTAAACACCTTTTGACTCTAAAATTGGCATTTTAAGATCCCTGGATAAAAGGAAGCCAGGAAGAAAAAGTCCTTCAGCCACAATGCACTGTCAGAAATTTATGAAAAGCAATAATGATGACCCTGGTGATAACAAGAAAAAAGTCATTACTATATGGAATTATCCTGGGGCCTCTGTAAATTATCAACTACGTTGGCTTCACCAAAATGATCAGGTAGACTTCCCCAAAAAGAAGGAACAAGAGGAATAAAAAATGAAAATGTATTCTATGCTTCTCTTTTTCCAGGTTTCCCTAAAAGGATTTTAAAAATCCTCCTTCTGTGCTGCAGAAGAAAAATAGAAAATAGAAATTCTTCCTAGCCACCTAGGCCTTCTTTTCAGATGTTTAAGTCATTCAGGGATCCTTTCTGTAGGTTAAACAATCAGTTGACAGGAATTGGGTATTTCCTTTTACTTTTGAGTCAATCAGATATAAATTAAATGTGACTAAAATATGAAAATTAAAGCAAATAAAGCTAAAATCACAATTAGGATTAATTGGGTATTCCTATAAATCAGAATGTCCATCAAAATGTACAGTACGAGCACTCTAAAAGTAAGTCACAAACCAAAAGGGGAATTATTGTCTTCAAATTGATGCCTCCAGTTCAGATAGCAATCCATCAGTGCTGCAACCTAAATGCTTATCCCAGTTTGTCTGGGAGAGAAAGGAACGGTTTTGGTTCCTGATGCTGTCAATTCACTTGAGTAAAAAGGCACACAAAGGAATACATGTATATATTTGCAATTAAATTAAAATTATTGTCTCTTTCAGCTTTATACAGTTGAGTAAAAATAAGTTGGGACTTCACAACTGTGACTTTCACTCAGATTTATAGGAACCATTTTATGTTTATCAATGACTTCTAATAGGTTTACAGCATCAAAACTGGCCATGTTTTAAAAAGTCAATAAATAGCTGCATTATAATTTTGAACGTTTATGTCACACAAAGGTAACAAATTCACTCCCTGTGGGAAAAAACATTTCAGAGCACATGCATAAAGGAAAAAAGGTAAAGAAATGTACCCAGGCTTTAACGGTTGTAAGTCCAGGTGAATTACTACCATTTTCTAAATCACGTGAAGCAATGCAAATTGATAATAAAAGAATATTGTCTTTGAACAATGAATTGCAGATTTTGATCACTGCCACTGCTTTAACTGCCACAGATAGCAAGTAGTCAAATAAGAAAATACTGTATTGTCGATTCAAGTAGAAAATGCATACTAATTTCAATAAATTTATATGGACTATGAAATAAAATTATATTAGCTACCAGATCTCCAGGAAAATCAAACTGGAAAATACATAAATGTGAAAACACACTGAAGTTTCAGATAAAATGGAATTGGTTGACTCATGATGTATTAGAACAGTGACACAACAAGGAAGTGCTCAAAAAAGTGGGCATCCAGAAAGGAAGGAGGGAATACCGTTGAACAATATAAACCTTAGGATCCCCTGCTCCACTTCTAAATATTCAGAGACAGGCTTCGTAAAAATTGTTGTAAAAATGAAGCTGAGTCTAATGTTTACAGTCATGGACTTAGCAGCCTGGATTTAAACCCAAGCTCTGCTACTCAGCCACAGTATGTTCCTGGGCAAGTACTTAACCTCTCTGTGCCTTAGTTTCTTCATCTGTAAATGGAACTCGTACCTACCTCAGAAGGTTATAATGAGGAGTCACTGAGTTAACTTTTGTAAAATGCCTTGTTTAGCTTTCACTTCCCATCAAACAAGTGTTTGATTGTGAAATAAAAGTCTTTGTCTCTTGATTTTCATTACTTCTTTTCTGTTTAGGAGCCAAGTCCCCCAGCTGATTACAGAAGTCCTTGATGCTCACCTTGACTCCCTCCAAAGGCCAGTCCAGTCCTCACCCATTTCCTCATTCAGTAACTCCTTCCCTTTCCTCTGATCAAATCTTGCTTTTCCAAACTCATTCTTTCAGCTCGTTAAATCTGATAAGCAACTAATCATAGCTAAAATTTTTGATGTGTGAACTATGCTCTGGATACAATGCCAAGTTCTTTTCATATATCAATTCACTTAATTAATTTAAACCTGTGGGCTAAGGAGTCTTCACAATCTTACAGTAGAAGGAAGTAAGACTCAAAATGGTGAACACATTTTACAAGATCACACAACCAGCAAATGACAGGCACGGGGACTGAAAAAAGGCCACAGTACCAGGGCTGTGCTCTCTTTCACAGTGCATTGCCACATTCCCTCCACTGCAAATCTAATCGGGAGCCAGTGTGGAAATACTCTCTGTTCTGGGTACATGAATGCATTTTGACAAAAACCTCTGCAGACAAAACCTAAATTCAGAATTTCAATTTCTAACAAACTACTGGGGAAGTGTTGGGGAATTACAGACACTGCTCAGATTATCTTCTCTCATGTGGCTCTACACATCATTTATTCTGCAAAGCTTATAGACTTTTATAAGAACTAGGATAAATTTGTTACAGGGCAGGAACCACGAAGGGTGTTCTTGTTTCTTTCTTAATGGAAACAAGGTCTCTTCCAACCCTAAACCCCGTAAGGAAAAGTATTAAGGCTCCAAAAATAATGGGCAGTGGCCTCATTCCTCTCTCCCTTCCTCACCCTTTCCCCATTTTTAACCCTGGAATCTAGATTTAAAAAAATGGACCTATTACGTTATTTCCTCCCAGGTGAAATAGACAAATATAAATGCACAGTTAGCTATGCATTTCTTCACTGAATATCTTCCTGATAGTTGTTTAGCTTCATCGGAAGGAAATAAAATCACTACTTATGTCTGGAGGATTCTGTGTTATTGGATCACCCTTCACAAGGAGAACAAATAAATGTCATGCTTTTGAGGTAGGAAGCAGCAAGTTGATGAGGGGAAGAGGGACTCCAGTTAGCAAAGATGGATGAGGGAATACGTTTAGGAAATCAAGCGAGTGACTGAGTCATCAACATACCTCAGTTGTGGCCATTTTTCTAATCTTTGCATTTTCAGATTCTGAAGTGTTAGTTCCTTAAGTCTTCTCAGTGTCACTGTATGCTGTAAAATCCTACAGCTTATAAATTCAGTTTCAATTTGGAAACAAATTTTCAAGCATAAGCTTTTGAAAGGGAAAGTTAAAATACAAAATTAGAGAAATACTTATTACCCTCCTCCTCCCTGACCAAGATGCTGACCTGCAAAGGCCGCTCAGTACAAGTTGCCATATACATAGGCACCCACCTGGCCAGGTTGTGTCTTTCTACATTACTAATCATTCATTTGCTTGTAATTCATCATAGTGTGTTTAATTTTAAAATTAATTCCCCAGCTAATTTTAAGATTTATGGCTGAGTCTTTGCCTCAAAAGCTGACTACATTATGAAAAACACTCAATTGAAAAATAATTAATCTGGTGTGTTAAACAATCTTCTCATTGAATTCAGATGGGCACATTATCAGTCCCATACACCGCGTGTAATTTTTGAATACATTGAAAGTAAAAAAAAAGCAAGCAATCATTTTAAATCTCCAGTAGGTCATAGTCTCAAGGGGCCAAACATGTCTTTGATTCTGGAAGAAAAATTGCCCCTACCAGAAGGAAGCTGAAGAAAGGAATTCCAAGATTTAAGCATCTTCAATATACTGCATCGCATTTAACTGTTATGCATGGTCTCTGGGGAAGGTATTGTCAACTACATTTTATGAGTAGACAAGGAAACCCAGGCACGGAACTGTCATACAGTTTGCCCAAGGACCACACACAACTGTAGAGACCATGATTCCCTCTCCGGCCACTCTTCTTGTCCTATGTCACACTCATAGGCTCATTTCAGGGGTCCCAGGAACACGTGAAGCTCTTTCTAACTTAGAGACTGTGCGCTGTTCACTCATCTTTGCCAGATTCTTCTCCTGGTTCCTTCTCGTACTTCAGGTCTCAGCGTAGATCTCTTAAGGCCTTCTGTGTCCACTCTATCTGAAAATAGAGCTCCCTTTCTATTTGGTCTCAGGTTGCTGTTTGTTTGCTTCACAGCGGTTGACTTTAGAAAACGTGTATTTGTTCAGTTTTTTTTTTTTTTTTTTTTTTTTTTTTGCCTTTCTCCTTCACCTACCCACTTAAGTGTAAACTTCAAGAGGGTGGTTTTCAGGTTCTTTTTGTGCACCCAGCAACTGGAATGGCCACTAATACATCACTACAGGTCCCCAGTAAGTGTTTTTTAATGGATAGAAGAAAGGAAAAATGAGTGGGCAGATAGGAAGGAGGACTGAGTCCAAATTCGGTCTGGCTATGGGATATTAGCTTTTGTATAGCTTTGTGGTCTAGGTGGACACACCAGCTGGGATCCCTTGCAGCAGATAGAAAACTCTGCCATGAGGAATGAGAGATATGTGATCTCACCAGGGACAAAATCACCAACAAGAGTTGAAGAGTTGAGTCCAAGGACCCGCTGTCAGTCAGTGCTTCATCTGAAGAACTGCTCTAGGTTCAGGGAGGCCCCATGCCCACCAGCAGGAACACATTGGACCTCTGAGGCCCTGTCCAGCCAATGACCTGCTGGCCTCATTATGAAGTTCAACCTTCATCTTCGTACTATTTCTTTTTCTTGAAGAGTTTTCTTTATTTATTCTCTTTCATTCTTCTCTTTATTGCTGTGTTTTCAAAGCATTTGTATTTTCCAATCGTCTTATTCTAAATTATATTAAATTTAGTATCATTTCAGTCTATCATGCCTTATTATTCTTTTTGATATTCTAGTTGATATTTTTATTGAAAAAAAAAGGATTTGGAACCTTTATTTTGCTTCTACAAGCTACTTGTTTGGATTAGTCAGTTCAGGCTGCCACAACCCAATACCATAGACTGGATGGCTTAAACAACGGAAATTATTTCCCATGATTCTGGAACCTGGAAGTCTGAAATCAGAGTGCTAGCATGGTTGGCTTCTGGTGAGGGCCCTCTTGCTGGCTTGCAGACAGCTGCCTTCTCAGTAAGTCTTCACATGGTGAGGAGAGAGACAGAGAAACAAAGACAGCAAAGTCTCTGGTATGTCTCTTTTTTTGTTTTATGTTATTTTTTTTTTTGAGATGGAGTCTCGCTCTGTTGCCCAGGATGGATGCAGTGGCAGAATCTTGGCTCACTGCAACCTCTGCCTCTGCAGATTACAGGCATGAGCCACTGTGCCCAGCCAGGTATGTCTTCTTATAAGGGTACTAATTATTCCATTAGGAAGTTCCCCCATATGACCTTTTCTACACCTATTTACCTCCCAAAGGCCCCATCACATAGGGAGTTAGGGCTTCAACATACATATTTGGGGATGGGGAGCACAATTTAGTCCATAGCACTAACTATTTTATGGCCGTCTTTCTGTTTTTTCATTTCTTTCATCTTTTTTTTTTTTTTTTGGCTTTGTAGTATTTACTTATTAGTATAGAATCTCATTTAAACCTTCTTTTTGTCTCCTAGAGGTGGCTACTTCATTTTTCATTTTCAGCTTTATTTTAACTATTTAATTTTATTCCTAAGTTTTTATTTCTATTGTATAATTGTATCATTTAATTTTTTAAAATTTCTATTTTACAATTACATGATTTGCCTATGTCTTATTGCTTTCTTTTTGTGATTGAGATTCTGGGGCTGTATAGATGGAAGCTCTGATGACAGTTCTTTTTCTGAGGAACAGGGATCAGTTCTTTTTCCACCTCCAGCTGATCATTTATCATCTTAGACTCCACATTCCCTCATCCTAGAGCAGTAAGCAAAAGATCTCCACCCTCCCTCTTTCTCTACATCTGCTAACTTGAGGGAGATACATCTGAGTGGCTGGAAGATTACCACCTCACATCATCAGCCCTCCACACCTTCTGTGAAGAAAAGCATGATGCATGATACCCGAGTTCTGCTATGCAGCCACCATGCCCCACAGAGGTCATGACCACAGGACTTATTCTGCAAAGAGGAAGCAGCAGGGTAAGATAGTCCATATGGGGAGGGATCCTCCATGCGGTCTTTGTTGGGGACTTCTTGCATGACCTGTCTCCCCTCTTGAGGATTGCCCAATCAGTGCCCTGAACATAGATATTCCCTTCTAATGGAAGCTGGGTGCCAAGTGACAACTTGGCACCATATTCTTCTTCCTTATTAGGAGAAATCTTTTCCTTATTCTGAGTGCACAGTGAACTTCCTTGTATTGCTTTGGCATATGCATCGTATGGTACCTGGCCAGTGCCACCAGTATATCTGCCCCCATAGGAAGAAAACAGAGTCCCTCTGCTGCAGCATGAGAGGGGTGTATGCAGTCCATCACTCTGCATCAGCTATTGGGATGAACCCACTAGCTGCAGGAGAGCAACACACACCACACAACAGATTTTGCTGTTCCTCTCCTTTCTATGAGTAAAACATTGTTCCAGCCAGTGCTTTGTATGTTGAGTGCTCCTTGACAACTCCAAGCCCATAGTTGATGCAGTGGACCAAGGTCTGTGGGCTTCTACGTCTGATGGTTGACATCGTCATGCTCTTTGGATGCTACATGGTGGTAATCCTTACTTGGGATTGGCAGATGAGCCTGACTGCTCAATAGTATTTTAACAAACAAGCAAGTAGTCTTGAGCCTCCATTTACAGCCCTTGAAAGGAAGCATGAAAACCCATAAGCAGGGCTCAAAAATCTTTCTATAGTTAGTAAAAATAGATC
Source organism: Homo sapiens (assembly GCF_000001405.40). Lineage (NCBI taxonomy): Eukaryota > Metazoa > Chordata > Mammalia > Primates > Hominidae > Homo > Homo sapiens. The sequence goes on from NC_000002.12 coordinate 221,119,938, forward strand.
AATTTGACTTCAATATACTAATTATCACATAGACTAAACGTTCTTGCAGTTGCTTGTTACATAGTTCTCCCTAACTCCCCCACCACACCCTATAAGAACAAAAACAACAACAAATTCAATGTATTTTCTATTACCTCATCTCCCTCATCAATTTCTTGGTTTAACTTTGAACAATTCATAATTTGACATAACTTAGTTTAATATTGTACTTCTGTCATTTTCATCCCATTGGCTGAGAGACCAAGTACAATATATTTTTTGAGCTTTCTAATCCCAAGGTAATGGTTAATTTTATGTGTCAGCTTCACGGCCGCAGGGTACCCAGACATTTGGATAAACATTATTCTGGATGTGTCTGCGAGGGTGGTTTTGGATGAGATTAACATGTAAATCAATAGGCTAAGTAAAGTAGATTGCACTCCCCAACACGGGTGAGCCTCACCCGATTTGTTGGATGCCTGAATAAAACAAAAGGCAGGGTAAGAGAGAATCGTCTCTCTCTGCTGGATGGTTTTTTTGAGCTGGTACATCTGTCTTCTTCTAAATTTGGCCTGGAATATAGACTATTGGCTCTCCTGATTCTCTAGCCTTTGGATTCAGACTGGAACTACAACATCAGCTCTCCTCCAGTTGACAGATGGCAGATTGTGGGACATCTCAGCTTTCGAGTCATGTGAACAAATTTCTTATAATACATCAATCTCTCTCTCTTCTCTTTCCCCTCTCCCTCTCTCTGTGTCTCTATAGATAGATAGACTGATAGACCTGGGATACATTCACACACACACATGCACACACATACTATACTATTGGTTCTGAATCCTAACTATTAGGTTGAGGCCAAAGTAATTGTGGTCTTTGCCATGGCAAAAACCGAAATTACTTTGGCATCAACCTAATACTAGCCCTTAGTTACCTCATCTGAGAAGTACTAGTCATATGGTGTCTAACTTATTAGGTCATTGAGGAAATAAAAGCAGAAGTAAAATCAAAAGTGCTTACCTGTATTACCAGTGCTCAGTAGACACTAACTTTCATTATTCAATAGCTCTGGAAATTTATTGAAAATCCTCACAGCAAATTCAATTTATTTACAGCGTTGATGTCATCAATCAATTTCAGTCCTCCTTTCAGAATGTGTGCTTCTTAGAATGTCCTGGTGACTCTCTCAAGTTATCAGTTTACAGGTGTTCTATGGAAATCATATCCCAGTGACATCATTGTATGAGGTTGGGATGTTTTTTCCATCTCTAATGTGATTTATTTTCTACTTTGGGAATCACACGCAGTGTTCAGTGAAGAGATCAGGTCAAAAAAGGACTCTCAGAGAGCTCCCATCTTAGTTTCCCCTGGGGATCCTGGCAAGGGTGCAGGCTGCCACCTTCTGAGTTTTATATCAAAACTTCTCAGCCTGCACCTGGCACCTAAAGAATGCTTATTATGTTGGGTCTTTGATCAAAGGACCACAAGGTGAGGGCAAGAGGAGAGGGGATGCATCGGGGACGAGGAACAGATGGCATTTTCTTTCACCCATACAAAGGGAAGTACAAAGCAAGCAGATTCTGTGAAGCAAAGGGAAATATGAGTTCTAACAACACCTTGTGTAAGTTTTTCCAGTTGCCATATTTTGTTTGTTTGTTTGTTTTTGAGACAGTCTCTCACTGTGTAGCCCAGGCTGGACTGCAGTGGTGCAATCTCAGCTCACTGCTGGTACCTCCTGGCTCAACCTCCTGGGCTCCAGCAACCCTCCCACCTCAGCCTTCCAAGTAACTGGGACTACAGGTGTGCACCACCGTGCCTGGCTAATTTTTGCATTTTTTGGGATGGGGTTTCGCCATGTTGCCCAAGCTGGTCTGGAACTTCTGGGCGCAAGCAATCTGCCCACTCCGGCCTCCCAAAGTGCTGGGATTATAGGATTGCACCACCGTACCCAGCCAGTTGCCATATTTTCAAACATACCTTTTAAAGACTCATCAAGAAAACCCATGGATAGGTCATACAAAATTTTTTTCATGACTCAGATTTATTTCCTTTACAAGTTGAAGAAATACAAGTATTTACTCTTTTATTTTTATGCCACAACAAAGGTGTAAATCACTTAGTTGCCTGCTACCTCCCTGACTTTCCATCTTTTTCCGTTAGGGGCTATACAGTTGTCATTTATCAATGACCAGTTGGTTTTATAGGCTTATTATCTCAAGGGGGACTCAGTCAACTATTAGCTAACTCAGTCACATATTATCTTCAAATCTGTGAACTCCTTCACATATTCGAAGTTCAGAAAGGTCACACATAAAGTGAGAGAACTATCTATTTGATTCCTTTCCGGGTCATTCTACACGGCCACCACTATGATTAAACAATGGAAGTGTGAGAAGTCGGAGGGAAATAATTAGGCTGGATAAATACTGTGGCCCCTCACACTGTGCTTCACGCCATGAAAATGTTTCAGGCCAGGCACGGTGGCTCACACCTGTAATCCCAGCACTTTGAGAGGCTGAGGTGGGCAGATCACCAGGTCAGGAGATTGAGACTATCCTGGCTAACACAGTGAAACCCCGTCTCTACTAAAATCACAAAAAATTAGCTGGGCGTGGTGGCAGATGCCTGTGGTCCCAGCTACTCGGGAGTCTGAGGCAGGAGAATGGTGTGAACGTGGGAGACAGAGCTTGCAGTGAGCCAAGATCACACCACTGCATTCCAGCCTGGGCGACAGAGCGAGACTCTGTCTCACCAAAAAAAAAAAAAAAAAAAGTTTCAAAAACCTTTAGGCATACTAAGTTTGCAAAAAGCAAAAATTATACTCTACACATAGCATCTGGCACCCCGGTCTAGATTTTAATGTTAACCAAACAATGGATGAGCAGATCCAAAGTTCCCTGACTATTCAACGGAAAGCAAGATTTTTGTAAAAGCTAAAAGCTACAATAAAATTCAGACTAACAAGATGTCTTATATTTAGTCAATACTTGATGTACGTGGGGATGGATTACATACTGTAAGTCATTTAAACAATGAAATTTCAGCAACCAAAGAAGCAATATAATCCATCTTGCCCAAAAAGTAGCTCCACTAGTATGGCTAAAAACACAAACCATAATTCCATGGGATATTGAATTTATAAAGAGGTATAGATAACACAAGGGTGGAATATATCTTCCTGTGTTTTATACTTCTCTTACATTTGCTTCATCATTAAATATTTTAATAAACATAACAATATAAACTGTTAAACATAATTTTGTAAACAAGAGAATTAAAAAACTTACTAAATATGAATGTACCATATTGATGCTTTAACATTATAAACAAAAGCAGGTTTTATTTTTTTTCCAAGCACACAGTTAGATAACAAGTGATAATTTAATTCAACTGGTATTTGGGGGTTGTGTAGCTTTTAATATATTAATATATGTGGAATTTCTTTTAACCAAATGCATTAGTGACTTTTTAAACCAGGTACAATGAATATATTTAAATAATTTTTAAGAATATAAGAAACAAGAGGGTTTTATAGAGAGATGTTTAGAAAGAAATGAGACTGATTTTTCTTGTGTGTTCTATAAAGCTTACTCTAAAAGCAATTAAGAGAGTTCTTTTTTAAAAAATCTTTAGCATCCATGGAACATGCGTATGTCAGTGCTCCGATTTTAGCCTCCAGCCAAAAACTGCCTCATGATCTTAAACTAACTTGCAATCTCTAAGTTCCAGTTTCCTCATCTGTAAAGATAATAATAGTATTTAACTTATAATTTTGTGAAGATTTTAAAAGATGATAAATGTCAAAAGTTTGGCATAGTGTCTGACTTACTGTAAGCACGTAGTGCCTTCTGGCTGCTTTCATTGTTGTTATCATTATTAATCCCTTTCAAAGTTTATTGGACTTGTTAAAAGTCAATATTTTTACTTGGTATCAAGCAACTTCTGATCTTACCTTTTTAATAACATGATAGTAATTTATCATGGGTAAACAGATTATTTGGACAGACTATTTGGATAGACTATTCCAGTAGCAAACTTCAATGCTTTTCTAATATGCAGATAAAAGTATTTCAAAAAAGGAAAATATATCAGCAATACGAAGAAAACACATGAGGAAGGGTGTTGATAATTTTATATCAAATTAGGAAAAGTTAGCACATTGTAACATTCATAGTACTGAGTGAGTATAGAGTATGCAGGCACTACAAACATTTTTATGCTCAATATTTTGGATTCTCTTTTTTTCATTTATGAAGAAGGAAAGAGTAAAAGAATAAATGGTACCACTGACTTGTTACTGATGACTACACGTTAAGCACTCAAGAACAGCCTGCAAGAGGCCTTTGAATCCTTACTCAGTTGTGCTGGTTTAGAAATCCTTAGGGATTAGCTTCTCATTGACAACTAAGCCTGGGAAATGACTTGAGGGTTACACTTAGTACCCGTTCTTGTTAATAAATATTATAATACTTCTCTAGAAAATTAGATACAAATCCTGAGCAAACCAAAATCCAATTCCAAGAACAGCTTTCAAGTTTGAGAGGTTTTCTATCTGTTCCATGAAAGCACAAGGAGTAAGAAGCATTAATTGCAAAGAGCATTTCGATATAAAGACTCCATGGAGCATTCAGTACTTCCTCTATGTGAATTTTCAGTAGGAAAAAAAATAGGTCTTTCATGAAAAACAATCTCAGACTACTCCCTTCCACTCAGAATTCATAATTATGCTTAATCTGCTGCTCCTCTTGGCTCGCTTACAGGTCCTGTTGGCAGGTAGTGAATACAAAATGAATTTAATGGGGGGTCCCCTGGGAATGGAGCAAAAGTTTTAGCATTTACCGGTTCACAATGGAGAAAGGCCAGCTGTTGGGAGCCCTGAGCTCCACGGCCACAGCTCCCCCAAAGCAGCCACGCACATGGATGGCTGCAGGTCAGCAACCTGGGAAAGAAGAGGCAGCCGCTGGGCAAAGGATGGCCCTAATGTGAGAAAGCGAAACAGGACTGCAAAGCTGCGTGGCTCACCAGCAACAGAGCCAGACAGGCAATCCCTGGTGAGATGTGGCAATGCCCAGCATGGGGTGTGTTCCTGTCTGCTTTCCTTTGGCAGAAGGCTGCCCCAAGGGCAAGTGCTAATGAGAGTGAGGCGCTTGGAGATGGGAGATGCTTGAGTCCATCAAAGAGCTCATTCAGAGCTGCCCTGTCTCCACCACCCACTCAGGAGCTGCTGAACCAGCTTAAGTTACTATCCTCTCCACATTCCTAAAGGTATGGTTACTTACAGACCCACCGGACAGCCTGGGAGTAAAAGAGAAAGCATTTCTCACTCTGTGTGTGTGTGTGTGTGTGTGTGTGTGTGTGTTAGATACTGACATTTTGTGGTGTGTATTTTGTTTGTGTTTATGTGTACTTTAATTTATATTTAAAATAGATTTGAAGGAGTGATAATGCTACCAATTCCAAAGAAAGCTCTTTGTGTCTATCACAATCATTCACTCACTCATTCATCCTTTCATTCATTTAAACATTCTTCAGTATTTAGCGCATTAGATTATAAATCACCTGTGCCCTTTTTAAAAATAAAGTTGTCATCAAACGGAAATTTCTTTCACTGTGGTTTATAAAAACACTCATTCTCAAGCGGCCAGCATTTTGCAGAAATATTCCGTTTTGCTTTATTCTTTGTTTTAGGAAAAAGATTGTTTTAAATGTATTCTTTTTCACTCCTGATTTCTGTAAGCCCTTAATCCTATATATGACATGCATGTATGTATATATGTTTGTATGTGTGTATACATACATTTATTCATTCATAAAATTATTTATTAAACACCTACTATGTGCTGGGGTCTGGCCTAAATGCTGGGTGTGGAAAGAGGAGTAGGACACAGTCCAGACTTTTGAAAGTCTCCCTGACAATGAGAAAACGTGTATGTCAACAAGTCCAATCCTGCAAGCTATTAAAGCATCCAAGAGTAGTGTGTATTAGTCACCACAACAACCCCCACAATATGACTTTTTGCACTGAGGTGGGAGGATCTTAGATAGAAAAGGATGCCTGACTTGGATCCCACTGTTACACTTCAGTTTTAATGAAAAACACCAACAACTATGCGTTTTTCGGATTTATCTCCAGCATCTCTATTTTATTTTGAACAAGCCCCATAATAAAGTCACAGTTAATAAGGGTCACAGAGTATTTAAAGGGCAATAGCCACACTCTTAGTGGGGGCCATAGAGCTCTGGACTGTTCAGATGAAGAGGCCAGGCAGCATGAACTCCAATATGTGCAATTTATACATGAAAAACCTGAGGCCCTCACAGTGAGAAGAAAGGATCATTTGCTTGAGATTAGAATGTCTAGGATCATTTGCATGGGTCCTTAGGCATCTTTAAATTCTATAGAGACCCAAACAGTTCAATATTCAATTAAAAAGAAAAGAACAAAACCCTAGATGATGAGAGCGTGTTTTAAATCATCCCTGGGAAATTTACAAAAAAACAAATCGGACAAAGAGCACGATTTAACATCTTTTCATTACAAGGAACATTTATTACCTATTTTGAGGACCTAGCACTTTTTGTAATAACAGCTGGTTAGATGAAATACAACACACACACCATTTCTTAACTAACACTAAATAATGGCTGTTAAGTCCACTACCCTATCCTCTCAGGTGGTGGTCATTTAGCTGATACCTGTGTCTCTGCAGCCTTGGAAGTTTATTTATTGCTTTGTTCAACAAACATTTATTAAGCATCTCTTTTGTGCCAGGCACTGTGCCTGTAACCTTCAAGAAGTATGGAGATGAAAGAATCAAAAATTATTTGTGTTGGACAAATTGTAATATGAAGTAAAAGTATAGCAATGAAAATATGAATGACACTGATATGGTTTGGCTCTGTAGCCCCACCCAAATCTCATCTCAAATTGTAATCCCCTTGTGTCAGGGAAAGGGACCTGGTGGGAGGTGATTGGATCATGGGGGTGGTTTCCCCTATGCTTTTCTCATAATAGAGTTCTCACAAGATCTGGTTGTTTGATAAGTGTGGGCTCTTCCCGCTTCTTTTCTCTCTCTCTCTCCTGCTGCCTTGTGAAGAAAGTGCTTGCTTCTCTTTCGCCTTCCACCATGATTGTAAGTTTCTTGAGGCTTCCCCAGCCATGTGGAACTGTGAGTCAATTGAACCTATTTTCTTCATAAATCACCCAGTCTCAGGTAGTTCTTTCTAGCATTGTGAAAATCGACTAGTAAATAAATTGATACCGGGAGTTTGGGGCACTGTTATAAAGATACCCGAAAATGTGGAAGTGACCTTGAAACTGGGTAACGGGCAGAGGTTGGAACAGTTTGGAGGGCTCAGAAGAAGAAAGGAGGATGTGGGAAAGTTTGGAACTTCCTACAGACTTGTTGAATGGTTTTGACCAAAATGCTGATAGTGATATGCACAATGAACTCCAGGCTAAGGTGGTCTCAGATGGAGATGAGGAATTTATTGGAAATTGGCATAAAGGTCACTCCTGCTATGCATGAGATTGGAAGGATTGTGCACCTGCCCTAGAGATCTGTGGAAGTTTGAACTTGAGAGAGATGATTTAGAATATCTGCTAAGCAGCAGTGTTCAAGATGTGACCTTGCATTTCCTAAAAGTCTACGCTCATATGCATGAAGAAGAGATGTTCTGAAATTGGAAGTTATGTTTAAAAAGGAAGCAAGCATAAAAGTTTGGAAATTTGGCAGCCTGACTACGTGGTAGAAAAGAGAAACCCTTTTTCTGGAGATAAATTTAACCCAGCAGCACAAATTTGCATCAATAACAAGGAGCCAAATGTTAATAGCTAAGACAATGGGTAAAATGTCTCCAGGGCATGTCAGAGATGCTCACAGCAGCCCCTCCCATCACAGGCCCAGAGGTCTAGGAGGAAAAAGTGGTTTCATGGGCCAGTCCCAGGGCCCCACTGCTCTGTGTAGCTCTGGGATATGGTACCCTGTGTCCCAGTCATTCCAGCTCTAACCATGGCTAAAGGGGGCCAAGATACAGCTCAGGCCAATGCTTCAGAGGGTGCAAGCCCCAAGCCTTGGCAGTTTTCATGTGGTGTTGGACCTGTGGGTGAACTGGAGAGAAGAGTTGAGCTTTGGGAGCCTCTGCCTAAATTTCAGAGGGTGTATGGAAATGCCTGGATGTCCAGGCAGAAGTCTGCTACAGGGGTAGAGCCCTCATGGAGAACCTCTAATAGGGCAGTGCAGAGGGAAAATGTGGGGTTGGAGCCCCCACACAGAGTCCCCACTGGGGCACTGCCTAGTGGAGCTGTGAAAAGAGGCCACCATCTTCCAGACCCCAGAATGGTAGATCCTCTGAGAGCTTGCACTGTGCACCTGAAAAAGCTGCAGGCACTCAATGTGAAAGCAGTCATGAGGGCTATACTCCACAGAGCCACAGGGGTAGAGCTGCTCAAGGCCTTGGGAGCCCACTCTTGTATCAGTATGGCTTGGATGTGAGACATGGAGTCAAAGGAGACTACTTTGGAATTTTAAGATTTAATGACTGCCCTGTTGGGTTTTGCATTTGCATGGGGCCTGTAGCTCCTTTGTTTTGGCCAATTTCTACCATTTGGAATGAGAACATTTACCAAGTGCCTATACCCCTATTACATATTGGAAGTCACTAACTTGCTTTTGATTTTACAGGCTCATAAGCAAAAGGGACTTGCCCTGTTTCAGATGAAACTTTGGACTTGGACTTTTGGGTTAATGCTGGAATGAGTTAAAATTTTGGGGGACTGTTGGGAAGGCATGATTGTGTTTTGAAATGTGAGAAGAACACGAAATGTGGGAGAGGCCAGGGGAAAAATGATATGGTTTAACTCTGCTTTGTGGCCCCATCCAAATCTCATCTCGAATCGTAATCTCCATGTGTCAGGGAGGGACCTGGTGGGAGGTGATGGATCATGAGGGTACTTTTGTCCGTGCTGTTCTCATGATACAGTCCTCACGAGATCTGGTTGTTTGATAAGTGCATGGCTCTTCCCCCTTCTCTCTCTCTCTTGCTTCCTTGTGAAGAAGGTACTTTCTTCCCCTTCACCTTCCACCATGATTGTAAGTTTCCTGAGGCCTCCCCAGCCATGCAGAAGTGTAAGTCAATTAAACCTTTTTTTAAAAATATAAATTACCCAGTCTTAGGTAGTTCCTTATAGGAGTGTGAAAACAGACTATTACAAATGCTTATTAGTTTTATTAATAATAGTAAGGCCATTGTATAAAACAGGCATCCACACACGTGGAAATAAATCAATATAGGAAAGGGAAAACCAACAAATAGGAATGACTAACAGACAATTAGTTTCCACGCATCAAGAGTATGAGAGCTTTGTGAATTTGGCAAAGCTGGATTTGGATGTTTCTGTCTTTGCTTAGGACCAGTTTAGAAAATACAAGATAGGCCAGGCATGGTGGCTCATGCCTGTAACTGCAGCACTTTGGGAGGCCGAGGCGGGCGGATCATGAGGCCAGGAGGTCGAGACCATCCTGGCTAAGACGGTGAAAACCCGTCTCCACCAAAAATTCAAAAAATTAGCCAGGCGTGGTGGTGGGCACCTGTAGTCCCAGCTACTTGGGAGGCTGAGGCAGGAGAATGGCGTGAACCTGGGAGGCGGAGCTTGCAGTGAGCCGAGATTGTGCCACTGCACTCCAGCCTGGGCGACAGAGTGAGTCTCTGTCTCAAAAAAAAAAAAAAAAAAAAAAAAAAGAAAGAAAGATAATAGATAATCTTCATTTGCTGCTGTTTCCCTCTGCTGCTCCAACTTTTTCAGTGATTCTGTTTCAACAAGATCTGAATGGAGTTCTTTTAATGTGGGGTCTTACAAACTTACTGTGGTTTGGTGTGTTTTACTTCTTCTAATCTCATGTTGAAATCTGATCCCCAATGTTGGAGGCAGAGCTTAATGGGAGATGTTTAGGTCATGGGGATAAATCCCTCATGAATAGATTAATGTGTCCCTGGAGGAGTGGTGGTGAGTCTCACTCTATTAGTTCTCTTGAGAACTGGTTGTTAAAAAGAGCCTGGTACCTCCTCTCTCTCTCCCTCTCTCGTCATGTGACCTGTACACACCTGCTCCCCTTCACCTTCTGATATGAACAGAAGCAGCCTGAAGCCCTAACCAGAAGCATGTGCTTGTGCCATGCTTCTTGTACAACCTGCAGAACCATGATCCAAATAAACTTCCTTTCTTTATACACTACCCCGCCTCAGATATTTCTTTCTAGCAACACAAGTAGACTAAGACAGTAAGCAAGGAACACGTGTAGAATCCAAACACTGTGGCCAGGTTTTATACAGGTTTCTAAAAGGCTTCTGCTAGAAGTAGAGGTGCTATCATCTAATCACTAATTCTGCTGCACAAGGAAACGATAAGCTCTTCTTTCCATGACCTATCAGTTAATAGGACTCAGGCTGCATTGTGCTTTTTCTTTTCTGAGGTATCCTATCATTGATGTTCACATTTATTCTTACTAGACTAAGATTAATCTCTCTCAGTAATGTTTAGGAAGATGACTGCCTGTAGGAGCCCCTCAGTGTCTCCCCTATATTCTCTAACACAGCTTCTCCAGTGTCAGAAGATCTGAAATAGTTTCCACTTTCCTCTACTGCTGCCATATTTCCCTGACGTTTTCTGTACCTTATTTCCCCTACACTCCTGCACTGTGTAACTGCTGAATCACAAACACTTCCCCCAGGATGGTCAGCAAAACCACAGCTTGTCTTATTATCTGTTGCTCTTTGCTTTGGGTCTGTTGAAAAATCAGTGCAAGAAATGATGTTCTCTCCACTGCTAGCAGATGTCCCATGCTGAGACCCATGACTGGACCTCCTTTGTTTCTCCTTTGCAAAGCTATCTTTTTCCTGTGCCTGCCTGTCTCCCACCTGTTGGCCCTCTTAGAGGATACTCATCTACCAGCCTAGGTGAAACTCAAAGCTTCTGTGACAATGACAAAAATATATACAATATTATTTACAGAGAAACATTTGTTCATAACAATTCTGCTGCAAGCTTCTTGATCTTTGTGATTTCATCAACATCATTTTCCTTCTTAAGCCTCACTGGCTTCCTTTCTGATCCCTGAACTTGACCAGGCATCCCTGTCTTTGGACTCACTGTCTGTTCTCTCTTCCCTCCGTTCTCTCACCATCCTTCCCTCTGCATGTCTGCCAACTTCTTGTCATTAGAATCTTAGCTTAAAAGCTTTCCTAGAAGATGCCCTCCCTCTAGGGCTGGGTCAGAGAATGTAAAAGATGTGCCTGGAAGACCTTGTGGTGCCAGAAAGTAAGGAAGTATCTAATGATAGAGACATGTCCAGAGGACACAGGGTCTAGCACAAAGGAACTTCCACTTGGACATTCAGATAATCAAGATAAATAATAGTAAACAATTACAAGACACTAAATAAAATGAGAACCTAAGAGTCCACGCTGACATAAATAAATCCAGAAAGGAATTGGGAAACACAATATAGAAGGAAAGATGGGATTAGAAATTAATATTTGGAAACGATCATAATAATAATTGATTCAGGCAAAAATTATAGGAACTATGATTATAGACCTGGGTGAAAGTTTGAGAAGTAATGGTATTTATAAACTATCTCCCCACAAAATATTTACTAATGCAAAGGGAAAAATAGTAATTTTACAATAAAGAAACATGTCAGATACTACCTTAGCCAAGTGATCAAAATTCACATCATTAGTAATGGGACAAATTGACATCACGTGCCCCTTAATAGGATGCCCAATATTGCCTAATGGTATTCCTGCCAAAAGTGAAGACTCTCAATCTAATCATAAGGAAACCAGTCCAGAAAAGGATTGTCTTGTTACTCTTCAAAAATGTAAAGGTCATGAAACACAGGAAAGATTGAGGGACTCTGCTGGATTAAAGGAGACTAAGGAGACATGACAACTGAATGCCACACAGATTCCAGGGTTTTGTTTTGCTGAAAAAGACATTATTTGGAAAATCAATCAAAACTGAAGAAAGTCTGTAGGTTAGGTAAGAGTATTGCATCAGTGCTAGTTTCCTGATTTTGATAATTATAAGGTTGCTATGTAAGAAAATGCCCTTTCAGAAAATGCAAATTTAAGTATTTAGAGGAAAAGGGGCATTATGTCTGCAATTTGCTCTAAAATGGTTCAAGAAAGAGAAAGCAAATATGTTTGTATGTCTGTGTGTGTGTGTGTGTGTGTGTGTGAGAGAGAGAGAGAGAGAGAAACAGAGAGAGAGACAGAGAAACAGAGAGAAGGTTATTATGGTGAAATTTCAACACTGGGGAATTTGGGTGAATAATTCTAATCTTGAAACTTTTCTGTAGGCCTGACAAGTCATGAAAATTGAAAAGTTAAAAGAAGAAAAAGAAAAAAGTTTTTCCCTGGTCACTTAGTGACTTTACATATCCTATTTCAGTTCTCTTCATGCCAGCTGTCACTACTTGATATGATTCCTGCCTTCTACATTGCTAGTTTATCTGTATGTTTTTTGCCTTCCCCACTAAAAGGTAAGCTCTCTGAGACAAGAAACTTGCATATCTTACCTTTGGTATAAATCACCACTAAAACATTCTATTTCTGACCCAAAGTTTTCTTAACTATCTCACTCCATTTAGTATTGTCATCCCAGGTTAAGCTAAACTCAGGTCTTCGATGGAAGAATTTGAGATCCTTCTAAACGGGTTCTCTATTTCCATTCTTCCTCTAGTGTAGTTTCCTAGCAGCTATAGTCATCAATATATGTAAATCAGGTTCTCTTTTTTAAAAAAGTCCAATGGCTTGCCTTCAGAATTAGAATGAAACCCAAAGTCTAAACCACGGCCTATGAGACCCCCAGCCTCCACTTAGATTTTCTATTCTGTTATTTGTCATTTTTCTGGCTCAGTTTTACATAAATTGCTATTTCCTGTGCCTCAAACACTTCTTTCCCACAAGTTCCCCAATTCACTGATACCCCTGGCTCAGATATCCCCTCTATCACTCCTTCTGATATATTTAAATAGCCTCCCTTTCCCTACCAAACTAGTTCTTAATCATTTGAAAGTAAGTTGCTCCTTTACCTCTAAATACTTTTTCTCCCATTATAACCTGAAATGCCATTTAATGTGTATTCATATGGCTGCTTGTCTCCCATACATGAAGTGTAGTCAGAGCAGAAATTTTGTCAAACTGTTGAACACTTTATCCCCAGCCTAGGCACATAGTAGGTAATAAATTAATTTGTATTAAATGAACCAACATGTAATGTTTACTGTAGATAGTAGATATAATAATAGAATGCTTATAAACATGTAATATCTTCTTTAGGAAGGCAATTTTTATACCCACTGAGGTGGGACTCAGACTTTTTGATTAGTTGGCTATAAATGTATTAATGGTAATCACAGATGCTCTTAAGACCTGCTCTAATCCTGTAACCACAGTGTCATATAATTACCTCTGTCTAGGTTGTCAGGCTTTAAAAACCTGTTGCTATCCCACGGCCACAGGTCTTGTTTGGTTAGGCCCATCACCCAGGACTAGTCAACCCGGGTTTAGGCCAAGAACTGGCCACTTGCGGCCATCACAATTTCATGATTTCTACTAACACTCCAACATCTCTCAGAATGTTCTTGGCATTCTGTGAGAGGTTCATTATTTTGCCTCCATGGTTTGGGGCTGACAGAAATAGTCCCTGTGGCAAGCAGCACAACAGTATAACTTCCTTAGAAAACAACAGGCCATTTTCTCTATGGCCTTTCTTCATTCCTCTCTCAGAAATTTTTCCCACATTGATGGCAGTAGGACAAACATCTGTGCTTAATGTTCAAAAGCCACGGCTTATATTCAACCTTCTGTAATCCTAGTGGGGGTAAAATATAAACTGGTAGCACCTGAAATCCTTCAACTCCTTCCTGTCCCATTACTTTATTTTACGGGCCCATGTACATCGGGATCTCACAGCCTGGTTCTGCTAATGATCAGACAAATACACACTTTCCTAAGGAGTCAGGATGGCATATTGGAAAGAGCATAACTTTAGAGTCATGCAGATTTGGTTTCTAACCCTGGTTTTACTACTGTTTCTAACAAGTGACCTTGGATAAGTGACTTAATCTCAGTGGCTTTTCGATTTTTCAGAGGCTTTAACTTCTGCCTCAGAAGGATTTGGGGAAGATTAAAAGAGGAAACAGATGTGTGCCACCCAGCATGGAGTCTGACACATAGTCAATGTCCATTGATTATAACATGCCCATTGCATTAGCCTGGCACATAGAAGGAATTCAACACATATTTTCAGGATGAATGGGTGAATAAAGGCCTGAAAAATGTGAAGTTCATGTGCGTTCCTCTTGCCACTAGTTCTGGACCCATTCCATCCCCCAAATTTTCACAAGAATAGAAGTGATAATGTACACTGAAATTCATCAATGTGAATGATTTTAAATTGCTTCATATTTACTCACATCCATTGCCAGAAAGGTTTTAGGGATAACTAGCTCACAGAGATAAAACAAACAAAAAAAAACAAAGAGAAAGCAATACAATTTATTGTCCATTAGCAAAAGCCTTATTTCAGTTGGAAAGCTGAATGTCCTAGCAGGTGGCTCTTCCAGAAAGAAAACCACAATAACAACTAATCCACAATTAAATTAAAATGAGATCTTCATTAATATATAAAGCTAGGGCTGTCCATCACTGTCACTTATTTTACTCTGAGCTGTTTGATATCTAAAGACTACTTGTGTAAACCGAATTGATAACCAGGTCATTATACCAACTAACTGGGGCAATCACGCTCCCTGATCCCATTGTTTATGGCAGAGACTTATGGATACTCCTTCAAATCTATATCGTCTTATTTATCCTGAGCACACAGCTAGACTACATTTCCCAGGCTTCATTGCAGTTAGTTATTGCTACAGACTAAATACTAACTAGTCAATGCAAAGTGAGTAAAAATGAAATGCATCACTTTCAGGTACGGTCCATTGAAACCTCCTGCTAACCATGCCCACATTTCCCTCTTTCTGGCTAAAAGAATAGAGACAACCTCAGGGTAACCTTAGAAACTACATGGTGAAGATGGCTGCACTTCTCTAATCCTGAGTTCCTGAATGCCTTTGTAGAGGTCAACAATTTCACCAACCTATTTATCTATGTATCTGCCTTGTTATGTGAGCAAGAAATAAACTTCTATTATATTGAATCATAATACATTTGGTGGTCAATCTGTTATGGAAATTATTCTGCTCTATGAATACACTGAAAAGAAACAGGTTTTCTCTATCAATCACCACCCCCAGAAGTGAAAGAATTATAAAAGCAACCAATATCAAAGTGGGTACTCAGCATATACATAATCCTTCAGTTGTTTTTATCTTAGAATTCCTTATCCTTACAACACTTTCAGACCAAATTTAGAAATTTTCCATCAGCATTTGTTTTCTCACATTTTATAGTGCCTCAATACATATTACACTGAGCATTATTTAAACTAATACTAAGATAATTATTCATAATCATTTCCACATTTCTGTGATCAATCCTAAGAGTTGCTTCCTTAAAAATTTTGCAACCAATACGTGTTTTAAGAATCTTTATACTCTTCCTTCACTCCATCTGATGAATTACTTGAAAGCAGGGACAAAGTATTTTATCTATGAATGTCCAGTACATAGAACAATGCCTGGCATATAGGGGAGCACTCAGCAGGTATCAAGCTCCCTGCAATTAGAGAAGCATAGCCATAGGAAATATATTTTATTATTAACTCAACGTTTCTATACTTTTAGTCAATCAATGCCATATAATGTATATAAAATGGTCACACAGTAATAATGCAAACTTTAAATTTATGCCTAGTGTTCCATTATTGGAATGCTAAGCATGTTGGAGTTATTTATATCCTACTGCTCAAGGTCATCCCCAAGGTCTGATTTTGCAGTTCAAAAAATTGCAAACTCAGGGATAAATGGATTAAAGAACAGGATAAATGAAACAAAAGAAATGGCCTCTCCTCTTAATAATAATCTCCAGGAAAGGCACAACACCATAGTGGTACTGATTTGCAGGAGGCAACCCCAGTAAAGGGCATGAGCCAAATGGAGGAAGATTCTAGCCTCCTCTGGTTTTGTGCCCAGTGTATTTGCACACCTTGCTAGTTCTAGTGTTGTTCTTAAAGGCTATTTTAAGACTCAGCAGCTGTAAGTCTTTTTTTTTTTTAAAGAAGCTTTTCTAAGCCTTTTTGTTGCACAAAGAAAAAGCTGTTTCTCAAAAAATAAAGAGTTGCTGAAAGCCAGAAGCTTTTGATTTAATAGAAAACTCCAAACTCATCAATTTTAATCAATGCTTAATTGGGAAATCTCAGGATCTTAGGTTTTGTATATTTCTTAACATCCAATGTTTTGAAGATTATTTAATTAAATCAGCTAACCTGAAAAAGAAATAATAAAGAGTCAAGGAGAAAATACAGAGAAATGTCTCAGGGCTTACATAGAGGATTCTTTTATTCATTGCAAAAGCTGCAGGTTCACAGGCCTGTAATCCAAGGAAAATTAGTTCATTCATCTTTAACCATAGGCATAGATGTGCCTCTCATATTTTTACCCTACGTACACTAATTCATAACTGTCAATCAACTTTTAAAACCTTGATTATGTCTGATGGTCTTGGTGAGGTTAGCTGGCCACATTATAAAATCCTACTAAAAATCATTATATTTCCTTCAATGTCAATGCTCACCACCTAAATGGAATCTTCATTTCAAATTCATACTCCCTGTTCACTACAAGTCAATATGAGGGGTTTTGTAATTATTGTGAAAGTAATATACACTTATATGAAAGTTTTTAGAGAAGAGAAATAACCAATTTCAATTAGTAAAGCAATTGAAATTCATAAGTTTCCTTAATCTTCTTGAAAGTTTTAGTAGTTTATGTTCCTTATTTAATATGGCAGAAAATTTATTCACTAACTTCTAAAACATTTCGGATTTTGTACAGGAGCTCAGCCTTGACTACAAATGACTTGCACATCTACTCCAACTGTTCAACTTAGTGACTACATGCGGATGTCACTGTATTTTCAATCTGCTTTTGAAAGCAAAAGTTATCATGCTTGACCTTGTATTATGTACACATACTGTTTTATTTTTTGTTTGATGAGGTTTTACTACTGTTTCTTTGTTTAATAAAAAATTTATCTCTAACATTTTGTGTTAGGTGATTAAAAATTACATCTCCTAGTTTCACATTTTAAAATCTGTAAGTTGTAGAATAAAACATTTCCCTCTTACCCCTTTTTCTAATCCATTGTCCCCACTTCCCAGGTACCTGCTACGATTCATTTCTTGCATATTCTTCCAGAGCTTCTTTGTGCACATACAAACAAATGCAAAATACCTATTATTATTTCTGCATTTTTGACATGAATGTTCACAGGCTCTACATACTCTTTGGTATCTTTATTCTCATCCTTATGAAGGAACACTTTGAATATTACTCATAATATCTGAAACTTTCTCCTCCAGATATTTTTAATAACAAAATTATTTAAAGAAGAAGAAAACAATGAAAAGCAAAACACTGTATAAAAGGCAAAAAAGGAAGTGAAATTCTAATGTTGAGACAGAGCAAAAAAACTCTTGGCAGGCAGGCACCTACACGATGATTCCGCCTCTTCCACCAGCTGCTGGCTCCCTTAGATGAACCACCAAGGTTAATTTTTTAAATTAAGGTATAAACAAGAAGCACATTTGTTAAAAAGCCATCTAACAAATATTGGATGGGCATCTACCTACTTTGTAACAGTCCACTGCTAAGGAAGATTACAGTAGAATAAATGGAAAATCTCTTCTCACAGAGTTTATATTCTAGTGGGAGGAGTTGAATTACTTGAGATGGGTGGTGAGGGAAGGTCTCTGTGTGGGCAATATTTCAGCTAGTTCATCGGGAGACCTGTGGGCAGATAGTGTCTGGTGAAAAGAATCATGAAAGTTAAGGAGACAAATAAAATGGCAGCAGTGCTTAGGAAACAAGATTGAGAAGCAGGCACTGTCCAGCTCTGATAGGAATTGTGGTTCTTGTCAAGGAGGTAGATTCTTTCACAAGCGTGATGGGAAGCCATTGGATGTTTTTAAAGCGGGAAATGACATGTCCTTATTTTCTCTAGGATCATGTTCATAAATGAACTCCTTATGATACTTTTGGTAATTGAGTTTTCATGTACAGGATTTGAGATAGAAAAAGAAAGTCTTATTAATGTGACTTTCCCAAGAACCTGTAGAGAAGGCAAGACTCACATCACCTTTCCCTTATAAATGCTGATGAAATTTAACAATCTAACCTCTATCCCCTCCATCGTCAGGGCCTCTCTGATTGTTTCATAAAATGCTGTAATCCAATCATGTTTGAATCTTGGCATCTGCTATGATCAGTCATTTTGACTATCACAGTAACTCTTTATCCATTAGCTTTTCAGATAGGGAAAATTAAGCTGTAAACTTATAGATCAATAGAAATGATCTAGAGGTTTATGTCTCATATTCTACAGAAATTGATATACTTATGGTGATTTAAAAAACTCAGTGGTTCTCTAAGAACCAAGAGTCACATTATTGAATCAGATCTCTTTAGAAAATCTAAACTTTTCTATTTTACTACATATCTAGCAAATAAAAGATATCCATGAAATAAAGTGTAGGGATTTTATTCCTAGGAAAGGATGATTTTCAGTTTGCTGATAAGATAAACATTACTGGAATATGCTTGTGTTGATAATAAAGATATGCCTCCATAAGTCAGTCTAGAGCAAAAGGACCCAAAGGCATGTATTCCTCAAGACAAAAAACAATTCAAACTATTTTCCAATAATGGGAGATTTATTTATCATCTCTGAATTTCTATTAGTTTGCTAATGATAGCATTTCTTCTGCCAAATAGTGTAGCAATTAAAAGCATTAAGATAAGTTAAGGTAAAATCTGTACATGTACATGTATACCCTTCTCTTCCAAATATTAGATTATGTTTTTAGGTAGAAGATCAAATTGAATGCAATGCTTCATTCATAAGGCAGTATGGCAATGTAGTTATAGAAACCAATAATTTCTAGTCCTTGACATCTGCAAGGCTGTGTATGTGTATGTATTCACTCATTTAAGCTGATATTGTTTCTACTATGACTCGCACACTGTGGTAAGCACTGGAGCACAGCAGTGAATGAGACAGACAAGACCCCTACCACCATGTGGCTTACATTCTAGCGAAACCACATTATGAAATGTATTGCTCATGCAAATTGCACATGTACATTTGTCCTATATTTCTTTTCATTCCATACTTAAAATTAAAATACTTCAAAAAAATTGTAGTCATCATTCTACCCCACTTTAGTTTGATAGGCTCCAATCTCTTAAGAATGAAAAGATATGTAGGCTTATAATAGTTGATAAATACATTTTTAAAGAATATGTTCAAAAATTTTGTAAGTATCTAAAAATGTCCAAGCAAGAAGTTCAGTGGATTTAAAATATCTTGAG
Source organism: Homo sapiens (assembly GCF_000001405.40). Lineage (NCBI taxonomy): Eukaryota > Metazoa > Chordata > Mammalia > Primates > Hominidae > Homo > Homo sapiens. Next base: position 221,139,476 of record NC_000002.12, read on the forward strand.
ATGTTCCCCCTCCCTGCTCCTCCATTTGTGTTTTTTTAAAAAATTCCTTACATAGACATATCTATAAGTATATATGGAACAAGATAATGACTATTTTTATATCAGGTACGAAAAGCATAAAATTAAATCCCTAAAGACAAGCACCATTTTCATGGATTTGTTACAGTTTTAGAGTCATGTTTAACAGTTTGTTTTTTAACCTGTTTGTGCTCCCTATTCTTCCCTTACTGTCACCTTTTCTCAAAGGTGAGGTAGGAGGAGAGAAGAAATACAAAAGATGTGGTGTTTTTTTTTTCCTTTTTAAAGAAAAAAGATGAACCTTTTTCCATGACAATGACTTATCTGGCCTCAGTCTAGACCACCCTATAAACAAAATGATCAATTGATTCTAACGGCAATAAGATTTTTCTCTGGCCACTGAGTCTGATCTCAATGTATCACTCGATCAAAACTTCCAAAACAATTATTGAATTATAACAGGTACTGGTCTTAGGTCACCACAGCCTACAAACTCAACTCCATCTGCATCTTCACCACAGATGCCATGAGAAATGTGGAGTCCACACGTTAGATTTCCAGTTCCTACACTACTTGATGTTATATTGAGAATATATATATATAAATATACATGCAAACGCAAGCTGACTTTCCTTCAGAACGGTAGCTAAATACGTGACACAAACCAGTATTGGTATCATAAATAGTAACATGACTAGAAACTTCTCCAACACTCAAAGCAGCAGAGGAATTCTTATTCAAAGGCGTGTCTTAATGTCCTCAGACTTTTCAGATGACCTCCAAATGCACTGTGAATTATTGAAGAGGAGGCCTTCCCCAGTTTCCTAATGAGTCAGGGTCAGGTATCAGCAGGATTAAGAGTAGAAGGGCAGAGAACCTGAAAAACTACAACAGCAACACACTATCAAACCAAATTCTTTGGAGAAAACAATAAGGATGCAGGTATAAGTCACTACCAACTATTCATGTCTATCAATTTTCTTAATCTCCCTATACCCAGTTTAGAAAAATACTTTCCCATCAATCAAAATAGATCACTTAATCCATTCATATGCATGGGAGTTTGCTCCTTGACTTGGAAAGAAGAGAGAAGGATCTGGTGATGAGAGATTAGGAGAGGAGTGAGAAGGTTTAGACTTCATCTCTCACTGTGAATGGCGGAATTGTTCTAACTAACTACAGTAAGAGGAAAGCAGAGGCCAACGTTAATAGTGTTACTCAGAGATTTCATGTAGAACTAGTTAGAGGGTCATCTCTAGGGTCTTTAACTGAGTGTGGAAGAACACAAATCTCTTTCAGTCTTGCATATGTCCTGTGATAACTGAGTACCTAGAGTTTGGGAAGCTTTGGGGGCACCCAGGGACATTGGAATTACCAGCACCATGGCCATGGAGAGTTTCCTAAAGAGTGTCAGTAGGGATGAACACGTGGAAGATAAAGCCAGAGATAGTACTAGGACCAAGTCAGTGACTCCTGCTGCCAGAGAAAGCACGAGGGCCAAGTCAGTGACTTCTGACGCCAGACCACCTTGGGGTCCATGTGAAGTATTCCTTTACGTGCATCCCAAAATAACAAGGGGGCCTTTGCATTTCAGGCAGGCCTAAAATGCAAAGACCTACTGTTAAGAAGACTGACAGATTGAGCCAGTAGCTGTTTGTACTAACTGGTAGCACAAAAAGGTGGCTGTGAACTTATACAAAAGAACCTGAATTTAAAGAATATCAGATTGTACTTTGAGAGCTGATTGTAAGAATCACCTGATGTGATCATCATGAAGATGTGAGAAATCGCTAGAAGGATATTAAATAATTCTTAGACCTGCAACCCTTGTTTATTCCTTGATTCTATATAGGTTTAACCTTAGATATAAGTATCTTGTTTATGTATTTAGAACTAATGTAAACATATGAATTTATACACTAAGTATAAATATACAGGCATTTATATAGTATTTATAGTACCTATATCTTGTTTAGATTTTTTTTTTTTTTTGATACAGAGTCTTGCTCCATCCCCCAGGCTGGAGTGCAGTGGCATGATCGCGACTCACTGCAACCTCCGCCTCCTGGGTTCAAGTGACTCTCCTGCCTCAGCCTCCTGAGTAGCTGGGATTACAGGTGCACACCACCATGCCCAGCTAACTTTTGTATTTTTAGTAGAGATAGGGTTTCACCATGTTGGCCAGGCTGGTCTTGAACTCCTGACCTCAGGTGATCCTCCTGCCTCGGCCACCAAAGTGCTGGGATTACAGGTGTGAGCCACCATGCCCAGCGATATAAGTATCTTACTTAACTTTTGTTTATAGCTAGATTATAGGTTTTAACATTAGATATAGGTATCTAACGAATAAAAGTATCAGTAAGAAAGGGGATTTACAGTCAAAGGGTGTATAAACAACATTAATGTATTATCTTACACTTCTGCAGGTCAAAAGTCTAAAATAAGTTGGAAGTATTCCTTCTCAAAGCTCTGGGCAAAAATCTGTCTCCTTGCCTTTCCCAGCTTCCAGACGCTGCTGCCTGAATTCCTTGGCTCATGGTCCCTTTTTAGCAATGGAATGCCTCCAACCTCTGCTACCATCTTCACATCTCTCCTTCCTCTGCTTCTCCTGTTGTATTGCTTTCTCTGATAAAGACCCTTCTGCTTCCTATCACAGGGACCCTTGTGAGTATATTTCACCCACCTAAATGATTCAGTGTAATCTCCCCATCTCAAGATCCTTTACTTCGTCACATTGGCAAAGTCCCTGTGCCATGTCAAATAAAATACTCACAGTTTCTGGGATTAGGACATGGACATCTTGTTGGGAGCATTATTCAGCCTACGCCAAGAGGACCAAAGGAAAAACATGAGAAACACTTGCAGAGATCAATGAAGTAAGATCAGCTCAGCTGGACGTCCAGTCAATCCAGCAGTCTGGAACTGACTGTGGGAGCAAACATATCAAGTTGGTTTGTCCTCACACTATTACTCACTTCCAGCTCTGATCCGGACTCAACATGCAACCCTCTATGGACATGGCTACCCATGACAACTTCCTACACTTCTTGGACATGCTTAACAGCTGCAGCTCTGATTGTAAATTATCTACCACACTTGGCAGCTGGCTGCCCACTGCAGCTTTCTTAGCTTGAGAATGACTGTTAAGAATAATGCCATTCACACCGGGTGCAGTGGCTTATGCCTGTTATCCCAGCACGTTGGGAGGCCAAGGCAGGCGGATCACAAGATCAGGCGTTCGAGACCAGCCTGACCAACATGGTGAAACTCTGTGTCTACTAAAAATATAAAAAATTAGCCAGGCATGGTGGCATGTGCCTGTAATCCCAGCTACTCAGGAGGCTGAGGCAGGAGAATCACTTGAACCCAGAAGGCAGAGGTTACAGTGAGCAGAGATCACACCACTGCACTCCAGCCTGGGTGACAGAACGAAATTCTGTCTCAAAAAAAAAAAAAAAAAAGAAGAAGAAGAATGCCATTCACAGTCACATACTAGACATACTTACCCTCGGCTCTCTGTACTAAGCATGCATATATCTTTATTTAATTCTCACAATAATCCTAGAGATATTTTAATTATGCCACAATTTTTTCCGCAAAATTCAATTGACATATTATCCAAACATTGCTACCAGGTAATAGACAAGGAGTCCATTTCAAGCCAGGTCACTTTATGGTTCATATGAAGATTTCTCTATCTGGATCCATCTGTTTGTTTCACAAAAGAAGGCTCATGTTATGTTGGAGGTTGAAAGAAATGTCACTTTACTAATTAGGAAAGATGAGTTCCAGTGTGGGACGTGGGACGTGACTTGGATAGGCTCATAACTCTAGACAGTTTTAAAATTTAAGACCCCCTAATCTTTCTCCTTCATTTTATCATGTTGCCTTCCAATCTGGTCTAAGTTTAGAGTCAGACATAATCTTTACTTAGCAACATCAAAGTTTGCTCCAGCTTGAGCATCAACTTGCTTGCTTGCTTGCTAAATGGAAATTTAAGGGTTTCATTTTCATATGCTTGCTTGTAACATAAATATGGTCATAAAAGGCTCATACAAACTCTCAAAACTGACATTGTGGTCTGCAGAATGTGAGAAAGTTGAGAAAGAAAAATCCTTGGGAAAGGTTTGGCATAAAATTTACCTAAGAAATAAGGCTAAGTGGAGACATAATACTATTAGGGGAAAAAATTTAATTACATTTAATTAAATCTCCTTAATTAATGTTCACAGTGGGGCTATAAGAGAACTCCCAACAGATAGAGCTCTGAGCAAATTGGACTTGCATTTGACCTCAACCTGTTTTATATTCTCCAAGAATAGTGTACCAACATGTGTGTTATATTTGTTTTGTTTTGCTTAATATTGACAAATATTACCTTGGAAGACAATATTATATAAAGGAAGAGGTGGATTTTGGAGGCAAACAACACTGCACTTTCCCCTGTTTCTTTTCTTTTTTTTTTTTTTTTTTTTTTTGAGACGGAGTCTCGCTCTGTCGCCCAGGCTGGAGTGCAGTGGCGGGATCTCGGCTCACTGCAAGCTCCGCCTCCCGGGTTCACGCCATTCTCCTGCCTCAGCCTCCCAAGTAGCTGGGACTACAGGCGCCCGCCACTACGCCCGGCTAATTTTTTGTATTGTTAGTAGAGACGGGGTTTCACCATGTTAACCAGGATGGTCTCAATCTCCTGACATCGTGATCTACCCTCCTCGGCCTCCCAAAGTGCTGGGATTACAGGCGTGAGCCATCATGCCCCGGCCTGTCCTGTTTCTTAAGAGCAATGTGACTTAAAATAAACTTCTGTATTCATAAAAAGGTGCTCCCCAACTCACAGTTCTGGGGAGCTTCACTTTATCAGATTCAGAGACTTGGGCAGTGCACAGCCTGCATTTGATTGGCAATTCCTGATAGCATGTCTCAGTGTATCACATCTGGCTCCAGGTGGGTGCTCAGTAAGTTTTAATTACTTTCTCCTCTCACAACTATTGAGGAGAAATAAAGAATATATAGGCTCCAGAGAGACAGGAAGATTTTCTACATATGTTCACTCCTTTACCTCCGGTGTCTAGATTAGTATTTGACATACAGATCAGAACAGGAGTTTCTGTCACTATTACTTTGTACTAAAGTATAAAAAGTGATTGCCTACAGGTTTGGGGGAAAAACTGCATCTGTGCATAATTGGCAAGGTGTCTTCTACCTTAATCTGTAACAATGGAGACAACAATGGAGAGGAGACAATCTATGAAACTTTTCTTGTGATGATTCTCATTAGAGAAATAGTTCTAAATTCACTGGCATAGTTCTTGGAACTGGTTCTTTTTCCTAAACTGGGCTCAGCAAACTATGGTCTGTGGGCCAAATTGAGCCCACTGTCTGTTTTTCTACAAGTCATGAAATAGTAATGTATTTTTTACAGTTTTAAAGGGCTGAAGAAAAGTCAAAAGAAGAATGATATATTGTAATATGTGAAATTATATGAAATTAATATCAGTGTCCACAAATAAGGCTTTATTTCACTGCCACACCCATTTTTTTATGTACTGTCTATCACTGCTTTCATGCCACGGTGGCAGAATTGAGTACTCAGCACAAAGACCATAAGGTCAAATATTTTGGAAAAGTCCAAAATGGACTTTTGGACTTGGGCTCAACAAGAGGACAACAGGGCCCATGTTATGTAGAGCATTTCAGAGAACCAGTATTAGTGAAAAAGGGGTCAGTATTCCTTATCTAATAACCACATAACATTATATACCAATGATCTATATTGAGGTAGCAAAATACTATTTGATGCAAGCTTTTAAGAAGTATGACACACACACAAAAACAGATGCTTTGACTTCAAACTACTGGTTCTTAATTTTTTTCTGAATCATTTATCTTTTTGAGATGAGAACTATAAGCTCTCTGCAGGGAGCTGAATTGTGGCCCCCTAAAATTCATATGGTGATGTCCTACCCCCAGTTTCTTAGAATGATTGCATTTGGAGATCAGGCCTTTAATGAGGTAATGAAGGCTAAATGATGTCATATGGGTAGGGCCTAATCCAGTCTGGCTTGGGTCTTTATGAGAAGAAATTTGAACATACCAGGAATGCACACGCCCAAAGAAAAGGTCATCTGAGGACAGTGGCCATCTGCAACCCTAGGGGAGGGGACTCAGAGGAAGCCAACCCTGCTGACACCTTGATCTTGAACTTCCAGCCTCCAGAACTATGAAATCATGAATTTCTGTTGTTTCAGCCACTTAGTCTGTGGTATTCTGTTAAGACAGCCCTAGCAGATGAATACACTCTCATCCCACATATGAAATTACGCATGTGATTTTTAAAGGGGTTTGCAGGCTCCTGAAAATTGCATTGTTCACAGGCTCCTAGATTAATGACTCTTACTCAAATAAGTATTTGTTATCATCATTTGATATTAAACATATTTAGCTTACACACTATTCCTTGAACAGTTGTTTGTAAGTTCTAGCAAAAGAGGCCTATGGATTATAAAAGCTTGTTTGAAAAACAAATTTCTATTATTCTTTCCTTGTGCAGCCTCAGAAAGGCTGTGCCTGAAGAAGCCTTACCAGCTAGATTAGTCCAATCAACTGTGGTATCCATGTAAGACATACAGATGTTTCAGCCAGGCCACCCTAATGTGTGGTGCTCTTCCTGGAGTCATCCATCTTTCCCGCTTACACTTCCAAAGGGTCTCGTCCTTTAGCTTGTTTGGCAAAACAAACTCTTCTCTCCCTTTCCACCAATCCTCTCGGCTTTTAATTAACTCCTTATCCTTATTCTAAAAAAAAAGCTAGCAGTCTTTTTAGGTCTGCCAATGGCCTACAGTGAAATCTGTCTGATTCTTCACCTGGCTCTCCAGCATCCTGATTTTTCTTTCTCTTTAGCTATTTTTTTCCATGTATTTTATTTATTTTGCTTGTTTTGTAAACATCCTTGGAAAGAGCATGGTGCTCCAGCACCTACTGCTACTTCAGGGGCTCTCCTTGGCCTGTTGGAATTTCAATATAATTTATTGATACTCAGTGGGCACCACATATGTGGTACTTTCCTCTTGTCTTTATCTCCCAGCTCTCATCCTTCCTTTTTGATCAATAACCTGTGCTTCCTTTACTATTTTCTTTGTCTCAATATTACATCGCTAGCTTTAATCAAAGCTCTTTTGATATAGAGTTTTGTAATGTAATTTATTCTTGATTGATTGTATGTTCTAATCATAATTTGGAAAGAAGTCTTTTTATGCAGTGCTTCACGGTAGCCACCATCTTTATTTTATTGCCAATTTTTAACTAACAAATGAATGCTAGAGGAGACATCTCTGTTCTGAAGAGCTTCTTTGAGAGGAGTTGGCAAACACTTTTACTATACAATATTTCAACTTAAGCTTCAGCAAACTTCCGTCTCTCTCAAACTTGGCTAAAGACAACTCAACCTCACTTCTATTCTTACATACTCAAGTTGAGGAGGAATGAATCTTGCTGCTTAGAAATATGTACTGTGGAAGCAAACAGCGTAGCTTAAATTGAGCTCCCTGGGACTTATTAGCTGTTTATCACCTTGAATAAGTTATTTAAAAACTTTCTGCCTCAGTTTATCTGTATAATTCAGCTATTTGTGTCTACATCATAAAGTTATTATGAGCATTATTATTAATGTAAAAATTAGAAGATAGCTTGGTCCAGAGTAAGTGCTATGTCAGAGTTCACTATTACCAAATCTTACATGTATTTTTGCTTATACAAATGGGCCATTATAACATATAACATCCCTACATATATATATATAATTTATACATATATTTGATATTATAATGTAAATTACATTTGTAATGTAATTAATGTAATGTAAATAAATGTAATTAATTTGTAATGTAAATTACATTACAAAACTCTATATCAAAACATCCATATATATGTGTGTGTATATATATATATATTTTTTTTTTTTTTTGAGACAGAGTCTTGCTCTGTCACCAGGCTGGAGTGCAGTGGCACGATCTCAGCTCACTGCAACCTCTGCCTCCCGGGTTCAAGCGATTCCCCTGCCTCAGCCTCCCAAGTAGCTGGGATTACAGGCATGCACCACCATGCCCAGATAATTTTTGTATTTTAGTAGAAATGAGGTTTCACTATATTAGCCAAGATGATCTCGATCTCCTGACCTCGTGATCCACCTGCCTAGACCTAACATCCCTATATTTCAAAACCAGCATCCTTGTCATGCATCCTGCTGTTGGGGAGACAGTGTTAGCTAAAGTTGCGCACACAGTTCTACATATTCCTGTATTTGGTAGGGTCCAAGATAAAACTATTTTATCCTAACCTATACACTAGAATGAATTATACGAGAAGGTCTCAGTGTTTTTGGAGGGGTCCATTTTGGTATGTTCAAATTACAGTAAGGTTATATAAGTCTAAGAAATTACTTTTATATTCAGTAATGTTGCAAAAACTAATGACAAGGCTCAATTGTCTGTTGATGTGAATCAGTTTGGGCATTCTTATGTGTTCTCATGTAATTTAAGATGCCTAATCAATAGGTTTATAGACCTCTGAGGGAGAATTATATTTATCAGGCAACATTTTGAAAAGGTGACAAGAAAGAGTAGTAAACTTAAAATAACATCAGTTCCAAGCTGCAATAATTAGGTGGCTGGGAGCAGTACATTTCTCCTCCTTACGCGTTATTCTGCCTATAGTGGTAATTTTTTTTTTGATAAAGTAACTAGTTAATAAAGCAACTAGACAGTTTTTTCAGTATTCACCAACATTTCCTTGATAACTCAAAGAAAATAACTGAATTAGTCCTTTAGAGACAATGAAATGAATACTTAAAATGAATGTGTGCCTTTCTGAACTCAAAGTGAACTCATCAGCTAGCTATTTATAAGGATCTTTACGAGTAGGCCAAGTTTCACAATTGAACTAAAAGCCCAAAATATTTCTACCAAATTATTAAACTTTTATATTTTTTATTCTTTCAGCTGTATCATGACTCCACTTTACAAGTGAAAAGAAAAATATGGTTTTAAGGGGAATTATATATTTATTTATTTGTTATATAGTGCAAATACCTTGCGCTATGGTTTGAACGTATCTCCCAAAGTTAATGTGTTGGAAACATAATCCCCAATGTAATTGTGTTGAGAAGTGGGACTTTTAAGAGGTGGAATCCTCATGAATGGGTTAATGTTGTTATTGTGGGAATGGATTCGTTATAGTAAGATTGGGCTTGTTATAAATGAGAGTCCGGCCCCCTCTTGTGCTCTGACATTTTCTTGCCTTTCCGTCTTCCACCAAGCAGCAAGAGAACCCTCACAAGATGCTAGCCCCTCGACCTTGGACTTTCCAGCCTCCAGAACTGTAAGAAATAAATTTCTTTTCTTTATAAATTACCCAGGCTTGGGTATTCTGTAACAGCAGCATAAAAGGGACTGAGATATATGGTTTGAACAGTTTTGTCATTGAGTAGGACAATTGTTTTGGCATTGTTTTGAAATCTTGTGAGGTGAATGACATAGAATTGTGGTCAAGTTCAGATGTATTTTGTAGTGAGACACATGAGGTTTGGATGCCATCCCTATCTTCTAATAGCCTTAGGCTGGTTATTCAACCTCCCTAAAACTCAGTTTCCTCATCTGTAAAATGGGCATTACAAGTAACTCTCTTATGATGTTATACATCATGATACAATGTGTGATACATAAAGAATCCATACAGCACCAATGGCACAAAACAAGTGCTTGGCAAAAGTCTCTATTCAGACTAGCAGAGCCAATCAGCCTCCAGTGCTTTAGTATCTGTCTGTTTAAGAATCTAGTTTATTCCAGAAGTCTTTATTCAGATTTTATGTTTGATTACTTTAGAGGCTTATTGCTTGAGCAAAACAAAGTTCTTTGTAGAAACAATATACGTTCATTTTACAAATCAAGTTGACATCTTGAATAAAGTAGTGACTGAAAATGTCAACTGGATATGGTTGACATATTTTCTAAACTGATTTCAGTGCAACTTTGGAATGTTGAGTTGGATTATGGACATGCGGACTAGCACTGAGTGGAGACTAAAGCCTATGAGATTCTCTGTGTGAGTGCTCTTATCTGTCTAGTCTTATGCTAGGTGCAGTGGAATATTCAAAAGAAGATCACTGTTTCTCTTCAAAATCCTTCACACAAGACTGCAAAAATTAACATAAATATGAGAAATAATTGCAGTATAATACGAGTCCACGTAACCATAGAAAGAATGTTCTATAAGAGAGACAGGGAAGAAAAAACATACTAGGGGTTCCATTACTATAACAGAGTTGAATCATTATGAACTGGATTGTCTGAGAAGGCTTGGAGGCAGAGGGCTTATTCACTATGATTGTTGGCAGTGAGTGAACACTCATTGGAAGCTAAAGGAGAAGACACACCTGTTATTAATGAGCATGGAAGGAAGGGAGGTAAGGTAGATAATCAGCCTGACAAGACCAGAGTATTTACTTTGACACAGGTTACGCAGAGACAAAAGCCCAGATATAAAGGAAAGCATGTTGTAGAGATTAAAGGCAAAGGCTTTAGAAACACATTCCCCCAGTTCATTCAGCTACTGACCCTTCAGCTTAAACCCGCGTAGCCTAAACCTTACCATGCCTCAGCATCAACATATAAAATAGGGAGGACTTGTTATGAGAATTAAATAAGATGATGCAAATGAACCACTTAGCACAGAGCATGAGATAAAATTAGCAACTGTCTTCATCAGCTCAGGCTGCTATAACATAATACCATAGACTCAGTGGCTTAAACAACAGAAATTTATTTCTCTCAGTTCTGCAGGCTAGAAGACCACGATCAGGGCTGGGTGTGGTGGCTCATGCCTATAATCCCAGCACTTTGGGAGGCTGAGGCAGGTGGATCACCTGAGGTCAGGAGTTTGAGACAAGCCTGGCCAACATGGTGAAACCCGGTCTCTACTGAAAATACAAAAATTAGCCAGGTGTGGTGGTGAGCTCCTGTAGTACCACCTACTAGGGAGGCTGACGCAGGAGAATTGGTTGAACCTGGTAGGTGGAGGTTGCTATGATTGCACCACTGCACTCTAGCCTGGGCAACAGAGTAAGACTCCATCTCAAAAACAAACAAGCAAACAAACAACAAAAAAAAGAAGACCAAGAGATCAAGATGCCAGCGTGGATGAGTTCTTAATGAGGGCTCTCTTCCTGGCTTGCAGACTGCTGCCGCCTTTCTCACAGTGTGCTCACATGACAGAGAGAGCTCTGAGCTCTTCCTCTTCTTGTTAGGGCACTAATCCCATCATGGTGCCTCTTCATGACCTCAACTCAATCCAGTTACCTCCCAAAGTCCTCATCTTCTAATACCATCATATTGGGGATTAAGGCTTCACATATGAATTTGGAGGAGGTGGACACAAACATTTGGTGAATAACAACACCCCATAATATTGTCTATTACTATATTTTGAGTAGAAATTGTTCCATACATTTTAAAGCTGAGAAAAGTGAGGCCAAGGGAGGTGTAACAGTTGCCAAGGTCACACAGCTGCTAAATACTAGATTTTGAATATGACTCAAGGTCTGCCTAAATCCATAACCCATTTTTCCCACTATCCCATCTTGCTTAAGTCCTTGAGGTTAAGTAACTTGAAGCTGGTTTAGGAAGAGTCGTATAACATCAACATGGTCCCAAAGTAGACCAGTGGATTGAAGGCATCAGCATCACCTGGGAACTTGTTAGGAATGCAGACTGGCCATATCCTAGATATTCTGAATCTGAAAGTCTGGAGTTGGAACCAGCAATCCAGCAGTCTGTGATTTAACATGCCCATTAGGTTTGAAACTGACTGCTCTAAACTAAATTCTATAGTTTTGAAAGCATCCAGAAGTTAATAAGACAGATAATGTTTGTAAATCTTTTTGTGATAAATAGAATAGAGAGGTAAAAAGGAATTGTTGTGGTAGTGACTATGAACTTTAGCTAATGAGGTTTCAAGTCCACACCACCAATCAACCAAACTGAGGACTATAGGCACTAAGAAAACTATTAGCTAGAATTTGCAGGGCAAAGTGGCTAGGACCAAAAAGATCACATAAACAATACATTGAATAAAACTGCACATATACTCACCAAGAAAAAGCAAGAGAGAGTTTTGCACTGACTCTCATGCCTACTGTCTATACCCGTTTGCCATCTAGTCCCAGCTACTGTCACTCTCTGCTTCTGCTTCCATGGTACACTCGATAATATTTGGCAGTAAATCAATTGCAACCTTCTTCCTCATCACTGTCCCACCCTCTGTTGTACCCTGATTTCCCTTCTTCACCTGACTTACTGCTACTACCTGCCAGCCTATCAAAATCCAAAGAAGTGATACCCATAAACATTCCAACTGCTTGTCATCTCCGCTTCTGGAGAGCTTGTACAAATGGCTATTTCTATGCTCTTCACACCCAGCAACAGTCAAGCCCAGTAGTTTAGCATGGGGACCCTGGATTCCCACCTCCTAGGAATAAATCAAAGCTATACCAATTACTTGCTTTAATCATTAAATTAATTTCTTTGTACCATAGTCTCTTCATCTATAAAGTGAAAATAAAAGTTATGATGCAAATAAAATACTTATCACAGATTGTTAGTACATAGTCCTTGTTGGCACATAATTATCTAAGTGTATGATAGATTTATCTACCAGACATCTTTTTAAGCCAGTAATAATATAGAAATCCATATTTGTATCCTCATGCCTAGCACAGAGCCTACTTAATAGCAGACACACACACACACACACACACACACACACAACTAAACCAGACATAAATGCTGATCTCAACAATGGGATCCCTTTCAAAGATATTAAACTTTTGTTCTATGCCATGGACTCCTGAAGTCTGTGAATTCCTTCTCATACCAATGTTTTTAAGAATATAAAATGAAATGTGTCTAGGGTTACAAAAAAAAGCAATTATATTAAAATACAGTCATTAGAAGTACATAAAAATAAATTTGTGGCATAGTAAGATTGTGCTACTTATTACATAACAAAATCTAGCTGCAGATCTAACTACTATAATTTCAAGGAAGTGATATGTTTAAACAATACTATGAGATATCTGTAACAGCTGAAATGTGATATGAAAAAACTGATTGCTTTGCTGCAAAAGTCAAAGTCACTGCTAATACTGTGGTGGTATGTTGTTTTGATTAATAGTTAAAGGAAACGCTTAATTTCAGGTAAAGGTTAGCGAAAATGTAGATGTAACAAACATTCTCCTAAGTTCCCAGACCCCCTTTTTTTTTATTGAGATGAAGTCTTGTTCTGTTACCCAGGCTGGAGTGCAGTGGCACCATCTTGGCTCACTGCAACCTCCGCTTCCTGGATTCAAGTGATTCTCCTGCCTCAGCCTCCCCAGCAGCTGGGACCACAAGCGCGTGCCACCATGCCCAGCTAATTTTTGTATTTTCAGTAGAGACAGTGTTTCACCATATTGGCCAGGCTGGTCTTGAACTCCTGCCCTTGTGATTCACCCTCCTTGGTCTCCCATAGTGCTGGGATTATAGGAGTGATCTACCACGGCTGGCCCCCAGGCCCTCTTAACACCAAGTTGAGACCCACAAGCTTGAAGCTTGATTTATAAAAACCCATGAAATCTATTAATGGAGACTACAATAGTGATTAGATGAAACAGTTGATTGTGTCTTCCACGAGCTTTCCAGGCAAAATCGGCTCCTATACCATGAGATATGATTGCTCAGTCTGGTTGATTTTGCTGAACAGGCTGTGATGTTTCAGAAACAAAATGGTCTATCCTGGCCTTTCCTAATGCTTTTTTGCAAACAGTGTCCAATTTAGAAACCTCTACTTAATGGCTTAATTATTGCATTCAGAAAAAGTAAATATGATACTTTGGCTTTAGTTAGAGAGGAAATATGTCCCATTTACAATGCTGGCACTGTGTCGAAGTGTGAGGCAATTTGCACAAGAGAAAGCTTTTTCTCCTTTGGGCTGGAGCCAGGGATCTTGATAATGCTCCCTTTTATCTGATGAATCCTGAGCGGTTGCCCTGCTAATATATTCAATCTCTTTTAATTCTAATTCTGCCTTTTTAATAAAATACCAAAATCAAACAGGATTCCACATTCCCAAGTTCCTATTTTTTAGATGTCATTAATCTGCATTGCTTTTGTGTAGGAAAAAGATCCAGGAAAGGTGAGAATAATGTTCAGTAATTATACTGAAGATATGTCTGATGTACCCATAATTACAACTTCGGTGGGCAATTTGAAATCATCTGAATAATTCCAAATTTATATTTTTACTTAGATTGTTGAAATGAGAATGGTGTATTTATTTGAACTAAAATGGTAATGGGTCTGAAAAAAATAGAAGACTGATGAGCTCCTTCCTAGCTGAGTGACCCTGAACAAGTTTGTTGCACTCATCTATAAAGATGGGGACAGTGCAATGTTTCTTACCGTGCTGTTAGGAGGATTAAATTGAATAACATATATGGAAAACATTATTTTATAAACCAGAAAGCAACATGTGAATAGTATCTCTCGTTATGAGAATATTCACATTATTTCCTCAATTTATCTTTGCTGGAACAGAACTATCATAGGTAATGATGAAAATTATGTAATCTTTATAGGGTAAAAAGAATTCAGTTTGGTGGAAGTGAAATAAGTGCATTTCTGAAAATCAGTATCTGTTTGATAGGGGAACAGTGACCAAAAATAAAAGTGTTTCATCTGAGGAGTATTTGAATTGCTAAAATTTAAAGATAATTTTGAAATGCTAGTGTAATTAACACTTTAAAGTGGTGACGATCCAAGGACTGTCTGACTCCATGAAGACTGGCATAGATATTCTCAGCCATTTACTAAACCAGAACAGATTGTCGAGTGTAAAGTTTTACAAGACATGTTTCTAGTTCGAGGATTGGTATCATATGTTTGGTAAAACGAAGGGAAGCTACTTTAACTCTGCTGCTGATTTTTTTCCCCGAAACATCTGAAATATCAAACTGAACCGGGCAATCGTTTTAAAGTATTAAGGTCAGTGCTCTCAGTACTCAAAGCCTTTAAGACCTTTGGAGCAGTGCAAAGAAAAGGGCTGTATATTACGAATATATATTTACAAACTATCTAGCCTATAAAATCCTGGAACAATAAGAGAAAAAGAAGTTCCAAGTTCCCAAAATAATGAAAGGTGGAAATTTTTCCTTAATTACATTATAAACCATAGCAAAGACATCTTTATTGAAATGTCATTGTATTCTCACCAGTCTGTTCATTAACTTTTCATTCTCTATAATGTTTTGGACTACTAATTCAGTCACTAAGAACAGTTCAATAATTAGTTTTGCAATGTTATTTATCTTGCATACTTTTCCCTTCTCTTTATTCAAAAGAGTGGGGGCATTTATGAATACACAATGACAAGCTTAATAAAACTCACAGATGTGAGAGATTTATAAGCAGAGGAAAGAGGCCTAAATGGCATTCACATTGCCATATGATTCATAAGTCCTCTTTCCAATTATGTAGTATTATTAAAACTTAGAATAAAAATAAGTAATAACCATGCTGCATACATTTGATCCTAGAAATTACAATTTTGAAGTGTGCCTTTGCACTATAGATGTCTGAGGCTACAATATACAATTATTTTTTAAGGGATAAAACTTCTCACACTTTAACATTGAATTTTGAAAATGAAAATTGATATTTTTTTAAAAAAATGAGGGTTCATTTTAAAAGAATTATTTGAGGCATGCAATTTAAAAAAAAAAAAGTTGTTTCCCCTTAAAATATGGTCTGGTTTGTCACAGCTCATCTTTAGGGACAAGTATCGCAGCCCGAAGCTGAACGGTGGGCTTTGCTGAACCAGGTGGTCTTTATTTTTACAGACTCACGTCCAGTTTGCTGTCTGTCATCACAGGACTTAATGTTGAGAACTGACAGGTTTCAAATATTGATGGGGAAATGCTGGTGGATTCAGAAACTTGGAACTTGACCAAAATATCCAAATCTCACAAGTCTATAACATCAGCCTGGAAAGCAGGCTGTTTTATAAAATGTCCTTGGTCGCCCTATTTTCACATGGAATAAAATAAAATGCCACAGGAGAAAACTGCTTCTTTGATATTTTAACACATGAATTTTTTGGAGTTTCAGCACCTGGATTTACAGCCTAGTTTAAAACAGGTAATACATCTCTGCAAGAGAGACAGAATGAGTTTCTTCAAATGTATTTGACACTTAAAAATTTTACTTGAGAGTATTTTTTATTCATTTTGTTTCCTTTGATGCTTTTTTTTCTATATTTTTCTACATCCATGATGCTTAAGAATATGAAATTCACTCAGCACTTCAGAAAGTGTCATGACCTCTCAAATAAGCCTCCTTTCTCTATGGTCTTGTCTTCTTTTGTGACAATTATACTACCTAGAGCTGTGTCTGTCTCAATGAAATCCCTGTTCCTTTTTGCTTCATTGCCTACTGAATTTTTTCCTCCTATGAATTGAGGGAGGAAAGGAAACTTACAACTGTGCTGGTTCTGTGTGTAAATAGAATATGTGCAAACTCTCACGTGCTATGTCGCCTAGAGGAGTGATCTAATTTTCTCAATTATTTCATGCTAATGAATTGTTCCTTTTTGGTGACAGTTCTGGAGATAGCTGAATGCATAAGACAAGATTTCATATTACCATTTTTAGGTTCTACTGTTATGTGTGGGGTGTGTGTGTGTTTAAGATATGGCTATAGAACCAGAGTGTGCCCACTTGAAATTCTAATACTGAGAGAGAGAACAGATTTCCGGATTTGAATAATTTCATTTAGTCAATAAAGGGATAAATCATTCTGCAACAGCTATTTTTCCTTGACGCGACTTTGGATTAGAAATTCAGTCCATCTCAGAGAAGCACTTATGCAAATGCTGGTGATAGTGGTGTGGCTGATCACATTAGAGTCTCGGGTTACTAGATTACCTGTGTGGCTGTGATGAAAAGATCAGTGTGTTTGCATGCTGAGATGAAATGATGCAACTCATCGTATCATGTCATCAGCAAATGTTATTTTAATAAGACTACAAATCATTGTGACATCAACAACCTCAAACAAATCTTCTGGATATGTAAATACACTGATTCTTCCCTAAAGGCCAATGAAAGATGTAAAAACAACAACAAAAAAAGAATGTCTCAATGTCTCATTCATAGAGAGCAACATCCAGATAGTAGAATGTTGCATGTATTTTAAGCTATAAACTAACGTATACTTCCAGAGAACAAGTGATACTGAGGCTTTTGTGAGACTGTGGATGATTAATTCTCAAACAAGTTAAAATGAGCTCTCAACCTGCCTGCTAAGGCATGGAGAACAGGGGTGTGGATTTTTTTTTTTTTAATTACCGGCAAGATAATCAGGAAAATATCATAGGTACACTGTTCATTCCTCCCATCCCTGGAATCAGCAAAAAAGGAGAAAGTTCTAGAAAGAGGAATACTGCCAGCAACACTTAACAGACAACCTAGACTTCTGTAATGCCTAGATAATCAAATCTGGTATTTTCTTATAACAGATTTACTCAAAAAGGCCTGTGACACTACCCGATGATTTATTGGTTAAAATAGCCTATAATCCTTCTAGAAAAAAACGGAAGAGTTCAGACCCCAAATTGTTTGAACACAAGTTGAATTAACCAAGAAAAATTAGATGCATGCCCAGGATTGTTCTAGGGGGCTACAGTAACTCTGTAACAACTGTAACTTCTTCTTTTAAAAAATTCATCCACTACATGGTATGCATGAAACATAAAGACACACAAAATAGTGTGTTTAAAATATTACAATTGCATTGCAGATATGATTTTATCACTTCAGTTTACTTCAACTTATTAGAGACTTAGACAAGAAAAAGGAGAAAAAGAAATAGAGTAAAAAATCAATTTGATGTGTCTTTGGGTGTTCTTTAAAAAAGTAAATTGAGGGCAGCCTTGCAAACACTTGTTACCTAAGAAATGCCATTCTGTTACCTTCCTAAAAGTAGAGAGGCAAATATGAAGCCACAAATGCCATAATGAGAACTGCAGAAAACTCAGAAGAGCCAGGAAAGGAATCTTGGAAATGCCTTCTGAGATTTAACTTGAACAGCTCTGGCTGGAAGTTCGATTGGTGGGGCAGTGATGGTGACCACAGGCATTATCCAAATAAGGGTATTCCAAGCCTAGTTTCTTTGGAGATTTTCAGAACGCAAAAGTGTTTATGATGTGTTCTGTCTACAGATGAGAGTTTGTGGCCACACTTGAAGCCATTTTGAATGCAGATTCATTTCACATTTAATAAGACAATGCCATGTAAAGTGGTGAAAGATTACTAAAAGCATAATTTTGTGGAGGTTTAGGAAGGAATGAAAATAGCTTATTTTTCTACCACCATGGATTCTCCAACCTCCCTCATGTTGCAGCCTAACCATTGGTGTTTGCACCACAAAAATACAATATTCCTTCCAAAACAATTGCAAGTAGGATATCCATTACTCTAGCCTATATTTCTTTTTCCTTGAGAAAACATTGAAATGTATCTCTTTACCTATGGTTTATTTTAAAATACACCAGCTTCTCTGGGAACACTCTTTTATGCTTATCTCCTATCTTCTCTTTCTTAATATTCTAGAAATATAAGGTCTGCTTTTTCAGCATTTGCATTCATGGGGACCCATGGGATCACATTGCTAAGTCAGATGGAAACATTTCAATACTGAACATGCAGTATTATTCAACTAAATTTAAAAATAAAAATAATGGTTGAGGTTACTTCTCCCTTTAAGATTGATATAAATATATATATAATATATATATCATATTGTGTGTATGATATATTTGTGTGTATGAAATATATATATATTTCTTTTTTTGAGATGAAGTCTTGCTCTTCACCCAGACTGGAGTGGGATCTCGGCTTACTGGAACCTCCATCTCCCGGGTTCAAGCGATTCTCCAGACTCAGCCTCCCAAGTAGCTGGGATTACAGGCACCTGCCACCATGCCCAGCTAATTTTTGTATTTTTAGTAGAGATGGGATTTCACCATGTTGGCCAGGCTGGTCTTGAACTTCTGACCTCAGGTAATCTGCCCACCTCGACCTCCCAAAGTGTTGGGATTACAGGCATGAGCCACCACGCCTGGCCATATATGACTGTATATTATATGACATAATACACTATAATAATATAGTTTGAGTACCCTTTTTTTCAATCTCAAAACCTAATGCATGTTTCCTACTGAGAACTGATTTTTCTTATTTAACCAACTCATAGGAATTGTTCATGAGGTATTCCTGATATTTCATTCTTGAAATCTTCTGAGTGTGTGTGTGTGTGTGTGTGTGTACATCTCTGTGTATATATACTGGAAAGTGTATACGTATGCATTAACCCTCTGAAGGGTTAATTTACCTCAACTACCAATACTATAACAAAAAATTTTTAATCTTAACTTTTAAAAAGACTTTATTTCATTTTTAACCACATCATTGTAAGAAGGAGTTCCAAACTGTACAGGCTGAAGAGGTTGGCATTATCTAGTCTGGAACACGAAAACCTCTTCACAACACAGCTGCACTTTTGGTAAAGATTCAATATATAAAGTGCAGCTCATAGAGACTATTGGAAGTTGTAGATTCTCACAGACAATTGAAGAATGCTGCCTCGAAACTTCCTTAAGATTCTTAAAGTCAGTTAAGAGTAAAGTAGAAACAACGTCTGAGTTGGTCACTGTTGTAAATTATGGAGATAAAATTTCCTCAGCAGGCTGCACAGGGTAACTTAGACTGAGATTTGGAGGATTGGAAAAAAAAATTTAAGTTGTGTGGGCCTATATAAAGTTGCCAACTTTTTATTTTAGGCATTAAAATCATTGATATTAACACCAACCATCCACTTAAGATGATCATTTCTAAAATGTTTCAGAATCAAGAGCAAGACTTAAATTTATCTAAATTTCTTTTTCAATCATTTTGCTAAGGACCAGTGAAAACTTCACCATGGAATTGATCTTTCCCTTTGCTAGCAATTGCGAATCTCTTAAATGAATGCATTAGGTTTTGTACCCCTGGACCTGGATCACTCACCCTTAATTCTTTGACTCTAACACTACATACTGAGTACCTCTGCAGGCTGGTATTGAGCTAGGCAGTGACAAACATCGAGGATTGAGAGCAAACAACATTCCTACCCCAGATTATGGACTAATGAAACGTACTACCCCTTCTTTTAGCTGTGGGACCCCTTGCTAAATACTTGAAAAAACTTAAAAATTGCGTAAAATGAGAATAACAAAATCCCCATTGCAGAACTGAGAAGCTAAGTGACACCCAATTGGCATTCAAGTTACATGAGTTATTATCATCAAAAATTATGAAGTGTTAAGTTATCTGAGAAGATTTTTCTTGGGGAGAAAAAGCAGATGAAGTGGCAGATTATCCTTCAAACATTTCAGGGCACAAAGATAAATACAGAAAAGACGGCTGTGGTACCAGCACAGACAGATGCTTCCCAATGGCACCGACATCGAATAAAGTGAGCACAAATCTATTAAACGTGTCTGATGAATAATTTCATCAGTTATTGGGAGAAGTATACAAAATCACCTCTTAGAACTCAAATTCACAATTTGTCATAAGGCAGTAGCCCAAAGAATCGGGATAAAAACCTGAATGGTATCATAATCGGACTCTGGAATTACATTTTTGTTAAGCTTTGTACAACTTAGAAAATCTAATAAAACATCTGACAAAAGAAATAGGTTCCGACTGACAGCAAAGCCCGGAGGCATGTGCTCCCACTGACTAAGAAGTTAAGATGTCACAAACTTCTCAGCCCTTTCCTTCACTTGAGCCTCAAAGTATTGGTTGTGAAGTGGAGTAAAGGCACTGTCAAATTTAAATTTTAAATAGATACATATGGAACAACATTAGTTTTTTTAGAAAGGCCTTTTTGTTTTTTTTTTTTAAACTCTCTTCTCATGGAACCCACAGTCCAGAAACTCACACAGTCTTTCCTCAAACTGTGTTAGGGCTTTTGATGCCAGGTATATTTTCTTTTTTCTCTCTTTTTTTTTTTTTTTTTTTTTTTTGAGACGGAGTTTCGCTCTGTCGCCCAGGCTGGAGTGCAATGGCACCATCTCGGCTCACTGCAAGCTCTGCCTCCCGGGTTCACACCATTCTCCTACCTCAGCCTCCCGAGTAGCTGGGACTACAGGCGCCCGCCACCAGGCCTGGCTAATTTTTTTTGTATTTTTTAGTAGAGACCGGGTTTCACCATGTTAGCCAGGATGGTCTCGATCTCCTGACCTCGTGATCCGCCCACCTCGGCCTCCCAAAGTGCTGGGATTACAGGCGTGAGCCACTGCACCTGGCCAATGCCAGGTATATTTTCACCTACATATATTTATGTGAAAATATATACACATATATTTATATATTTTTTTCACCTATATTTTCTCCTATACACAAAGCGCAACTTTGCAGAAACTTTAACTCCCACTGAAATGAGATTCTAAATGTTTCCCAGTGGGATGAGGGGTAAGATTTGCAATCTCTCCCCTGGGTCCTCCTTTTCCCCTCAAGGATGGTACCAACCCTGGATTCAGGGCTACAGCACCCTCAAAAATCTGCTTATGGTTGTATGATTCTTACCTTCAGATTCTTCATTTTTACTGAAGTACAATAGTCTTTATTGATTTATTTACTTTGTGCAGGTTTTCACTAAAAAGCTAGGTACCAGGGCAAAAGGTAACAGTCAGACGGACAGTTTAGGGATAGAAATTTAACAAAAGTTGCTCAATAGGCAGGGTTTTGCTCCTAGGGACAAACCAAACTCCTCCTGTAAAATCAATCCCATTTGTGTCCACAGCAGCCCAGGGCTCCCTGTGCCCTAATGCCCCATCACACTGGTCAGGTAAGAAACTAACTTGCCTTTCACATTGCAGGAGAAAATGAGGGAAAGGCCAATACTGAATATGTAGCTATGGAAGGGCCCTTCTGCTTGAAGTTTCCAATCTTTTTTCTTATTTATTGACTATAAATAACAACATATTTCAAAGTAGAAGTCATGGCAACTAGAGGAGACTATATCTTGAACGCACTTTTTTTTTTTTTTTTGATTCTCCAACATGTATTTGGGCCTGCTTTAGTGCAGCCTATGGCTTGTTACTGCAAAGCTTCATGTAAGGTCAAAGCCCCTTTTTTCAGCACACACAGCGGTTTGATGGTAGCTCCTCCCACAACTGCTCAGTCTTGAACACACTTCCATTTCAGCATCCTCACACAGATCTTTCTTTTCATCCCTTTGGGCAACTCCTTACAGCTTTACAACTGGGTGGTTTCTGTCCAGGTGGTCTCCTCTCTAGGTACCCTGTCACCACACACACACACACACACACACACACACACACACACACATCCCACTGCCACCACCACCACCACCATCAATCCACCCAGTACCATTTACCACAGTGAGGAAATAAGCAGGAAGTTTTCAAATACTGCTTTTCCACCTTAGTCTGTTCTCAAAAAACTTCTACAACTCTCACCTGTGAATTTAATTTAAAAAAATACAAATCTTAGCTTAACAACTTAAATCCAACCTTACCTCTTACTCTTCCTTGTACAGATGTCATGTTTCTTCTACTTTGGTCAGCTTAGCATTTTGGAACATGCAGCATGCTCCCTGCCCCCCACATTAAGTTGTTGCCAGTTTCTCTATCTCAAATCTGCTCTCTACATCCTCTCCAAGAGTTGAAGTCCTCCATAGCTTTTAAAGCCTAGTTCACCTCTAGACTTCAGGAAAAGGCTTTCCTGGGAGTGTTGCTTTTCCTAATGTTTTCTGAGAGTCATTTTGGATGCGCAAAATGTCCTTCAAACACGTCACAAAAATATAATAATTTAGAATTATTCAGAATGTGGTACAATGATATGTTAGAGAATTCCATATTTCTCTGTTTCTTTAGACGAAGACTTAAATTTTTAAAACTATTGTCACAAACATAAGGCTGGAAAAAAGGTTAAAGGAAAACTAGGATGTGGTTGAGAAAGGGTACAGAAACTCTACTCCTCACAAATTATTACAATCACTGTTCAATAAATTCAGAGAAGAGTGGAGAGAAAAAAAAACAAAAAAAAAAAAC
The DNA here is from genome assembly GCF_000001405.40 of Homo sapiens. Taxonomy (NCBI): domain Eukaryota; kingdom Metazoa; phylum Chordata; class Mammalia; order Primates; family Hominidae; genus Homo; species Homo sapiens. The sequence goes on from NC_000002.12 coordinate 221,162,696, forward strand.
AAAGAAATGGTCCCCAGATCTTTTGGTATATACCCAAGCCCCCTTCTATGAAAAATGGAGGAGACTCTGAGATGATCACAGCCAGTGGGAATCTACAAGAAGCCAGGAGAGAAAACAGAAATCATCTCCGTTTGAAGTCTCACACAGCAGGATGGCTGTGTGGTGCAGTTGAATCTTAAAACTCACACCCCATTTCATGAACTAATGAGACCTGTTCTGAATAATGAGTCAGGTTTATCAGTGAGGCAGATAGAATTCTCATTTGATGAGCAGCCAATTGGTGAAAAAGGGATTCCTAAACAATTAGAAATGGAGAAAGATGATACCACGGAAGCAATTCATTCACTAGTTACTTTCTGAAGATACAATGAGGACTAAAATATGCACAGTTCCAGCTGTCATGGATCCTAGGGTCTGGAAGTTGATGTCTCGTAGTCAAGACAGGAGAGGTGAGCTTTTTAAAAAAGAAACTGGTACTTAATTCCAGATCTGGGCCCCAAAGAAAATAAAACCTTGCCAATTAGAGAAGTGAGATTGGGTTGTGCTATGTCTTTATTACTGCAGCGTAATTGTGTCTATTAGTTGATCCTCCCTCGCACTGATTATATCACATTCCTTTACTGTTTCTATAATATGCACCCAGATGAAATGTATAGGGTGTTTTGGAAAAGGAATAAGGATGGAAAACTGGTTGTGAAGGAATAATCCCTTTTTTTTGAGTAGTAGCATTATTCACCGAACACACGTCTTTATATTACAATGTTATTTTGCTCATTCTATGAAACAGAAATAATTCTAAAAATCTTTGCAAATTTTGATAGATAATGGACTTCTTTAAATAAACATATATAACATATATACATATGTAGATATACACACAAATGCATGTGTACACATGTATACAAAGATAGGCATAGCTATAACATGTGTTGCACTGTCTTCAAGGAGAAAAATGTCTATTCTAAATTTATTAATCTTAGGTCATTTTCTTTTTGACTCAAATCTTTTTTGTTTCATTACCTTTACTGACTATTTAATAAAGATTTCCAATAGATAATATTTACTCAGCAAGCATGTGGGGAAACAAATATTCCCATATAGTGCTGGTGAAAATAAAATTAGTGAAAACTTCCTGGAGAACAATTTGGCAATACAAATCAAAAATCTTAAAAATATGCATATCATTTGGCTTATAAATTCTACCACTAGTTGCATATTAATATATGTATCTATCTATAATTTCGCTACTAGATATTTCTACTCCCTAGTCTATTAAGATTATCTATCAAAGTTTGCAAAGATTTTTAGAATTTTTTTGTTTCATGGGATGAGCAAAATAACATTGTATATAAAAGATACATATTCAGTGAATATACTACTATTCAAAAAATGAATTATTTTTACACAGCCAGTTTTCCCTCCTCATTTTCTCCTGAGGTGTGAGACTTCAAGTGGATAGGATTTCTGTTTTCTCTCCTGGATTCTACTAGAATCCCACTAGCCCGTGATCATCTCAGAGTCTCCCCTATTTTTTATACAAGGGGATTTGGGTGTATCCCAAAAGATCTAGGGACCATTTCTTTGGGTTTTTTCTGCTCCCTACTCTTCTATAAGTTTATTGAATGGTGATCATAATAATTTGTGAGCAGTAGAGTTTCTGTGCTCACAAATTACTACTAGATAGTAGGTATATCCAGTAGTGGAATTTATAGATCAAATTATACATATATATAAATATATTTCTCAAAAGGCATATAAATATACAAAGATGTATTTATGAGGATATTTATTAGAATGTGGTCTGTAGTAGAAAAAACTAGACCCCATCTATTATTTATTATAAAGTACAGTATGATAATCATAGCATGCATTTAATTCTATATAGTCATTCAAAATGGAGGCATAAATGTATATTGACATGAAAAGATGTTCATGATACCTGTTAAGTAAAAAAGGGATTGTAAAAATGGTAATAATGATAACTAATATTTGGATAGTATTTACTACAAGAGAGGCATATGTCTCTGTACTTTATATATGGTAAAGTCACTCACTTCAAACTCATTGCTATTGTCCCTGGTTTATGAATGAAGGAACCAGGCCTAGAGATCTTCAGTGATTTGTGAATGGTAGAACAGCTAGTAAATGACAGATGTGAGCTTTAAACTTTGACAGCCTGGCTTCAGTTCGCATTTTCCATGTCTCCAACATGATACCTGTCTTTGTATAGACACATGCGGGGTTTTACGCATAAATTCACCTTTATATGTGTATATACAAAAAAAAATTAGAATGATATTTATTAAGATTTAACATGATTATCTTTAAGTGACTACATTTTTTTTAAATTTCTGTTTAGCTATGTTTTCTGTAGTGAACAATACATTGCTTTTATCCATTTTAAAGAGGGAAAAAATGTGAAAAGACTACAAATATATTCTGCTTAGCACAGCTTGGGTGCGTACCACAGGGCAGTCATGCTGTCCTCCTCACCCTGCTGCTGGAAATAGTAACAAAGAGCTCCCAAGGGTCACAAATAATGCACAATATGGAAAATCTACATGGAGATAATTGAAAGTTGAACAAAATTTATTCTCTCAGCTTCTGTGAAAGTGAGACACCCTGAATATTGAATTACTCTTTCTGGCCACTGAATTATTGCTTTCTTACAAAATGCTAAATGGTGCCACAATGGCCTGAAAGAGTGAATATGGCATCCAAAAGCGCCTGACTCATATAACCAGGCGGGTCAACTTTAGAATTTGCTGGTCTTGGGATCTGTGTCTGGGTCCTGTCAAAAGTAAAAAGATTTGCTTGCAATTTACATGGAAGTGATTATAAAGTACAGCTTGTCATAGTATCAATTTTATTTTACTTTCAAAGTTAACCAATATGGTTTGTTTGTTGCCATTTTTTTAATCCAATAAACTTTAAGAGAGGAATGTGGAAGACACCTGAGAAAGGCCTACTTCTTAAATTCATCTGCTCCAGGTGAAATTATACCATGCTTACCTCAGGTCTCAGAAAGAAGCACTTTTGTTTCTCCTGGTAGAACATACCAACAGTATCTTCCAATTTTATTCAAGTCATATCACGTGTTGTGGGAAGGACCTGGTGGGAGGTAATTGAATCATGGTGGTGGTTACCCTCAGGCTGCTGTTCTTGTGATAGTGAGTAAGTTCTCATGAGATCTGATGGTTTTCTAAGGGGCTCTTCCCCCTTTTTCTTGGCCCTTCTCCTCACTGCCGCCATGTAAAGAAGGATGTGTTTGCTTCACTTCCGCCATGATTGTAAGTTTCCTGAGGCATCCCCAGCCATGCTGAACTGTGAGTCAATTAAACCTCTCTCCTTTATAAATTACCCAGTCTCGGGTATGTCTTTATTAGCAGCATGAGAACAGATGAATACATACTGTTTTTGACTTTTTAGTTATCTCTCCAGTAAAACAAACTTCAAATCTCTATGGTAAAGTGAGCATCTGTCAATAGATTTTCTCTCTTTCTTTCCTTTCTTTTTTCCTACCTTCCTTCCATTCTTTCCTTTTTCTCTCCCTCATCTTCTTTTCTTCCTTTCTTCATTTTTTTTTTAAATAACTGTGATTCAGTTTTTATGCTCTCTTACAAAATCTGTCCTACAAGTAGATTACACAATCTGAGCACAGCTCCTTGTAACACTACACGTGCTTTCAGGAAAAGCTACGTTTTCGAGAACTGAAATTTTAGCCACCACTACATGCTGCTCTTGTCTGAGCTCTGCGATTGCTTCTTATTTCTCCCCTGAGGATTCAATGCATTTGGTTCAAGCACCATTGAACGTGATGCTGTATTAATTGCCCTGGAGGGTAGCGAGGCCTTTGAACTGTGGCTGTGAGGAATATTTTGCTGTAAGACATGTGTCAGCACTTGGCTGGTTAACTCTGGGGCTCGGCTGTGCAGCATGCTGGGACCAAGGATCTGGAAAACTACTTTGCATCCTAATCTTACATCTGTTTTCCATCATGTAGTGAGATTGACTGGCTATTCTAACAGGGAAGCATCATTCTGAAATAGCCAGAGTCTACATACAAATATTGTACTGTCAAAGAATATTAAGAATTTTCCATCATTTTTTCAAGTTCTTCCAAACAGCTGGCATGCATAGGTGAATGGGTGATGCAATAGATTAATTGCCTGACCTTTCAACCCAAGAGAAATTGTCTGTGTGTAAGCTATATGTCAGCATTATGATACTAAAACTTAAATTGAAGATGATGCCTCTGCTTTCAATGAAAACAAAATTGCACGTTTCATTGGCCTAATTTTGCCCATTCTACCTTCCACGCGCCACTTGGAGCTTATTCGTATTCAGTTTGAATGCAGAGTAACATCTCAAATGCAGTCAACACCTTTCTTTCAAAGGACACAGTCAAGTCTATTCACCTGGAATAGTTTCTTCTTCCTCCCAGCCCTCTTGAGTCATAACTGCCATTCACATTGCTACAGATGGAGACAAGTAAGAAAGTTTACAATTACATAGTAAGTCTACAGTTATAATTTCAGATAGTATCTCAGAGCTATAATTATATTTCTGGACTTCTAAGTAGCAGATCAATTTGTTTCCTCTGGATGCTGTGACCTCTCGAATAATATTGGTCATTTTTACTTCTCTCATTGACTCCCAGCTTTACAATGGTTATAGACACACTTCATAGATGCCTATGGCGCAGCTGGGAAGCGTACAGCAGATGCTAAATTTCAATGGAAATGGTAGTTTTTAGAGTCATTTGTTCTCCTAAAGTACTGTGATAAAAAAAAATGTGAAAATAATCGTTGAGTAACTTTCCACACGCCTCTTTAGAAGCATGATCCTCACAGTGTCTGCATACTTCCTGCTTTTTAGAGAAAGAGGAAAGGTGGTAGAATGTTAGGCCTGGAAAGAAAACTTCCATAGCATCTGTAGAAGGGAAAAAAATGACTGACCATGTGTCAGTTAAGCATTCTGCTTGGAAACCTCAAGCAGTGCATTGTGCTTTTCCTTTTTCTTTAATTTTTAATTGGTTAACAGCTTGAGTTGTGGAAATGCTACCATATTCATGGTTGCAACAGAGCTGACAGAGGGTGCTGAAAACTGTACTGCTTTCCTTGATTATTATTATTTTTTCATTCCAGGTTTGATTTTAGCAAACTCTTTGCAATCTGGGATCTGGCACATAAAGACTACATATGCTCAAGACTAATCCTAGAATAGACAGCAGTAGAGAGTGGCCCAGGGGACAGGTTTAAATCTTTGATGTTTTAAATAGCCAATCCCTTTAGAGTTCTGGGGTCTGTGGTTCGTCTTCTTTCTTGCACTGGCCTTTCCTGGAACCCTTCTCATCAATTTTGGGGCAAAGGCTTCACTTGTTTGATAGTTACAATAACTCATTAACAAGAACACATGCCTTTTTAAAGATTATCATTTACTCATCAACTATTGAGTTATTTCAGTATGCATACAAGGGAGATGGTAGTTTATCTTTATAGATAGGATCATTATATAAGAAACCATGACCTGGTTATAATATAAGCTAGTGTCTAATTTGTAAAATAAGACTACAAATGTTGACAGAAATGAGAGAAAATGCATGCGAACGTATTTCATAATTTTAAAGTATTTCCACAATGCAATCTATTATTCCAAAGTAGAAAGGATTGGCAAAAGAGTTGGGAATCTGAAAAAGTGCTCGAGTTGACAACAGTAATCTGTAGTCAGAGGGTGAAAAGTAAATCTGTAATCTGTGTTTTAGGGGCTTGGCTAATAAGCACTACCCTGGCATAACAGAAAAAAAAAAAGCATCAATTTGATTTCTGGCTGTAACTCTTCTGAGGCAAGTCACTTAACCTCTTTGAGCCTAAGGAGGTTTTTCTGTATATGGGGGAAATATAACTTGCCCTATATGTCATTGTGAGCCTTAAATGAGATGGTGTTTATAAAAGATGACAAAAAAATAGATATTTGATTCTCAAAAAAATGATTTCTATCCATTTTTATAATAATTATTGTGAACTACCATTATTGTGATATGTTACTGTTACAACAAAAATCCCTTTATTTATAGCCGTAGCTTCTTTTTAGAAATAAAGAACAAAGTCTGTGTTATGGCTAAATTTACAATGATTAAAACACTTGTTTTTTAAACAAGGGTGACATTTCATGGAAAAATAAAAGCTTTTCTTTTTAAAAAGGGTACATCGTAGGATGTTTGACAGAAAAATAATTCTTTCATAAAATCTTTACCTGTGAAGTAGTACTAAAAATATTTTTAAATAATTGAAAGACTAAGATCTAGCATAACGAGCAGCTTTTCTTCCTCAGACAATGTTTTTGTTTTGTTTTGTTTACTATAATATTTGCAGTCTGAAGTTAAAAGTGTACGGAGATGGCAACAAATTCTAGGAGCAAATTAAAAACATGTTAAATTAAATACAAATGTACATGTTAAATGCATGTAAAATACAGAAATGCATATAAAATTAAATACATATCATGCGTACATTTTATATATAAATCATATGTTATATATATAATTTTGTTTTAATCATGTTTCATATATAGTCATGAAAGGTGCATGTATCATTAAGAGCAAAGTGGGTTCGCCATCTACTCTTCATTAAAGTAAAAGAGTAAGGATAGATTTATGAGAAACAAAGAAAGGTAAGAATAAAAATGGAGGCCGGGCGCGGTGGCTCACGCCTGTAATCCCAGCACTTTGGGAGGCCGAGGCGGGCGGATCACGAGGTCAGGAGATCGAGACCATCCTGGCTAACACGGTGAAACCCCGTCTCTACTAAAAAAAACAAAAAATTAGCCAGGCGTGGTGGCGGGCACCTGCAGTCCCAGCTACTTGGGAGGCTGAGGCAAGAGAATGGCGTGAACCCGGAAGGCGGAGCTTGCAGTGAGCCGAGATCGCGCCACTGCACTCCAGCCTGGGCGACAGAGCGAGACTCCGTCTCAAAAAAAAAAAGAATAAAAATGGATATTGTATACAAAAATAATGTTTATTAGCAAAAAGAATTGGAAAACTTGAAGATCCAATGATAGTATCATGGTTAAGCCCATAATGATATTGCCTAAGATGAATATGTATACCAAAGGTCCCACACCCTGGTCCATAGACCGGTGCAAGTACTGGTCCCTGGCCTGTTAGGAACTCCACCGCACAGCAGGGAGTGAGCAGCGGGTGAGCAGGCGAAGCTTCATCTGTATTTACAGCCACTCCCCATCACTCACATCACCACCTGAGCTCTGCCTCCTGTCAGATCAGTGGTGGCAATTAGATTCTTATAGCGCAAACCCTATTGTGAACTGCGCATGTGAGAGATCTAGGTTGCAAGCTCCTTATGAGAAACTAATGCCTGATGATCTGTTATTCAGCCCCAGATAGGACCAACTAGTTGCAGGAAAACAAGCTCAGGACTCCCAGTGATTCTACACTATGGTGCATTGCATAATGATTTCATTGTATATTACAATGTAATAATAATAGAAAAAATGTGCACAATAAATGTAATGTGCTTGAATCATCCCCACACCATGCTCCCTTCCCCAGGTCTGTGGAAAAATTGTCTCCCACGAAACTGGTTCCTGGTGCCAAAAAGGTTGGAAACCACTGATATAAATGTTAGTTTTCCCTTCTCTTCAGGGCATACGTTCCAAGGCCCCCAGTGCAGGCCTCTAACCATGTTATGTGGATAGTACCAAACCCTAATACACTATGTTTTTTCCTGTAACTAACTTTGATTTATAAATGAGGCACAGTAAGAGATGAACAATACCTAATAAAAAAAGAACAATTATAATCATATGTTGTAGTAAAAGTTATGAATGGGGTCTCTCTCTCTCTCTCTGTCTCTCCAAGTTCTCTGTAATATTTTTGGAACATGGTTGACCACGGGTAACTGAAACTGAGGATAAGGAAGGGCTGCTATACTTTATCATCCAAAGCACTCATTTTATTTTTGTTAATATACATGTATTCTTCAGTTATCAGCTCAGCCAATGGTAGAAGTAACTCTAGTGCTAACCCAGGAACAGCTGTTGATAAAGAGAGGTCTGTGAATTGGGAGGAGCTGGGTTTAATGCATGCAGCCAGGGGCCCTTGTCAATAGCTGGCCCATGTGGCCTGGAGGCACAGCTTCTCATTCATTCTTAGCAGCATTGTATCACATTATATTTTGATAACTCTTGACTTCATGGCATACCTTTTCATACATTGGCCTGTAGATTATTTCATTTATTTCTTACAGAAACTTTCACAGAGGAACACAAGGCTTAGAGGAGCTAATGCATTTTCCAAGAAAATAGCAGCTTTCAAATTCAAGGGTCTTTTCTTTCACACTACAACTGTCTCTGAGATAAACCCAGATTGACTTCTAGTTACCCTCTTCCTCATCTTACAGAACAAAAAAACAAAACAAAACAAAAAAAACATGTATTGACAGTGAATCTCTGGGGTTGAACTATAGTAATCATAAGTACAATGGCAATCGTAACTCAAATAGGTTTTAAAAATATTTACAAAGTATTAAGCACTGTGCCTGGCTCATAGTAAGTGCTATGTGTTTGTTAAATAAAAATGAATTAAAAATGTTTTTCTTGAGTACAGGAACAAAACGTCTGTTTTAGAACTCAGGATAGATTGATGGATATAACCATTCTTAAAACTCACGTCAAGGGGTACAAAGTTTCAGTTATACAAGATGAACAAGTTCCAGAGATCTACTAGACAGCGTACTGTCTATAGTGAATAAGATGTATGATATACTTAAAAGTTTGCGGAGGATAGATTTTATCTTAAGTGTTCCTATCATCATCATAATCATTATCATTATAAATAAAGCGGAAGAAAATTTGAAGTTGATGAATCTGTTTATGGCATAGGTGGTGGTGAGGGTTTCACAGATGTATGCTTATCTGCAAACTCATCAAATTGTATACATTAAACATATACAACTTTTTGTATGTCAACCTTCCTCAATAAAATGATTTAAAAGGAACAAAAAAACTTCAAAGGAGTAACATGCCACAATTCCTTGAGGAAGATGTTTTATAAACTGCCCATCTTCACACTAAGTGCTATTTATGGAGAAAAGACAGCACTGAATTCCAAGTGGTTAACAATTCTAGAAATCGTAGTGTACGTGCCACTTTAGCTGAAATGTTACTTAGTAAGTGGTCAGTGACTCTTCTAGGATCCCTGACCTGGTTCTTTTCTGCCAGCCTCCCTAATCTGCCAACTTCTCAAAGACCCTCTCCAGAATGGACTAGTACCAGCTTATCTGGACAGACTTTTGCCACACCTTTGCAAAGCTTTCTAGCTACCAAAGACCAGTATCTTCATCCCACACTTGCCTCAGGTATGGCTTCCAATAGACTGCATATAAATATTCTGGTCTGGCCAAAGGATTCTTATGAAAATTATCTGATGCTTTCCTGTACATTTTATCACATTATTCTGCAGAGAGAGAATATCTCCATTTTCCTCTTGCCACTCAGATTTTACCCCTCTGCCAGGTTCTGAGTCAAATCTCACCACCTTCTTAGAACTTTAACATGGGTAGCAAAAAGAGGTTAATTTTTAAATCCTTGGTTCTATCATTTATTACCTATGTGACCTTGGGCAAATCATTTCCCACTCCCACTGTGATTTTGACTTTATCTGTAAAACAGAAAATGCCGACTTAGAATTTGTGTAAGGATTACTGAAAATAAATGTAAAGCACATACTAGGAATTTAATAAATGATATTTCAAAAATTATAACTCAAGGAAGAATTGCTCTTTTTAGCTCTTTAGAATTTATCTAGCATTACTTTTAGCATTCTTGTTTCATGCTGTGTTAGCTTAAAATATATATCCACAAATTATTTGATCCTCCTTTCATCAAGACATTGAGTCTAATTCCTTCACCTTGAATATGAGTTGAGTGGGGCTGGCCTTAGTGACTTGTTTCCAGTGAATGGGATGAACTGGGCAAGACATGATTTGATTTGCAAAGCCAGGTCATAAAAGGTAATAGAGCTTCTTACTGGCTCTCTCTCTTTGGGGACACTTATCTTTGGAACACAGCTATCATGCAGATAAGGAAGCCCAGGCAACCTGGAGAAGCCCATATGGAGGAGAACTGAGGCTCCTAAACTTCAGCCTCTGCTGCACTTCCAGGTGGCAGCCAGTCCCTGTCTTTCCAGCCTTGTGAGAGAGCCATCTTGGGACCACATCCTCCAGGCCACAGCTAAGCTATTCTACCTTGCACTGAGCAGAGCAGAGACCAGCCTTCCCTGACAAACCCTGCTCAAACTGTAAATTAATGATTGGAATGAATGATTGCTGTTTTTTAAAGTCACTGCACTTTGAGGCCATTTGTACTCCACAATAGATAACAGGAACAGTACCTATATTCAATGCCATGATCTGGAAGTCACCTCTTATAGGCAGATGTCCAAATCTCCTTAGAGAATTTAAACATCTGTATGTTAAAAACATTCAGAGCTTAATAAATGCTTTGTTATTTTTAATTAACTTAATTGATTTGGACATTCTCATACGACCAAGGGAGCTATTTTTTCCTTTGTGTATTTGAATTACATAGGTATTTATGGCTAGAAAAAGAAGGCATTGCCCCCCAAAAATGTTATTTTTCAATTTTCTCCTTTGAGATTCTTATATTGAAGTTAAGGTGATCAAAACAACTTTTAAGAAGCTGTTACTTAAGCTGAAGGTTACATTTTACAAGCTAGAAATTGCTTGTCACCCTGAAATATTTGGAAGAAAAATATATAGTATTGGAAGTTTAAATAGGTAGAGGTGACATTTTCTCATGACAGGAACTGTCTTTCTCATGTACCAGCTTTCGTTGTTCACCACTCATTATATGACAGATTGGTATCCTGAGTTTTAAAAATGAAGAACAAAATATAACCCCCTGAGTGGATTAGTTCTGAGATATGGAGAATGAGTACAGCCCACTGATTTTGGTATTTTGGAGTCTCAGAAATCCTATACTCTTCAATAAAGTAGGGGATGCAAGGAAGAGGGAGCTATTCAGCCATTATAAATTATTTAATCATCTCCTTTACCTTCATGGAGAAAATAATATAAGTGAGAAATTGTATTTCTTTTTTAAAATAACAATAAAAATATGGTATGGAAGTATAAGTAGACTCACGTAAATACATAGTGCCCAGTGATTTCCAAAGGGTGGTTGCTAGAAACGGACCCCGAAGAGAAGCCCTGCTGAATGCCATGGGGAAAAGTTAACATCTAATGTAACAGCCTTAAAAACCTTCAGGCAACTCTAGGGAGAGACAGATGTACTAGTGGTCCCAAGAAGCTTTCACATCTCCCTAAAAAACCGAGCCAAGTTTTTGAGTCATTTTCTATGCAGTATTTAAGGGCCAGAAGGAAGATGGAGGAGTCAATCTGGTTAATTTAGGCAAAAGCAGAATTTGGACTTGAATGAACCTGGTGAGTCTGCTTGACTGTATACTTTTTTCAGCTGACTAAACCTGATTCTGGATCATCACTATTTTTGTTCAAATGTGGGCTCAAGTTGGCATTAGTTATATCTAGGTTATTTCTCTGTGAACACAAAAATATTCACTTATTAGATGTCATCTATCAAAATCCGTTCATAGGTCTGCACTGTGATAGATTTCAATCCTTGACTCTGAGGTTTGTAGGTAGGTCAAGAAATAATCTTATAAATGTGAAGTGAGAAAGAGAAGCAAAGGGTAGAAAGAACATAAATGACCGTAATCTAATTTACAAAGAAATTGGTATTGTAGAAAGAACTTTCATTATAAATAGTTATATTTATAACGGTAAATAATTTATAAATAATTGATAATAATTGTATGTTATATATTAATTAAATTGTTTTTAAAGATTGTTTATAATTGAGACCCAGGTACTGAGATGAATTGGTTGCAGACTTGCTTTAGCATATAGGATGTTTATCTGCCTCCTTCCTCAACTGTACAGTCAAGGCATTATTAGACTGTGGGGAAGCTAAGCTTCTTCTCTGCATGAATAAATTTCTATGTTAAGTTCAGCAGGAGAAAATAGAAAGAAATTCTGTATAAGTTTAGAAAAAAACTAATAAATCAGCTCTACATAACAACAAATGAATATCCATTCCAATTACACATATCTCATACTCTCCAAAAAGCTGAAATTAAAGATGGATAATACCAATCTGGGACCTATTCTGCTTTTTAAAATTAGACAATTGTGTACTAAATAGCTGTTTTAAAGAAAAAGAAACTAGTTAAACTTTTTAAATCCCAACTGTCAACAAATACATTTCTATGAACTTTAGAAATGTACTTTGGCAACCATTTACCAAGACAGCTTATTTGAGGGACACTTAACAAGTCAATTGCGGATAAATCCGACAGATGAAACATGAGTGTTCTGCCTGACTTTGTCTTATGAAGTTGTCTTGTTAGAAAATTTTTAAAGCATGCTTGGAATTTTCAGTCCTTGATGTGATTTCCATGTTGATATTTAATCTGATTAAGTTTAAACCATCTGTCTATAAACATTTGGTAATTTTTTCCCTAGCTTTTAAAAAATCAGATATACAAGAAGTAAAATATAATAAACCAACCTGTGGTAATTTCATTGAATTGTGGTATTTTAGGATCATTTCCTGCCTATGAGAATTAAGGCCATTTTAACATATATGTACATATGTTACACACACACACACACACACATATTTTTAAAATTATTCCATAAAGTTTCTTCCTTAGGGACAATGTTTACAGATTAGAATTCAAAAACCAATGAGAACAAGATTCAATTTTAAGTTACATTTACACTTTCTTTTCTCAAGTGAAAAACCAGTTTTATTTATTTTATATACAATATCATACAGATTAATGGGCCTTGATATCAAAAGCTTTCAATATACTTCTGTTTTAAAAGTAATAACATTTATAGTGATTTTTTTGCATTTTTATTCAAAAATATGTCTATATATTAAAATATACCATTGAAATGTTCATATAAACATATACTTTTCTTAAGTTGATATGACTGTGAAAATGAGGCTAAAAATACCCAAAGATATATTTTTGATTGTGTTTGTGTGTGTACATGTGCAGTGTGTGTGTGCACAAATAATTATTTTTAATATCTAACTGGTGGACAAATGTTTCAACCAAAGGCTGAAGGAGGAATGTCAGAATTACTTCTTTTAAAATCTGGCACATGCTGAGGTCATTTTAGCAGGTTATAAAATGCCTTCTGGGTGGAGATTGCTGGCTTCATCTTGGCCTAGAAAAAGTAATAGTTTCAGAATTCTGTTTAAACTGGTAGGAGTCTTTGGTAATGGATAGGTTTAGTGTTCCCTAGGAAGAATGGAAGAAAAAAACTTTATTCTTAAATATGCTTTGCAAAATAACAACCTGCAGGCTGAGAAAAGTCATAAAATGGAAAACACTGCCATTCAGCTGAGTAAAAATGACTTCCCTCTTCTTTAAGAATGTTATTTTTATTTATTCTCCATATTAAAAGAAAAAATAACCGCCACCCTCTGCACCAATAATGCATTTTAAGTAATTCCAGTTTTTAAATGGCATTAACACCTACACAAAATCCATACCTCTATTTGTGAACAAACATTTACAAGTATCATTATTCAGAAGCCATTTGAAATATAAAATGATAAGTAAAAATAACACCCTCAATTTGTGTATTTCAGTCATTTTATGTGACCTTTTCTTTCATATCCACTTTGCTGTGTTTCTTTACCAACCTATAGTACCAAGCATAAAAAAGGGGAATTATTATTTCCAGTCTGTTCAAATAGTTGACTAGTTTGATCTTATAAGTCATACTAGCCTAACTGACACTTTAAAAAATATGTCTTTTTCCAAAAAAGAGAAAAAAAAGTGGGATGAAAAGTTACTTGTAAGAGAAGGAAAAATATCACCAAGGGATTTATTCTTTGATTGGGACACCTGTAAATCTCTAGTCTCGGCTCTGTGCTGTCCTCTGCTTAGCTATCATTTTTTTTAATCTCCTGACATATACCCCTACGTCTGCAATGGGAGATTCCATAGTTTTTATACTCCCACGAACCCCAGTCCTATATCCCTACCTCTCAACAGAAGCAGATGGCCTTTCTTCCTGCTTTCCTGGACAGCGGCCAAATAAACTGTTTTCCTCCACTGACATGTGTGTCTTCACCCTCGCTTTTAATCCCTAGTCTCTCCAGAAGACATCTTCTCTCCCCATCCATTGCTAACCCCTGCACCTGTGTTCGCAAGCTCTGTTTTTTCTTGCTTTTCTTATGTCTCATTTCTTTCTACTCATTATATACATGCTCAGGTCAACTTAATTATAAAAATAAAATTTTCCTTCTCTCTTGCTATCTCTTCCATCTATTAATATTATTTTTTCTTTTACTGCCCTTGCACTGCCTAGCTATTTGAAAGAGAAGTCTATTCCTTCTATCTTTCCTCTTCGAATAATCTTTTTCCTTTTAATGGGTGAAATACAGCTTCAGTTCTTCTCACTCTACTGAAGACCTCCAAATGACTTCAGTGATATTCCTTAGACCTCATTTTCTTAACCTTGCTTGGAAAAGTGGCAAACACTGAGGAAGAGAAGCCAACTGTCTACCAAAATGTACTCACCTCTCCTATAGCACAGACTTATTGCTAGAAAGGGGCCGCCTGACTCTTGTAATTGCATCTGGCTGTGGCTAGTACTTGCCAATGGAATATAAGCAGAAGGACACAATTCACTTTCAGATTAAAGACTTTCCCATGTCTCTTCAGCCAATAACAGCAAGATCCTCACGGGTGCTGGTGCCACCAGATGGAAGGACCCATTGTCCTTGAATCACCCATGAACCAGGACCACCTGCCTTAGACTGTTGTGTAACAGGAAATAAACTTCTATTGTGGTAAGCCATTAAAATGCATTTGTGAGTTGGTGACCATACACAGCCCATCCTAACCCAAGAAAATACTATAGGCCAGTATCTTGCTGTGAAACATGTTTCTCCCTAGGATTTATGTCATGTATCTTCCTGATTCTTCCACTCTGTCTGATATCCCTTCCCGGTTCCCTCTAATTATGTCTCTTCCAACTCCAACTTTATAAATGAAATGATTCTGGCCTCAAGATTTTTCTTTCTATCACTCATCTTTCCTAGTCAATGTTCTCTTTCATGTTTACCTGCCCTTGGTTCCAGTGACCTTCTCCGTGAACATGACTTTAAGATCCATACTCTTGGCCCATTAGCTCATTTTCATAGCTCTACTCTATTAAGTAAATTTTGGTTGCTTGAGCTAGCAGAGGAAAAATAATAGAATTTTTTTTGAAAGATGGAAAAAAGTCAATCAATTAAACATGGGAAGTGTCAGAATCAGGACGCCCCACGTAGCTCAGTTTGTGGACTTTGGGGTCCTCCACATCTTCTACTCTAAGGCAGTTTATTCAATATACTGTTTAGTTCAGCTGACAATCTTTCTATAGCAAGATTTCCCTAGTGAAGAAGGCAGTGTGCTGATTTACATTCTGGTATGAGCTCCTTATCTAGTGCAGGCGAGCACTTTGATAGACACAAGCCTCGGGTGCTACCACTGACATGAAACAGCTACCAGTCACCCTAGACACAGAATCGGATTGGCCAGCTTGAACAAATTGCTTTAAGCTAGAATAGAATCATGTGTTGAGTTTTAGAAGGATTATAATCCTTGGAATGACGTTTGCACTTCCACTTCCTCACAGACAATGTGACCCTGAAATGTAGCCTTGATTCACCAACAGTAGCCTGTGACTGAGCTAGAATCTGGAGTTATAACAGACTATAAGATAAAACCTAGCTAGCTCTATGCTTAATGAGTTGGTTACAACATGAATGATTAACATAATTGATTACTTATCTAAGGTGCTATGCCATGTAGGAAATAGTTTTCCTGCATCCCTTCATTCATGTCTCACAATTATAAAAGTATTATTAGAATGTCTACTTTATGATAGAAAAACCTGAATGTAGAATGATACTGTTAATTCTTCCTACCCTAGATAAATAATTGAGTGACATAAAATCTCAAGAATACTATATTAGAATTTTAGTCATCACCAAAATTCCACAAAATAGCTTAATACAACTGAAGAAATTGATTACATGATGTTAAAGGATCATTATTTTTTCATTCAACAAATATTGGCTGTGTGTTTTTTCTATGCCAGATCCTGTGCTTGGAACTAGTAATATAGGGATGTAAGGTTTCATAACTCTTCTAAAGAAACTCACAGCTTGGCAAGGAAGAATGATAAGTGAACCAGGGAGTGTAGATGGCCACGTTAGAGACAGGAGTAACATGAGCTGCCATAAAGATCTACATGAAAGCATGGAGTGAAGCACACATCTAGCCAGACATTATGGGAACAGGGAGAATTCCAAAAGGCCATGCTGAGTTGACTTTCACTTTTGTAAATATTGTATGATAATAAAAGTACTATATGTAGAATGCTTGTGAAGTACAGGCAAGTCAAAAGAAGAAGACATAAGTCAAATGCAATCTTGCTACCCAAAGATAATCACAGTAAACATTTGATATATTCCCATCTAATCTTTGTCTAGGATTATATATACACAGTTTTAAAACACAACGTAAATCATACTATATA
Source organism: Homo sapiens (assembly GCF_000001405.40). Taxonomy (NCBI): domain Eukaryota; kingdom Metazoa; phylum Chordata; class Mammalia; order Primates; family Hominidae; genus Homo; species Homo sapiens. The sequence goes on from NC_000002.12 coordinate 221,179,363, forward strand.
TAGTATTATAACCTGCTTCTTCACTTAGTAATATTCCATAAATATTTCCAATGCCATTAAAATGTTCAGAAAACTTTGTTTTTCATGGCTATATAGTATTTCACCATATGAAGTATATCAGTTAGGGTTGTTGGTTGCAAGGCATAGAAATGGACTCTGGCTGATTTAAGAATTGAGGAATGTATTAAAAGGATACTGGGTATATCATAATAGCATTGAGAAGGCTAGAGATCCAGGCTCAAAAAATGGCGTGAACAATAGAAGGCACAGAACTTTCTGGTAAAAAATATTGCTGTTGCCACATCTTCCATCTGGATGCTGCAGCTTCCAGCTCAACACTACAGCCACTACTGACCTGGAAACTAGATGCTGCTTCCAGCGTTATGTTTTACCTCTTCCAGACTGAATTTTCTACTGTCTATGTGTCTTTATGTAATTAGTTCCCAATTCAAATTTGAGGACTAAAGGATTTGATTTGGCTGAGCCCAAGTCAAATGCTGATATTCCATCAGAAAGGAAAGCTGGGTAAGTGAGTGTCATAGGCTGAAGTGTGTACCCCAAAAATGTGTATGTTGAAGTCCTAACCCCCTAGTTCCTCATAATGGGACTGTATTTGGAGATGAGGTCTTTAAAGAGGTAAACAGGTTATTTTAACCTAATGACCTTATTTTAAGGTCATTAAGTTGGGCTCTAATCCAACATAACTGATGTCCTTATGAGAAGAGGGAATCTGGGGACAGACAGGTACAGAGAAAAGACCATGTGAAGATGCAGGGAGAAGAGAGAATGACCTGTAGGAGTTCCTCTTTCAGTTGTTCCATATGAAACAACATCACACAAGTGTCTGTCTTTAGTGAACATGAACAGATAGTTTGACAACTAAAATTACCTTTAAAAAGAGGTTCTCACAACCAAACTGCAAATTAGAATCACTGTGGGAAGACTTTTAAAATATCAACACCAGGGCCCCATCTCTAAAGATACAGGTTTGATTGTTCTGGGGTGGGGCAGAGTCATCATTATTTTGTTAACTTCTCAAGTGATTTTTTGTATACATAGCCAATTTCTTTAAATTGCTTTAAAGAAACTTAGGGAAAAAAATCAGATAATTAGCTTTAGAAACTGAGAAAAGTGGTAATAATATCTCTTCTAAATAAGTGAAGTGCTAGAATATGTTCAAAGATTTTAAAATCATTATCTAAACAACAGTAATTCTTTCCATACTAATCTATAGATTCAGTGTAATTCTAACCAGAAGCTGAGAAGGATTGTTTATACAACTTGACAAGCTCATTTTAAGATTTTTATGAAAGAGAAAGGAACTCAAAGTAGCCAAAATACTCATGAATAAAGAGGGGAAAATTCTCCCCTCCTCAAATACTTAGACTAAGAAACTATAAGAATTAAGATGGTAGAGTGAGACGTCGAGAAAGACAATTGGCAAATAGAATACAGAATACAGAAAGAAATTTATGACTAAATAACATAAATATGCAATAGAGGTGTCATGACAGATTGCTACATATAGAACCCAGAAATTGTTATTTGTATGGAAAAAAGATTTAAAACATTCCTATATTACACAATACATAAAAATCAATTTCAGATGATAAAACATAAAACTGTCAGTAGAATTTTAATGATTTTAGAAAAAGCATATATAATCTTACATTGAGAAAAGCTTTTTTTTTTTTTTTTTTCTTTTGAGACAGAGTTTTGCTCTTGTTGCCCAGACTGGAGTGCAATGGCACGATCTCAGCTCACTGCAACCTCCGCCTCCTGGGTTCAAGCGATTCTTCCGCTTCAGCCTCCCAAGTAGCTGGGATTACAGGTGCCAGCCACCATGCTTAGCTAAATTTTGTATTTTTAGTAGAAATGGGATTTCACCATGTTGGCCAGACTGGTCTCGAACTCCTGAGCTCAGGTGATCCATCAGGCTCAGCTTCCCAAAGTGCTGGGGTTACAGGTGTGAGCCACTATGCCCGGCCAAGATTTATTAAATAAAACATTAAAAGGTGTTAAGCATAAAAGCAAACTTAATAAATCTTTTTTTGAGGGAGATGCGGTCTCACTCCGTTGCCCAGGCTGGAGTGCAGTGGCATAGTCACAGTTCGTTACAACATCCTAGGCTCAAGTGATCCTTCCACCTCAGCTTCCTGAGTAGCTGGAACTACAGGCATGCACCACCACACCCAGCTAATTTTTTGTATATATATCTATATATATATATATATATATACATATATTTATATATATATATACATATATTTATATATATATTTATATATTTTTATATATATTTATATATATTTTTATATATATTTATATATATTTTTTATATATATTTATATATATTTTTATATATATTTATATATATATATTTTTATATATTTTTTTATATATATTTTCATATATATATATACACACTTTTTTTTTGTAGCGATGGGGTTTTGCCATGTTGCCAAGGCTGGTCTCAAACTCCCGGGCTAAAGATATCCATTTCCTCAGCCTCCCAAAGTGCTGAGATTACAGGCGTGAGCTACCACACCCTGCCTAAATTAAATCTTTTTTTTTGGAAAAAACAAACAATACACATAAAAAGTTGACAAAAACATAAACAAGTAGTTCTAGACAAGATAATTTGCATAGTCAATAATATGGAAAAATGTTCAAACATTATAATGAGGAAAATGTATATCAAGACCAAAATTAGAAATCATGTTTGATTAACAAATATTAAGAAATCTGATAATTCAAAGTATTGGATGCCTTATTCCTGCTACTGAAAATATATAAATTCATTGACCACTTTGGATGGTAATACAGTATTATATATATTTTTCTTATCTTATGACCACAATTTTATTTCTTGATGCAGACCAACAGAAATCATTCTACATGTGCTTCAGAATAGATGTATAAAACTATTCATAGGAAAAGGTTTATAATAGCAAAATTCTGGAAAAAAATTTAAAAATCTGTAATGGAAAAATATATGAAGAATTGTGGTATATTCATGATGTGGAATATTATGCAACAATGAACATTTAAGAGTAGTTACTTACCACAACATGCACGCAAGAATTAACATGTTAACTGAAAGCGTGAGTCTCAGAAGCCTACATGAAGGATGACACTCTTAAATAAAGCTCAAAAACAAAGGTATACCATATGCTGTTAGGCCTTAAAATCTATGTAATCAAACTAATTATAAAAATAAAGGGATGACCAACACAACTGTCAGGATAGTCATTACTTCACTGTAAGGTAGGGAAACAACACATGAGTTGATGTAAAGTGTTGATAATATTTTAGTTCTTAGGTGTATTTTGATGTTCACAAAACAAATTACATGAATAAACAAGAGAGGTATGCAATCATAATTGGTTATGAAACAACAGCTATAATAGATCCAATTCTGTGGACTTAATTAATCAGTATAATTTCCAGTGTTGTTTTTAGATCTTAGCAACCACTGAGGTGATATTAAGACTATTGGCATTTTTATTTATATACTTTATATATTATGTTAAATACTTCCTGAGTGGCAGTCAACAGGCCAGATGTTATGGCTTATACCTGTAATCCCAGAACTTTGGGAGGCTGAGGCAGGCAGATCACTTGAGCTCACGAGTTTGAGAACAACCTGGGCAATATGGTGAGACCCCTGTCTCTACTAAAAATCCAAAAAACAAAAAATTATCCATGAGTGGTGGCCCAAGTCTGTGGTCTGTGGTCCCAGCTACTCGAGAGGCTGAGGTGAGAAGATTGCTTGGGCCCGGGGGCTGGAGTTGCAGTGAGCCAAGACTGTGCCGCTGCACTCTGCCTGGGTAAAAGATTGAGACCCTGTCTCAAAAAAAAAAAAAAAAAAAAAAAAGAATGTGGCAGTTAATGTAGATGCATTTGTATTTGTTGAAAGGAGAATATATTAATGTGTTTATGTATTGCTTGAAGCATGGTTTGAGACATTTTGGTCTCAAATAACAGAACATACTACATACAATGTCTTGAGAACATGAAAGGTACAAAGTTCTCATAACTTGAAAATTCCAGAGGTAATTAAGCTGAGGTTCTGTTTTGCCCTCATGTCTCTGCAATTCTTTCAGCAACACCTTTATACTTTTGCTAGCCTCATCCTCAAGTATTTTTTTTCCTTATGGTTTCAAGACTTGCATCCATAGGCAATGCAATTTTCTTTTTCAGAAGAAAAAATTCCCAAACCACAAATTAAAGTTTCAGCTAGAAAACACCACATACAGACTCTGGTGTACCTGGCCATGCTTGTGCCAATCCCTGTAGAAAATGGAGGGAAATTATACTGATTTTCTTAAATCAATCTCTTGAGTCGAGGGCTGATGAAAGGCAGTATTCCATATAATCTGAACTTTTGGGGTTCTATTAGGAAGGAGGAAAGGGAAATGTATGCCAGAAAAGTACCAAAATATTCACTGCATTTAATTAGGAGTTAATTAGAAATCAATCATTTTTTAAATATCAAAATTAAAATTAGTGGCAGAAATTTTTCATATATAGTATATATTCATTCTTTAGGAATCTCTTTTTTAGTAGTATCATATAATCCAATTCCTAGCTCTCTTTTTTATTTTTTGTTTAATTTTTTATTTCATTTAATATTCTGTGGAAGTAAATTTGACTATAAGAACCAGCATTTCAAGCCAGCAAAGCAATAATTATGCAATTAACTTTAACTAGCCAAAATGCAGTGGGGTTCAAAAACCCTCTCTTACTTCAGATGCTTAATAATACTAATTTTTCAACCATAAAAGAAAGTACACAATGTTTAAGGAGGCAATTTACTAGCCTTCTAGATGAGTTCCTAATAAAAAGCTGTTCTGCAAATGAAAAAGGAAACAAAGAACTTAATGTACTTAGATTTCCAGATTTCAATGGAATGTCTTCCATCACAAATTATTTCCTGCTCCTTGATCTTCACAAGCCAATGTTTGCTATCTGCTTTAAGTTTTTGACAAATCATTGCTTTATGCTTAAATAACCACATTCACAAATGCCATCTCCATGAAATACAAGGGTCCATCATCAGATAATTAATGCAGCAAAGCAACTGTGGGTACCAGTGTGTCTCAAGTGGTTGCTGTTCAAGGTTAACCTCCTTGCTTTGACATCATAAAATGATAGTGTACCAAGTTTCAAAGGGCCTGTTTTAATTAAAATATACAGGCATTGCTAATAGGAATGAAATGTCATCAGACCTGAAAATCTCTGTGCAAACATTTTCAGTGCTGTTATTCTGCACTATAACGCCACACTTCATTGTCAGTGAGGCAGGCAGAATAATAGTGCCTAAAGATGTCTATGTCCTAATCCCTGGAACCTATGAGCGTGTTACCTGAAGTGGCAAATGGGACTTTACAGCTGTCATTCAGTTCAGGTCCCTGAAATGGAAAGATTATCCTGGGTTATCTCAGCGGGCCTGACATAATCACGTGGTCTTTAAAAGCGAGAATCTTTCCTGGTTGTGATCAAAAGGTGATTTCTACCCAAGAAGAATCAAAGGTGCAAAAATTCTGGCTCTGAAGATGGAGGAAACAGTCCAAAAGCCAAGGGATGTGGGCAGCTTCTAGAAGCCAGAAAAGGGAAGGAAACAGATTTTCCTCTAGGGCCTCCCTAAGGAAGGCAGCCTTGCCAAAACTTTGATTTTAACCCAATGAGACCCATGTCAGACTTCCAGAACCATAAAATAACGAATTTGAGTTGTTTTAAGTCATGAAGTTTGTGGTGATTTGTTGCTGCAGCAATAGGAAATGAATACAGTCAGCAAATACTGCAATATTTGAAGTATATTCAAGATGTTAAATACATACAAATTACCTCTCATTTAAATGAGGTTTTATATATCTTATATGTTGATTGTGACATTTGCTTTTTATTTCTTCTGCAAATTCCCAGTTCCTCCGTTAAAAAAGAGATAATTTCCTTTAATAGGGTTGATTAGGTTAAACCTTTTTTGAATATTCTTTATTTCTCAATATAATGAGATTAATAATAATTAAGTAACTTTGAAATGCCATTTCTGTAGTTCCTTCAGAGCTTAACTATAGCGCTTGATTCTGTTCTTAGAGTATAAATTTTGAAGTGTGCCTCCCTGTGGGTAAAAGAGACTTCTTAAAAAAGCGTCAGTCAGCAAGCAAAGTGCTGAGCTCTACCCTTTACTGATTTTCCATATCATGGAAAGAACAACCCTAAAATCTGAATTCTGTCACTCTGCAGAATCTACTCCATCCCAGGGATGTAAAGCAATGTTGCACCCAGGGATTGCTACTGGCATGTGGTACCCTCCTGAGCAGAAGCGTGGGAAGCTGATCTTGACCACAGACCTGATGTGTGTACCCTGTTGTTGTTGTTGTCATGTGCTGAAGGACTGCACCCCATCACTTTGGCTTCCACTTCATTTCTGCATTACCCACTCCACCTGCAAGGCTTGCCCCACAGTGACTCCCATGGCAAGTCTCATCCTAGTTACACCCTGTTTGCTATTTCCAAATTGTTTTGCTTTCCTTCTAGAAAATGTAGACAGAAGGGTGCAGGTGTTTTGCCCACATCTGCATAATGTAAACTGTGTATGTATATACATATATAGTTGTTTCCAGGAGCCCATCTCTGTGGGATAATGTGTAATTCAAACACCTACCAGACTGAAGGCAGCTTTTGTACACTTGGCTTCTGAAAGAGTTGCTGCTTCCCTCTTGCACGTAATAAAACTGTGATATCCATCTAAGTTTATGCATATTTGTTCATATCCTAGTATACAGCAACTGCAAGAAATAGACCACAGACAAGTTCTAGGACTTGCTCTAGAGAGAGAAAAAGTATATATTTGTGCTATTTCATCAGCCTCTTTAATCACCTGTATCATGACGGAAGTGACACCCTTGTCAGTTTCTTTGATCACCTGTATCATGGCAGAAGTGATACCCTGCCTAAATAGGACTCTATTCATAAAATCTGCACATTGTTTTCCACAGTAAGAAATTGCAATTCTAGATTTTTTTCTGATTGTACAAGAGAGCGCCCTTTTAGAACAACACATTAAATTAGAAGATATGCATATTTTTAAAAAAATCATGAAATCTTACCGCTCTAAGATTACTTCCAAGAATAGTATGCAGAGTGTGCTGTGCTTTTCTGTTTTTGTTTTTGTTTGTTTGTTTGTTTTTGTTTGTTTTTGACAGAGTCTTGCTCTGTTGCCCAGGCTGGAGTGCAGTGGCGTGATCTTGGCTCACTGCAGCCTCCCAGGCTCAAGTGATTCTCGTGCCTCAACCTCCCAAGTAGCAGGGATTATAGGCACATGCCACCATACCCAGCTAATTTTTGTATTTTTTTAGTAGAGAAAGGGTTTTGCCATGTTGCCCAGGCTGGTCTGAAACTCCTGGCCTAAAGCAATCCACCTGCCTTGGCCTCTCAAAGTGCTGGGATTACACGCTTGAGCCACCATGCCGGGCCACACCGTGTCTTCAGACACAAGCAGATGTAATTTTACATAAATAAGTGAATGAGACATCAAGATTTCTGGTTTTGTTATGAATGCTTTTAATGTTTTAAATTCAGTTATTGTTATCATTGTTCTTGTTTTGATTTCTTATTCCCTCTCTCCTAATTTTTACATTTCCCCATTAACATATGACAGTCATTATGTATGTACGCATATGTGTATATATGTATATGTTCCTGCATTTTGGTAGTGTTTTGTGCTGCCAAAAGTGGGGATTTGGAGGAGATAGAACGTTTGCTTTAAAAAAATACTTCAGTAAGTTTTCAAAATGCAAAGTTTAGCCTGACGTCTAGTGTTGATTAAGGGAGGAGAGTTTCTCTGCCTAGAGGAGAACAATTTAGGAAAAGAGTTCATGATTTTTAGCTAGAGAGGGAACAGAAGGTTTCCAAGGTGAAGAGAAAGAGAGAGACCTGAAAAGTGGAGGTTTGCCAGGGCCCGTCAGGATCAGGTGAGGAGGAAACCTGGCCAATGAGGATTTCTTTTCGACAGGCACGGCCAATGGACAAGAGAGGCAGGCAGAGCTTGTCTTTTACATTCTTGCTTATACCGTGTTGCCTTGTAATTCCCCCTTATCATCTGCAACTTTCAGGAGAAAATCTGTTACACTGTCAGCAGCCACATGATGTTAGGGAAAAGAACAACTAAGAGACCCATGCAATAAGAAAACATAGAGGAATAAGAAAAATAATTCAGCGGCAAGGCTGAATTTAAAAATTCCATAGAAGCTGGAAATTATAGTAAAGTAATAGACCTCAGAGAACCCTCAGAAATTCTGGAAAAGGAGTGGCACTGTAGAACATGGAATGAGAATGATGCTTTGAGTAGTAAAGGAAAATGTTAACCAAGGGAACTGCAGGACTCCGGAACACTGAGGAGGCTGACAATTTAGAAGAAAACTTCTTTAGTGTGAATTTTCATAAACACAACTACCAAGTCAATGGTAGTCTATGTATCATTATATCTTCAGTATATTCCCATGGAAATGCTTATGTAAAGTTCTGTTTTTATCATATTCTAGAACAAAAGTGGGTCTTTTCTTCTTTGTCAATTTGGTAGGTAAGACATTACATACCCTGGTTAGAATACCTTTGCAGTTCATTGACTTCTAATGAGGTTGAAAACTCCTTTACTTTCTTTTTTATTTCTACTTCTGTGAATTTAGATATCATAATTCTGAATTCAATCATTGGGGAATAGCCAACTAATCCAGTTATCTCCCTATAAATATATCCTGCATTTTTTAACTTGTAATTTTATAAATGTAGTAAAAAGGACATTTTTTAAAGTAGGACCAAACTTATACTATAGAATGAGAACAGATTTATTTTACTACAGAGCTGGCTTAAATATAGTTATCTGTAACAAACAACATATAATTTTTAAGTAAATTTTCAATTAATTTCTCATTGGTATATGTTGGAAAGTTGGAAACCCCAAGATAGATGTGGCCAATAGAATGAGTTGCCTGTGTTCTGGTCAGGTTGGGATCTCTTTTCTAATACTGTTATATTTCGCCTTCTTTGGGTTCTACATTTGAGGTAGGGATGAAAGGGATTGAAATCTGCCCTGTTTGCTGGGAAAAAAAAAAAAATGTTTTCCAGTTAGGGCTTGGGCCAAAACACGGATTTTCTATGGCTCAAAAACGTGAAGCCCATGAACCTCCCTGTATAATAGTAACTATTCTCCTTTGGTTCAGGATATATTTGTCAGTTTGGGTTGCAAAGCACAAACTGTGGCTGAAGCAACAGATATTTATTTCTCATAGTCCTGGAGGTTGGAAGTCTAAGATCAAGGTGCTGCCAGGATTGGTTTCCGGTAAAGCCACCCTTTCTTCTGTTTTCTGACTGTGTCCTCACAAGGCCTTTGCTTTTGCACGCAGACAGAGAGTGTGGGGGATCTCTGGAGTCTCTTCCTCCTCTTTTAAGAACGCCAGTCATAAAAGATTCGGGCCTCACCCACACTCTTTTAACCTTAATTACGTTTGTAAAGGCATTATCCCCAAATACAATCATATTGGAGGTTAAAGCTTCACACGTGAATTTTAGGGAGTGCAAGTAAGTTCATGGCACAGGAGCTCAAGTTTTACTGTTGATATCACATCCAGGGGTATGTAGGTTATGCCATAGCAGCAGTGTATTGTGCAAAGAGATATAAGTTGGATTTCCATTATTTCAAGTGTCATTACTGGTTTTCATTGGGAAATACATAATTCCAGGCTAAGGGATAAATCAATGGGATAAATAATGCATAATTCTGCATTGATAATCAAGTATTGGAATAAATCGTTGTGCACGTGATAAATGAAAGACTGTATGAGAGTTATTAAGCAAAATCAAAACAAACATATTTTAAAAATCACTCCTACATACCAAAGCTAAGTATTTCAAAGTTAAGACTACAAATAGAAAATGGCTTAAAAGATTGGGCTTTTGATAATATATTTGTGCATTAAGAAAACCATCAGCAAACATTCCACAGAGGAATTTTACCTTTAGTTCTTCTGACATTTGCAAAGGTCCCCTCCTCCCTCCTCTTTTTATTATGAGTTAGGGGCTTTCCAGCTGCCAGGTAGCTTTGAAGTTACATATCTTCCTAGGACTATTGACTTCCTCCGGAGATCTCTCCCTAAATCCTCTTAGAGAATACGATGCTCAGAGCTTTTGTTCTATATAATCACTCCCAGTTAGAAAGAATAAACTCAGGACCAAGCAAGTTGGCTGGGTGCTTAAAGCCCTGCTGGATGCAGCCAGACACGACCAGGTGTCGTAGGATTCTGAGAGGAAAGAGAGAAGCTCCCCCTGCCCCCCAAACACACACAGCCCTGAGAAGGAGCCGTTTTCACCAGCAGTATTTTTACTTGAAATCATCACCACGATGTACACCAACAGGCAGGGAGACAGGAACAGGCAGCTGCACCAGGAAAGAACATTGAGAGCTGACAATGTGTGTGGACGCATGCGTGAATGCATATATGTATGTATGGATGGATGGATGTGTATGTCTCACACACACACACCCCTAAGAGTTTTATATTTTCTTATGTGCATCTCTCTATTTTTTTTCCTTTGAATACTATTTACCATATCATAGAGCTCTCACAGAAAAACAAGCATCAACAAATTGTTCTCCTCATTATCTCTGAGGCTTCTTTAAATGTTGAGTACTACTTTTATTTTACTGTTTAAATAATAATTGATTTGGTATTTCAAAGGCATATGAGCACTTTCCACCCAGGTCCTGTATGTTATCTCTTTGTTTATGAACTTTTAAGATCTCTAGACAATTCCAGAGACTTTCAGTTATGTTCTCCAACATAGCTTTGGCTGTTGCCAAAAGAATGAATCATTAAATATTGGCCTGAGAAGGCTGATTCTAACAGTATCAAGAAGTTTTTCTAATCTGATACAATATTAGTGATATAGATTTTTATATAATTTGTTCTCTGAGGATAAAGCAAAACTTTTATGCCCTTTTGAAATGCCACTATAAAACAAAATTAAAGAACACCTTCAAGGATCTAGAATTAGAAATACCATTTGGCCCAGCCATCCCATTACTGGGTATATACCCAAAGGATTATAAATCATGCTGCTATAAAGACACATGCACATGTATGTTTATTGCGGCACTATTCACAATAGCAAAGACTTGGAACCAACCCAAATGTCCATAACTGATAGACTGGATTAAGAAAATGTGGCACATATACACCATGGAATACTATGCAGCCATAGAAAAGGATGAGTTCATGCCCTTTGTAGGGACATGGATGAAGCTGGAAACCATCATTCTCAGCAAACTATCGCAAGGACAAAAAACCAAACACCATATCTTCTCACTCATAGGTGGGAATTGAGAAATGAGAACACTTGGACACGGGAAGGGGAACATCACACACTGGGGCCTGTCATGGGGTGGGGGGAGGGGGGAGGGGGGAGGGATAGCATTAGGAGATATACCTAATGTAAATGAGGAGTTAATAGGTATAGCACACCAACATGGCACATGTATACATATGTAAAAAACCTGCACATTGTGCACATGTACCCTAGAACGTAAAGTATAATTAAAAAAAAAAAAGAACACCTTATAATCCTAACTGGGAATATCAAAAATTTGATGAAATGTCTAACTCCAGATGTTATTTTCTACGATTAAGAATGTGTTGTGCTGGCCGGGCGTGGTGGCTCACGCCTGTAATCCCAGCACTTTGGGAGGCCAACACAGGCAGATCACAAGGTCAGGAGATCGAGACCATGGTGAAACCCCATCTCTACTAAAAAAATACAAAAAATTAGCCAGGTGCGGTCGTGGGCGCCTGTAGTCCCAGCTACTTGGGAGGCTGAGGTAGGAGAATGGTGTGAACCCAGGAGGTGAAGCTTGCAGTGAGCTGAGATCGCGCCATTGCACTCCAGCCTGGGTGACAGAGCGAGACTCTGTTTCAAAAAAAAAAAAAAAAAATGTGTTGTGCTACCACTAATGCAACAGATAAGTGACCCATCTTAGAGATATTGTGGGATCATGAAATGTAGAACAGAAGTGACCCAGAGCTCAAGGCATTGTCTGTCCACAACTTTCAAGTCCACTCCTCAGAGTGCCCTGCAAAGTGGAGAGTCTTTCTCCAAAGCAAATTCTGCTTGGGCTGAGCCTCTGTTTTAGCTTTTTAGCAATCATTGTACCTAGAATAATAAGCTTTTGGCTTCATGTCATTTTAAGTCATCTCAGGCTTTCTGTACACTGTAGAAGACTCAACTCATAATATGAGAATCTTTTAGATAACCACCAAGTACACTATGAAGGACCTTTTAAACTGAGGTACATCATTACTGGGGAATGGCCCAAATTTTCATTAGTTACTTCTGGAAACTGCTTTTCTCCCATTATGGTATGTTAGAGATCCAAATAGGCTCTGCTTTGCTGGACTATCATGTACATTAAGATATACTGTTAAGAAAGCAGAAGCATGATGAATAAGTAGAATGCAGAAGAATTTTAGAGCAATGAAACTACTGTTTGATACCAGAATAGTAGATACATGTCATTATACATTTGTCAAAACCCAAAGAATGTACAACATGAAGTGTGAACCCTGATGTAAGTGATGGACTTGTGTGATAATGATGTGTCAACAAAGGATCACCCCTTGTAATGAATGTCCCACTGTAGTGGGGATGTTGATAGTGGGAAGGCTGTACTTGTGTGAAGGCAGGGAGTATGTGGGAAATCTAAACTTCCTGCGTAGTTTTGCTGTGAACCTAAAATTTTCCTCAAATATAAAGCTCATTTGTTTTTTTTCTTTTTCTTTTTCTTTTTTGTAGACAGAGTTTTGCTCTTGTTGCCCAGGCTGGAGTGCAGTGGCATGACCTTGGCTCACCGCAACCTCTGCTTCCCAGGTTCAAGCAATTCTCCTGCCTCAGCCTCCCAAGTAGCTGGGATTATAGGCATGAGCCACCATGCCAGGCTAATTTTGTATTTTTAGTAGAGACAAGTTTCTCCATGTTGGTCAGGCTGATCTCAAACTCCCGACTTCAGGTGATCCACCTGCCTTGGCCTCCCAAAGTGCTGGGATTATAGGCGGGAGCCACTGCACCCCACCATAAAGTTTATTTTTTAAAAAACAGATGTGATACATGAAATATGTTTTTATTTTTCCTCAGTTCCTGTCACACAGCTCCTGAAGCCCTTGGAATTTTGTGAGTAATAGGAGGGTCTTTTTTATTCACAAAGATACCCATATTAAATCCATAGAGCAAGATAATTTAGCAGTTGTAAATATACATGCACCCAACATCAGATCACCTAAATATGTAAGGCAAACATTAATAGATCTGAAGACTGAGATAGACTGCAATACAGTAATAATAGGGGACTCCGACACCACACTTTGAGCAATGCACAGGTCACCCAGACACAAAATCAGTAAGAAAATATCAGGCTTAAATGACTCTAGACCAGATAGTACTAACAGACATATATAAAATGTCAATAGCAGCAAAACATAGATTCTTCTCAAGTGCACATAGAACATACTGTAGGATAGATCATATGTTAGGTTATAAAACAAGTCTTAACAAATTTAAAAAGACTGAAATTATATCAAGTATCTCTTCTGACCCCCAAACTAGAAATTAATAATAGGATGAAGTTCAGAAAATTTACAAATACATGGAAATTAAATAACATGCTCTTGATCAACCAATGGACCAATAAAGAAATTAAAAGAAATGTAAAAATATCTTGAGACAGATGAAAATAGAAACATAACATATCAAAACTATGGAATGCAGCAAAAGCAGTTCTAACAAGAAAGTTTATAGTTATAAACGTCTTACATCAAAAAATAAGCAAGATCTCAAACATCTTAATGTTGCACCTCAAGAAATTACGAAAACAAGAACAAACTAAGCCTGAAGTTAGTAGAGGGAAGGAAATAATAAAACTAGAATAGTAGTAAATAAAACAGACTACAAAAACACTTTTAAAGATCCATGAAATTGTTAGTTTTTTGAAAAGATAAACAAAATCAATAAACATTTAGCTAGACTAAATAGAAAAAAGGAAAAAAAAGCCAGATATATGAAATTAGAAATGAAAAAGGAGACATCACAACAGCTATCACAGAACTACAAAGGATCATTAAAGACAACTATAAATAACTACACACTGATCAACTCTAAAACCTAGAGGAAATGGATAAATTCCTGGACATATATAACCAACCAAGATTGAATTATGAAGAAATAGAATATCTGAACAAATCAATAACGAGTAAAAATATTAAATCAGTAATACAAAAATCCCCAACCAAAGAAAAGCCCAGAACCTGATGCCTTTACTGGTAAATTCTACCAAACAGTTAAAGAACTAACACCAATTCTTCTCAAACTCTTTCCATAAATTGAAGTGGAGAGAATACTTCCAAACTAGCTTTACGAGGGTAGCTTTACATGAAATCAAAGCCAGACAAGAACAATACAACAAATAAAACTATAGGCTGATATTGCTGATGAAAATAGATGGAAACATTCTCAAAAAACATGTTAGAAAACTGAATTTAACAGCACATTGGAAACATCTTTCATCAGGATCCAGTGGGATTCATCCCAGGGATGCAAAAATGGTTCAACATATGTAACCTAGAAATGTAATACAACACATTATCAGAATGAAGGACAAAGACCATATGATCATGTCAATAGAGGCAAAAAAAAACCAAAAAACCTTTGACAGAATTAAACATCCTTTCATGATACAAACACTCAACAAATTAGAAATAGAAGGATGTAACTCAACACACTTAAGGTCATATATGATAATCTTACAGCTAATATCATACTCACTGGTGAAAACTTGAGATCAGGAATAAGACAAGGATGTGCACTCTCACCACTTCTATTCAACGTAGTACTGGAAAGTCTAACCAGAGCAATTAGGTAAGAGAAACAAATAAAAAGCATCCAAATTGGAAAAAAATGCTAAATTGTCCTTGATTGCTGATGACATAATTTTATATTTAGGAAATCCTAAAGACTACATCAAAAAATTGTTAGAATTAATAAATTCAGTATAGCTGCAGCATATAAAGCCTACATACAAAAATCAATAGTGTTCCTATATAGTAACAGCAAACCATCTGCAAAAGAAATTAATAAAACAATCTAATTTTCAATACCTACAAAACCCACAAAATATTTAGGAATAAATTTAACCAGAAAGGTGAAAAATCTTTGCACTAAAAACCATAAAACATCAATACAAGAAACTAAATAAGATAAAAATCAATGGAAAGATATTCCCTGTTCATAGATCAGAAGAATTAATATTGTTAAAATGTCCTTACTACCAAAAGTGATGTACAGATTCAATATGATCACTATCAAAATACCAATGACATTCTTCACAGAGATAGAGAAAATAATCCTAAAATTTGCATGGAACCAAAAAATGCCTGTATTAGCCAAAGCAATCTTGAGCAAAAAGAACAATGCTAGAGGCATCATGCTACCTGACTTCAAAATGAACTAAAAGCTGTAGTAACCAAACCAACATGATACTGGTATAAAAATATACCTAGACCAGTGGAACAGAATAAATAACTTAGAAATAAATCTATTCATCTATAGCCAACTGATTTTCAATGAAAGTGCAGGAATGCACAATGGAGAAAGGACAGTCAATTCAACAAATGGTGTTGGGAAAACTGGACATCCACTTGTAGAAGAATGAAATTGGACCCTTATCTCATGTCGTATACAAAAGTCAACTCAAAATAAATTGAAGGCTTAAATATAAGACCCAAAACTGTATAACCACTAGAAGAAAACACAGAAGACAAGTTCCATGACATTGGTCTACACAGTGATTTTTTTGGATATGACCCCAAAAGTAGAGACAATGAAAGAAAACTAAAAAATAAGATTACATCAAACTAAAAAGTTTCTGCCCATCAACAGAAACAATCAACAGATTGAAGAATCAACCTTTACAATGGGAGAAAATAATTGCAAATCACACATCTGATTAGGGGTTAATATCCAAACTATATAAGGAACTCAAACAAATCAATAGCAAGAAAACAAATAACGATTTAACAATGGGCAAGGGATTTGAACAGACTTTTCTCAAAAGAAACATATGAAGGACCAATAGGTATATTAAAAGATGCTTAACATACTAATTATCAAGGAAATGCAAATTAAAACCACAGTGACAAATCATCTTATACCTGTTAGAATGGCTATTATCAAAAAGACAAATATAATTGTTGGCAAGAATATGCAGAAAAGAGAGTCCTTACACACAGTGAGAATGTAAATTAGTACAGCCACTATGGAAAATAATATAAAGGTTCCCCCAAAAATTAAAAATAGAAATTACCATATGATCCAGCAATCCCATTGCTGGGTATATATCCAAAGGGAATGACATCAGTATGTTGAAGAGATGTTTGCATTCCCATGTTTATTACAGCATTATTCACAATTAAATAGGTGGAATCAACCTAAGTATCCATCAACAGACAAATAAAGAAAACATGGTATGTATACACAATGGAATGTCATTTAGCTATTAAAAAAGACACAAATCCTGTCATTTATAACAACATGGATGAACCTGGATGACATTATGTTAAATGAGATAAGTCAGGGACAGAAAGACAAATACTGCGTGATCTCACTTGTGTGGAATTTTAAAAAGCTGATCTCATAGAAGTAGAGAGTAGAATGGTAGCTACCAGGGGCTGGGTCAAAGCTTGGGGATAGAAAGGGCAGTTAGGTATATGTTGGTCTAAAGACACAACATTTCAGTTGGGTAGGAAGAACATGTTCAAAAGATCTGTTGTACAACATGGTGACTACAGTTAATAACAATATATTGAATTCTCAAAAATGCTAAGAGAATAGATTTTAAATGTTCTCACCACAAAAGTGATAATTTTGTGAAATAATGCATAAGTAGATTAGCTAGACTTAGCCATTCTGCAATATACATATATTTCAAAACATCATTTTGTACACAATAAATGCAAACACTTTTATCTGCCTATTAAAAATTAAACTGAAAAAAAAGAGCCCCCTTTGATCACATCTGAATTTATGCTAATGAGATGGCTTTGAGTGGGGCTCCTAGATAGCCTCAGGATGGGCCTTGTCACCAGAAAGACCAAACGATTAGAGAGTTGGAAATTTCAGTTCCACCCACCAACCGACTGAGATGGGAGGAGGGCTGGAGACTGAGTTATAAAAACTCTTGGACAATGAGATTCAGTGTCCCAGTTGGCAAGCACATTGAAATCTTGGGAGGGCGGTGCACCCAGACAGGACACAAAAGCTCTGCACTACCCTCCACCCCCAACAACTTGCCCTATGTATCTCTTCTATTTGTCTGTTACTGAGTTGTAGCCTTTATAATAAACCAATAATGTCAATAAAGTGTTTTCCTGAGCTCTGAGATCTGTGAGCCTCTAGTAAAGTATCAAACCTCAGGAGAGAGTTATGAGAAACCTTGATTTATAGCCAGTTGGTCAGAGATACCAGAGGCCTGAGACTTGAGACTGGTATCTGAAATGGGGGAGTCTGGTGGCAACACAGAGCCCTTCAGCATATGGAGTCTCCCACTAACTCCAGAGTCCTTTAACCTATGGGGTCTGCCACTAACTCCAAGTATATAGTATCAGAATGGAATTGAATTGTCGGACACTTGGTGTCAGAGGATTTGAGAATCTCACAATACATAAATACAATTAAGAAGTGAGTAAATGAAGTTGGACATAAGCATTAAATACAACATTAATCTTTTCAGTTTTAGGACATCAAAGACATAAATAAAAAAGGCTTCTCATGTTCTAGGACCACTCCTAAATCAAGATGAAGAGCAAACTGCAAACCAACGCAGCAATGTTTATCTAGAATACAACTAGACAAACACACTGTCTTTATCGAGTCTAACCTAGTCCTTCTTCTCTAGTATTCACATCCAAAGACTGTATAGATAGAATGCACAGTTGTCTTGATGGTAATTGAATGAATACACAGGACCTACTGTGAATTTCATTCAGTGTTTTCTCTAGCAGAAAGTATGACTCATAGTCATCCTTTATATACATATAATACTTTTTATTTACAGGCAGTTTTATATCCATTATTTCATTTGATTCACTTATTTACAACCAGTGCTGCTCCTGCATTTTGAATGTCATCAATCAAATTCAGAATTCTAGGTGGAACTCAAAAAGAAATTCATTGCTCTGTCAGGTGTTACGTTGCCTGAGTAGCACATATACATAAATGAACAAGCTGGGTGGTCCCATTCATTTTGCTGATTTTGTGCTGTGCCTTTGCAAAACTGAAATTGTAATTTAAGAGGCTTATTGCACAGCTTCAGAACAGCAAGACATTATTTGTTTCAAACTCAGTTTGCTCCGGTGTTTTCAGCCCAAAGTGGAATGCAAACATCCCCTAGTATTCTATTTATGTCCCAAAAAAATCATATTCAACAGAGTCACTGCAGATGATCAATGATGCACGATGTTATTAGCATAGGTGGTTAAAATAGAGAAGAAAGAAAATGTTCTTGATAATTCCAAAAACTTAGAAAGGGAGGGAAAATTGGAGGGTCTCTCTTAGATTACTGGGAAATAAAATCACATGCTTCCAGGACTAATTCAGTAAAGATGAAATCTAAATAAAAGGAGACTAAAAAAAAAATTTTTTTTTCACTCACATTAAGAGGAACCACTAATAGGCCCACGCTTGAGATAAGGAAAATATTAATAAATGTCAACCTGAGATCATCAAAGCATCAGAAAGTAGTTTACAGAGGGTTTATTCAAGCACAAAGGTTGAGGCTGCAACCCGGGACACACTTCCAAGTTGCCTTGCGGGGTGCTCTGGAGAGCAAAAGAGAGGCTCAAGTTTATAAAGATTAAAATGACCAATCAGCAGAGGAGGTGATTACAAAAGTTTTTCATCAGGAATTCTTATTGGTTTACATAAATAACATTTGTTCATGATTGGCTATACATTGTTGAACTACTGAATATTTGGTAATTTATGGCTTCTTGGTGTCAGTCTAGAGCCTGCATAGCAAGTGGCTTAAGAGGTAATTCTTTAGCTCAAGGGGGAGTGAGACATAGGGGCTATTACATTTTAAATACTTTTGTGGGCCTGATCATTTAAAAGAGCTGTCATTCCTCAGATAAAAGGTTTCTTTTTCAGAGACATCATCAAGCTATGGAATGTATTTCATCAGATATACAAAACAAAGTATTGTAAACTAAAGTGTAAATGTGAGTCCTAAAAATTCTTAGTCATCTTCACCTGAGCAAACAGTCAAAGGACAGCAATTCTCAGCCAGTCACTGGGGCCCTGTACCAAACACTTTGTTCCTTGGGGTTCCCAAGGACTTACGTATCTTACAACAAATCTGACTAAGTGAACAAGCAAATTATATATATTATTACTGTAAATGCATTTAAATCATTCAAAACATACGTAGTGGGAAAAAAAGCCCTATATCTTTACTTACAATTTTTAGTACACAACAAAGTGATCAAATCCATTAACATTCCTCTGGATTAAGACAAATTCTGCATCTCAAAAACCATGGAGAAGCTGCAGAAGCTTAAAGAAAGAAATTCTAATATGAAAATTTAACTCTAGATCCAAGTCACTTCTGGCCTGACAGAGCTGAGAAGGCTTCTCTTCTGAATGACAGCGAGAGAAAACCAGTACCTGGAGTCATCTGGGGTTCAAATCCCAAATCTACCACTTAGTCTCATTCTCTAATTGATACTATGGTGACTTCTATTTTAGGTAATGAAATGAGATAACACTAGTTTATAAAGTACTAACCACTTGAACAGTATTAATACCAAGAAGGAAAACAGAATGTGGATCTATCCATTTGTGTTCAGGGACAGACCAATCTAAACTAAGCATGTCCGGAAAGCAAGACGTGACATGAAGGACAATGTTGAGCATGAGTGTGTCAACTATTTACCGAGCGCCTATGATATGCCAGGTACTGTGCTAGCAGCAAGGTGTACAATAAGCAGAACAGAATCCTTGCCTTCAAGATGCTAACCATCTAATAAAATAATATCATATGGCAGGTTTTCTGCTGAGTTTCGGGTTAATGGATTGTCTGCTCAAAGGTTTGAAGAATACTGCAGTAAAAAATAATAGCTCTCTTAGTGCCAGGCACTGCTCTAAGTATTTTACATAAATTCACTCTTTTAAGCTTTCAAACCATCCAATGAAGTAGCTGCTATTATTATCCCTGATTTTACTGACAGACACAGAGAGGTTGAGTAGCTTGCTCAAGGTCACACACAGCAGGGTTTTTCAGAACTTTGCATTTTGAATTTCTTAAAAAGATTGGAGGTCAGGCGCAGTGGCTCACACCTGTAATCCCAGCACTTTGGGAGGCCGTGGTGGGTGGATCACGAAGTCAGGAGATTGAGACCATCCTGGCTAACACAGTGAAACCCCATCTTCACTGAAAATACAAAAAATTAGCCAGGTGTGGTGGCACGTGCCTGTAGTCTCAGCTATTTGGGAGGCTGAGGCAGGAGAATTGCTTGAACCTGGGAGGTGGAGGTTGCAGTGAGCCAAGATCACAGCACTGCACTCTAGCCTGGGCGACAGAGCAAGACTTCGTCTCAAAAGAAAGAAAAAAAAAAAAGTTTGCAACACAAATATTTCCCCACTTTTTTGATTACAGAAAATTTTCTCTAACGGACCATTTCATAGAATCAATGTTTTAAAGGAAATACCTAAGAAAAGATGATGAAACAAGCTAAAGGGAAAGAATAAAACTTTATTTCCAATTCTACTTTGCTGTATGTCATCAGCCACATTAAAGACTTAGCTTATTTCATTCATTTTGAGAAAGTTAAAGTCCCAATACACTACCTCTATTGTCTTGCCCTTGTGCTCAAGGGTTAGACTATCACTTCTAACAGATTTGGGACTGAAAATGGTACATAGATAGCACCGTGGAACAGAATGCAAGGCTGGCTTTTCAGCACACCTAGTAATGACTGCATCCTGGAGTCTGGGATCATTACAGAGCTATAACTTAGAGAAGAAAAAGAAATCTGACAAGTCTTTTTCATAACAAGATCAAAGAGATTGTGACAGATTGTGAAAATACAGCCTTATTTTTCAAGTTGTTAATTTGTCTCCTTGCTGCTTCCCCGAGAGAGGCTGCTTATGAAGGGCCCTTTCATAGAGGAAGTTTAACAAGTGGTTGAGGATGCCCTTCTCAGCTGAATGGTTTGAATGGCTTAACCTTGGGTGAGCAAATAGGGCTCTCATTGATTTGCAAGTGACAAGGTGCAAAGGGGAAAAGGAACATTTTTTTTATTTGGAACCTGAGTTTTTAACAACACAATCACAGGTCATTGTGGGTTTCTTGAAAGTAAAGTAGAACGTAACATAGGCAATTATGTATCACCTATACTCAGCTCTCAAACCTAGTGAATAATACTTAAATTTGAATGTTCTTTATCCCTCCTCCAAATATAAATATTCCAAAAATAATCAATGGCAAAAAGGTCAAATTGCTCATTACCTTGGTCAGACTTAAGCAGCTCCTTTTGTGACCCATATGCTTCTAGTACACATTTTAATAAAGACAAATTTCACAATACTGCACTGTGATTAATATAGTCCCTTTTCTGTACAACAGTTTAATGAGGTCAAATTTGAGAAGGGTTTTTAGAAAGTATTCCAAATGCATTAGATATATCCAACCAAGAATTATGAAACCAAAATAATAATTAATATTCATAGATCCCTGTACTGTTTACAAAATACAGAATGTGAGAAAATTGAGAATGCTGAAGGTGAGTGGATGAGAGGCCTCCTGACTGATGCTTCTGTTCTCTCAAAGAAAAATGAAGCAAGGTCATCAGCAGGTAGAGCAGGGAACAGGAGATGGGGTGGAATGCCCATCTGAGATCTGTGGCCAGAAATTTAAAGTAAAAACATTCAGCAAGCATGTGTATTTTTCTTTAGGAACATTTGACTCAGATACAAGCCTAAAGTACAGAAGAGTATATTAACCAGAGCAGGAACTTCCGTGAACAACACTGTCAGGAGAGACAGAAAGGCAAAGGAGTTTATTTATTTATTTATTAATTTATTTATTTATTGATTGATTGATTGATTGATTGATTTAGAGACAGAGTCTCGCTTACACTGTCACCCAGGCTGGAGTGCAGTGATGCAATCTCAGCCCACTGCAACCTCCACCTACCGGGTTCAAGTGATTCTCCTGCCTCAGCCTCCCAAGTAGCTGAGATTACAGGCACACACCACCAGCCCTGGCTAATTTTTGTATTTTTAATAGAGATGGCATTTCACCATGTTGGCCAGACTGATCTCCAACTCCTGACCTCAAATAATCCACCCACCTTGGCCTCCCAAAGTGCCAGGATTATAGGCGTGAGCCATCATGCCTGGCCTGGCAAAGGAGTTATATTTGCAAGAAAGTGTTGTAATTACAGACAATAGAGTCTTATCTGTTTGTGTGTGTTTTTTTTTTAAAGCAAATGAAAACACAAAATAGAATAACTGAGAGTGAGATGGTGATAGATTTGGTGGACAGGAGGTCTTACGAGGTCAAAGGCATGAGCATGGGAGTCCATGGCTTAGGTGCATAGAAGATTAGATCATTAACCTTTGTATAAATTATCTCAACAGCTCCTCACCAGGCCAAAAGGGAATCATTATTGCCATTTTACAGATGAGGAAAATTAAGCTCAAAGAATTTCAATGTCTTGTATAAAATCACAGAGTACATAATAGTGGGAACCAGGACTAGAACCCATGTCTTTGAACTGCAAATCCTGGACTCTCAACAGAAGAATAAGGATAATTTTCTAAGAAGATATTTCATGTCATCTCCACTATTCATTTCGTTCATTACTCTCCAAAAGAATGCTTTCTCTGGGAGGATAAGGAAAAAGGGATGTTTGGATTAAAATGTTGAATGGCATAGCCGCAGAAGACTCAAATTGTATCTCTTTGTGACTATTCCCCATCCAACACGGGAAAATAAAATTTTCCGGAGACTTAAAAAGACAGTTTCAATGCATCATCAGAATGCGTCTAGGGTTCAATTTCAGATCCTACTTACGTATTAGCGGTACTGCAGAACAGAATTAGTATAGAGCTACCTATCAAAGTCCTTGATCACAAGGAACCATGCCTACCACATGACAGTGTGACTCTCAGTTTATGAGCCTAAGTTTAAAACTGCTTCTGTTCCTTAAGGTTACCAAGGATCCTCAAGAATGCACATGAGAGGCATCTGATCCAAAACACATGTTATTCTTGCCTGTTCAAAGAGACGGCAACCAGACTACACTTGAGTTTTCACTGAAGGAAAACAAGGTGTACTTCTATTTCATGCTTAGGGAAGTAAGAAAATTTCAAGAGAACAAGTTCATTTCATTCTTATGTAGATTGTGAATTTTGCCCACCTAGACAGATATTGGGAAGTAAATATCACAACAGGTAGAATACACAAAGCAGCAAGGCTTTACGATCCACTCAATGCTTTTGCTTTATGGATGCAGACATTTACTTATTTGTTCCCTGTCTTCTTTTGTAAATAATGTGAAGCACAAGAACCCCTGCTATCAATATGGGAAAATATAAATAAGGATGCAAAACCAGAACTAGAGAAAATGTACATATGAGTATAAAGATGAGTGAAAACAAAGAAAGTACAGATGTACAGGCTGAGGAGTTCTCCCTCAATGCGATCACTGATGTGTAAATGTGGCTTAAACTTCCTGGAGGTCACTGTATGAGGATGGGGAAGTCTACCAAATCAGGTTATTGGTTTAATAATGAATATTCATTATTTAAAACCAGGTTTTCACATCTCTGAACTGAGAGTTCTTCCCCTCAGGGTTATTTCTTTACTTCCTCATAATGAATGCAGGTGCAAGCCTTAGATCAGCCTGCACCTGGTCCCTGAACTGACCTCACCAGAGAGCCAGTGCCACCCGCAAAAGGAAACCCAGGATAGGGAAGAGCTGTTACTCAACAGCTGCCTTGAGAGGTGTTCTGTCTGATTAATCTATAATTACCTCTATTTTTGTTTTGTTGTTGTTATTAATGTTGTTAGTGGTTAGTTGGTTTTTATACCACCTTTTCCAATACCTGGATCTTCTGGTTTTCACATCATCTTCCTGACTTATATATGGCCCTGGAGTGTCCACTAAAACCCAGGATACAGCTGCACAAGTGTCCACTCCCCCTTCCATTGGTGTTCTGGTTCCTAATTCTTGGATAATGACCCTCATATAGTCCTGATGATAGTTCAAAGTCTTCTCTTCCAACCCATATGGCTGAAACTGAGTGGATTTCAAATATATCTTTAGACTGAATTTAAAACTCAGTGACAACCCTCCAAATAATAACTAACAAAAGAGCCTTGATGAATGAGCAAAATCATTAATGGAAATAGGTAAAACAAGATAAAAAGACCCAGGCAATGCCTATGTCTTTCTCTCTGCCTGAATCAAAGGCCATGCATTGTCAATGTGTTATTAAATGTATTGATCTCATTTGTGTTGTTTGTAACATGGCCCTAAAGCTTGTGGAACAGGTAGAAGACATTCGCAATCAAATCTGGCACAGTGCCCAGCAGAACATTTACTTCACAGATGCAATGTTACTGATGATGAAAACGTTAGAAGGGTGGAAATAATTTGGAAATCCTTCAGTGGAAAGCAACAAAGATAGCTATTAAACAGTTGAAAATGATCTACACTTAGGGGAAGGTTTGTAGAACTAGGCTATTTAGCCTACAGAAGAGGCAGTTAAGTGCAGCATGATAGTAAATCCATGCTTACATGGTACCACTTATAAAGATCATAAACAACTCTTCTCACCTTGATCCATTACAGAACAAGGGAGAAAGAACCTGAGTGGAAAATCAAGAATTTCAGCTCTATCTAAGCCATATGCATATATGCATGCAAGAGCTTCTTTTGAAAATCAGAGTTTTAATGACTAGATTTGGATTTTGTGGCAAAGAGATTGCAATTCATCTCCTGAAATAAAAAAAAAAATAGAACAGCAACCTCCTATCTCCCAACATCTCCATTTTACAATGAAAATCTTTATTGTTCATCAGCTGCAATATTCTTTCAGATTTTATATATTTTATATATAAATATATATATATTTCATATATATATATAATTTAATATCAGACACCTGGCTAGAAATCAACAGGCAGAGTGTATTTGATTTTGTGCCTGAAAACAGTTGTTTAAAGTGCTCAACTCCAGCACTTTACTCCAGGAACACCTTATAATAGTCATTTTCAGCAGTCTGTTTAAATCCCCTGGATTATCTATTTGAAGCCATAAATGTGCTAGCACCCAGCAACTGAACCTCCTGTGAACCCATGTTATTTTTTAAGGTTGTTATAGATGGATTTGGTTACTAATTTTTTATGGAGCAGGGACACACTGCCACATAATATAAACAATTTCTCCTTGTGCATAAATCACCCTTCCCCTGTGCGGTAGAGTAGCCCTTGGAACAGCTGGTATCTGAGGATGGCTGTTTACTTAAGACTTTGTTCTCAAGTCGATAAGAACTGTCAGACTAAGGAAGTATATATATATATATACTTCTCTTCATATATACATATATATATATATATATTTCATATATGGGGACATCCCAAACACAAAGCATAAAATCTTCATTATTTAGGCTTCATTTCAGTATTTGAGGATATAAACAGGTCCATTTGGTTGGATTTAGCTCTGCTCAATTAAAGCTGAATTTATGCCATACCATCAAGCATCGGTATTGACATTTGGTGGCATTCAAGATGTTATTTACACTCAGCATACTGAACGTCCGTGCAACTGTTTGCATTAGGTTCAAGCCTCAGGCTCTTTGTTTGCTGAGGTTCACCTAACGTAGTTTAGCCCCATAAAGATTCCTGAAAGAGGCTCTTTGAGCTAAAGCAACTCCATAGAAAGTCATGCATGTGCAGCGTAAAATTTATCAGCCATCTGTCAGGAAAATGTATCCATATGCTTCTTAGTGCATTTGTCAAATCAGACATCAGCTCAAGCCCTCATAATCATGTTGGAGAAAGAGCAATTCTCACCTCACCCCCCATCAAATCTGTTGACCTTAAATGGCTTCCTATTTTACTGTTTTCTCATGTATTACTAACATTTAATTTTCTTGATAATCCTCAGAAGTATCATTACTCCTAGTTTATAAGTAAGAAAATTGAAGCTGACAGAGATTGAGATTTGCCCCAAGGTTGCACAACCAGCAAATGGTAAAACTCATGAACTCTCAGCAAAGGGAACAATACACTCCCTATAGTTACCTGCTATTGGGGTGGGGGAAAATACACACACACACACACACACACACACACACACACACATACCCATCCACACATAGATACATGCATATGTTTTTTTTTTTTTTAAACAGAGTCTCGCTCTGTCACCCAGGCATGCTCCACAATGCCCGGCTAATTTTTGTGTTTTTAGTAGAGATTAGATCTCGCTATGTTGGCCAGTCTGGTCTCCCACTCCTAACTTTAAGTAATCAGCCCACCTCAGCCTCCCAAACTGCTGGGATTATAGGCATGAGCCACCATGCCCAGCCATGCATATGTTTTTATATATACATATATGTGTGGATGTGTGTGGGTACACAAACCATAAAGTTAGCAAATGTCCCTACCTCTTTGCTTGAATAGTTTAGAATTTAAAAAATATATATTCAATCAAAACACCAGGATTTAATTACTCCATACTTTGAAGTTCTTAAAAGGTCCAATGAATTGCAGATATTATTAGACTTAACTTTACGATAGGAGAGGACTTGCCCTGTGACTTACTTGGCACAAAAAAGAGGAGTCATTTTTCTCTACCTCAAAGTTTTCCATGTCATTGTCATATTCTAAATATTTAATGAGTTGAATTTTCTCATATTGCCCTCTGCTTTTACACAGCTCAGTTGCCAATCAGAGAAAACTAGAACTCTTCCTATTAGTCTCTTCTTTGGCTCCAGACACTAAAGGCTATTGCTCTAGAATACTAATATACTATCTGACAGTGATGAAACAATGGTTACCTATTAACATCTTAGCACAAGTAAAATTAAAAAGTAGCCAAACATATGACAAGATTTCAAGAGACTGCCACTTCAGGTAGGTAAGTTTTTGTGTGATAGCTGGAAAGGTCTACATAGAGCCAGTGAGTTTAAGCTTATTCCATGCTTGTCCAGAAGATGAGGAGTCAAAATCATTGCCAGACAATAAAATTGCATCAATAGCCATGAAGAGTCAAGAAGGTCCATCTAAATAGATGCGACTCAAACATGAATCCAGCGCATAAGGCGAAGAGCATTGAATCTAGATTTCTTCTACTGGTAAACTTGCTAAACATCAAAGTTTTATGATGTAATTTAAAAAAAATTAATCTGAACTACTACTCAAATTCATGTAATTAGTTACTTCCAGCTTCTTTACTTGTACAGTGTTAATTAATCCAGCCTGCCAGCATGATTCCTGGAAGGAACTCATATAATAACGATAGCAGGGCCAGATGCTAGTGCCTGACACATCCACAGATTCATGTGGACTAGAAAAATGTGAAGGCTGGGTGTGATGGGTCACACCTGTAATCCCAGCAATTTGGGAGGCTGAAGCGGGCAGATCTCTTGAGCTCAGGAGTTCAAGACCAGCCTGGGTAACATGGTGAAACCCTGTCTCTGCATGAAATAGAAACATTAGCCAAGCATGGTTGTGAATGCCCGTAGTCCCAGCCACTCAGGAGGCTGAGGTGGGAGTACTGTTTGAGCCCAGGAAGTGGAGGTTGCAGTGAGCTGAGATCGTACCACTGAACTCCAACCTGGATGACAGAGTGAGACTCTGTCAAAAAAAAAAAAAAAAAAAAAAGAAGAAGCAATAAAAAATATGTAATCTCCTCATCCCAAACCAAAATTCTTAGGTTCCCACGGTTTGAGTAGGATATTGGATATCAGGATCTAGAGTTGTACCACGCAATGCGACAGCCACTTGTCACATGGGGCTACTTAATGTAAATTTAAATTAAATTAAAAATCAACTCCTTAGTTTCGCTAGGCACCTTTCAAGTGCTCCCTAGCCACGTGGGGCTAGTGGCTACATTATTGGGCAGCACAGATATTGAACATTGTCTTCATCACAGAAAGTTCTATTAGACAGCACTGCCTTTAGAGAATAAAACATGATATTTCTCTAAAATTGGGCTTCAAGATGGATAGCTCAGGAGACAAATGGCAGCCTGAATAGGGACATAGAGGTCAAGTGTAGGATTGCTTAAGAATGCTGGCAGAGTGACTTCTGAAATTCACCAGGGGTAAGTAATGGCACACAAACCTCAAATATATATTCTCACTCAGCTTCACAGGGTGTTTAAGGAACCTGGCCTTGTTCTAGACCGGTCAATGACAGATTAGGTAGAAACTTGAACATCATGAGTAACAAATTGCTTTGCCTCTGTTAGCAGAGAATCAAATATCCCTCACATGAAAACATGACAAAGCTGTTTTAGCCTGTGTTTCTAGGAAACAGCGCTCCTCTTCATCTTCCAGATCCAGGAGGTTCCCAAACTCTCTGAAGTACTTGATGCTTCTCTCCTTTCTTTGAACCTCATGGCCCTGCCCTAGTACAGGTCCTTTTACAAGAGTCTCCTAACTGGTTACCTCCCATACCTCTCTCTCCAAAGCACTTTTCACCTTGCTTCTGGAGTTTCTTTCTTAAATATACATCTGATCATTTCCTTCTCCATTACAGGTGATTGTTAATTCTAGTATCCTAAATTTTCCAGATTTAGGGGTTCACTTTTAATGTCCAAATTAAATAGCAAACACACACACACATATAAGTCCTTATATAGCTTATTTATACAAGACAAATAAAGGCATAGGTGTATCTATATGTGAATGAATTCCTGGACATGAATAACCTACCTGCCACCTCTCACCCTAATCAGTCACTCTTGTGTCCTCTTTTCGTTTCCTTTGGGTATCTGGTCAGTGTTTCCATAGATTGGTGCCATCTCCAGCACCATCGGATAAAGTAAGAATGAGACTTTATTCTTCATTCTAAAGAAACTGCTAATCCAAAGCTACATAAAGTTTAGTACTTTATTCTTTTTTTCTGACAATCTGAGGATCACACAAGAAAGAAGTCATGCAGGAAGGGCAAATTTAAAGCTCCATATAAAATACTGTGCTCCTACAGTCCATAAACCCTACCTGATCCACAAACACCCCTACTGGCTATCTTTTCATTCAATACCTAATCTGAGGTCATGCTATATGGTTCTAATGCCCTCTCTGACTTAAGCGCCTGTTCCCTTGTTCTTCCCTGCCCAAGTCCTGGGAGCACGAGAACCTACCTCGTCCTTCTAAAAGTAAAAACTCAATTAGCATAACTTCCTACTCCAAAAAATATTTCTCTATCCTGCACAACTGTCTGACTTCTTGGGCCTGAATTTTACATCTTGGTTTTATATGAATAAAAATCCTAATAAAGGACTTTTCAAATATGAAGATATTCATTCCCCAAAGGACCAATTGTGAACATGAAAATTTTTCATAAAATAGTATCAAATCCATAGCATATGGGACAAACTCTACATAATATAGTTGAAGGAGAATTAAATGCCAAAAGATATTAGAAAACTAGCTGCATTTCTGTCATTATTGGATGTATAATCTTGGTCAAGTCTGGTAATCTCTCTGCATTTCTATTTTTCTCATCTACAAAATGAGAATATGATATTGTATGCAAAAATGTACAAGCTGTGATGTACACATTTGGATGTAATAGTTACCATGATTATTATTATTTAAGCATTCAAGACATACCATCTTCTGTTTTTTTTATTCTTATCTTCTGCTACTACCTTACACAAACATCAGTTAAGATAACTCATTCTTTTCTCAACATATTCAACCCTTTCTCAGCATAAAACACTTGTTCTAAAGCAGGACCTACAAACTACAGCCTACAAGCCCAATCTAACCCAATAACTGTTTTTGTATGGCTCCAAGAGGTGAAAATGGGTTTTGCCCATAATGAGATACCACCTCACATCAGTCAGAATGGCTATTACTAAAAAGTCAAAAAAGAAGCCGGGTGCGATGGCTCACGCCTGTAATCCCAGCACTTTGGGAGGCTGAGGCGGGCGGATCACAAGGTCAGGAGATCAAGACCATCCTGGCTAACATGGTGAAACCCCGTCTCTACTAAAAATACAAAAAATGAGCCGGGTGTGGTGGTGGGCGCCTGTAGTCCCAGCTACTCGGGAGGCTGAGGCAGGAGAATGGCGTGAATCTGGGAGGTGGAGGTTGCAGTGAGCCGAGATCACGCCACTGCACTCCAACCTGGGCGACAGAGCAAGACTCCATATCAAAAAAAAAAAAAGAAAAGAAAGATCAAAAAAGAACAGATGCTGTTGAGGTTGCACAGAAACATGAACACTAATACACTGTTGGTAGGAGTATAAATTGTTTCAACCATTGTAGAAAGCAGTATGATGATTCCTCAAAGAGCAGAGCTGCCATTTGACCCTGCAATCCCATTGCTGGGTATATACCCAGAGGAATATAAATTATTCTACTATAAAGACACAGGCAGGCAAATGTTCATTGTAGCACTGTTCACAATAGCAAAGACATAGAATCAACTTCAATGTCTATCAATAACAGATTGGATTTTTAAAATGTGGCACATATGCACCATGGAACACTATGCAGCCATAAAAGGGAAAAAGACCATGTCTTCTACAGGAACATGGATGGAACTGGAGGCTACTATGCTTAGCAAAATAACACAGGAGCAGAAAACCAAATACTGTATATTCTCACTTATAAGGGGGAGCTAAATAATAAGAACTTATGAACTCAAAGAAGGAAACAACAGATACTAGGGTCTACCTGAAGGGGGAGGGTGGCAGAAGGGAGAGGAGCAGAAAAGATAACTATTGGGTACTGGGCTTAATACCTGGGTGATGACATAATAGGTACAACAAACCCCCACGGCACGTGTTTACCTACATAAAAAACCTTCACATGTACCTCTGAACCTAAAATAAAAGTTAAAAAAAAAAAAACGGGTTTTGCATTTTTAAATGGTTAGGAGGAAAAGCAAAATATGAATAATACTATATGACATCTAAAATGATACGAAATCAAAATTCAGTGTTCATAAAAAAGTGTTATTGCAACACAGCCATGCTCATTCCTTTATGGATTGCCTATGGTTGCTTTTGTGCTGAAACAGCAGAGTTGACAAGTTACTTCAGAGACTGAATGGTCCACAAGGCCTAAAATATCTACTGTTTGGCATTTTACAGAAAATGTTCGCCAACTCTACACTGATCCCTTCTTAGAATGCCTTTCCTCGTGCCTTGTTTGCCCATGACAATGTACAGTTGACCCTGAACAATGTGGAGGTTGGCAAGCTTTTGTGTACAACTTTCTGACTCCCCAAAAACTTAACTATAAATAACCTACTGTTGACTGGAAGCCTCACCAATGACTTAAACAGTCAGTTAACACATATTTTGTATATTATAGGTATTATATAGTGGATTCTTACAACAAAGTAAGCTAGAGAAAAGAAAAAGGTATTAAGAAAATCATAAAGAAGTAAACATATATGTACTCTTCATTAAGTGGAAGTGGATCATCATAAAGGTTTTCATCCTCATGGTTATCATGTTAAGTAGGCTGAGGAGGAGGAAGAGGAGGGGTTGGTTTTGCCATCTGCGTATGAGTGAACCCATGCAGTTCAAACCCATGTTATTTAACGGTAAACTGTATACACTTATCAAGACCCAGCTCAAATGCCACCACCTTCATGGGGCCTTCCCTGCTACTTATGTCTAGGCTAGAAATTCCTCCCATAGGCTTTATAGCACTGAGTGGCACAAAATAGATTCTCATTAAACATCTATGGAATGAATAAGTTAGTATTTCATTTTCCATTAAAACTATAATATTCTGAGGAACAGGGCAGTCACTTATAACAACTTCTATTGCAGCATCTGAACTTGTGTTTTTCCTATTGAAAGCATTTAAGTAATATTTGCTGAATAAAACATAGCTACTACTAATAACAGTGACATTTTAATAAGAGGTTACAATGTTCCATACAAGATGCAACTGACCACAGATGCATGGGTGAATTTAGATAGAACTAAAACAACTCAGCCAGCTATAGGCTCTTGAGTAATAGTAAATGGTTAATTTTTAAGCCACTAAGTTTTAGGTGGATTGTTTCACAGCAATAGCTAACTGATATAAAGGGTAACTATGAGAGGTAAATAAAGTCTACCACATACTCACCATTTTATCTTTGGGACTTAGCGGAAGTATTTTATCCCGTCTCTAGTCGTAATCTTGTTTCTTCATCACACAAACACTTCCTGGGCAGCTTCAGTGCACTGGGAACCTGTACTCTAGCCTGAATACTCTCTTCTTAGTGCTTACTTTGTGGGAATCTTTTCTTCAAAACCATTGCAAACATCACTGACATTTAGATCAAAGATTGTCTGCTTTCTCTGCCAGACTTTAGCTGACTGAGATTTGTTCTGGAATCTTGTAGTGGAATCTTGCATACCTAGACATAGGTAGCAGGGAAGACCCCCCTTGAGAACAATATTAAACGTGGTGATGAAGTCAACAACAGTGTCAGAATGTGCCTCCAAAGGAGTATGGGTTAACTGAACAACCAGAAATTAACAAAGGAATCAGAACCAGGCACACCCCTTGATTTTGATCAGCCCACCAACCACTGCTCCTAAGGAATACAAGGAAGCCATCTAGGGAACCGCCTGCTATAACTCCCTAAGTCTCTGAAACCAAAAGCCATAAAATCACACCTACCAGGAAGCATGCAACATCTATTACATAAAAATGACTTCTAAAGAATACAGAGTTGGTTCAAAACAATTTCCTGGAAGATATATGTTTTATCACTTATTTTCTGAACTGTATCTGAAAACTGAGTTTCCTGCCACCAATCTCAACCTTAATTCACCAGATTCGTTTTGAAGATCTGCCTTAGAGGAGTAAGAGATGTGCTAGTCTCCCGATATTGGCCTTGTAAAGAAGGACAGGCACATAATAGATTGTAATTGAAATGGGAATGCTTCATTTTATAGACACTCAAATATTTGATTTAACAGTGTTCCAAGATGTATAATTCAAAATTGGCCTGAGTGTGAAGCTTGAAATTTTGGTACTTCTGTGAATGAAGCCTGCTGTTTTGTTTTGTTTTAACCAATACTGTTGTGTGTTCTTATGTATTTCCACTAAGGGTTAAAATTTCAATTTAGTCCCTGTCAGATGCATGCCTCTTTTTGTTCACATACATGGAAAAGTGAGCATAATCTATCACGATGTTTCATTGTTTCTCTTTTCCTGTGGTGCCCTTGGTCATGTAAAAGAACACATGACTGCTTATTGTAAACCTCTGTGACAAAGTCAATATATTTCACCTTAAAAATATCTCAGGTCTTCTAAGGCCCTATTGGGCAGGATATTTCTTAAGGTTAATTTGCAATCAGTCTTTCTCCTTCCTAAGGAAAAAGGGAGAGACAGATAAATAAGCACCATTTTAGGCATTCAAAGAGTTGAGTTGTTAGTAAAGACCCTGAGCTAGTGGCATATCCTGTTTGCAACTGTGTAGATAAACTATGGCTAAATGCACAAACTGTTATATGTCATAATTAGATTTCAAAATAAGTAGGTTTCAAAGGAATGCATTTGTCTTAGCTTTGAGAACATGATTTTTGGAGAGAATAACCAGGCCCTTAATTATACCACATATAGAGAAAAATTTTTAAATTGAGGTTATGGTCATAAATTCCTATTTTGTGTGTGCTTGTGTGGTCTTTTCTATGCATCCCTAGCAAAGAGGTTCAGCATTTTCCTAAAAGTTTGTGTTTAGGAAAAGTCCAAAGTCTAGAAGAAAGTACATCAGGGAAGTACATTAACACCGTGTCTGAGAAATTTCACCTTGACTTTTTTTTATCCACAAACAAGGATAGCTGGGCCTTTCCTTACTGAATGAGAGGAGGCAGTGACCTTTCTCTCTATTCCTCATCACTCATCCCACTGAATTCCCATGGGTAAGGACATTATAAAGACATAGATGTAAGCAAGAAGTAGGTAGCATATCTAGTACGTTTAATCCCGATAGCCATTGGCACCATACCTAGAACTAATTATAGTAGTATATTTTGACATTGTCATCAAAAGATGCCTATCAAAATGTAAATTTTGATTTCTGGGGGTTTTTATTTTGTTTTTATCAAAATAATATGCCTGAGTCATGTCCTGCCTCTTATTTCACCCCAACCCCACTCCGCTCTAAGACTGCCACTCTGTAATTTTCAATGTATTACTTGTATTTTTATGAGTAATTATTATTTTTGTTTATTCTAATCCCAGCAGAGACAGGTACACCTTGAGACAGGTATATGTTGATGTCATAGGCATTTAGAGGTTGAAGGGAATGATCTCAAAAGGGCAACAGATTGATAGGTCTTGCTTGGTCCGTGAAATATTTGTCCACATTATATGTTTTAATTAAATCTGGATTTCAGGCATCTCTTGAAAAATCTGCAGATCTGGAATAATGGTTTGGCAATAACCTAGTAGAATAGAGTACTGTAATGGCTACCCTGTTGGGATGGGTATCTACTTTCTAGCTCACCACAATTTCCGCCATTCCTACCCTGTTTGCTTCACTGATTCCCTTTAACTATTTCATCTCTGTAAGCGTTGAGCTTAGTGTGGGTGCTTAGTTTTGACTCCTTGTCTAGGATGTGCAGTGATGCTTTGCAACAGGACTACGGAGGAAGTCACTCAGATGTCCCGATACAGGAGCTGTTTCACGGAAGGGGGCAGAGAGAGGTGCCAAAGACAAGTTTTACACTCAGCATGATTTGCATGGGGACAGCCCACATAGCTACTACAAAACAAAAAATCATCTGCAAAATAATTGCCTACATAAAACTTTGTCTGAAAATATGTGTGTGTTTTTTTAATTATAAAGAACAAAATACTAAGAGATTTAAGAAAGAATGGTACTTTTATAGCAGTCAAATAGAAATTATTGGCTAAAAAGCAGAGTTGTAATAAACTCCAGTTTAGAAGTTGTAACTTTTAAATAAAAATAGTTCTGGCAAAGAAGAAAAATGGGTTATTTAAGAAAAGTTTGTGACAAAGGAGAGTGCAATTTTACCAGAATAGATGATTATGGGTTTAAGAAAAGAGAAATTTAGATCTAGAAGCATATGTGATAGCCATTTAAACCATTTATGAAGTGATTTTATACTTTTACCATCATTAGTCAAAGCACCAAGCAATGGCTAAAACACCCAGCACAAAACCATCATATTACAATTCTGAAATGTTATATTGAAGTATTAACACACCTTTTAGGGAACCGTAAGTATGAACATTTAAAATGAGTTTGCTTGTGAGGACATTTCAAATGATAGGAAACAATTTACACTTGGGTTTGAAAAATGACTCAATTCCAAGGTCATTTTAGATTCTCCCTGTAGCCTGGGAGAATCCAGGGGGATTTGGTGAGCCTGCTCAATTACAGTTGCCCTTCTCCCTTCCCCCAACCCTACCAAGACACTCTCTCAAGTTTTACTTTATGAGAACAGGTAATTTTTGCAATGTGCTTTATCCTCTCACTGCCAATGTCAAGCCCCAAAGGCAATGGATTACAAATTGCATGACTCAAATCTGGGACAGAAATAGCTGGGGGAAACCTGGGAGGCATAGGTAAGGTAGAGCCCATAAGACAGTGAATGCCGAGTCTGGGTCCCAGAGAAAAATGCTGAATGCAGGTCTGGAAGATAAGAGCTAAACAATAGATGAGAACCAAACAGGCAAGCAAGGGTGAGGCTTTATAAAATGAATGCTAACATCCAACACTGAGTTCTTACCATTTGCTGGCCACTATTCTACACTCTTTGCATGCATTAATCCATTTAAGCCTCAACACTAATAAGTTTTATTATTAGCAAACTGGAGCCGAAAGATATTAGGTAACTTGTCCAAGGTCAGACAGTATTGGAGGTGATAAAGACAGAAGATGTGAACTAGTGCTTACTGAATTTAGTGCACCTGCATGTTCCCACTGTAATGTACAGTCTCACTGGACAGCAAGCAGAGGGTTGCAGAGTTATCTTGCAGAACATTCTGTGATGATGGAAATGTTCTACAACTGCCCTGCCCAATACAGTAGCCACTGGCTCTTGAAATGTCACTATTGAGCACTTGAAATGTGGCATGGTGATTAGGTAAATTAGGTAGTATGAGGAACTGTATTTTTACATTTCCATTTTGTTTTAATTATTTTAAATTTACTTTTTTATTTTTTATTTCATTTTATTTTATTTTTTTTTGAGGCGGAGTCTCACTCCATCGCCCAGGCTGGAGTGCGGTGGTGTGATCTCGGCTCACTGCAACCTCTGCCTCCTAGGTTCAAATGATTCTCTTGCCTCAGTCTCCTGAGTAGCTGGGATTACATGTGCCCACCACCATGCCTGTCTAAGGCTTTTGTGTTTTTAATACAGATGGGGTTTCACTATGTTGGTCAGGCTGGTGACTCCTGACCTCCTGATCCGCCTGCCTTGGCCTCCCAAAGTGCTGGGATTACAGGCATGAGCCACCGCGCCTGGCCTTAAATTTACTTTTAAATATTTTCATGTGGCTAGTTGCTATCAAATTGATTGGACAGTGAGGGCGAGAGGCCAGGTGCACTCCTCATCAGGAACTACAAGAACACAGACGGTGGACCTCAAAAGCAAGGCAGATATTTGGAAAGCCAAAGCCACCTTTCTGATCAAACAAGACTCCTGTTTAAAATCCTCCAAAGGCTCTCTACTGCTTTCAGATAAAAAATGAAGACTACCCTTCACCCACCGTCCTGCACCCCAGCTGCCACTCTTCAGCCCTTGGACACACCCCCAAACTACACACTACGCTTCTTGCAGTCACGACGCAATCACTCTTCCCTTCACCTACTCCAGGTCTCCTCTTCTCAACCTATGCATCTCAACTTTCAAAGCCCAACTTCAGAGCTTCCTCCTCAAGAAAACTTTCCTCCAAACTGAGTTTGGTGACAAAACTTCTCCGCTTTCTCAGTTCTGCCTGGCATTTTTTTTACAGACCTCCTTCAGGCACGTATTGCAATGCTTGTTATTTGGATTCTCCCCCCTCGAAAGATGTAACCTCCTTGAGGACAGAGACTGTTTTTCATTTCTAAATTCTCAGTTTCTGATCTGTCTACCATTTGGGCCATAGCAGATGTTCCAGAAATGTTCATTGAATGAGGGATTGAAAATCTGCCAGCAACAAAGCAAGCAGAACAGCCCCCTTAAGAAGTCTCTGGAGAGCTGAAGTTGTTCTTGACTTGTATTATTGCTTCCTGGACCAGTGCTACGAGATTGAAGGTCACAGAAAAACTTATTGTTGGGAGGATCAGCAGCTTCTGACAGGCACAGTCTGATATTTATTTTCTTTATACCTCATTTCATATTTAGATAGCACCTTACTGATATTATCTCTCTAATCTTTCCATTAGGAAAGTGAGAAGAGAGGAGTGAAAATGACTTGTTCAAGGTTATGAAAGGCAGAGAGCAGTCACAGAAAATACTTTAACACTTTCCAACTAATCCAAGGCCCTACGTGCATAGGATTTAGGATGTGCTACATTAGCACTTAAAAATGACATGCTAGAGAGTAATTATGAGTTGGCTCTGTGCCTTGGTCCTATACCTGGGATGTCCAAAGGGATCATATACGTCTGCCAATTTTGTAAAGATTGGTGCATGATAGAGTTTAACAATGTGGCAGTGGATGAATAAGAAAGTAGGGGTGGGAGATGGGGTGTGGGGATACAGAACAGCCATGAGACCATGACTACCAGAAAGACGAAGGCAGTGAGAAGAGTAAGCTCTAATGCCATGGGGAAGGGCAAAGGTAGGGTCAACAAAGACCTGGAAAGGAGATGATAAAATAAGTCATAGTAATAGAATGAACAACAGAATCAATAAATACTAAAACTACAATAGCAGTTATTTCTTTTTTTTCTTTTTTTCTTTTGAGACAGAGTCTTGCTCTGTCACCCAGGCTGGAGTGCAGTGGCATTATCTCGGCTCACTGAAACCTCCGCCTTCCAGGTTCAAGCGATTCTCCTGCCTCAGCCTCCTGAATAGCTGTGACTATAGGCACACGCCACCATGCCCAGCTAATTTTTGTATTTTTAGTAGAGAACAGGGTTTCACCATGTTGGCCAGGATGGTCTCGATCTCTTGACCTCGTGATCTGCCTGCCTCTGCCTCCCAAAGTGCTGGGATTACTGGCATGAGCTACTGCGCCTGGCCTAGTTATTTCTTTAGTACGTATTATGTAAAGGTGTATAACATGTTGTTTTTGGTTTTCACTCAAATTCTAAAGGCAAGCATTACCATGTCCACTTTCTGGATGTGAAAACTGAAGTTCAGAGAAGTTAAGCAAGTTCATGTATTCGTGAAATGCATGAGAAAGTAGGGGTGGGAGATGGGATGTGGGAACAGAGAACAGCTGCGAGACCATGATGACCACAGGGACGAAGGCAGTGAGAGGAGTAAACTCTAATGCCATGGGGCAAGGCAAAGGTAGTGTCAACAAAGACCTGGAAAGATGATAAAATAAGTGATCATAGTAGAATGAACAATATAATTGATAAATACTAGAAATACAATTACAGTTTTTCTCTTTAGTACTTATTATGTAAGGGTGTGTAATGTGTTATTTTTAATTTTCACTCAAATTCTAACGGCAAGCCTTATCATGTCCATTTTCTAGATGTGAAAACTGAGGTTCAGAGAAGTTTAAGCAAGTTCAATGTACACAGCTATTAGATGGCAGGATCTGGTACTGAGCCTGGTTTGTTTTCTTCTATGCGCAAATGTCGGGAGAGTCTCTGTTGCCTCGGATCATTCAGTGACTACCATCTACTGGCCCCATTACAACTAAGGCAAACATTCGTTTTCAGTGAAAACCAGGCTCCCGTGCACACAGTCCCTTCCCTCTTTGTAGAACTAGCCCAGCCTTCCAAGAAATTTCAGCAAATCTGATTAGTGTATCTCAGGATGCCGGAATCTCCCAGATGACTGTAGTACTGGCTTCATTATGTTGTTTTCTGCTCTCTCCAGTGTCTTTGTTGTCCAAAGGAAGTGTTTAAGTTACAGCATGCAGGTGAAAAACTTATTCCTTGACAGTCTACATAAAGCTTTTTTTCTAGAAAATACCCTATTGTTTGACAGAAATAAGTATCTCTAATTAAAAGTATCAAGAAGGGACTCTAAAAAAGGGTAAAACTGTTTTTTCCAAAGCAAAACACTTCTGCCCACTGCCATATGTGCCCACTTATCCCCCCATCAAAAGAAGCTCGTGTTTACTGATGAAGAGACAGAGGCCCTGCTGGAATCTATGCAGTCCTAGTAACAATAGAGAGAAAGCGGTCAGGTGCAGTGGCTCACGCCTATAATCCCAGCACTTTGGGAGGCTGAGGCAGGTGGATCACCTGAGGTCAGGAGTTTGGGACCAGCCTGGGCAACATGGTGAAACCCCATCTCTACTAAAAATACAAAATCAGCCAGGCATGGTGGTGCACACCTGTAATCCCAACTACTTGGGAGGCTGAGGAAGGAGAACCGCTTGAACCCGGGAGGTGGAGGTTACAGTGAGTCAAGATCATGTCATTGCACTCCAGCCTGGACAACAGGGAAACTCTGCATCAAAAAAATTAATTAATTAATTAATTAATTAAATTAAATTAAATTAAAAATGGAGACAAAGCACTAGCACTGGAATAGCAGATTTTTCTGGCATCCAAATTTCTATTCACTTTCAACCCAAAATTATATTCATTGATTTTTCTTCAGGAACAAAGAAAAAAAACCTGAGGGAAGAGTGTTAAAAGTCCACGCATATGATCTCATTTTATAGTCATATTTTTTATTCCCACTGAATACTCAGAAAACTGAGGCTCAGAGAAGAGATCGAAGTTCACAGGGATAGTATATAGAAGAAGGAAATCTCATACCCAGTTCTTTTCTTGGTCTTAGAGAAGAAAATGGGTGAATAAAATGAAGAATCTATGGCTAAATAAATAGCAGAGTTTCATAACTTAGAGTTAATGATTGGTTCAATTCTAGTATTTTATCAGATATTTTCAGCCTTTGTTTCTCCTCTCCTCAACAAAGTTGTAAAGAAACAAGCCAGGACATTTGGGCCAGCCTCTGTATTCCAGACCATCTTATCTTTCCCCAAGTACACACACAGAAAACCACATCTCATTAGTCCATGATCTAGCCCTTTGCTACTCAAAAGTATGGCTCAATAAGGCAGCAACATTAGCATGACCTGGGAGCTTGGGAGAAATGCAGAATCCCAGGCCCCATCCAAAACCCATGAAATTCAACAAGATTGCCCCTGTGCTTATTAAAATCTGAAAAGCACCCTTTTCCTCATCTTTCTTTAGCACAGATGCTCCTTATAGGAGGCTAATTCTATACTCAACTTTTTCTTTTTTTTTTTTTTTTGAGACAGGGTCTTTCTCTGTCACCCGGGCTGGAGTGCAGTGGTGCTATCACTGCTCACTGCAGCCTCAACTTCCTGGGATCAAGTGATCCTCCTGCCTCAGCCTCCTGAGTAGCTGGGTTACAGGCATACACCACCAAACCCAGCTAATTTTTGTATTTTTTATAGAGATGGGGTTTCACCATGTTGAACAGTCTGGTCTAGAACTTGGGCTCAAGTTATCCACCTGCCTTGGTCCCCCAAAGTGCTAGGATTACGAGCATGAGCCACCTTGCCCAGCTTATACCCCACTTTTTTCTTTTTCTTTTTCTTTTTTTTTTTGAGCCGGAGTCTCGCTCTGTCGCCCAGGCTGGAGTGCAGTGGCGCGATCTCCGCTCACTGCAAGCTCCGCCTCCCAGGTTCACGCCATTCTCCTGCTTCAGCCTCCCGAGTAGCTGGGACTACAGGCGCCCGCCACCGCACCCGGCTAATTTTTTGTATTTTTAGTAGAGACGGGGTTTCATCGTGTTAGCCAGAATGGTCTCGATCTCCTGACCTCGTGATCCGCCCGCCTCGGCCTCCCAACGTGCTGGGATTACAGGCGTGAGCCACCGCGCCCGGCCCACTTTTTTCTATCCTGGGTATTAGCAGTGAAAATAACTCTCTGCTGTGGTATAAGCTGGCTAAATATAGCCTTCTTTCCAGTTAGCTAATTAAAAATCCCATGGCACTACAAGGTTCTTGAAGAATAATACTGTTGGCATCTTAGCAGGCCAGTGAGGGAATATTTTATTTTGAATCATTTTTCTGTTTCTAATGGAAAGCATGTCAGCTATGGGCTCTTCTCCTTAAGCCCATGGACATTACTGCCTTCATCCTCTTTTTGTGGGACAGTGTAAATAACACCATGCTCAGGTTGATGCACAGTTCATGTCTGGTGAGCTGCACAGTGGCTAAGTTTCAGGACCAGCTCAGCCACTGCACAGCTCAACAATCATGAGCTGTGCATCAACCTGCTTTGATCTCAGTTTCCGTCTTTATAAGATAGGGATGTTAAGTGAGAATAGAATTTTTCAAGTGTCTCTCACAGAATATTCATAGAGATTCACACACACATAAACACGCGCATCACAGAATATTCATAGAGATTTACACACACATACACACATGCAAATACATGCATACACACACGTACTCACTTCATGCAGGCTCACCTTTTGAGAAATATCTCTTTTGAAAACTTAAAATGCACTTAAGTGTTAAAGGGCCTGAAAAGTCTTGCAGTGAAAAAACAAGAGTTTAAGCAAGGATTTCTTAAATTATTGCCCAAAAATGACCCTCACATTCTGTTTTTTTTTTCCTGCTTATTTTCACACTTTGAGAAATACTAGGCTAGAAGACCTCAAAGGACTCCTCCAGCTATTACATTCTATTACCATCTCATGATTCTACCATTTTGCCATCTCATCATAGAGGATTCTGTTGATTTTTGTCTTATTGGTTTTCAAAGTCATTGCAAAATTTATAATCATTATTTGAACCAAATTTTGCTTTAGAGGACAATAGAGTCTCCACAAAATACCTTTGCTTCTAGAATAAATGCAGGCAGAGAAACATGGAAGGACTAGACTGGCTGAATCTTCTGGCCTTCATCCTTCTCCCATACTGCATGC
Source organism: Homo sapiens (assembly GCF_000001405.40). NCBI lineage: Eukaryota > Metazoa > Chordata > Mammalia > Primates > Hominidae > Homo > Homo sapiens. The sequence goes on from NC_000002.12 coordinate 221,221,728, forward strand.
TTCCTGCCCTTGAACATCAGACTCCAAATTCTTCAGCCTTTGGACTCTTGGACTTATATCAGTGGTTTGCCAGGGGATCTCGGGCCTTTGGCCACACACTGAAGGCTGCACTGTTGGCTTCCCTACTCTTGAGGTTTGGGGACTTGGACTGGATCCCTGGCTCCTCAGCGTGCAGGCAGCCTATTGTGGGATTTCACCTTGTGATTGCATAAGTCAATTCTCCTAATAAACTCCCCTTCATATATTTATCTATCCTATTAGTTCTGTCCCTTTACAGAAAGCTGACTAATACACATATCCTCCTCCCTCAGGGAAGGTGACAGGTATAAAAGTGTTTTCTTTTATTTCTATGAAAGGAATCTAAGGATGAAAGGATAAGGTTCCTGTGCCTACTGCATTTTCAAAACCTATTTTCTAGCTATCTGAAAACTTTTTATAGAATTCAACTGTCTCTCCCTGATACCTCATGCCCCCACGCAGGCGTGAAGGTATGTTTATGACGTGAAAGGAGGATATTTGAAGGAAGTCTGTCTTGTGATCCCTGGCTGAGCTCCTGCTTAACGCTGTGTGTGACCAAACCAACCTTTCATCAAAGGAGTCCTTGCCACAAATCTCAGTGATTTCAATCATGAGATTATTTTTCTTATTTTGAATGCAAGTGTAAACAGAATTTGAAAAAGCTCTTTTAACCTTTTGGAAACCATTTGAGGGTTTGTGTGCCACAGACATGGACAATCTTTGTGTTAATAAAACGCCAACTGAAAATTTTCAATTCTAAGCCCGTTACCTCGGAAGATTGTTCTAACCCACGGTAATTTCATTCCAATAATTTTCATTTAGTTATCATTTCCCATTGATCTAACATGCTTGCCTATCCTTCATAATAGTCCAGCCTGACAGGACATATTTGTGAAAAACATCTGATTACCTCCAATAAAGATGTTTTGCTAAAGACTGATTTGATTAATTTATTCCCCCACATTTTTTCCCCTTAGAACTTGCAGGTCTATAATTTACAAGCTATATCAACTCACCTTACTAGCATTACCACTTGAGTCTAGTCATACAGGCGAATAGCTCCAGGTGCTAGAATCATTAACTAAGAATATTAAACCCGTAAATAAGATCTTCCTGTATGTGTTTTACCAACAAAGAGTCTTTCGTATTTCCACCAATTAACGCTAAGAAAATTAAACATCATTTACAAACAAGATTAAAGACATTTTTCCTTCCACAACCAATTAAGAAAATCAGAAGGAAAATGTTTTGATTCATGCTCATTATATATATGTAAATATATCACATAATGGCTCATATTCAGCAAATATGAAATACCAAAACACAAATGGAAAATACTTTGGCATTTGTCCGGCCCTTGAGCTGGCTAACGCAAAGTGTGATATGAACGTGTGTTGGTCCTGCTGTTAAACATTCACCGATCTGAATAAATTAATTACAAACTATTATTTTTCAGAAACACAGTGAACTTTCAAAACACAGAAAAGGAGGAGCCTGTTCCAGTTGCTCACATTCAACAGAAGATGAGAGGAAAATTATCGCTAATAGTTGATCTAATGGAAGATAAAAATTATCTGGCATTTGGGCAAAATGGCATGGTGAGTTCATACTTCAAGGAATACCCCCCCATACAAGCACAACAATAACTAATAAAATTTTAAAATGAAAATTAACAAAAGCAAGAGAAGCCATTTTCTTTGTCCTGAAACAAAACAATGATTCCTACTCATATAACTGAAATCAGGGAGAATGGTGCCTTGAAACTGCTGGCATCTAGGCCCAGAATCTGTGGGTAATAGAATCAAAAGCAGCCCAGGTCTTGTAATGGACTAGCACTAGGATTATTATACTAAACTGAAGTCTTGGGAAAAGTTGCCCCAACCTCTCTATTTAGCTAAAATCACCTGCAGAGAAACCTGGCTTAGTAAAATCTGCAGTATCAACCAAAACAATATTGCATGGGAGCCCTAAGCCACCAGAACAAGATTTGTACTGACCTGAGAATGAATGAGACCAGGTGGAGACAACTATAAAATGACTAGACTGGAATAATTAGGCAGAGAGAGAGAAACAACTCCCATTCAAGATAAGCATGCAAGTGAAAATTCCAGAGCCATTGATGGAATTAACACTGAGGAAGACAGTAATAAGGAGATGGGTAGTAAATCCATTTTCTCTTATGAGCAAGCTGTTAGTCCTTAACTGTGTAATTCCAGCATGCATGCACACCCTGCTAAAGACTATCTTACTAACTTAAGAGTGTGTGTGTGAATGAATTGTGTGTATATGAAAAAATATGAAACTATGGAAGAAAACAAAAATACATGCCACACTCTAAATTATGTGATAGTAAAATAAACATTGCTAGTTTCAGAGTCACTGAAGAATGATTCAATATGTGGCTTCCCAGAATTCCAAAGTAATTTTCTTTAATATGTAAGTAGACAATAAATGCTCTTGACTATATTGAGAAGTTCCATCACGTTAACATTTATAATTTAGGTCCTAATGAGAGGCAAGAAAACACTGCATTAAGAGTTAGATGATTTAAGCTCAGATCCAGTCCATACAGTTTGCCAGATGGGTGACCTTGGGTAAATCCTGTGGCCATCTTTCAATCTCATTTTCTCATCTGTAAAATTATCTGACCACCTCGAACATGGGAATATAACAAGAAACAATAAAAGCACTTCCCTGCTTCATCAAATCTTACAAAATGGAAAAAGAAGATATATATGTCCATATTAATGCTTGAAAACAAGACAGAATGTCATTTATTGTGACAGAGAGTATAAGGAATTCCTGAGAATAGAAGCTGGTAGACTTGTACTGATGAAGCAGAAGTCTTCATCAAGAGGAACCACAAACTGAAACATGTTCAAGAGGAGAGAGCTCTTCCAGAAATTCCTGAGATAACTCAAATTGAGAGAAATACATACCAAGAGCAGGCCAAACACATTCAACAATTATCAAAGGAAGAAATTAAAGAACTTACCCTTCCTCTGCCTACACTATGTACCATGAAACAGTAGTATTTTCTCTCTACTTAGACATTAAGGTAATACTATCTTTAAAAAAAAATAGTGGACAGTATATTTGGAGAGGGTACCTAAAACGGGTGTTGATTCTAGACAGCATAGCCCAGCCTGAAGATAGAAGGGCGGTAGCCAATTCAGCATACTCTGAGCACTAATCCCTGAAATGGGGTCCAGATATAAGAACCCCACTGAGCAGGCCTTAAGAATGTGGCCCAGGTAATTTACTAGCGGAAATAGAAGTCCCTATGTGCAGAACAGAATCTTGTCCTGCACTCTGCTTCTCTTCTTCTGTAACAACTTAAGCAAAGGCATGGTATTGAAAATAAAATCTACATCCACTAACAGTGATCCAGATGAATCAAAGACAAGATAAAATTATAACTCAACCTAACAAGAAATGAAGGAAATCAACTACATGAGAGATAGATACAAAATTTATTAAGGAGAAAATCCATCTTCTATGGGGGAAAACAATAATGGGAAAGAGAAATATCCAAGAAGCTATCACATTTATAAAAATGTTTAAAGCAATATTTAGTGCATTTATTTCATACTGCTGAGCACAAAATGACCACAAATTTAGAATGTTAAAACAACATATATTTGTTATCACATGTTCCCCATGAGTCAGGAGTCCAGGTACAGCTCAGCTGGACCCTTTGCTCAAGACTTCACAAGGTGCATTCAAGGTGTCTCCTAGGTTTAGATTTTTTTTTTTTTTTTTTTTTTTTTTTTTAGATAGAGTCTCGCATCATCACCCAGGGTGGAGTGCAGTGCCGCTATCTCGGCTCATCGCAACCTCCACCTCCCGGGTTCAAGAAATTCCCTTGCCTCAGCCTCCCGAGTAGCTGGGATTACAGGCACATACCACTGTGCCGGGCTAATTTTTGTATTTTTGGTAGAGATAAGGGATTTCACCATTGTGGCCAGGCTGGTCTTGAACTCCTGACCTCAAGTGATCTGCCTGCCTCGGCCTCCCAAAGTGCTGAGACTACAGGTGTGAGTCACCGCACCTGGCCTGCATCTTATCTGGAGCTCAGGATTCTCTTTTCAAACTCACATTATTGGTGGCAGAATTTATTTCATTGTACCCAAGGCAGATTTCCTCTTCAAGGACAGCTTGGAGAGAGTCTTTGCCCTCTTGATCCTGTTTTAAAGAGCTCACCTGATTAGGTCATGCCCACCCAGGAAAATCTTCTTTTGATTAACTTAAAGTTAATTGATTAGGGGACTTAATTACATCTGCAAAATTCCTTCATCTTTACTCTATAATGTAACAATCATGGAGTCATATCCCATCATCTTTGCAATATTCAGTTACAGGCAAGTTATGTTTCTACCCATACTCAAGGGAGCAGATTATACAACATGTAGGTCATTAGGGGTTATAGAATTTTGTCTGTCACAATAAGAAATATGGAACATGTAAAATATCAAAATAAAAAGTAAAAACTCAAAAGCTGAATTGTTTAATAGATATCTGGAGACTGAATTTAGATCATCATTGAAATATAAATTACATACATCAAGATACACAGATTATAAAGAATACATCTTAGCAATACATACCCCAACCAAAGTTTTCTAGTGCCTCTTCTTAGACAGTCCTAACCATTTCTCCAGCAAAACCTTTTCTGATTTCTATTACCATAAATTACTTTTGCCAGCTTTATAATAAAGGTTTGGAAAGTGAAAAATCTTGCCTTGTTCATAACCTTATTGAGAAAGGGTCCAATATTTTAACATCAAATACAATGCTATCTGTAGGTTTTCCATAGATGCCCTTTATCACGAATTCCTAGTTTGTTGGGGCTTTAAGTCATAAATCGGCAAATATTATTAAATGTTTTTTCTGCATCTGTTGAGATAAGATTTTTAAAAATCTTAATAAATTGCAGTAATTTTTTAATGTTTCACTTGATATTATTATCTATTCTTTTTTAAAAATTTTTTCAAGAGACAGCATCTTTTCTTGCTGTTGCCCATGCTGGAGTGCAGTGGCACAATCATTGCTCACTGCAGCCTTGTCTTACTGGTCTTAAGTGATCCTCCTTTCTTGGCCTCCTAAACTGCTGAGATTATTGGTGTGAGCCACTGTGTCCAGACTATTTTTTTAATATATTGATGGATTTAATTAGTATTCTAAGGGACATTAGGCTACAGATTTTCTTTAATTGTAATGTCTGTCTGGCTTTGGTATTAGAGTTTTGTTGGCCTAATAAGATGAAATAAGAACATTTTTCTCATCTATTTCCTGAAAAATAAGTTTATGTAGAATTTGTGGTTTTTCTTTCTTAAAGGTTTCAGTTCACCATTAAATAATAGGGATTTATTTATAGGGGGTAATTATAAATTCAACTTTCTGAACAGATATAGGGCTAGTATGATTTTCTATTTCTTTTCGTGTCAGTGTTCTTAATTTGTATTTTTCTAGGAATGTGTCCATTTCATCTAAATTGACAAATCACATGAAATTATTCATATTTCCTTGTTATTTTTTACTATCTAAAAGATTCATATTCACACATCCTCATCTATTTCTAGTAATTATCAGTCTAGCTAAGGGTTTATCAATTTTATTGATTTGTTCAAATATTCAAATATTAGTTTTGTTTAATTTGATTTGAACAAATTTGATTTGTTCAAATGTTCAAATATTAGTTTTTCTCTATTTCTCCATTTTTCTGTTTTATTGTTCTCTAGTATTACCTTTATTATTTCAATATTCTACATACTTTGGGTTAATTTGCTTTCATTTATTCTATATACTTTGGGTTAATTTGCTTTGGGATGAGGATTAATTGGCAAAGAGCAAGTTTATGAAAAGTTCTACATTTTGGTGGGCATGTGGATAAATGAATGCGTGAATTTGTCAAAACTCATCAAATTACATACTTAAGATTTTTGTATTCCACTGTATGTGAATTATCCCTTGATAGAACTGAAAACAAATATTAAACTCTCACTGGTAAGTTTAGGTTTTGCAGTTATTCACAATTCTAAAACTGCTTTCCATGTATTCTAGACCTGAGCAAATGAATATTTATATTAAAGATAATTTAAGCCAGGGTTTTTACCACTAGAGAAGAAAGTCACAAATGTGGAAAACAGCAAAACCCTGTAGAGTTAGTTTGGAACTGGAAGTACAATGTCTTTAACTGACTTCCAAATGTTTCCAAAAATAATATACTCTGTGTGTGTGTGTGTGTATGTGTGTGTCTAGAGAAAGAGAGAGAGAAGGAGCAATAGAGACATAATAAAGAAAAATATAAACAACTGGTAAAGAATATACAAGAGCTCCTTAACCTATTCTTGCTCTTTTTCCTGAAATAAATTTTGATATCATATAAAACTTTAAAAGTTACCAAAAGTAAGTTCTGCTATACAAGTGAATATTGACCTATTTAATCATTTAACAGGGAGGTGCACTCTTAGCTGGAGACAGGATGAGGAGACTGGCACTGATTCCTGCCTTAGGTAGGCATGGCAGTTTTCTGGGATGAAAAGGTAAAGAACAGAAGCACAGGGAACATTCTCTGGAAAGAAAACTGTTACGATATGTTTGTTCTTGAGGGACTCAAAATAGAAAATCCCTTTTCCTTTAAGAACACTTGCTGGAGGGGGTTGGGGGAGAGATAAAATTAAACATTGGCACAATGGTGCTGGAAGCCACTTTAGGAATAACTTCTATAACCTTTTTAGTAATTTTCCATGCTCCGGACAAAAAATTTTCTGTAACGTTCAGTTCTAAAAACAAATTGTCCTTTTTCTAAGAACTATGCAACATGCTCATTTCCACCTTTTTCCTTTCCTAATTTTAGAACAAAGCAAGCTGTTATTAGGTTGTCTTTTTGTATTTATCATGTAAAAAACTGCTGAAGGCTTTCTTGAAAACTGAAATAAAAGAAATGTGGTATATTGTTTTCTTTTTCATTTTCCTTTTTCTTTTTTTGGTATGTGCATGTAAAGGTAAACATTTCAAATTGCCACAATATAATTTAATTCCTCTCAAAGTCTGACAACGCCTTAATAACAACACATTATTCAAGGGCCTGTTTAAGGTTCCTGCCTCCATTTAACTTTTCATCTAAGTATTTATCTATTGTACTTTATCCCAGATCCTATGATAATAAAAAATACACATCACTTTGCTTCTGATCTGTTAGGAACATGCTTCTTTCTATAAAGCCAGGAAAAGAGATTTTCTATTTTCACCTCCAGTCTGACACTCAAGACTCCAGACCCTATTCGGTACGACTGTCACTTCTGGTAAAGTACACTTGAACAAAGATTTAAAGCCAAATACTTTTTTAAATTATGTAGATTTCTGTTGGAGGAATAGACTTCTTATTCCTAAAAAATATATAGAAAGCATGAATATTAATTCAGAGATGAGTATGTTCTATTTCTAATAGGGCATGTTTTTGGTACTACCAGATGTTAGCATATTCTTAATTCAAATCATCAGGTTCAGTTACATCACCAGGAAGGGCTGCTGTATTCTTCCTGTATTTGAGCTATTAATAAAATATGTTCTTAATTTTAAAAATTGCTTGGCTTGGGTGTGGGGCATTACTGTGGGGAGTTGAAAATACAGGAAAGCAAAGCAACATATTTGGACCACTGAGGTTTTCTAAGAAACACACTAAAATAAATTTCATATAATGTTAGAGCCATTTTCCCTTTAAACTCTATGTTGTCTGTGATACAATACTGATTTAAATCTACTCATTAATCCTGATAGTGGCATTTTAATTAAAGGTATATAACAGGTTAATAAACCCAACATCATTTTAAATCCCTGAAAGAAAAAGAGAAGTGTGTGTGTGTTCATGTGTGTGTGCACGCATGCATGTGTGCATGTGTGCACAATATGAAAACTGTCAAATTCTTTTCTGCAATCCAAAGCCTCTCTATTCATGACTTGAAATGAAGGGAATGCACCCTATGGGAAGCATTCACCCAACCTGTGCACAAATGTTTTGGCTGTGAAGTAGTGGAGACATATGGAAATCATTTTCCTTACATAAAACATGGCTGAGATAAAACATGGCTGAGATAAGTCACACCTAAACAAAGGTTTCCAGGATCTTCAAGAGCCAGAGTAGTTCAGAGTAAAGGTATAGCCCTACTACTCTACTTCTTCAATGTCAGTGATCCAAAGAAAATGAGAAACTTATTTTTTCACTCTTAAAAATCAACTTATTATGAAAGATTATTATTTACTTAAGTTATTTTTAATTATGCATACTATTGCTATATGGTACCATTTTATTTTACTGATTTTAAATAGAGGTAAAGGTTATATTTCACATTAAGGATACTAGAAGCCAATTTTACCTAAGTTATAGCCGAGAAGAAATATATTTTTTAAATTACATGGAAAAAACCTCTAAGGCAGAGAGGGCAAATAGGTTTCATGCTGAAAGCCACTTTTAATCAATTGGTAGTGAATACATGAAACATGGATTGAAAAGGAATCTAAAGTGGTGACCAGCCTTCAAGGGAATGAGAACCATTATTGATTAATGATGTCTGCCTTGGGCACTAGACTGGAAAGTTGCAGCACTTCTCTTGTGTATTTACCAAACCTAAGCATGGTGAAATGTTGTCAGCTTTTAAGTACATATTCAAAAATTATGACTTAAAAGAAATAGTTACATGCTTATAGACTATTGGTGAGAATATTAATTAGGTCAGCTACTGTGGGAAGCAGTTTGGAGATTTCTCAAAGAACTCAGAACTACCTTTCAACACAGCAATCCCATTACTGGATATATATCCAAAAGAAAATAAATTGTTCTGCCAAAAAGACGCACGCACTTGTATGTTCATCACAACACTACTCACAATAGCAAAGACATGAAATCAACCTAGGTGCCCATCAAAGGCAGATTTGATAAATAAAATATGGTGTATGTACACATGGAATACTACACAGACATAAAAAAGAACAAAATCATGTCCTTTGTAGCAACATGTATGCAGCTGGAAGCCATTACTGAGTGAGTTAATGCAGAAACAGAAAACCAAATTTCTCATATTCTCACTTATAAATGGGAAGCTAAACATTGAGTACCCATGGGCATAAAGATAGCAACAACAGACACTGAGGACTATTAGAGGGGAGGAAGAGAAAGGAGCAAGGGTTGAAAAACTAACTCTTGGGTACTATGCTCACTATCTGGGTGACAGGATCATTCATATCCCAAACCTCAGCATCATGCAGTATACCCACGTAACAAAGCTGCATATGTACCCCTGGAATCTAAAATAAAAGTTGAAATTATGAAAAATAAAAAAAAGTTACAGATATTCTAATAAAGAAATATGAATTTATAAAAATAAAATAAAATAAGCATGAGATCAAAATGAGACAAGTACATAGGCGAAACCATACAACTGATGTGTGTGCTATGGAAGCATCACAGACTTAGCCCTTGATTTTTTATCTGCCAACTGAAGGGAAAATCTAGGGTACATAATTCATTGCATCCCTAAGATAAAAAAGAATCATTTTCCAGGTGGCTTACACACATTCTTGATATGAAGATTGTCCAAGGATTTTACTCTAATAAATCATAAAGATAAAAGAATGCCACATAGTCAAGAATACCCTTAACAAAAATGTAACAATGAACTTAATAGGCCTGTTTTGATCATGACTTTTCATATAACTTGATAGCATGCCACTAAAATAGAATTTAAGAACAGCAATTTTGCAAGAGACCAACCAAATGTGCTTTCTACTGATCTGGTTAAGTTATAATTTTAATATCTAAATCCAGAAATCTTTGAATATTGATTTAGTATGTAGGTAACTACTGAGTGGCTACAAGCTTAAGACTATTCACTAGCAAGTATTTGGAATGCATTACTTTCTGTTGCCAGGCATAGATAAATCTGCATGCGTTGACAGTCAACCTGATTAAAATAAGGGTGAATTTCAGTCTGGCTTTTGAAGCCCATGGCTGCAGCTAAGAGGCCAGCATTCTTCCTTCCCACTAGCAGGGCTACGACATTCAACTTCTACCTTCTCTGTAAAACACGAAGTGTATGACATGTCCCAGTTTTTCTTTTGTTTTATTTTCAATTCACTCCTACATCCAATGGAACTTTACTTTTCAAAACAACAGAATATAATAATTTGACATTACGGAAATGTATTATTAAGAAGTTTAGTTGCATCAGGAGAGTCACCCAATCAAGGAAGTTAACAAAAGCATTTGTGAATCCAGGTCGCTTCTCTCTCTAGCCTAGAGCTTTTGAGTTTGGGTTTATGAATCCTCATAGGCCAATTAGCTTAGCTGGTTAGAGCCTGGTGCTAATGATGCTAAGGTCAGAGAGTTGGTCCTCTGGGAGTCAGTGCACTTTGAGTAGAAAAAAATAGCACAAAATCATTTCCACAGCCATACCTTGGACCTTTAACCAAAGTCATCCATCTCTCAAAGCCTCATTCTTAATCCCAACTGAGACTAGATAGGAGCGCGTGGCTGGCTCAAGGCCACTTTTCACTAATATCTGATTTTCTGATGGTGGGCTACTTCTAAAAAGAAGAAATTTTATGACTTCTGCCTTTTAGTCAAATTAGATATGCTGTTTCCATGCCAAATATACATTGATTTTTCCAAGTTAATTTCTACTCAATTCAACAGAGATAATGAAATCCAGATGTAAGAAGGCAAATACTAACATTTATTGAACATCTATTCTGTCAGGCACTTTTGGATACCTTATATACATGAAATTATTTAATACTCACATCAACCCTTCTGGAGAATGGACATACATGTGCATATAAATAATTATGTAAATAAATATAAATAACTCTAAAACTGGGTTTCGTGTATTGGAATCAGACAGACTTGAATTTAGTTCCCAATCCCTTAATAACTATAGTGTTAGGTAACCTTATGTGAGGTTTTTTTTTTTTTTTTGGTAGGTAAATGGGGGATATTAATAATACCTATCTCACATCATAAAGATAATGTTAAAATTAAATGGAAGGATATACACTAAATTTTTAGCATAGTACCTAGGATACAGAAGTATTCAAGAGAGAAGGGAAGAGACAAGAAGAGAGGGGAGGGGAGGGGAGGGGAGGGAAGAGGAGGGGAGGGAAGGGAAGGGAAGGGAAGACTCAAGTAACTGAGTTTTTCCATGTTCTTGTACCTTGAGAGTGAGACAACAATATTTTAATAAATATTAACAAATCAATAGATTTGTTTTTTTCTGTAAAGGGTAAGATAGCAAATATTTCTGACACCCGCATCCCCAACCCCAACAACTACTCAAGTCCACCAAGAAGCAGCTGTAGACAAACAAATGGGCATGGCTGTGCTCCAATAAAACCTTACCAAAAGCAGCAGAAAGCCAGATTTGTCCCACAGGCCATAGTTTGCCAGCCAACCCTTGGTCTAAAACTGTTTTATGCTCTTTGGTTACAAATTAATAAACTACTAAATTTAACTTTGCAAAGTGAGACTTTTCAATTCTGAATGAGCTTTAATGTTGCATTACTGTTAATTTTCTATTGCTATCTTTCAAAGCTTCTTTGTTCAGCTAAATTTGACCATAATTACAATGTTGTTAGAAATGAACAAAGAAGTAGGGAACAAGATAAGTTTAAAAGAATTTACCAGGAAGAAGAAATCTCAGCATACATCATTTCTTATATATCAGATTATTTAAAATTAATAAATCAACACAAAGGATTTGGATTTTGAAATTAGGTACTTCAGAGTACATAGTTCATCTTATTTCTAGAAAAAATCATTGCTTGTATAGGGGTTATGGAAATCTCTGGATTTTTCCTGCCACCTAAACATTCTGAGGCCCAAGCGCTAGTATCTGTCCTCTGCAGGAGAATATTCTCAGCCTCATTGGCAAGATTGTAGTTCTGAGTCTGACATTCAAGTCTTTAATCCATTTTGAGCTGATGTTTGTATAAGAAGGGTCTAACTTTATTCTTCTGCAAATGGATATTCAGTTTTCCCCAAGTCATTTGCTGGAGAAACTGTCTTTTCCCCAGTGTATGTTCTTGGCACCTTTATCCAAAATCTGTTGGCTGTAAATATATGGGTTTATTTCTGGGTTCTCTATCCTGTTCTTTTAGCCTATGTGTCTGTTTTTATGCCAGTACCAGACTGTTTGGGTTACTATAGCTTTATAGTATATTTTGAAGTCAGGTAGTGTGATGCCTTAAGATTTGTTCTTTTCACTCACGCTTGCTATGGCTATTCAAGGTTTTTGTGGTTCCATGTGAATTTCAGAATGCACATAAATATTCTGAGGTATTATCTTAACTGATTTATAACTTATTTACAAAAGGACATAATTTTTAATACTCTTTTCTGGTCTTGATACAAAGAGTTTCCACTAAAGATAAGAAGTGGTCATTCATTAAATAAAATGTTTCAAAGTCCAATAAATCCTAACATCATTTAACTTAGCATGTGTAAGCCACGTTTGCATCAGTTAGAAAAATGGTGGATGCTTTACACAAAGAGGGAAATCTTGCAAAGAAAGAAGAGGAAAATGCCAGGGCCTTTGTCAATATTTTGATAAAACACATAAAAATAGAATAATTTTATTTTGTTTCATCTGTTTCCGTTTGGTCTGCCTCTTATATCAAATACATTTTGCACCTCCGAGCTCAGTGACTACTCAGTGATTTTTATTTTGTTATTATTTTCTTTTTCTACTTAAGTCTGGAATATTTTGAAAGAAGAATGTTGGCTACTTCCTAACTTAGACTACCCTAATAGGGCCACAAGATTCATACAAGAAAAGATTTTGCCATTTCTTTCTATAAATCTCTGACATCACCCCAAAACTCAGGTGAAGATTTCATTGTGCGCTATCTGCTAAGAATGACACCATATTTGTATCACTGTGATTTCTGTTCCCTGGTTCAACTGATTAGAAATAGGTGAGAATGAGTCTATCCTCTCCCCACTGTCTCACAGCTATGTGGTGAAGAACATCTGCTTTCTTCTCCCTCTCACATGTGTTTAGGCAATGCTAGAATATTTCTCCTTACTTGTGACAACTTCAGTTTCTTAGCATCCAGGAGAAATATTATTTTAAAATAATAAAATACCAGTTTTAGAGAAGAATGGCTAAAAAATTAAACACTTAAGATGGGAGTAATTTCTGGCAAGTCCATTCATTCATTCATTGCATCTGAATATACATATTCTGTCTCCCCAAACTCAAGACCTCACTGAGAACGTTCCATTTAGCAAACTCTATATAATGACATCTAAGAGGAGTCCCACTAATCAGTTTCCAGTTCCAAAGGGTCAGCACAATCCAATTATTCTGAAAATCTGGTAAGTGCAACACATAAGAAACTTTTTACCATTTCATGTGCATCATATGGCACTGCCAAAATGCTTTGGCAAATTTGCTTATGGATTATTTAAAAAATCAAATTTGTTTGGCATTATTAATATCTAACAAAGAAATACCATTGTTCAAAGGAATGGAACAGCATGTCTCTTCACCTTCAACTCAAAAACAGAAATATGACTTGGGTCAGTGGACATTTACAGGAAGGTAACAAACCTGGTTGAGAGAAACATGCTATATTTTTCCAAAATGTCAGCCATGTGGATGGCAAGTGAAATAGGCCTAAGACTTGAAAGAACTTTGACTTCATCCAATGGAGATTAGACTCCAGGACAGTAAGATTTAAGATTAATGCTTATACTTCTTTGAAGCCATTACATGTAGTTGCTTTGGCTAAGATATTAATATAAGTTAGGAGGATTATTAGAAACCAGTATAATTATATAATGTGCCTAGGCCCATAGGGCCATACAATTTTTTTATGATAAACATAGTGGTTGACATTTAAATTGTTTTCTTTTCAAAGCCAACCTTATATTTAATATCTTATTTAGTCTACTTGAACTTTGGGAAGCTGGTAGGTTGAACCTTAGTATTTCTACTTAATATATAAGAAAACTATTACCCAAGATGGTTCATACTACCTCTGTTCAGAGAAGTGGATAGTAACAGGATTCACATTTCAACCATTAAATCTTCCAAATTTAATTTTTTTTTCCAATAGCAAAAGTTGTGCCTTTTTAAACTAATGCTTAGAGGTGAGTCCTAATATTTTGCTGGTGATTCTTCTTCAAATAGTTTTTAATATTCACCTGACATTATCATTGTATAGGCAAAAACAATATACACAAGCACAAAGACCATGTCAAAGTCCAATACGCTACAAGAAGAAAGTGATTTCTTCATATTTTGAATTTTTCTTTGTCACTTTAAACTCTACAGCCACTGTGATTCTATGGAAACACACAAACAAGGGAAACCAAACAGGAAGCGCTCTATTTTCTTATTATCAGCAGGAAATTTAGCTCAGGAAGTACAATAAAACCTTGGCCATTCAGAATCCTTAGGGAATAGATCCTTCCAGAAAACCAAGCTTTGCAAATCTCTGAGGGCAAATCCCCTTAAGTCTTGAAAACAGGTTATTTAATTGTTTTGAATTGAAACATTTTGAAATGTACTAGGCATTCCCTGCATGTTTAACTGAATTAGTTATTTCTTGGTCAAAGATCTTTTAACGCAAATCATTTACTATATACTACCTAAATGCCCTTAGATTCAACCGCGGAATGTAAGAAGACTTCAACGATCAATTAAATCACCCAAGTTTGCATGTGTGTATATGTGTATGCATGCTAATTGTGTTTGCTTTTGGAAGATTTTCTGTCACTTTCCTTGCAATCAACTCTTGTTCATTCTTTAATAAGTAAACCCTCTTTCCCCTTTTAATTCGCAAAATTGAGTATAGATAACCAAGCCTGTTAAAATTGAGAATAGGCTACAGGTGGAAACCTGAGGTCTTCTATGTACAGCTAGAATATGGCTTTATCTCATGGACTCTGTGATACCTCAGTAAAATGAAAATCAAATAAGTATTCTTTATTTTGCAGTCTGGATCCAATTAGTGTTCTTAACTGTGTAGACACAGTCTAAGACAGAATGGTGTTAACAAATTTAAACATAATGGTTTATAATAATGGTACAATAGACATGCATGTGAATTCAATGATAGTTTGGGTCCTTGGGTTTAAGAAAATAAGCTCATATTCAAATTTTTCTTGGAATCAAAACTATCATAACTTGTAATTTTAAAACTACCAAGTTAAATTTCAGCAATTAATGCATTAATTCAGAAATATCTACTAAATGGTAATTATGTGCAGGCACTGCCTTGTGTTCAATGTACCAATAAATTGAGCCACATTGACATGTGTATTCTTAGCCAATTTTATTAGTTTGGCCATTATTTATAAACAATTTATTAATTTCATTAATTTAAGCTGTTATTTATTTAGTTATTCATGCAAGTGTCTTCTATTTGCAGAGATTATGCCAGATCTTGAGGAATTAATGGGAAACCAAAATAGATATGCCCCCAGCTTCTTATGCAGCCAGTGTATTCTTGGGGGAGTGAGACAATAAAATCATCAGCAAATATGTAAAAACACACTATGGTCAGGACAATGTACAGGAGGTAGAGAGGCTCATGAGAGCACATTCCTGAGCACTTGAGTGGGA
Source organism: Homo sapiens (assembly GCF_000001405.40). Lineage (NCBI taxonomy): Eukaryota > Metazoa > Chordata > Mammalia > Primates > Hominidae > Homo > Homo sapiens. The sequence continues at coordinate 221,237,372 of NC_000002.12, forward strand.
TGTCAGCGAGTCTCCTGCCAGATAGTCAAAGTTTAAGGTAAAAGTGAATGAGTTAACCAGGTAAAAGCAAAGACTCTGGGGCAGGGCTGGGATACATGTAGGGTACCCACAGAGGACTGCATGACTGAAGCTCAGAAACTGAGCAAGAGAATGGAGAAATGTGGAGACTTGAGGGGCTGGCCAGATGATAAAGAGCCTTATAAACCTTGTAGAATAGATTCTCTCAGAGATATTATTTTTAACCTACCTATGGGAACTTACTGAAGTAGTAACTTGTTTTCAAAGTGCAATAGAATAATTTCATATTAAAATATGAATGAATTTTACATTTTACATGAAATATAAAAGTAGAGAAACATGTATTGAAATGCCCTCCATGATCTCTTTAACCATTCCTGCATCCTACATGGATGTACCTTGATATGAACTCCTATACCTACTTCATTCAATACCATGCAACTTCAATTTCTGCTTTATGCTTTTCTGTGTTGCTTCCCATCTAGAAAAGTAATATAAGATGATCTCCAAAATACACTCAGTATCAAGTCAAGAGAGGGCTCATCTAGATAGAGCAGGAAGAGATCAAGAGCACCCCATCCTGACTGAAGGGGAAAGATACCAAAAGGACATGCCAAATTAAAGAATGATATGGAAATCTCTACAATGAGGGATTTCAGAAGAAAATGGAGCCATGGATTATGAGCTCAATTAAACTCTTGGAAAATATTATAGGTAAACATTTAATATATGTGTCAGAACACTTGGGGAAAAATTGTAGTGAGTACATAGAAAACTAAGAAAACATTTTAAAGATAATAATTCCCTTCAGGAAAAAGTAAAGAATTGTATAAAAAAAGGAAACAAAGTTGTAGTGTACCTCTTTGTTCAGGAGAGGCCACTTCATGTAAATATGTACAACTGGACACAAGAAGAGACTGAAAGTAGGGTGTGTGTACATGTGTGTGGTATAAGATAATTAAATCTTCATAAGCAGCTTATATATTCAATAGCTTATATATTGATAAAAATCACTATTAAATATTATTTCAGAATATAGATTTAACTTATATTATATTATTATAATACTTAATGTAATTAACCCAAAGAAGTGAAACTAGTAAGTATAGAAGGGAGAAGAGAGCTACTATTTTTGTTTATAAATTTTATAGGACAATTTGACATTTTAAGACATACGGATATGATGTTTTCATAAATATTAACTTTAAAAACAGGCATATGCATATATTTCTCAAATTATTTGAATTTATCTGATCAGTGGAAACTAGAATTTGGACTAGCATTTAGACAAAATTGAAAACAAGATAAGTCATTTTGGAAAGAGGGTACTGATATTTTCAAAGCTCTGCTCTTTCCGCATTTATTCTCGTATAATTGTCTTTTTTTTTTTCTACAGCAGTTCAGGAATTGCTAATACTACTCTTGAGGTCATTTTTGGAGGTGTGAGTTTAAATGGAAAATATCTGTCTTGAAAATCTGCCAACAGATGACAAGTAAGGAAAGGGATAACTTGCAGCTCCATTATTCTGAAATAGATTTATAAAGACAAAATGTGGTTCATTGAGGTCAGCTTCAGGATTCAACCTGAAATAGTCACAAAACTACCAGCTCCCTTTGAGCTTAGGAAACATACTTTCAGCACCTGAATGACATGACCTTCTTTGTACTTTAGAAATTATTAACATCTCTGGCTTACAGATGTTTAAAGACCAGAAAATTAAATGGAAAATATCAGAGAAATAATACTAATTATTCCTAATTAGTCTTAGAAGATCTATAAAAGCACAGAGTTATTTGAAAGGCTGTTTCATCTGAGATACTTATTCAAATTCATGAATACTCTGGAGTAAAGGTCAGTGGTCAAACCCTCATGACTTGTGGCTCCATGATGAAACTGTTTTTCCAAGAGTAGAGACAAAATGTTCAATAAGCAGTTACTTTAAATCCATTTTTTCTAATCATTTAAAAAAAATTTTATCAACCAGAAATGATTGGGCAATTTTGATAATAAAATAAGAATTCCAAAGATAAATTGTACTCAATGTCTTCAGTGCAAATTATGTACCTAATTTCCTTTTGTTCCCTACATAATGTTGTACTTTTCCACTAGTCCAAAAATTTTTATAGAAAAAAATTAATATCTACACAATAATCTTCTTAAGTCTGAAGGAGTAAGGATGAACCTTGTTGTGTTAGTCAGCAGTCTAGCTGCAAAACCCAGTATCCACT